>NC_000005.10:138803680-139452659 GCF_000001405.40 Homo sapiens | reverse complement strand
CACTATGCATACACCACACACACCCCACACATCACACACCATACACACAACCCATACTATACACATGCCCCACACCCCCCACACACCCACACACCACACACACCCCACACGTCACACACCACACACACTCCATACTATACATACCTCCCCACACACATCACAAACACACCACACACTCCACACCCCACACTACACACACATACCCACCTACCACACACACCCCACGAACCACACACACCCCATACTATACACCCCTCCACACACACACCTCAAATACAGCACAGGCCTCACATCACACACACCACACCCCACACACATATCACACACACACACCCCATACTATACACACACACACACCACAAACCTACCACACACCCCACACCCCACACTATACACATATACCCACACACCCCACACATCATACACACACACCCCTACACACCACACACCACACATCCCACACCCCACACTACTCACACATACCCATATACTACACACACACCCCACGCACATCCACATACCACACACACCCCATACTATACACACACACCCCATGCACATCCACATACCACACACATCCCATACTATACACACACCCCCACATACACCACAAACACACAACATATCCCATACCCCACACTACACACACACCCACACACCACATACACCCCATGCACCACACATACACCCTATACTATACACACATCCCACATACATCATAAACACACAACATGCCCCATACACCACACATCCACAGCACAAACACACACACCCCACACCCTATACTACACACACACGACATACATACATCCTATACTACACATGCACCCCATACCCTATACCCTACACACCCACCCACACCATACCCACCCTCATACCCATACTATACACACCCACCCTCCCCACACACATACCCCACACACCCACCCAAACCACACACACACCACAAACACACCACGCATACCCACATCACACACCCCACACCCCATACCCAACATATCCACCCAAACAACATACATACACCACACACCCACACACCACACACATCCCCCCATACCATACACACAGACACCACACACACACCACACCACACACACACACCCCGTACCCTATACTACACACACACCACACACTTCATACTATACACACTCACACCACACACCCACCCAAACCACACACATCACACACAGACACCCCGTACCTCATACTACACACATACCTCATACTACACACACACCACACACCCAACCAAACCACACACACACCACAAACCCACACACCACATAAAAAACACATATGTACCCCATATTATACATACACACAACATATACACCTTACACCACACACACCACACATACACACTCCCCCACACATCACATACATGACACATAACACTCCCATACCATACACACACACCCCACACACCCCATACCACACACACACCCCATACCACACACACCCCACACCACATACACACACACCACACATGCATTACACCACACACACACACACAACACCTCACACCACATACCCCATACCACACATATACACCCCTCACACCACACACACATACCACACACATACAATCCTGACAGGCTCCTCTGAGGCCAGGGCTGGGGTGGGCAGGACAGGGGCAGACCTGAAAGGGAACAATCAAATGACAGGAGATGGACTGAAACTCTTCAACACCAGGGCTAACCCTCTATAACCCCATCATGAAAAGTGTAGGAATTCAGATTCTAATATAAAAAGACATTATCTCTAAGCTTAGGAACCACTTATTGAATACTTCTTATGTGCCGAACACAATGGTATATATTTTATAATATTATCTCAAATCTTTATAGCAATTATTCAAGGTATATATTACTTTTTTTTTTTTTTGACATGGAGTCTTGCTCTGTTGCCTGGGCTGGAGTGCAGTGGTACAATCTCAGCTCACTGCAACCTCCGCCTCCCAGGTTCAAGTGATTCTCCTGCCTCAGCCTCCCGAGTAGCTGGGACTACAGGCATGAGCCACCACACCCAACTAATTTTTGTATTTTTAGTAGAGACAGGGTTTCACCATGTTGACCAGGCTGGTCTCGAACTCCTGACCTTGTGATCCACCCACCTCAGCCTCCCAAAGCGCTGGGATTACAGGCATGAGCCACCATGCCCAGCCTTTTTTTTTTTTTTTTTAAGGGACAGGCTTGCTCTGTTGCCCAGGCTGGAGTGCAGTGATGCCAACAGGGCTCAAATGATCCTCCCACCTCAGCCTGTCAAGTAGCTGGGACTACAGGCATGTGCCACCATGCCCAGCTAATTTTTAATTTTTTTAATAGATATAAGATGTCACTATGTTGGCCAGGCTGGTCTCAAACTCCTGGTCTCAAGTGATCCTTCTGCCTCAGCCTCCCAAAATGCTGGGATTATAGGTGTAAGCCGAGACATTACTCCATTATACATTTTAAAAATTGAGGCTTTAGGCCAGGCGCGGTGGCTCATGCCTGTAATCTCAGCACTTTGGGAGGCCAAGGTGGGTGGATCACGAGGTCAGGAGTTCAAGACCAGCCTGGTCAAAATGTTGAAACCCAGTCTCTACTAAAAATACAAAAATTAGCTGGGCACGGTGGCAGGTGCCTATAATCCCAGCTACTCGGGAAGCTGAGGCAGGAGAATTGCTTGAACCCAGAGGCGGAGGTTGCAGTGAGCTGAGATGGTGCCACTGCACTCCAGCCTGGGTGACAGAGCAAGACTCCGTTTCAAGGGGAAAAAAAAAAAATTGAGGCTTTAGCGGATGCGATGGCTCACACCTGTAATCTCAGTACTTTGGGACGCTGAGGCAGGTAGATTGTGTGAGCTCAGGGGGTCAAGGCTGCAGTGAGCTGTGATCGTGCCACAGCACTCCAGTCTGGGTGACAGAGCAAGACCCTCTCAATAAAAACTAAAAAAATAAAATTGAGGCTTTAATAGAGGTTGTAACTTGGTAAAGATCAAACAAGTAGTAGGTAGTAAAACCAAAATTTAAATGCAAGTCTTGGCCAGGTGCAGTGGCTCACACCTGTAATCCCAGCACTTCGGGAGGCCAAGATGGCTGGATCATTTGAGGTCAGGCATTCAAGACCAGCCTGGCCAACATGGTAAAATCCTGTCTCTACTAAAAAATACAAAAATTAGCCGGGCATGGTGGCACGTGCTTGTAATCCCAGCTACTCAGGAGGCTGAGGCAGGAGAATCGCTTGAACCCGAGAGGTGGAGGTTGCAGTGAACTGAGATTGCACCATTGCACTCCAGCCTGGGCGACAGAGCGAGACTCCATCTCTAAATAAATAAATAAATGCAGTCTTTCGGTCTTCAAAGCACACTCGCATTTCATCATGATCCACCACCAAAATATAGATTTTTTGAGACAAAGGTCTAAGGCTCAACAACCTCACAGTTCCTTGACTCCCCATTGCCCTGCCCTCCTCCTCTCTTTAACCCAGACCCCCTTCCTCCCCCAGCTGCTCCACAGCCAATGGAGAGAAAGACAGCATCACCCTTATCTCCATGAAGAACATCAACATGAATAATGGCAAACAAAGTCTCTCAGCAGAGAAGGTACATTTTTCTGTTTCCTGCCTTCCTTCCCCAAATTCACCTTTCCCTTCCTCCTCCTACTTTCAGGCCAGAAAGGAGATACTTTCAAAGACTCTGGCTTTTCTCCCCTCTTCTGTACCCTGCCAATCCTAAAAAGTTCACCCTTCCCCATTATGCATTTATTTTGCAGGTTCTTTAAAAGCAACTTTGGGTCCCCATGAGTCCAAGGATGATGCAGCTGCCCTGTGACTACAAGGAGGAAGAGATGGAATTAGTAGAGGCAATGAACCACATGTAAATTATTTTATTGTTTCATGTCTGCTTCTAGATCTAAAGGACACTAGCATTGCCCCAGATCTGGGAGCAAGCTACCAACAGGGGAGACTCTTTCCTGTATGGACAGCTGCTGTGGAAATACTGCCTGCTTCTCCCACCTCCTCAGAGCCACAGGAAAGAGGAGGTGACAGAGAGAGAGCAAGGAAAGTGATGAGGTGGATTGATACTTTCTACTTTGCATTAAAATTATTTTCTAGCCTGCAGTCTAATTACTTTTAAGGTCTATGCTCCCATGCACATTTCTTAACAGTATGTTCTAGCAGCTTTTGGGCCTTGTTTCCTAGAACAGACATACATGCAGGTTTCTGCCCCTATGGGCAGCTCTTTGAGAAACTTGGATGGTCGATAGAAGGGACTTTGTGTCAGGTTTTATCAAGTTCACCTGGGTTTTGTTGTTGTTGCTTTTGTTTTTTTTTCTTGAGATGGAGTCTCACTCTGTCTCCCAGGCTGGAGTGCAGTGGCGTGATCTTGGCTCACCACAACCTCTGCCTCCCGAGGGTTCAAGTGGTTCTCCTGGTTCAGCCTCCTAAATAGCTGGAGCTACAGGCGTGTGCCATCATGCCTGGCTAATTTTTGTATTTTTTTAGTAGCAACAGGGTTTTACCATGTTGGTCATGTTGGTCTCGAACTCCTGACCTCAAGTGATCCACCCGCCTCGGCCTCCCAAACTGCTGGGATTACAGGTGTGACCCACCACACCCAGCCATTGTTTCCCCCTCGCCCCCTTCTTCTTCTTCTTTATACTAGCCTTGCTAAAGCAAAGGCTCAAAAAATTAGCTAAAAACTCAAAAACTCTCCACAGGAATCTTTAGTAAAAGGTGAAAGATTTATATGATCTGAAGAGAAACCAGAGTATCACCTGGTTTATTTTTATTAGTAGGGTTGAGGCGACTGACTAACCACTCCAATAGAGGAGAGAAACAAGGGGCTGTAAACAGTGACCAGTCGTCACCAAGAAAGAAGTTTTGACTAGGAAACTTCTTAGGGAAGTTCCTAAGTCACCTCTTGGGGAGAGGTGAATGAGAAAAGGGCAAATGTCCTCTGCCTGCCCCTGGGTAGACATGCATCACTTTGGTCTTAGCTATGGGATGAACCCTGGGAAGGTTTGCGGTGAAGATAGGTCTGTGACTTCATCAACACAAACCCCACCCACTTTACCCCATACAACAGTTATCTTGTGTCCAAATATAGAATAAAAGATTGTAGAAGTACTGGAAAGTCATTTAAAGAGAAGGAGGAAAAGAAAGGAGGTGTCTGCTTTCTTAGTCTTAGTCATGTTTACCATGACACTAGTCTGGAAATGAATCTTGGGGAAAATCAAGGGAGGAGTCATCCATGTGTGTCTTTCGGGAGTATTTAACTTAATTGGCAATTTGGAACATAGGGAGAACACAGCTTACTCATTCTGAAGCAACAATATGCTATTTTTTCCTGATTCAGACTTCTCAAGGTGATGAGAGAGACAGGCTAGAACAACAAGTTTCATCCCCTCTGTCTCATTAAAATTATTAAAATGAGACTGTAGAAACCGAGTGAGCAGGGCGTAGTGGCACATGCCTGTAATCCCAGCACTCTGGGAGGCCAAGGTTCCAGAGGATCGCTTGAGGCAGGAGTTCAAGACAAGTGTATTAGACCATTTTCACACTGCTATAAAGAAATACTGGGTAATTATAAGGAAAGAGGTTTAGTAGACTCAGTTCTGCATGGCTGGGGAGGCCTCAGGAAACTTACAATCATGATGGAAGGGGAAGCAGGCACCTTCTTCACAAGGCAACAGGAGAGAGAGTGAGCAAGATCAGGAAAAACTGCCGTATAAAACTATCAGATCTCATGAGAACTCACTCACTACCATGAGAACAGCATGGAGGAAACCACTCCCTTTATCCAATCACCACCCACCTGATCCCTCCCTCGACATTTGGGGGTTATGGGGATTACAATTCAAGATGAGATTTTGGTGGAGACACAGAACCAAACCATATCAACCAGGCTGGGCAACATGGCAAGCCCTTGTCTGTACAAAAAAATACAAAAATTAGCAGGGTGTGGTGGCACATACCTGTGGTCCCAGCTACTCAGGAGGCTGGGGATCACTTGCTTCTGGGAGGTAGAGGCTGCAGTGAGCCATGGTTGATTGCACCACTCTCCTCCAGCCTGGGTGACAGGGTAAGATGTGAAAGAAAGAAAACAAAGGAAGAGAAAAGAGAAAGAAAGAAAGAAAGAAAGAAAGAAAGAAAGAAAGAAAGAAAGAAAGAAAGAAAGAAAGAAAGAAAGAAAGAAAGAAAGAAAGAAAGAAAAGGAAGGAAGGAAGGAAGGAAGGAGAAAGAAAGAAAAGGAAAGAAAGAGAGGGAAAGAAAGAAAAAGGGAGGAAGGGAGGGAGGAAGGGAGGAAGGGAAGGAAGGAAGGAAGGAAAAAAAGAAAAGGAGAAGAGAAGAGAACTTACTGTATTCTAAAATCCCCTAGGACAGGGCCTGTAACCTGCCCATGTCTGTAGCTCCTGCATGACACACTGTGCCCAGCACTTCCTAGGTAATCTAAACTGGCTCTTGGGTGAAGGAAATCTGATCATAAGATTGGGCTCTGCCACAGACTTTGGGTGCAATTGTCCCCCTCCTCCAAGCCTGTTCTCTTATATCTTTACTTTTTTTTTTTTTTTGTACCACTGCTGGAGTGCAGTGGTACAATCGTGGCTCACTGCAGCCTTGAGTTCCTGAGCTCAACCAATCCTACCTCAGCCTTCTAAGTAACTGGGACTCTTGGCATGAGCCACTGCACCTAGCTAATTTTTAAAAATTTTTTGTAGAGACAAGCTCTTGCCGTGTTGGCCAGGCCAGTCTCAAACTCCTGAGCTCAAGTGATCCTCTTGCCCTGACTTCCCAAAGTGCTAGGATTACAGGCATGAGCCACCATGCCTGGCGGGTTTTAAAGTGAGCTGGCTGGACGACTTGGCCTTCACTATCTTTTCTCATTCTTACATTCCACAGTTCTATAGACTCTGGACGTAGGAAAAAATGAATACAATGTGCTAAGTAGAGATCACTCTGGGTGAGAGCCAGAGACAAGTTGCAGGCAGCTCTGGACAAGCCTTTCACATTCTCAGGAGTTCCATTTCTCCTGTGTATTAACAGGGAAGAATGCGCCCTACCTGGCCCTGGCTACCTCACAGGCTAGTGGCTAGGTAAAATGGGATAATAAACATGGAGATACTTGGGAAGTGAGCAATTGTAGCAGACAGCTTGGAGTAGGGCACCAGCACCCAGGTCCCACTTCAGGATCAAGGCGCTTGTTCCCCAGCTGTGGGATTGTTGGCTGGTTGATGATTGGCTGATGGGGGCTAAGAGTGGGAATGAAGACCTGGACCCCTTGCCTCAATTCCTTTGCCCCCATTCCTACTTCCCTTACTCCTCATAGCTGTTGTTCCAGGGGTGCTCACTAAGAAACCTTTAGTATGCAAATCTCAGCGTCTCAGAGTCTATTTTGTGGGGTACCTAACCTACGAAAGCAATACTGCAGTATTTTTTGAGGGGAGAGAAGACAGGGTCTGGCTCTGCCTCCCAGGCTGGAGTGCAGTGGCATGGCACAATGATAGCTCACTGCAACATCAAACTCCTGGGCTCAAATGATCCTTCTGCCTCAGCCTCCCAAGTAGCTGGGACTATAGACGTGTGCCACCACAACCGGCTAATTTATTTAAATTTTTTGTAGAAATGAGGTCCTGCTACGTTGCTCAGGCTGGTTACAAACTACTGGGCTCAAGACATCCTCCCCCCTCAGCCTCCCGAAGTGCTGGGATTATAGGTGTGAGCCATCACACCTGGTTAGTTGTTTGTTTTTTGTTTTTTGTTTTTTGAGGTGGAGTTTCACACTTGTTGCCAGGCTGGAGTGCAATGGCACGATCTCCACTCGCTGCAACCTCTGCCTCCCAGGTTCAAGTGATTCTCCTGCCTCAGCCTCCTGAGTAGCTGGGATTACAGGTACCCACCACCACGCCTGGCTAATTTTGTATTTTTAGTAGAGATGGGATTTCACCATATTGGGCAGGCTGGTGTCGAACTCCTGACCTCAGGTGATCCGGCCACCTCAGCCTTCCAAAGTTGTGGGATTACAGGTGTGAGCCACCATGCCCGGCCTTGGCTAGTATTTTTTAAATAATTCATATATATTTGATTTAAATCTCACAGCCAACAGCACATGACTTAGTAGCCACTTCTGGTCCAACATCCACCATTGGGATGGAACCCCTCAGGTGACATAACAATGTCTAGGATTCTGTTTGTGCTGTTGTTATTCTGCCTGCCATGGGCACTGAGTACAGCTGCTCATCATACTGGACTAATCAGGTCAAGGACATGGGGCTTCATTCTAAGTAACTCAGCTGTCATCTTCATTATAAAACCACACATTTTCCTCTGACTCTGGGCAATGACCTGCGTATATAAGCTGTTAGTCATAAGGTATTTATATGTGGGGGAAGAGGGAGACAACTGGTATTAATAATCTTTGAGATTGAAAGGCTTTTACCCTGACACTGACACCGCAGTACCACATAAGCCATGTGGATTTTCCTGTTGCTAAGTAACTCTATCCTTTGGGAAGGGGTTGAGGATGAATTAAATGCTGAATTCTGCTCTGGAGCAAACTCTAATAGAGAGGTTTCTCCTGGAGGAGCCTACTATTTATGCAAATCCAAGATGCCACCTCTGACAGGAAATCTGAGTGCAGCCTTCTGCAGCCCTTGCAGCTTCCTTGAAACCCTATCTCTTCCTTCATGTCTAGACAACAGGATGATGATTGTTTACAAGATGACTTCCTCCCTTTTCTCACACAGGACTACGTGGTCCTTAAACAGGAACAGGTGGCGGGGATTGGGGGCTAGCTGCAGAATGTCCTTCTCTCATTTTTTCCCTCATCCTATGGGAGGGCAACCAATAAACCAGCACAGACACACAGGCCCAGTGGGACAGGAGGATCATTTACTCAGCTTCTTTCTTCTAGGGCTGGATGGGGCAGCATCTCAATCATATAGGGCACAGGACAGACCTCAGTATCACCAGCAAGAATCCATTACAGTTCAACATGTAAGTAAGTGGAGGCGCCTTAATCCCAACACTTGGGAAGTCCCCGGGGGCAGGATTGCTTGAACCCAGGAGTTCCAGACCAGCCTGGGTAATATAGTGAGATCCCATATCTTAAAAACAAACAAAAAAAAAGCCAGGCATAGTGGGCATAGTGGCATGTGCCTGTGGTCCCAGCTACTCAGGAGGCTGAGGTGGGAGGATCGCTTGAGCCCAAGAGATCAAGGCTACAGTGAGTTGTGATAGCGCCACTGCACTCCAGCCCGTGTAACAGAATAAGACCCTGTCTCAAAAAAATAAAGTAAGTGGAGAAAACTGAGAGAAATCTGAGGCTGGCCCTAAGGTAAAATGGTTTAGCAGATGAAGGATCATTGCAGGCCCCCTTGACCTAGTTCTGGCACACAATTTCCCCAAGCCCAGCTAGTACTACTCTATTAAATTTGAATGTGCTGGAAAACACTGTGTGATTCTGTCCACCAGTCTTTTCCTGGGTTTGTGGATGTCCTCCTTTCTCTCTTCGTCAAACTTCTTTCCACATCTACCTCCTTCTCTTTGAGAACTGCCTTGGAGACCCCAATTTCTCTTCCCTTATCTCCTTCCCAGTTACCCTCTCACTTTTCCTGTGGGTCCTTTTCGACTGGCATCTCCATCCTATACTCTTTGGGCCCACAGCTTCCTCTTTTACAAAACACAGAAATTGAACTTTACAGTGAGGATTATTTTTGCTGACTAGTTGATGAGTTTAAGCAAAAACTGTCACAGAAGTATTCTTAATGTTGAGCTTTAGAGTTTCGCGTTAGTCCAAGTGATGCGATCATAAAAAAAAAATTCATCCAGAAGTGTTAGTTGAGGTGTAAACAAACTGAAGAATACATGTGGATACTTGGCAATATTTGAGAAGGTCATAATGCTAAACCATTTTTGTTACTGTTCTAGAAGTAAATGAAAAGAAGTCTGGAAAAGAAGGGGATGTAAGGTTTCAGAGCATGAGGAGAGAGGATGCTTAGCTACCAGACAGCAGCTAAGATTTGGGAAGAGGCCCCAGCTTCCCAAATCTTGTCCAATACTCTTGAACCTAGGCTCTGCTCCTAGATAGTCTCATAATTCATAGTTGCTCCTCTCAATCCAGTTAACCCCTACAGTGCTCTAACAGCCCACTCTCAGCCAAACACCTCTGACTTCATGGTATTCTAACATCTCCAGGTAGTACCTCCAGACCTTTTCCCTGTGCCCCTGGACTCCAAGGTCTATCCCACCCTCAGCTGTCCATCTTCTAGAGCAGGCGGTCTAGCCTCCCCAAACCAGAAGAACTTCCTTTTTATATTCAACCACCTGATGGATGTCCCTGATCAGTTCCCTCAGCTGCAGAGCACAAGAAGGACCTTCAGGATCCAGCTTTCTGTGAGTACACTGCTCCGTGGATTAGTTAGCTGGTCATAGGTCCAGTGTCCTAGAGCTGAGCTTTTGACTCATCTCATGGTTCTGGGGCCTCCTTTGCCTCTCAAGTTTAAGGACATCCATAATTCATTGGATTTAGGATGACCCAAAACCTTCTCATACTAGTTCACTTTTGCCATCTTCTTCTGTTTCTGAAAGGGAGAAAATCACCAGTTTTAGTGGCTGGATTCAGGGGTTAGGGTACATGGACAAGCAACTTCCCAGCCCTTTTTGGTAGTGTTTTGCTTCTTGTCTTATTTGCAGGTAATGATTGCCAGATAGACAGGAATGGGGTCCAGTTAGTTATATCCAGGACCTTATGATATACCCCATATATACCCCTTTGCTCCTAATTTACAATGTCAAACTATAAAAAATGGTTTCTCTTCCTCTGAGCCAGTCTATAACAGTGGTCAGCATTTATTAAACACATACTACATGCCAGATGAGGTGCTAAAAGCTTTGCAAGCATTATCTTACTATATCCTACGGCAATCCTATGCAGATTTTTTAACCACTATGCTAAATTCCTCCTCCTAAATTAAGTGAAAATGACCAAATTTCTAGACAACTGTTACTTTCTCAGTGCTTATGGGGGTGGGGATGAGGGAAGAACACTGACTTTAAGTGCTCCAGGAGAAACTGATATTACAAATGACACAAGCCTTTAGTGGTCAACTGGTTTGGTAGTTTTCAAACATGTAGGTTTTCTTTCCTTTAGTAGACCACAAAATACAAAACAGAAAAAAACAGAGCTTCTTTGATTGAAGAAGGGTGAGGTGCTAGTGCCTTCCCTGCTATGCCTTCCTCCCCGCTCCCACTCCTCAATAGAAGATTCCAGAGACATCTGCACATTAAGCCTTAAGGATTCCTCAATTTAAAAACCGCTAATTGAGGCCGGGTGCGGTGGCTCACGCCTGTAATCACACCACTTTGGGAGGCTGAGGCGGGCAGATCACAAGGTCAGGAGATTGAGGCCATCTTGGCCAACATAGTGAAATCCCGTCTCTACCAAAAATACAAAAATTAGCTGGGCATGGTGGCGTGCGACTGTAGTCCCGGCTACTCGGGAGGCTGATGCAGGAGAATCGCTTGAACCAGGGAGTCAGAGGTTGCAGTGAGCCGAGATTATGCCACTACACTCCAGCCTGGCGACAGAGTAAGACTCTGTCTCAAAAAGCAAACAAACAAAACTACTAATTGAATCCAACCTTCTCGTTTTATAGGTGATGAGACTGAGGCCAAAGAAGAAGGAAAAAGGAGATGTTCAGGATCACGCAATGATTTGTGGCAAAACCCCAGCTATTAATATAACACCTATACAACTTCTAGACCAGTGCTTTTTCCACTTGAAAGGCCTTGTTATCTGAGTTTTGTTTTTTGTTTTTTTTCTGAGACAGAGTCTCACTCTGTCACCCAGGCTGGAGTGCAGTGACGCGATCTTGGCTCACTACAACCTCCGCCCCCTGGGTTCAAGCGATTCTCCTGCCTCAGCCTCCCTCCCGAGCAGCTGGGACTACAGGCACACGCCACCATGCCCAGCTAATTTTTGTATTTTTGGTAGAGACGGGGTTTCACCATGTTGGTCAGAATGGTCTCGATCTCCTGACCTCGCGATCCGCCTGCCGCGGCCTCCCAAAGTGTTGGGATTACAGGCATAAGCCACCGCGCCCGGCCGTTCTCTGAGTTCTTAAGTGGGCATAATGTCAGTGATGCCAGGGCCATGACTGTAGGCAAGGGCTGGAACTGCATGCCCTTTGGTGCTTTTACCCTTCCAAGTTTATGTCCAGGAATATACATCTCTCCCCAACTGCCTAAGTAGGTGCTAGTTGATATCATGATTGATTTGGTCTTCTTGGGTAAGACCTCAGTTAATTCTGGGTAATTTTTTGTTTGGGGATGAACTGTAGCCATCCACCTATGAAGAAAGTGTTGCTTTTATTCTTTGCTAGGTTCCATCCATACCTGGATGAGGAACAGCAAGAATATTTATTTCCTCATTTCCTTTTTACTAATCTCAATGTCTGGTCCTTCAGAAAAGAAACGAATGGGCTAAAGAGATAACTAGACTGGAAGAGAGGAGAAAAGTGTCAGAGGGGTGTTGGAGTAGGATGGGTTGGAGGAAGGACAGGAACAGCAAAGATGGAGGCTCTTCATGCCGGCCCCAATACCTTTCCATGTCTTCTTTCTCCACCCCGATACCCTCTGATGTCCAGTGCCTGAGGAGCTGGGGCAGTAGGGACATACTGAGATTGCCCTCCAACCCCATAAATCTACATCACTTTTCTATTTTCCTGACTCAAGCTTCCAAAGGCTGGGTTCCGCATCCCCAAAACCCATCTCTGAATCTCCAGGGCCTACCACTGACTGCACAGAACAGGCATTAGCGTATGCTTCAAAAAGACATCCCTGAGGAGCATAATAGTCATACTGTCACCCTCTAGCCTATAGTTTGCGAAGCCCTTTCCAGGCAGGACTTCAGTCGCCCCTCCTTGGATGTCCCTAGGGTTAGGCAGGGCCGAAGCCACTATCCCAACTCTACAAATGAGGAAAAGCCAAGAGCCGTGCTGCAGGCAGCTGGCAGCTGGCAGCAGCACTCTTCCACAGATCTCCTGACGAAGGTCGAGCACTTCTCTGCGTCTCCCACGGCCTCTGGCGCAGAGCCTGCCGGGAGTTGTAGTCCAGTGCCCCGGGAGCTCATATGGACTGGACTACAATGACCAGCGTGCCCCGCGCTCCGCGCCCCCTTCTCTTTCAGCCTCGGGCACGGGGGAGGCTCGGCGGACCTGCTGATTGGGAACCGATATGGCGGCGACTCTGGGCAGCGGGGAGCGCTGGACGGAAGGTACTAGGTCCCCGCCTGAAGGAGGGATAGGGCGGCCTTCGGGAGAGATCAGGGATGAGGATCCTGAAGACGCACAAGGGCTGAGATCCTGGGTCTGAGGTGATGGATAGAGGCCTGTGAAAAGATGCTGAGCCTGAGTAGGGTTGCGGATGGGGTAGGGAAGCTGGGGACCGACCGCGAGCCCAGAGTCACCGGTGACGACTTGTTGCCTCCGGCCCCCAGCCCCGCCCCCGCCCGTGCCCCGCCCAGGGCCCGCAGCTGTCAGGCCCCGCCCATGCCAAGGTGACTGGAGGGCCCGTGGGGTGCTGCGGTCTCTCCGCAGCTTGCTAACCTGGCCCTTATCTTTCGCCTAACTGGGCCACCTGACCTTCAGTCCCTGTTTGATCATGTCGCTCCAGCCGGCATCAGGACCAGCCTTTTCCACCCTACAGTCAGGCAAAAAATATTGATCCAATACCTATTGTGTGCCCCGCCTAATGCTGATTCTGCAGTGGGGATTTGACTGACATGGGTCCCTTAGCTCACAAAACTCGCAGCCCACTGAGAGAGTTTGACGACTGAACAGCCAATTACAAAACGGGCGAATAATACAAAACGCCTGGGCTACACAGCAAGGTCAGGGATTTGGAGAGCACACTTACAAGGTACCTAACGCAGACTGGCTGTCAAGGGAGGTTTCTTGCAGAAAGTGTTACAAATGGTGACAAGAAGGATGCGTCGGAGTTAGCCAGGCCGACTTAGAGGAAGACTGTCCAGGAGCAGTGGGTGGAGGTAGCTGAGGGATGTTAAGCGGAAGAAAGATGTTGTTAAAGCCTTTCTCAGGTCCTCCAGAGAAGACATGAGTGCTCTGCCCCTTTTGACTGTATTGCTTATGACCCTCTTTACATTCTGCAGGTGTTGTTATTGAATCTTCTCCCTTTAAACCAGGGGTATCCAATCTTTTGGCTTCCCTGGACCACATTGGAAGAAGAATTGTCTTGGGCCACACATAAAATACACTAACTGACGACTAAATAACTAACTGATGACAGCTAATGAACTTTAAAAAAATTGCAAAAAAAAATCTCATAATGTTCTTTTTTTTTTTTTTGAGACGGAGTCTCGCTCTATCACCCAGGCTGGAGTGCAGTAGCGCGATCTCGGCTCACTGCAACCTCCGCCTCCCGGGTTCACGCCATTCTCCTGCCTCAGCCTCCCGAGTAGCTGGGACTACAGGCGCCTGCCACCACGCCCGGCTAATTTGTTGTATTTTTAGTAGAGACGGAGTTTCACGGTGTTAGCCAGGATGGTCTCGATCTCCTGACCTCGTGATCCGCCCGCCTTGGCCTCCCAAAGTGCTGGGATTACAGGCGTGAGCCACCGCGCCCGGCCCTCATAATGTTCTAAGAAAGTTTACGAATTTGTATTGAGCTCAAAGCCGTGCTGGGCCACATGCCACCTGTGGGCCGCGGGTTGGACAAGCTTGCATTAAACTAACCTCTTTGTGGTCAGGAGTAGATCTTACCCATCCGCCCTCTTGATCTTCTAGCCAAGTTCCTTGGTATATATTAGTTCTATAATTGTTAGTGTAAAAGAATTGAACTCCTCTCTACTTTAAATTTTAGGGGTGGGAGGCACTGCAACAAAAAATACTATTTTACGAGCAGTGTCTCTTCTGACCACGGACCACAGAGAAACATGTTTATTCAGCTTTGTATGAGTGCTTAAAAGTCAGCATGACGCCTCTAGCCCTGGCCATCATGCTTACCTTCTCATGCTTACGAGCAGCCTCCCAGAGAGGAAAGGCAGGTTGCAAAGTTGATTTTCAGGGTCAGATGGAGACCTAATGGAGGGGCTGTTGTTTGCAGCTTACATTGACGCAGTTAGAAGAAACAAATACCCAGAAGACACACCTCCTGAGAGTCATGACCCCTGTGGCTGCTGTAACTGCATGAAGGCACAAAAGGAAAAGAAGTCTGAGAATGAGTGGACTCAGACCCGGCAGGGTGAGGGGAACTCCACGTATAGTGAGGAACAGCTGCTTGGGGTACAAAGGTGAGCATGTGGTGAGATTAAATGAGTGATTTTATGGAAAGTGCTTAGAAGAGTGCCTGGATGTGCTATGTAAGTATTGACTGATGATAATGATGATGATGATGATAATTGAGGCATACTAGCTTCTTGACCTCAGAGGGAAGACTGAATAGAAGTGGAATATTAGGGTATAACATGAACTGACTACCCTGCTTCTACTTTAAGAGAGGCAGCAGAAACCGACTAGACACAACACACATCTACAGGACATTCTTTCAACAACAACAGAACGATTTTCTTCTTAAGGATACATAGAATATTCTCCAGGATAGACCATATCTTAGGTCATAAAACAAGCCTCAATAAATTTAAAAAGATTGAAATCATACAGTGTATGTTCTCTGAAATCAAAAACAAAGGGAAATTTGAGAAATTCACAAATATGTGGAAATTAAACTACAAGCTCCTAATAAGCAAGCAAGTCACAGAATAAATCACTAGGAAAGCTAGAAAATGCTTTGAGATGAGTGAAAATGAAAACACGACGTACTAAAATGTATAGGATGCAGCTAAAACAGTGCTTAGAAGGAAATTTATAGCTCTAAATGCTTATTTTTTTAAAAAAGACTCCAAATCAGTAACCTAATCTACCTTAAGGAACTAGACAGCCTGGACAATACAGTGAAACCCCCTCTCTTCCAAAAAATATATATATACAAAAATTAGCTTGGTATGATGGCACCAACCTGTAGTCCCAGCTACTTGAGAGGCTGAGGCAGGAGGATTGCTTGAACCCAGTAGGTTGAAGCTACAGTGAGTCATAATCGCACAGCAGAGCAAGACCCTGTCTCTCAAAAAAAAAAAAAAAAAAAAAAAAGAAAGAGGGATATCCCTACCAATCCAAATACTATGAACAATTGTGTGCCAACAAATTAGATAACCTAGATAAAATCAGCAAATGCCTAGAAAGACACAAATTACTGAAACTGACCCAAGAAAAATGGAGGCCAGGCATGGTGGGTCACACCTGTAATCCCAGAGCTTTGGGGGTGCTGAGGCAGGAGGATTGCTTGAGACCAGGAGTTTGAGACCAGCCTGGGCAACACAGCAATACATTATCTCTAAAAAAAGAAAAAAAAAATACTTGGGCATGGTGGCACATGCCTGTGGTCCCAGCTACTTTGGAGACTGAAGCAGGAGAATCACTTGAGCCTAGGAATCTGAGGTTACAGTAAGCTATGGTAGTGCCACTGCATTGCAGCTTCGGTGACAGAGACCTTATTTCCAAAAAAGAAAAAGAAAAAAAAAAGGAAAACCCAAGTAGACCTACAACAAATAAGGTGATTTAATTAACAATCAAAAAAATTCTAGCTGGACATGGTGACTCATGCCTGTAATCCCATTACTTTGGGAGGCTGAGGTGGGAGGATCACTTGAGCCCAGGAGTTCAAGACCAGCCTGGCCAACATGGCGAAACTTCATTAGTACAATAAAAAACAAACAAAAAGACCCCACAAAAATTAGCCGAGCATGGTGGTGCACACCTGCAGTTCCAGCTGCTCAGGAGGCTGAGGTAGGAGGATTGATGGAGCCAGGAAGGGCGAGGCTACAGTGAGCACCACTGCACTCTAGTCTGGGTGACAGAGGGAGACCTTGTCTGAAAAAAAAAAAAAAAAAAAAAAAAAAACTTCCAATGAAGAAAAGTCCAGGCCCAGCTGGCTTCATTCTTTGAGACCAGTATTAACTCTGTAACCAAAACCAGACAAAAATATCATAAGAAGTCTAAATTATCAACCAATATCCCTTATGGATATAGATTTTAAAATATTCAATAAAATACTAGTAAAACAAATACAGCAATGTAAAAAGTATTATATATTTTCACCAAGTGGGATTTATCCCAGTATTGCAGGATTGTTTAACACACACAAGTCAATCAATGTAACATACCATGTTAATAGAATAAAGGACAAAAATCACACGATCATTTCAATAGGTACAGAAAAAGCATTTAACAAAATCCAACACTCTTTTTTTTTTGAGACGGATTCTTGCTCTGTCACCCAGGCTGGAGTGCAATGCCACGATCTCGGCTCACTGCAACCCCTGCCTCCCAGGTTCAAGCGATTCTCTGGCCTCAGCTTCCTGAGTAGCTGTGACTACAGACGCGCACCACCATGCCTAGCTAATTTTTGTATTTTTAGTAGAGACGGGGTTTCACCATGTTGGCCAGGATGGTCTCGTGACCTTGTGATCTGCCCGCCTCGGCCTCCCAAAGTGCTGGGATTACAGGTGTGAGCCACTGCGCCCAGCCCCAACACTCTTTCATAATAAAAACACTTAACTAGGAATAGAAGGGAACTTCCTCGACCTGATAAAGTCCATCTACAGAAATCCACAGTTAACATCATACTTAAAGGTGAACAACTAGGTGTTTTCCCACCAAGATCAGGAACAAGACAAGTATGTCTGTTCACTCTTGCCACTCTGTTCAACATTGTACTAGAGGGTCAAGCCAGGGCATTTAAGCAAGAAAAAGAAATAAAAGCCATCCAAATTGGAAAGAAGAGTAAAACTACATCCACAGATGACATGATCTTGTAAATGGAAAATCCTAATGAATACACACACACACACACACACAAATACTGTTAGAACTAATAAACAAGTTGGACAAAGTTACAGGATATAAGATCAATATACAAAAATTATCATTTTTCTATATACTAGCAATGAACAATAAAAAAATGAAATTAAGAAAATATAGTTGAGGCTGGGTGTGGTGGCTCATGCCTGTAATTCAAAACTTTGGGAGGCTGAGATAGGAGGATCTCTTGAAGCTAGGAGTTCAAGACGAGCCTGAGCGACATAGCGAGGCCCTGTCTCTACTAAAAATAAAAATTTAGCCAGGTGTGGTGGCATGCACCCAAAATCCCAGCTACTCAGAAGGCTGAGGTAGGTGGATCCCTTGAGCCCAGGAGTTCGAGGCTGAGGTGAGCTATGATCACCCTACTGCAATCCAGCCTGGGTGACAAAGCAAGACCCTGTCTCTATATACAAATAAATAAATAAATAGTTTTAAAAAAGAGATACAGTTGGCCTTTGAACAACACAGGTTTGAGTGGCATCAGTTTGAACCATGGATTTTTATATGTCAATTTTAAAAGATAAATACATTGGAAAAATTTTTTAGATTTGCAACAATTTGAAAAAGTGGCTCACATCTGTAATCTCAGCACTTTAGGAGGCCAAGGCAGGAAGAATACTTGGGCTCAGAAGTTTGAGACCAGCCTGGGCAACACGGCAAAACTCCGTCTCTACTAAAAATACAAAACTAGTCAGGCGTGGTGGCGCACACCTGTAATCCCAGCTACTTGGGAGGCTGAGGCGGGAGAATTGTTTGAACCCAGAAGGCAGAGGTTGCAGTGAGCTGTGATTGTGCCATTGCACTCCAGCCTGGGCAACAAGAGCGAAACTCTGTCTCAAATAATAATCATCATCATCACCATCTCACAAACCATGGAGCATGGACATACCAAAAAATTAAGAAAATTATATGAATGCATAAAATATATCTAGATTCTAGTCTATTTTATCATTTACTATCATAAAATATACACAAATCTATTATAAAAAGTGAAAATCTATCAAAACATATGCTCACAAACACTTGAGACTACATGGTACCATTTGCATTTGAGAAAAATGTAAACATACAGGTGCAGTATTAATCACACCTGCATAAAATTAACAGTAGTACTGTACTACTGTAATAATTTTGTAGTTAGCTCCTGTTATTTTGCTGAGCCTCAAGTATTGGGAGTATCTGCTTAAAATGCCACATGATGCTAATCATCTCTTTGTGAGCAGTTTGTCTCTTGAGTAAATTATGTATAGCAGTAAAAAGTGATCTCTTGCAGTTCTCCAGTTTTGTTTTTTTTTTTTTTTGAGATGGAGTTTTGCTCTTGTCGCCCAAGCCGGAGTGCAGTGGCACGATCTTGGCTCACTGCAACCTCCACCTCCCAGGTTCAAGCGATTGTCCTGCCTCAGCCTCCCAAGTAGCTGGGATTACAGGCGCCCACCATCATGCCCAGCTAATTTTTGTATTTTTAGTAGAGATGGGGTTTCACCATGTTAGCCAGGCTGGTCTTAAACTCCTGGCCTTGTGATCCACCTGCACTTAATGCCAGCAGGTAAGAAAACATTGCACTTTTTGCAAAATACCTTTTCATCTCATATTGAAAATGAAGCTTTTATATGGGTGCAGGACTGCTATAAGAAAGGCATACAGTCCATGATGTGATTATTACTTATCGCATGCCTGAGCTCAAGGCTTCCACTCACCTCAGTCTCTCAAAGTGCTGGGATTACAGGTGTGAACCCTGCGGCCAGCCCTACCTCATCAACTTTTTAGTGCAGACAAAAGTGCCCTATTCTGGAAAAGAAATGTCACAAAGGACATTGTACTAGTAAGGATGAGAAGTGAGCATCAGGATATAAGGCAGGAAGGGATAGGCTAACTCTGCTATTTTGTGCAAATGCAGTTCAGTTTATGATGGGGGCTGCCATTATATATAAAGTTGCTAACCCCTGAGCCTTGAATGGAAAAGATGAACACCAGCTGCCAGCCTTTTGGTTGTACAGCAAGAAGGCCTGGGCACTGAGAGCCCTTTTTCTGGACTGGCTCCATTGATATTTTCTTCGTGAAGTCAGGAAGTACTTTGCCATTAAGGGACTGCCTTTAAAAAGTTCTTTTGGATTAACTCAGGGTTATGGTGCATGCCTGTAGTCTCAGCTACTTGGGAGGCTGAGGCAGGAGAATTACTTGAGCCCAGGAGTTGGAGGCTGCAGTGAGCTATGATCGTGCCACTGCACTCCAGCCTGGGTGACAGGGACCCTACCCTGTCTCTAAAAAAAAATAAAGTTCTGTGGCCAGGCGCGGTGGCTCACGCCTGTAATCCCAGCACTTTGGGAGGCCAAGGCAGGTGGATCACAAGGTCAGGAGTTCAAGACCATCCTGGCCAACATGGTGAAACCCCGTCTCTACTAAAAATACAAAAATTAGCTGGGTGTGGTGGCAGGTGCCTATAATCCCAGCTACTCGGGAGTCTGAGGCAGGAGAATTGCTTGAACCTGGGAGGAGGAGGTTGCAGTGAGTCGAAAACATGCCATCGCACTCCAGCCTAGATGACAAGAGTGAAACTCTATCTCAAAAAAAAAAAAAGAATGTGAAAAGTCAACCCACAGAATGGGAGAAAACATTTAAAAACTGTATATCTGATAAGGGACTTTATCTGGAACGTACAAAGTTCTCTTAAAACTCAACAATAAGAAGACAAATAACCCAATTGGAAAAATGGGCAAAGGGTCTGAATAGGCATTCCTCCTATATATTCCTCCATATATGAATAAAGAAGATATATATATGGTTAGTAAGCATATGTAAACTTGTTCAACATCTTTAGTCATTAGGGAAATGCAAATCAAAACCACAATGAGATATACCCACTGGAATGTCTATAGTCAAAAAGGTGGATGATAAGTGTTTATAAAGAAGCAGATAAATTGGAACCTTTGTACATTGCTGGTAGGAATGCAGCCAGTTTGGAAAACAATATGGCAATTCCTCTTAAGGTTCAGAAGAAAATTAAGATTATTGACCTAGCAATCTACTCCTAGTATATTCCAAGAGAAATATAAATATACTTCCACAAAAAAACTTGTACATGAATGTCCATAGCAATATTATTCATAACGACCCCAAAGGGGAAACAACCCAATGTCCATTAACTGATAATGGACAAGCAACATGGTGTATATCCATACAATGAAATACTATTTTGTAACAAAAAGGGATGAACAGATTCATGCTACAACATGGATGAACCTTGAAAAAATTACAGTAAGTGAAAGAAGCCAGATACAAAAAGCTACATGTTATATAACTCCTTTTATGTAAAATATTCAGAATAAGCAAATCTATAGAGGGGAAAGTAGATTAGTGGGTCCCAGGGGCTGGGGGAGAAGTGGGAGTGACTACTAAGGAGTATAGAGTTTCTTTTTGGGGTGATAAAAATGTCCTGAAATGAGATAGTGGTGATAGATGCACACCTCTAAAAATGTATTTAAAAACTAATGAATTGTACATTTTAAAAGGGTGAACTTTATGGTACGTGGATTATTTCTCAATAAAGCATTATTAAACAAATAGTAAATTTAGGAGAGGGAGTCCTGAGTGTCTGCCATGGAAGCAGAGATTGGAAACTGGGCTGGGGATTCAAAGACTCCCCATGGGCAGCTCATGTGGAAGGGATCTGCTGACAGCCCAGACCCTGCATTAGAGTCCAACCTGTGTTACTGACTTACGATGAATTTCCCAACGAAGCTCCGAATCTCTGCCTGCCTTACTGAATTATATAGTAGCAAAAGACTGAAGACCTTCTCAATACAAATTAGTAGGTAATGTATATATTATACATTGATACAATGCAATAATATTTAGATTTTAAAAAGAATGAGGTAGGCCAGGCGTGGTGGCTCATGCCTGTAATCCCAGCACTTTAGGAGGCCAAGGCAGGTGGATCACTTGAGGTCAAGAGTTCGAGACCAGCCTGGCCAATACAGTGAAACCCTGTCTCTACTAAAAATACAAAAAACTAGCTGGGTGTGGTGATGCAAGCCTGTAGTCACAGCTACTCGGGAGGCTGAGGCAGGAGAATCACTTGAACCCAGAAGGCAGAGGTTGCAGTGAGCCAGGATCGCGCCACTGCACTCCAGCCTGGGCTCTGTCTCAAAAAAAAAAAAAAGAGGTAGATATATAGTACTAGGTAATATTTATTTAGTATTAAATGCTCTCAAGCACTTTGATGAAGACTTTATTTAATCACAATATCAACTCTGTGAAATATAATTATTAGCCCATTTCAGAAGATAACACCAAGCTATAGAGGTTAAGTACACAGCAAAATCAAAGCTAAACCAAGGCATTTTGACTCCAGAGCTCATCTCTAATCCAGCAGTTCTCAAAGGGTGGTTGGGGAACCCCAAGACCCTTTTAGGGGATAGGTCTGCAAGTTTAAAACTGTAGTCATAATGATATAAACATGTTACTTGTCTTTTTCACTAATTTTCTCATGATTATACAGTGGAGTTTTTGAGAGGCTACATGACATGTAATTACATCATCACTGTTTAAAAATTTTTTGTTTTCATTTCTGGTATAGTAGATGTGGATTGATAGAAGTCATATAAATGAAAGCTCTTTTGAGGTCTTCAGTAATTTTTTTTCGCTTCCTGTACCATGCATATCAGTAATTTTTAAGAGTATAAAACGTTGCTGAGATCAAAAGTTCAGAACTGCCACTCTAATCTAAACTACTGTCTAGTCTAAACTATTATTCTATACTTCTCATCTCTATATGTTAAGGATTGATCTCCAAGATAAATTGTTTTTTGTTTGTTTTTTAGAGACAGGATCATGCTCTGTTGCCCAGGCTAGAGTGTAGTGGAACAATCATAACTCACTGCAGCCTCAAACTCCTGGGCTTAAGTGATCCACCTGCCTTGGCCTCCTGAGTAGCTGGAATTCCAGATGCAAGGCACCATGCCTGGCTAACTTTTTAAAATTTTTCATAGAGATAGGGTCTTACCATCCTGCCCAGGCTGGCCTCAAGCTCTTCACCTCAAGCAGTCCTCCTGCCTCAGCCTCCCAAAGCACTGGTATTACAAGAGTGAGCCACCACGCCCAGCCCAAAATAATTTTTTTTTAAAGCAAGATGTAGAAAAGTGATTATAATATGTTTCCATTTAGGCAAGAAAAAAAATGGAGAGGACTATACCTGTACTCTCTGTACATAGGATCCACAGAAAACTTCTAATGATGGTTATCCCTGTGGTGGGAAACTGGGGGACAGGGAATGATGAAGCAGGAAAATTTTTACTGTATAAACTTTAGTTCTGTTGGCTCTTTTTCTTCTATCATGTGTATGTTAACTTTTTAAAAACACAGTTTAGCCAGGCACGGTGGCTCACACCTGTAATCCCAGCACTTTGGGAGGCCAAGGTGGGCAGATCACAAGGTCAGGAGTTTGAGACCAGCCTAACCAATATGGTGAAACCCCATCTCTACTAAAAATACCAACATTAGCCAGGGCTGGTGGCGCATCCCTGTAATCTCAGCTACTCGGGAGGCTGAGGCAGGAGAATTGCTTGAACCTGGGAGGCAGAGGTTGCAGTGAGCTGAGATCGCGCCATTGCACTCCAGCCCAGGCAACAAGAGCAAGACTACGTCTCAAAAAAAAAAAAAAAAAAAAGCAAAAAATACAGTTTAAAAAGATAGCCATAGGAAAAAGAGAGAAAAAATTATAAACAAACAGGGTGATTAACTGTTTCTTCTGGCTTTGCTGTCCTGTAGTTCATCTCTCAGGATCTTAGCCTGAACCTTGGTGTAACAATTAGCATACTTGTTCTACTCACTTGCAGGGATATAGGAAGAGTAAATAGTAGATGTAAAAGTACTTTGAAAGGCATTAAGTTCTGGGTGGGAGAAGGACATTGTTAATGAATTTGAATGTTTCATTAACGTGTGCACTAATTTTCTTATAGGTTTGTTTTGGGTCCCACAGATTGGAGGTAGGATCGATGTATTATCTTGCAATTAGTTGTACAAAAGGGACCTTTATAGACATACATGCTTGTGATTTTTTTTAGGATCAAGAAATGCAGAAATTACTATGAAATTCTGGGAGTTTCTCGAGATGCTAGTGACGAAGAGCTTAAGAAAGCTTACAGAAAACTCGCCCTGAAATTTCACCCTGACAAGAACTGTGCTCCTGGAGCAACAGATGCTTTCAAAGGTCTGATCCTGAACCAATGCTCAATGGTGCCCTTGTCATGGTTGGTCATAATAAGTTGCTTTTAGCCTTCCCCATAGTTGTTTTATAAGGCCATAAGGAGGGTTTTTTCCCCCTGCCACACCTCTTAAATAGTGATAATCAGCATAGCTCCCACTTGATTTTACCTAGGCTGGAGTGCAGTGGTGACATCTCAGCTCACTGCAACCTCCACCTCCCGGGCTCAAGTGATCCTCCCACCTCAGCCTCCTGAGTAGCTGGGACTACAGGTGAGCACCACCATGCCCGGCTAATTTTTGTATGTTTTGTGGAGATGGGGTTTTGCCATGTTGCTCTGGCTGATCTCAAACTCCTGAGCTCAAGTAATCTGCCCGCCTAGGCCTTCCAAAGTGCTGATATTACAGGCGTGAGCCACTGTGCCCATCCTCCATGATATTTTAAGAAATATATTCTTCAGGCTGAGCGCAGTGGCTCACACCTGTAATCCTAGCACTTTGGGAGGCTGAGGTGGGAGGATTGCTTGAGCCAGAGGTCAAGGCTGCAGTGAGCTGTGATTGCACCACTGCACTCCAAGTCATTGTTACAGGCAAAGATCTTCAGTGAATGCTAAAACCATTGAGTGCTAGGTAGTTGTCGCCTATGGGGTATTCTTGCCAAAATGTTTGACCTGAATCTAATAATGAGGAAACAATCAATATGAAACATTCTACAAGAATACTGATCTGTTCTTCCAAAAAATTTAACATAATGAAAAACAAAAAAGGTGGGACAGTTTTAGCTTAAAAGAAACTAAATGCTATACTTGATCTTGCATGGATGCATTGGATGATAATGGACTGATGTTAATTTTCTTAGCTGTGATAATGGTGTTGTGATCACATAGGAGAATGTCTTTCTTCTTGGGAGATATATGTTGAGGTATTTAGGGGCAAGGTGACGTAATATCTGTGGCCTATTTTCAAATGGTTCAGCAAAATAAATGTATAATTATTACAATACATATGTACATATGTATATATAGAGTTGTAGGTAACAGAGTGGCAAGGCAAACATTTAACAATTCCCCAGGTAAAAGAATCATGAAGAAATACTCTTTCTGTGTTTCTGACAGTGTTGACTGAATTACAGGTAGGGAGTGCGGGATGCCTTAAAAGATTTCTTTTTTTTGAGGTTTCTATTGATTGGTGCTACGGATTGTATGTTTAAATGAAATTGGGCAAGGTTTGCACGTCTGTACATAGAAAGGAGACATGTTGGTAAACATATGTAACTATTCAGCCTTTGAACCCTCCTTGAGACATTGGAAATACATTTCTTAATTTCAGAAAATATTTGTCTAAAGTAAACTGAAATAAGACTATGATGAAGACTTTGTTTTTAGTCAAGCAGGAAGGTTTCTACTAAGATTGTTTCAGAAGAGAATTCAGGAAATTTTTTGGACTACAAGTTAAAATATCACTACTGATGTGTGAACTGTTTCCAACATAAACTATTGCACTCAAGTGAAATAAGAACACTTTTTTGGCCAGATGCAGGGCTCACACCTATAATCCCAAACTTTTGGAGGCCAAGGTGAGAGGATCACTAGAGGCCAGGAATCTGAGACTAGTCTGGGCAATGCAGCAAGACCCTATCTCTAAAAAAATTTTTTTTAAAGTAAAGAGCACTCTTTGTGTGTGTGTGTGTGTGACAAAGTCTCACTCTGTTGCCCAGCCTGGAAGGCAGTGGCATGATCTCGGCTCACTGCAACCTCCCAAAGTGCTGGGATTATAGGCATGAGCCACTGCACCTGGCCAGAACACATTTTTTATGAATGAGAGTGCTGACCAGTTGGAGAACATTTCCCCAACATGCCTGGGACTTGTGGTGACTGGGAACCCGAACTGAGGGGGGCTTCCTAACTTCTAGGACAGCTGGGATGACTACAGGACTGTTGATTGGGAGTTAACTCACTGCAGCAGAAGTTCTTAATTCCTGTGATTCCAATGTTGTTGTTTCTGGCGATCAGGGAAAACCTGAAGGGCAAGCACTGTGGAGAACTTTCTAGGCCCAAGCATCTCTTCTTGGGCCCCTGCGAAGTTGTCCAGCACGAGTCACCTCTAGGCTCTTTGTCACTGCTGCTGTGATCACTCTCAGCCATAGCAAAGACTGTGTCCTCATGTGCTGGTTCTTGTTGGTTGCAGCAATAGGAAATGCATTTGCAGTCCTGAGCAATCCTGATAAGAGACTTCGCTATGATGAATACGGAGATGAACAGGTGACTTTCACTGCCCCTCGAGCCAGACCTTATAATTATTACAGGGATTTTGAAGCTGACATCACTCCAGAAGAGCTGTTCAACGTCTTCTTTGGAGGACATTTTCCTACAGGTTAGTCTCCCCAAATTATCATTCTTAAACATATTTCTTTATTTATGGCTCTCAGCAAGCTCCTGTTTGAAAATCTGAATAGAGGTACAATGGTATGATGGAAACAGCAAGGATCTAGAATCAGTTGAGCAGGAGTTTGAGGCAAGTCTCCAGCCCCCAGCTGTGCATAATTTTGACCAAATCATTTAGTCTCTCTGACCCTGTTTCCTCTCCTGAAAAATGGGGCTGTTAATAATACCTACTTCACAGGGTCACTGTGAGGATTAGATATTTTTAAGTGCCTTATAAATAAGTAACAAAATGCCTATTATTGTTGTGTAAAATAGCACTTACAAAGATAGAAGATAGGAAAGTACCCCCCAGCAAGTTGGAAGTTGGTATAATTCAATGCCCAGGAAGTAAATTGAATTTTATGAGTTGCTATTAAAAGATACCAGTGACACAATATGGTATTGGGCACGGAAGCAGACGTGAACATGCCAGATAGGATTCACGGCCCTAATGCTCTCTCTCTTCTAGCCTTTCGGGGTTCTCTCTCACTAGTTGCAAAGGACTATTTAAATGAAGTCAGGAGAGCTCAGCACGCTTTAGCTCCAGCTGGTTCACTTGGCTTGCCTATTGTCTTATTTTTCTACTGGGTAAAATAGGCCAATACTCTATCCTTAACAAACCTAGCTGGGAACAAGGACCTTGAAAAAGGCAAGGAAGGGTCAGGCGCGGTAGCTTACGCCTGTAATCCCAACACTTTGGGAGGCCAAGGTAGGTGGATCACTTGAGTTCAAGAGTTCGAGACCAGCCTGGCCAACATGGTGAAACCCCATCTCTACTAAAAATACAAAAGTTAGCCAGGCATGGTGGCGGGTGCCTGTAATCCCAGCTACTGAGGATGCTGAGGCAGGAGAATCGCTTGAACCCAGGAAGCAGAGGTTGCAGTGAGCCGAGATCACCCCATTGCACTCCAGTCTGGGTAACAGAGCAAAACTCCATCTCCAAAAAAAAAAGAAAAAGGCAGGGAAGGAGTGTTTGCCATATCCCATACCATGTATTTCTTTTCCAGGAAATATTCATATGTTTTCAAATGTGACAGATGACACTTACTATTACCGTCGACGGCACCGACATGAGAGGACACAGACTCAGAAGGAGGAGGAAGAAGAGAAACCTCAGGTACCTAGGGAGGGAGGAGCACTGCTGCCCATAAACAGTTGTACTTGGCCAACCTTGATGGTACATGGTCAAGTTTTAGAAGTTGAACCTGAGATATGTTGCTTTAGGAAAGATGTGCTTTAGGAAAGCAAAAGCAATGGTTAGAAGAGCTGGAAAATTGGCCTAAATAGGCAGAATGGTATCCCCTCCCTCTGCCCATTCTTGGGTGGCTCTCCCAGAATCTCAGCAATCTGTGGGGCTGACTTCATCAAGGCTTTTTTTTTTTTTTTTTTTTTTTTTTTTTTTTTGAGAGAGGGTCTCACTGTCACTCAGGCCGGAGTACAATAGTAGAAACACAGCTCACTACAGCCTCAAACTCCAGGGCTCAACCAATCCTCCCACCTCAGCCTCTCATGTAGCTGGGACTATAGGTGCGTGCCACCATGCCCAGCTCATTTTTTGTAGAGATTATTTCTCACCATGTTTCCCAGGCTGGTCACAAACTCCTGGGCTCAAGTGATCCTCCTGCCTTGGCTTCCCAAAGTGCTAGGATTACAGGCATGAGCCACCGCTCCGGCTTCATAATTTTCTTGGCTGCAGAAAATAGGAATCCTCTTCAAAATATTTAGAACTAAAGGGGGTTTAAGGTAAGGGATCAAAAGAGTCTCATGAAGCTCAAGGACAAGAAGCACAGCTGGGCCTCATGACAGACAGGAACAAGGAACTGGGATACTGTCAGGCTCCCAAGCAGCTGTGCTCTGCAGGACTCTTTGGGCCCAGATTGTCTCCAGTTTTCCTGCCACTCTTTGCCTCTGTTTTGTTTTCACCAAGCAGCTTTGCTTGTTCTACTTCCCCTTGCAAATAGCCAGTCTACAGTGCCTGAGAGTGTGTGTTCTTCCTTAAAGTGATGACCCAGAAGTGAAGGGTGATGAGTTTCAACCCCAAATTCCTAGGAGAGAAAACGTGATTACCTCTGCCAGAGTTGGATGTCCCCTGAGTCCAATCAGCTGTGGCCAAGCATGATGCTAACCTGGCTCCTAGAGCCCCACTACTGTAAGAGGCACAGTCTGGGCAGGTTTACCTAGAGATGTTTGCTTCATTGGTCTTATTAATGGGGCTGCAGGGGGATTACTGGGTGTCAATCCAGGTTGTTGTTGGACCTCCTTCAGCCTGCTCAGCAGAGAGAGTAAAGGTTATTTGGTATAGATTGAGTATCCCTTATCTGAAGTAAATTGGACCAGTAGTATTTCAGATTTCAGATTTTTTTTTTTTTTTGGATTTTGGAAATTTGCATTATACCATTATATATTTGACAATTCCTAATCTGAAAATCTGAGGCTGGGTGCTATGGCTCACACCTGTAATCCTAACACTTTGGGGGAACTGAGGCAGGAGAATTGCTTGAGCCTAGGAGTTTGAGATTAGCCTGGGCAACATGGCAAGACCTTGTCTCTACAAAAATTTAAAAATTAGCTGGACACGGTGGTGTGCACCTGTGGTCCCAGCTTCTCAGGAGGCTGAGGCGAGAGAATCATCAGAACCCAGGAGGTCAAGGCTGCAGTGAGCCATGTTTGTGTCACTGTACTCTAGCCTGGGTGACAGAGCAAGACCATGTCTCAGAAAAAAAAAAAAAAAGGAAATCCAAAATGCTCCAATGAGCATTTCCTTTAAGTGTCATCCTGGTACTCAAAAAGTTCTAGATTTTGGAGCATTTGTGATTTTGAATTTTCTGATTAGGACTGCCCAACCTGTACTTCTCAGCTGAAAGTACAGCCTTCCCAGAAAAGCCTGGGGCTTTGTGGATCCTCCTATGCAGTGCATTGATAATTTGTTATTTTCTTTGGAGCAACTATCTTATTTTCAATAAGCTTTATATTGATAAAGAACACTTACAGGCCAGGCGCAGTGGCTCACACCTGTAATCCCAGCACTCTGGGAGGCCGAGGTGGGCAGATCACGAGGTCAGGAGATCGAGACCATCCTGGCTGCGGTGAAACCCTGTCTCTACTAAAAATACAAAAACTAAGCCGGGCGTGGTGGCGGGTGCCTGTAGTCCCAGCTACTCGGGAGGCTGAGGCAGGAGAATGGCGTGAACCCGAGAGGCGGAGCTTGCAGTGAGCCGAGATCGCACCACTGCACTCCAGCCTGGGCGACAGAAAAAAAAAAAAGAACACTTACAGCAAGTTTTTATTTTTTTTTCTTTTTCAGACTACATATTCTGCATTTATTCAGCTACTTCCAGTTCTTGTGATTGTGATTATATCTGTCATTACTCAGCTGCTGGCTACTAATCCCCCATATAGTCTGTTCTATAAATCGTAAGTCTGGTATTTCTAAATCTTTCTCAGTAACAGTCTGGGGGTGAAAGACTTGAAGGTTTTGCTGATACATTACTAACATTTCATTTCACCTTTTGCTGTAGAAAACACCGATTTGATGTTTAAAGGAACAGCTGGGTAGTCATGGTGCTGAGACTCAAAAATACTGAGGCAGTCTCCTGTGTGCCTCGGGAAATAGATTGTCTTGTTCTATAGTGACATCATCTGGTCAGCTGCAGAACAGCAGTAACTGGTTTTTGAAGGATCAGTAGAATTTAAGGTTTAGATGAACTCATTATCACACCATGGTAGAGTTAGAAAGACTCTGTTAAGCTGTTGATAGGATTGCTGGACCCTGTGGGTCTCGGAGCATAGTATTAATAATGGGGATCAAGTGATTATTTTCAATTTTTTTGTTTTTGTTGAAAATAGAGAAATTCCTTGTAATGCTTTTTGCGTATAGATTATAAACTCTGATAGGATTTTTAAAAATTTCTTCAATTAATTCTTTCAGTTGATTCAGTTCCCAAAGTTTGGTCCCCAGACCAGCCATCGTCAGCATCAACAGGCAACATGTTAGAAAGGCAGATTCTAGGGCCCCTCCATATCCATTGAATTAGAGGCTCTGGGGGTAGGACCAGAAGTCTGAGTTTTAAAAAACCCTCTAGATTATTCTGGTCCACACTGAAGTTTGAGAATCACTAGATTATCTTTTTTGTTAATAATGAATAATAAATTATTATTCATTATTATAATTTAGTGGGAAAAAAACCTTTTAAAAGTAGAATTTATTAGACAATATATAACAGGAAGAGTCTTTGTCAGTGATCACTGTAGACAAGACCATCATTCCAGGTCAATCCAGGTCAGTATTTCCTTTTTTGTTTGTTTTTGTTTTTTGAGACAGAGTCTCACTCTGTCGCCTGGGCTGGAGTGCAGTGGTGCAATCTGGGCTCACTTCAACCTCCACATCCCTGGTTCAAGGAATTCATGTGCCTCAGCCTCCTGAGTAGCTGGAATTACAGGCGGCACGCACCACCACACCCGGATAATTTTTATATTTTAGTAGAGACAGGGTTTCACTATGTTGGCCAGGCTGGTCTCAAACTCCTAACCTCAGGTGATCTGCCCACCTTGGCCTCCCAAAGTGCTGGGATTACAGGCATGAGCCATCGCGCCCGGCTAGTATTTTCCTTTTACAGAGAGCGAAGCTGAGGCTGAAAGAGAGGTTTCTTTTTATTGTTTTTGTTTTCGAAGCAGTCTTGCTCTGTCACCCAGGCTCCCAGGCTGAAGTGCAGTGGTGCAATCTTGGCTCACTGTAATCCCCTTCTCCCAGGTTCAAGCGATTCTCATGCCTCAGCCTCCTGAGTAGCTGGGATTATAAGCATGTGCCACCACACCTGGCTAATTTTTGTATTTTTTAGTAGAGACTGGGTTTCACCATGTTGGCTGGGCTGGTCTCGAACGCCTGACCTCCACCTTTCTTGGCCTCCCAAAGTGCTGGGATTACCGTCATGAGCCACTGCACCTAGCCTTCATAGAGAGGTTTTTGCCATCAGGCCACACTGGCCTGATTCCCTCTGTTTCCCAGCTTCTCATGTTTTTCCATATGGCACTTTAGCTTTCTTTCTTGTGAGGCCAGCGGGGTAAGCACGGACCTGCTCTGTAAGCTCCCCCAAAACCTTAGAGTGAGGGGAGAGCAGTCATGGCTTCAGCTCTTACTCTAATTAGAGAGGATCAAAGGAGAGGGCCGGAAAAAGGCCAAATAAAATATAGCCCCTTTAATGTAGAATTTGTCCAGTTTGAAGAAAACCATTTCTGTCACATTGTTTTAACTTGAGTTTGAGGTCCCTTCTATGTTTCCTTATGGTTAGAATTAGTCAGCTCAGTACTCTTATTAATGTTGCTAAGCACCAGATACCTTTGGATGTCTTGGACCCACAGAGAGTTAGCTCTAAAGCATCATTGAAATCTTTTGTCTGAGTTTCTTGCAGTTCTCAGTTAGCAGCTATGTGCGAAGTACTTTTTATCATGTCCAAAATATTGCTTCTAGGTTGGTGTGAGCTATCTGTTTTTTTTGTAAATAATTTGCTATATAACATAATCAGTTCATTCAACCAGCATTTATAATAGCCTACTCTGTCAGGTACCATACTAGATCCTACACAACGTAAAAATTGTTTGTTTTAAGCATTCAGCATTCTACTTTTAGCACAGAGAGCAGTATAAGAGAGGTGAGTCCTTTAAGAGAATAAACTATGCTGAAGCTGAATTCATAGTATGAACTTGCTTACATAATACAATTATGATGATGTTATACTTACAACTTTGCTAGGGAAATAAGAAGTGTTGGGTATATTAGAAAATGATATCTGCCTCTGCTCTATGAGCAGATGATGATGATGATATCTGTGAGGGCAGTGCTAAGAGTAATATTGCCAAATATTATGAGCTCACATGAGCCTCTCTCTCCTTGTTTCAGGACCTTGGGCTACACCATTTCTAGAGAAACTCAGAACCTGCAGGTGCCTTACTTTGTGGATAAAAACTTTGACAAGGCCTACAGAGGAGCTTCTCTGCATGACTTGGAGAAAACAATAGAGAAGGATTACATTGATTATATCCAGACTAGTTGTTGGAAGGAGAAACAACAAAGTAAGATACTGTAAAAGGGGCATTAGCTGGTGGCTGTGGTTCCCAGCAGGAGGCACCCCCAGCCTCCTGATCCCTCCTCTCTTCTTGTTTGAGGCTACGCATGTTTATGTGAACAGAGTCAGAGGACAAAGGCCATTCAGGATACTATAAAAAAGTAGGGGAAATTTATTGACAGGATACATGTGGCCAGGACTTGGAAATCTTAGGAATTTAGGCGGCACTAGTCACCTGTCTGTATGTCTGTCTCTCTTTGAGTCTCTACCTCTCTCTGCCAATCTGCCCCCTCTCCTCTCCCCACCAGCTGCCTTCCTTTCTTTCTTCCAGCTTCCCTTTTGCATAACCTTGTTTGCCATGGTTTACAGTGGTTGCCACCCTGCTTATCACTCTCTCAAATTCCCCAGTCTCACCAGTCAGTGCCCCTTTCTGCAGCACACACGTCTGTAAGTTCTTGGTGCTCGCTGATTTGGTCCACAGTTTCCCAATTCCACACTCCCTAGAGGGAAATCTGATCGAGCCAGCCTAACTTTTTGAAACAGAACAAAGGTTTAGAGGTTTCTGGTATGGAATGAGGTGTCCCCTACCCTCACCTCCAGCTGGTTGTGGCCACACAGAACAAAAGCGACCCCTTGGGTCTGCCCCTTTGGGTGTGGCAGGCCTTCCCCCCTATTTCCCTCTCTGGAGACAGTGGGGATGATAGCATCTGCCACTGGCTTACAGCTCCAGCAAGTGTTACTAGGAGTGTCTGCAGCAGGGGTAGCCCCGTCTCAGCCAACAGCTTCACCTTTGGTCCCACTTGAATTCTACACACACATACCGCGTTAGTGACTGTGTCTTCTAAAACTTGGTTTTGATTATTTTTATTTTCTTTTTTATTTTTCAGGAGGTACCCTTTTAACTGAAGTTTTGGCTCATGTTTAAAAAGCAAATTCTGACTCATTTCTAAAGCCTTATTACTGAGTATCATTAAATACCTAATGGAGTCTGATAAAATTAGCTCTTCAGTCACAGTGCTGCTAAGCCCTCATTGACCATCACACACTCCCAACCCCGCCCTCAAGTTAAGCTCTCCTTCCTCTGTGTTCTTAAAGCACTTTGTTCAGCCTGCTAACATAGTACCAATCACACAGTGTTAGAGTTCCAGGGATATATGTCAGTCTCCCCTGCAAGACTATGGACTGTCTGGGAATAAGAACTTGGTCTTACTAATTTTGTGTCCCAGGGTTCTGGCACAGTCCTTGCTTCAGAACAAGTGCTCAACAAATGTCTTTTGAAGAGAGGATTCTCAGGAGTAGAAAACAATGAAAATGCTGAGGATTGTGAATAACAACAGCAGGGTTAGTGTCCTAGCTCACCCTTAGGGACCTGGTCTCTGCCCCCTATTTCTGTACGGCAAAGTCCTAATGTTCTCTCAAGGTGCATTAGGAAGTTGGTGAGCAATGACTCTGGGATATAAGAGGAAATTAAACAGGAAGAGGAAATTCCAATTTATTGAAAAACACTGAGGATTCAGGAAATACTCTACCCCATTGCTAAACTAGATTTTACAAGAATCAAAAATCAGGAAAGAATTTTAGAGCAGGATAAAGGCCTCATATTAAAAGGCAGTATATAGGCCAGGCATGGTAGCTCATGCCTATAGTCCTAGCACTTTGGGAGGCCGAGGCAGGAGGATCACTTGAGTCCAGGAGTTTGAGACCAGCCTGGGAACCCCATCTCTAGAAAAAGTATAAAAATAAGCCAGGTGTGGCAGCACATGCCTGTGGTTTCAGCTACTCAGGAGGTCGAGCCTGGGAGATCAAGGCTGCAGTGAGCTGTGATCACTCCACTGCACTCCAGCCTGGGCCACAGAGCGAGATCCTGTCTCAATAAAAAGGCAGTATATACATGGATCCAAATCAGGTGAAAGCCAGTGTATGTCCTGAAAATCCCCATTGTCTGGGTCCTGGGAGGGCTTTGACTTTGTTGCTTTCTGCAAGAACTGGATGAAAATCTGCATTTCACATTCTTCAAACACCCGCCTGCCCCACATCTTCCTCTGTGGCAGTAAGATGCTGGAATTATACAAAGAGCTCATGGTAAGGATTGCACCAGAGGTAGTTTCTCAGCTTTTGTCCCCATCCCCATGAGGCCTAGTTCAGAGCTTCGGCACTCTCCAGGTATAAATAAAAATCCAGTGAGTGGCCAGGTGTGGTGGCTCATGCCTGTAATCCCAGCACTTTGGGAGGCCAAGGAGGATGGATCACCTGAGGTCCGGAGTTCGAGACCAACCTGGCCAACATGGCGAAACCCCTTCTCTACTAAAAATACAAAAATTAGCTGGGTGTGGTGGTGCGCACCTGTAATTCCAGCTACTTGGGAGGCTGAGGCAGGAGAATCTCTTGAACCCGGGAGGCGGAGGTTGCAGTCTGCTGAGATCGTGCCACTGCACTTCAGCCTGGGTGACAGAGCGAGACTCCATCTAAAAAAAAAAAAAAAAAAAAAAAATCCAGTGAGTAAGCATGATGCGTGTACCCACAAGTTCCAAATGGCAGTTATCAGCACAAACCCCTTAAAAATCTATTTCTGGCATTTAAGTACAGCGGCTATGCAGAGCCTCCACACAACCCAAGTGCCATTTGAGAACAAGCAGCATCTGCCCTCCGAATCCAGCAGCAAGTGCAGCCAACAAGGTTAAATTTAGCACTTGGAGGTTGTAAAAATAAACCCACTTGAGAACAAAGTTCACTCTTGGCAAAATACCAAATGCAAACTGTTTTTAGCAAGGTTAGCCATTGACTTTTTAAATCTTTGTTTGGTTCATTTATTTTTCTCTGCTCTTCCTTAGAATGTTTAATCTGGGTGAAAATTTTTTTTTTTTTTTTTTTTGACAGAGTCTCGCTCTCTCGCTCAGGCTGGAGTGCAGTCATGCAATCTCGGCGCACTGCAACCTCCACCTCCCAGGTTCAAGCGATTCTCCTGCCTCAGCCTCCTGAGTAGTTGGGACTATAGGTGCATGCCACCGTGCCTGGCTAATTTTTGTAGTTTTTAGTAGAGACGGGGTTTCAAGGATGTTGGTCAGGCTGGTCTCGAACTCCTGACCTCAGGTAATCCGCCCACCTCGGCCTCCGAAGTGCTGGGATTACAGGCGTGAGCCACCACACCCGGCCAATCTGGGCAAACCTTTATGAGTAATCCCTTACTATAAACACTAATTGTCCTGTTTACTTCTTCGCAGCTGCATCTAGATAGTAAGCCTGATGCCAGGGCAAGTGGCCACACCACTAGGCTGGGCTGGACGAAGGTAGCAGGCAGGAACTGCCTCTTGGCCTAGCTGAGCTGAGCTGAGCTCCTGGCCCAGACTGGTAGAGGAGCACTTCTTTCCACACCCTTGAGCAGGATAACCTAGTGGGTAGAAGCTTAGGCTTTGAAATGGGGATAGAATCCACTTCCTCCTAGAGAGGTTGTGTGGGTTATGGAAGATGGTATGGGTGTAACTCTTAGCACAGTGTCTGGCACATAGAAAGTGCCTAATTTCTGGTGGAGTCCTGGCTTTACCTGGCTTTGCACTGTAGACTGGATGTAGCACCATCTCATGGGGCTGGATCATGAGGGCAGTTGGGATCTGTTGCGGTCTTTCAGCTGTTGAGACCAATCTGGGCTCTTTTGCAGAGAACCTTAGGAGAGGTTCTGGGTCTTGCTTCTCTTGGCAATTTGCCTGAGTCAGTTTATCTTTAAGGCTCAATGCTCTGTCCATCTGTTACAGTGGCATTCAGAGGAAGGGGAACTTTCTGCTAAGAAGAAAAGGTATTCTCTGGAACCTGCCACTCCCCAAAATTTTTTTTAATTACTTAGAATTTATTGAATATTAACAGAATTTGTCAAAAGTAGCATATTCTTCAAGTTGACCCTTTGTTCATTGAAGGATGAAAGGATTCACTGGCAGTTTGGAGAGAAGTTGCTTTAAGCTTGGTAGTGGGGATGTGGGACATGATTCCTTGAAACACTGACCTTGTACAAGGTCATTGCTCTGGAGCAGGGGTCTCTGAGCTGGTTTCAGTGAACTTTATGAAAAGCAATGTGATATTTTGAGAAAAGCAGTTATCTTTCATCAGCTTGTTGAAGTGGCCTTCAATGTAGAAAATATAAAGAGTCACTAGCCCTTAATGTTTCCTGGAACAAGATTTCAGGGAATGAAGCATTTAGAAAAGCTGAGCAAATGGAAAACCTGAGGAAATCATTTCAAAGAAAAGCAAAACCACAGAATCTGTTTCAATACTGGTGTAACTGTGACTCCAGAGGACTAAAGGCATAGACTGACTTCACAGAGGCCTCCTGGGCAAGGTTACCCACATGCCAAAGTAGCCTGAGATTGGAGTTAGTGCCGAGCCCTGGGCAGGATGCAGGAGCAGAGAGCTTTCATTTGGATATGGCCCATGATCCTCCATGACGCCCCATCACCTGCAAGGGTGACTGTGCCAAGGCAAGCCCTGGCTAGCAGGCGCTGCAGGCACCCTCACCAAGCAGGGAGAGCGCATTGTTCTGGAGCCTGGGAGACCCACTGCTTGCCAAGCAACTGCTGGGCTAGAGCCCAGGCTGTGCGGCCTCCATTGTAGAGGGAGGGTTTTTATGCATATCCATCCCTCACTCTGGAGTCCTGCACTTAATCTGCACTTTGGGCCTTACTTGGGGGTAAATAGCATCATTGTGCACAGAAATGCCAGACAGTGTTTTGTGTTGATAGAAACGTATTCAGAAAGCAATGCCCATTGTTCCCCCTGGCTAAATAATAATTCCGTTTCCAGGCAGTTTGCTGATTAATCAGACAGGTGTCTTTCGTTCCACCAAGAAAAACAAAATCTGTCAGCAAGATGATTAAGAATAGATAGGCATATTTCAAAACAATTAAAATAGCATTTTTACAAGTCTGGTCCTTTAAACATTGAGTAGCTGCCTGCTGTTGGAGGCTTTCAGGAAACACACACCACATCCAAGCATGCCATCCTGTTAATACGCAATACGTCTCTAAAGGTGCTCTTCAGGCATTCCTCCCTGAATATGTCTGAAACCTCACAAAAGAATAAAAAATAGAGGCAACCAAACCACTGTTGAGTCAGGAAACACAGCAGAGATTATATTCTGGTTAAAAATAGAATGACCTTCTCCACCATAAAGAGAAAATGAAATTAATTTAGTCAAGGAGACAAAGGTCACCGGATCCAGATGATTCAACTTTTAGAAAGGCCCAGCTGCCTTTGGCCTTTGAGTTGGGGACCCTACGTGTGGTGAGGGAATGAACAGCGCCAGTAGTGCCCTGGCCTTCTGTGGACGCACACCCGGCAGCAGTAGGCTCTGTGTGCCTTCGCACATGTGAGTTATGATGCAGCAATGCAGGAGAAGAATAAAGCAGCTGTCTGTTTCAGATGACAGGAATAGGCCACTGGACTCCATTCTCTCCCAGCTGCTGTTGGAATCCCGTTTGTAGGAGGCTATAGGGTGGTCTCACTGCACATGCGCAGGTTTCCTAAGTCTGGTGCCAAATGTTTTCTTGGTAAGAACTAAGTCCAGTGCTTTTATAAGAGAGCACAGATACTGTTGGACTGCAGGGTCACAGGTGCCCTTTAATCCTCCACACCTGGTCTAGTACCTAAGACGTGTTTTGTGAATAAATGACTAAATGTTTCTTATATTTAATTGTAAGAAAAAGCTTGAAATGAAGTAAAAGGAGCTTTGACTCCAGAAACATTGAAATGAAACAAAGGAGTTCAGCTCTTGATGAATTGGTTACCTCTTTTATCTTTCAGAGTCAGAGCTGACAAATTTGGCAGGATTATACAGAGATGAACGATTGAAACAGAAAGCAGAGTCGCTGAAACTTGAAAACTGTGAGAAACTTTCCAAACTCATTGGCCTACGCAGAGGTGGCTGAGAGGATAATGGTCCTACGCAGGGCTGGGGTTTTGCTACTTGTTCCTATTTATGTTCCTGATTCCATTTTATAATACAAAACTAGGTAATGATGAACACTTTACTATTTGCTAACTTCGTTGGTTGGGCAGAGTGGCAGGAGCATGGGCACGAGAGCCAGATGTGTCTTCACAGGATCCTTCCTGGGGAGTGGCTCCAGGGACCAGGAGTAGTTCATCTAAGTTAAATTAATGGCAAGGCATTGGATTCCGTCTCCCTGCTCCATGCCTACCCTGCCTATGTGAATGGAGTTCAGGGCATCCCAGAGCAGATCCATGCTTTCTTCCTTCTTCCCTTCTTCAGTGAAGTCTTAAGAACCAGGCATTCCTAGGCTTAGCCAAAGCTTAATATTAGTTATTTACACTGTCTACCAAGAATTATACCTCTCCCTTCATTAGAGTCATCATCTCCGCCAAGATTTAGCCTTTGGAACATGTTCCTGCCCAGCTTTCCATTTTCTAGGGGAATATGGAGAAATTTAAACTATTGTAGTCAATAGTTTTCTATTATTCCAATCTCTGCTCAGTTAGTAGCATTAGCAAACTGCCTAATTTGAGATTCCTTTATTTCCTTAACCCTCTCTCCTTTAGAGAGTCCAGAAATTAAAACTACTGAGCAGCATCTGGAGGCGGGGGCCAGGGCGAAGGTATAATGCAAGACCGAGCCTCATCTCCTCCACGAAGCCTCCCTACTCCATCATAGAACCCAGAGAATGTCCCTTCGGTCATTTCCCCTCAGTATCATCATTGGTGTCATCGCACTTAGGCTGAGTTCCTACATCCCACAGAGGCAGATGGTCAGACCCAGGAGGAGGCATTGCCAGCTCTCCAGGCTGTTTGCTCAAGCCTAGAGATAGAGGAGACAGATCCTCTCTCCTTGGATATGGGGGTCTAGCTTTGGCCCCAGCAGCCACTTTGTTTAACCCAGTATCCTATAGTTTGTGATTTGAGATGATTTTTCATTCATTCAACATTTATTGAGTGCCTACTATAAAAGCAGGGGCTCTCACACATATTTTCTTACTTAAACCTCCTCACAACTCTGAAGTAGATGTATTATCCCTGGTTCTATGAATGAGAACATTGGCCCAGAGAGGATGACCCAGGTCTTGTAGTGGCAGAGCAAGACGGTAGGCTGAGTGTCAAGTAGAAAGTGGGAGAGCATCCTCATGTCTCAGGTGATTCTAGCCAGACTGGCAAAGCAGAACCTTTCCCGAGGATGCCTCCGTCCTCCCCAACCCCATGACCCCTCATCTTTTCTGTGGCAATCTTGCATCTGTTCAGGACAACATCCCTGCTGCTCTTTAGGAAGCAGGACCCTGTCTAACATAAATTCTGTACACAAAATAAGAGGTCCCTCACAGGCAGGCAGCCCTCCACTGGTGACTAGGAAGAATTCAGTCACTGCCTGGGCTGTGTGGTTCTGGGCCTTCCTGTGGAGCTGAGCTGCCTGAATTATCATGACTCTGAACTTGGAAGGATCATTAAGTGACTGTAGCCTACACTCCATGCTTCCTTCATATTGGAAGAAAAGTTTCTGGTAGAGAGTCGGCCGGGTGCACTGGCTCAAGCCTGTAATCCCAGCACTTTGGGAGGCTGTGGCAGGTGGATCACCTGAGGTCAGGAGTTCAAGACCAGCCTGGCCAACACAGTGAAACCCCATCTCTACTAATAATACAAAAATTAGCCAGGTGTGGTGGCACATGCCTGTAGTCCCAGCTACTCGGGAGGCTGAGGCATGAGAATCGCTGCAACTTGCAAGGTGGAGGTTACAGTGAGCTGAAATCACGCCACTGCACTCCACTCCATCTCAAAAAAAAAAAGAGTCTACATTAAACAGATTCCAAAGTAAAGTTTCTTCATCCCAATGCATGGCCATGATTTACACAGACGTGCCTAGCATGGCTCATCAACATCTGAACGGTTGTTCCCTACCATGCCTCTGCAGGCATTCCACAGAGTCAGGAGATGGGTTCACAGGTAAAGATTGGGGGCTTTAGTGGCTTGTAGGGGACAACTGCTCAGTTGCAGGGAGAGGGAGCATTTCTAGAAATAGCCAGATTTTGCTGCCCAACTAGATCTGTCCTCCTGGTTTTAGGGGGCCCTTCTTGATCCCCTCTGAGTGACTGAGGGAGGTTACATTGTAAAATATGTCCATGAGCCAAACAGGCTTATGGAAAGTTCTTCTACACACAAAAAAATCAAAGCTCTCCTCTCCCCATCCCCAACCACTGCTAGAAAATTGGCCATAATGAAACTGACTTGACAGGTTAAAAGACCCTGTCCTAGATGCCCAGGAATCAGGTAGTCACACATTTTATGGACTTCATGGCAGCGATAAGTAATCTGTGATGATACTAAATAGAAGCAATAATAACTAACTCCATTAAATGTCACGCTGATTGTCTGTTTTTATAGCACCGATGGTACTGTTTTATTTATTGCCAATAGACCACAACATTCACATCTGTTTTTCCTCAAGGGAACCGTATTTGCTTTTGGTTGAAGGATTTATCTATTTGATACTATCCAGAATATTGTGAAGCTATAATTTCCTGGGTTATATTTTAGATGGGTTGTCTGCATGGTGGTAAAATAAGCTTTTTCCTCTCGCCTACGTCCTTTGGAAGATCTCCTGATCATACATAACTAGGTAGGGCTTATTCTTGCTGCCGGAGCTTGGCACCCAGCTCTAGACTGTTTCTTTGAGCATTACTGCAGATTGGAGACGTGTGTGAGAGGAGCAGCGCTCAGAAATAGGGCTTGAGGCTCAAGCAGAAACTGAAGCTCTCATTCAAATGAAGATGCTCTCTCTACCGCACGATCGGCAGTGAGAAAAGGAGGATGAAAATCCTTCTCATCACAAAGAGCTTGAAGGAACCCACGTCCCCAGATTAGCAACCCTAGAGTTCATCTGCTCAGGCCGGGAAATGTGTAAGCTTCCTTGATCAGCTCCAGGCCTCACAGCACGGGAGCAGTGACCAGTAAGGAAACGTCACTGCTGTGCTTTCTGTTGGAAATTGTTCGAAAATACAGTGAACTGGCCAGGCCCAGTAGCTCATGCCTGTAATCCCAGCACTTTGAAAGGCTGAGGCAGGCAGATCATTTGAGGTCAGGAGTTCCAGACCAGCCTGGCCAACATGGTGAAACCCTGTCTGTACTAAAAATACAAAAATTAGGCGGGCATGGTAGCACGTGTCTGTAATCCCAGCTCCTCAGGAGGCTGAGGCAGAAGAATCTCTTGAGCCTGGGAGGCAGAGGTTGCAGTAAGCTGAGATCACATCATTGCACTCCAGCCTGGGTGACAGAGCAAGACTCTGTCTCAAAAAAAAAAAAAGAAAGAAAAAAGAAAATACAGTGAACTCCAGATGCCACTGGAACATGGGTTCCAGCAGCCTGGCCAAGCTATGTGTCATTCTTTTTCCTCATGATACCCAGGATGGGCTTTGTGAGGAGGCACTGTGCCGTTCCAGTGGCTTTCTGTTACAGCTGGCCACACCATACAAGCAAGTACATCATCTGCATGCACTGCTCCTCACAGGAGCTTGCACTTCATTCATATTTATTCTGCCCTCATTTAAGGTATAAGCTTAGTGTCCTAATATATTTATTTTTGGAAAGGGCCAAGTTACAAAACATCTTTTTTTTGAGGCTGCACTGTTGATATGTCATGCAGTGGCCACCAAGAAAGTATATACTCGTGTTAGATACTGATTACATCATTTACATCACGCTCAGTATTTGGAATTAAAGATGTGAATGTTCTGTGACCAGAGTAGGGATGACACAAATGGAATCAGCTCCTGGTGGACTAAGAATCTTGAAAAAATCTGGCCACCTCATCCACTACATCTGGATTGAGTGTACTGCAACAAAGAAAAACATTAAACAATTTTATATTAAAAGAATGGCTACTTTTCCTTGGTTCTTTTACCTTTGCCCATGGCATCCTTGGCCACTGCACATCGCCTGACTCCCTTGGAGCCACTTCCGACTAAAGAAGCTTTTGACGCCTGCTCCAGTCTTCCCTCACCCGTCAGTGGGATTATTTGCATTTAGAATAGTAGATAGCATTGTTGGCATCAGTTCCACATTTTCTATCAGATAACAGCAGCTGCAGTACCTCACAGCCAATATACAGATCAAAACTACACTTAGCATCAGAAATTCAGGTGTTATCCCAGTTCCTTGCTGGCTTTGGTCCTAGTGGCCCATATTTAGGAAAGTTTTGGTTTAAAAATATAGTAAATGATATTTACATGATCCTAACTGGTCATGATAGCTTTCATTTGAAAAAGAAAGTGAGATGAGATTCAATTCAGCAATGATTGAGAACTTACTCTGAGCCAGGTGGGCTGGGTTTTTGGAATGGGGGTCAGGGAACAGGTGAGGCCCAGCACCAAGACTCCTGGAGCTCACATCTAATGGGGAGGCCAGGCTTTCCACAGCACTCCCCAGTGCAATGAATAGCTAAAGGGAGACCAAGGTGACCACAGACTGTATAACAAAGGGATTTAACCCAGTCTGAGGGGTCAGTGAAAGCAACTCTGAGGAAGAAATATGTGAAATATAATCACCCTTCCTACAGAGATGAGTAGATTTTTATTTAGTGAAGGAGAACGGAAGCAAGACTTCCAGTGCTCCCATTACCATCACTAGCACTTCCACCCATCCAAGTGCCAAAGTCAGCAACCCAAGCCAGGCACGGTTTTGCACACCTGTATCCCAGCTACCTCCAGAGGCTGAGGTGGGAGGATCACTTGAGGCCAGGACCTTGAGACCAGCCTGAGTGATATAGCAAGACCCCGTCTCTAACAATAAAATTAAAAAGTTGGCCAGGCACAGTGGCTCACACCTGTAACCCCAGCACTTTGGGAGGCTGAGGTGGGTGGATCACCTGAGGTCGGGAGTTTGAGACCAGCCTGACCAACATGGAGAAACCCCCATCTCTACTAAAAATACAAGAATTAGCCAGGCATGATGGCGGGTGTGTGTAATCCCAGCTATCAGGAGGCTGAGGCAGAAGAATCGCTTGAACCTGGGAGTCGGAGGTTGCAGTGAGCCGACATTGCACCATTGCACTCTAGTCTGGGCGACAGAGTAAGACTCCGTCTCAAAAAAAAAAAAATTAAAAAGTCAAAAACCCAGGAAACTTTGTGTGGTAGACTTAATTTGGCATCCCCTAATATTTATGCCTTTGTGTAGTCCCTTTTCTAATCGGGGCTGGCCTTTGACCTTTAACCAACAGAATGTGGCAAAACTGGCAGCTTCCATTTTTGTACTTGGAGGGAAGCCAGCTACCATGTAAATTCAACTACCTGAGACCACTACACTAACCAAAGGAGAAGCCATGCAGAAGAGAACCCAGCAACCAAGCTGACAGCAAGAACTGAGGACCCAAACACATAATTCAAGTTGAGCCATTTGTGTTACCCCAGATGATGGGCAGAGCAGAAATGTGCTGCCCCACCAAGTCCTGCTCAGTCTGCAGAATTGTGAGCAAATAATAAAATGATTGCAGCCATTTTTTTGCAGGTGCAGTGGCTCATGCCTGTAATCCCAACACTTTAGGATGCTGAGCCAGGCAGATGGCTTGAGCCCAGGAGTTCAAGACCAGCCTGGGCAACGTGATGAAACCCTGTCTCTACCGAAAAATATAAAAATTAGCTGCACACCTACAGTTCCAGCTACTAGGAAGGTTAAGGTGGGAGGATTGCTTGAGGCCAGGAGGCGGAGGTTGCAGTGAGCTGGGATCGCGCCACTGCGCTCCAGCCTGGGCGACAGTGTAAGACTCTGTCTTTAAAAAAAAAAAAAAAAAGTTGCTGTTTGAAGCCATTACATTTTATGGTGGTTTTTAGCAATAGACAGCCAAAACACCTTTTCCTTGTCCCCATATTCCCTTATTCCCTCTCTCTGTTAAGTTCCATCAATTTTACCTCCAGAATATCCTAAACCTACTCTCATCTCTGACACTATCTGACTCTCAAACTACCATCCACTTTCACTGCAGTAGCCTTCTCGGTTAAAGTGGTCTCTGTGCACTTACACAGCCCCACTCCAATCTGTATACCTCACTGCAACCAAAGAGATCTTTTCCAAGCATAAATTGGATCACGTCATCCTCTTGCTTAAAATATTTCAGTAGCTTTCTTTTGTCCCTAAAATAAAAATCACCAAAATCCTTAGCATGGCCTACCTTGCTTAGCAAGGCTCTGCCAAGTTCTTGGTCTCTACCCACTACCCAAGCCCCCTCTTGCCCTATAATCTTTTTCTTTTATGCCATGCTACCCTTTAATTACTACACTCTACCAGCCCCTTTTGCCCCAGGGACTTTGTATACACAAAGTATACACTGCTTCCTCTTTCTGGTATCCCTACCTACTCATCTGCCCCTACCCTCTTTGCTAAGTGCTTCCTAGTTACCTTAATAGGCTTCAGCTCAAACATCACTTCCTCACAGAAGCTTTCCCTTGCACAGAATCTTAGCCCCACCTGGCTAAGTTTCTCTTTAGATTTATCTGGTTGTTTGATTATTGTCTGACTTTTCCCACTAGACTAAGTTCCTGACTGGTTTTACCTGAAATGAACCTTGAAGGGAGTGGTGCCCCATCTGTCATAAGGATTTGCTCTAGAAGTGCAGCCCAAATTCTTTGACACTACTCCCATTGAAAGGTGGTGGGGTAGGGGGAGGAATCTGTGTGTCCTCCTCTGGAATCTAGACTCTGACTCCTTGACCAATAGAATACAGCAAAAATGACACTATGCCAGGTATCAGGCCCAGGCCTTAAGAAACTGGCATCTTCCATTTTCTGTCACTTTGAATGATTATCTTTAACCCAGTCTTCATGCTATCAGAAAGTCCAGGCAGCCTATGGAGAGGAACCAAGACCTTTGGTCCTCAGCCCTAGCAGAGCTCCCAGCTGACAGCACCAACTTGCCAGTCACGTGAGTGAGCCATGTTGGAACTGGAACTTCTAACTCCCCGTTGAACCATCCCAGTTCACACTGCATGGAGCAGAGATAAGCTTTCACCATTGAGCCTTGCCAAATTCCAGATTCATGAACAAAATGATTTTTTTCAATGACTTAAAAAAATTGGGGGGTGGTTTATTATGCACCAATAGATAACCAGAACATCAGCCAAAATGACAAGCCTGTGCAGAAAGGCAACCCTTCCCTGGCAGGATCACAGAGCTGTTTGTGATGTCATGTCATCCTGAGTCTCACTGAGTCCTGGTTGACCAGGAGCCCAAAGTGCCTTTCAACATATAGAGGAGTCTGTGGCAGTGCCCAACCAGGGTGACCACCCCTCATGTCCATGCCAGGAAGCAGGTGCAGACCTGGATCCAGGGTTCTCTCTTGTTCATAAGCTTCCACCCCCAGGTGGCTGCTGGAGCCTACTGCTCTCCAGGGTTTTGCCCCAAGTACGCAGAGAGCAGCCTGTTCCAGCTGGTGAAGGTGGATGTTGGATATCAAGGGACATCAAGCAGTGCCTCATGAAAGATCCTAGGGAGGAAGTGCAGTTCTTGGGGAAGGCTCAGGAATCACTGCCCCAGAAGAATGTGCAGCTTTGTGAAGGGTGATTCAGGTGAACATTCACATTTGGTACACCAAGTTCTGAGAGGGTCTGTGCTGAGGCACACAACCTACACAGTGCCCTCTAGGCACACACTTTCCAGTACAGTAGCCAGTAGCCACACATGGCCATTTAAACTAAAAATTTAAAAATTTTAAAGAGCCATGATTAAGGTGATCTTCAGAAAATAATAAAAAATTTAAAGCAATTTCTCAGTCACATGAGCTACGTTTCAACTGCTGAAGAGCCACATGTGGCTAGTGGCTATTGAATAGTGCAGCTGTAGAACATTTTCATCACTAGAAGTTCTATTGAACTGTATTGTTCTAGGCCCTTTAACAGAGGTCGGCCGGGCACAGTGGCTCACGCCTATAATCCCAGCACTGTGGGAGGCTAAGGTTGGCCGATCACCTGAGGTCAGGAGTTCGAGACCAGCCTAGCCAACATGGTGAAGCCCCGTCTCTACAAAAATACAAAAAAATCACCTGGGTATGATAGCAGCTGCCTGTAATCCCAGCTACTGGGGAGGCTGAGTTGGGAGAATCGCTCAAACCTGGGAGGCAGAGGTTGCAGTGAGCCAAGATTGCTCCACTGCACTCCAGCCTGGGCGACAGAGCAAGACTCCATCTCAAAAAAAAAAGAAAAGAAAAAAAGAAAAAAAAAAGAGAACATGGTGAAACCCTATCTCTACTAAAAATACAAAAAATTAGCCGGGCATGGTGGCGGGCGCCTGTAGTCCCAGCTGTTCGGGAAGCTGAAGCAGGAGAATGGTGTGAACCCCGGTTGGGGCAGAGCTTGCAGTGAGCCAAGATCGCACCACTGCACTCCACCCTGGGCATCAGAGCAAGACTCCGTCTCAAAAAAAAAAAAAAAAAAAAAGAGAGAGAGGTCAGCAGAGATGGCCTTGTCTCCAAGTCCATGAAAATAAACGCAAGAAACAAAACAAGGGCTCCCGCTGAGAGAACCACAGGGATGGCCAAGTTTGTCAGGCCCCCCGGGGGGTTTTGGGGAGCGGCTTGAATGACTTACCCTGAGCTTTCTGCCTCCTTTCATAGTCACTGGTAACTTTTTTTCCAAACTCCTTGTTAGTATAGTCATTTCCTACTTGGGGGTATCAAATTCCATAACTTCCACCCATGACGTGCAACACAAATGCAGCACAACATCCTGGTTAAGAACATGAACTCCAGGCCCAGCGCGGTGGCTCATGCCTGTAATCCCAGCACTTTGGGAGGCCGAGGCAGGCGGATCACCTGAGGTCAGGAGTTCGAGACCAGCCTGGCCAACATGGTGAAACCCCGTATCTACTAAAAATAAGAAAATTAGCCAGGCGTGGTGGCGGGCGCCTGTAATCCCAGCTACTTGGGAGGCTGAGGCAGAAGAATCCCTTAAACCCGGAAGGTGAAGTTTGCAGTGAGCCGAGATCACGTCCCTGCACTCCAGCCTGGGCGACAGAGCGAGACTACATCTCAAAAAACAAACAAACAAAAACACGGACCCTGGAACCAAACTGCCCATAGCAGAACTCCGTTCCACAACTTACTAGAGTGACCTTGGGCAAGTTATTCATTCTCATTCTCATAGAGCCTAGGTAAAAAGGGGCTGATAGGAGTTCCATGAGGGTCACATGAAATAATATAAACATAACGGTGCCACGAAATAGTGAACACAATATATATTCGCTCTGATGTTCTCCAAACCTAATCTTATTTGGGTTTCCAAGAAAAAAAAAAAAGCCTTCAATAGAGACTTGGTGAGTGTGCGTAATCACCGTATCCTTCCCTGACTTCATTTTACTAAACTCTCCTCCTTCAAGCCCTCTTCAGTCCTCCTAATCTCTTCAGGGTCCTCCTCCTCGGGTGGTGGCACATGACTCTAGTGCAGACTCTAGTGCCCAGAGCCTGGTATCAGAGTATGAAGACTTTGATCTCAGGTGTAGCCATTCTCATTTTTTATCTTCGTCTATCTTCCGTGCTTAGGCTTAGGACCCCTAAGTACTAAGTGTGTTCCAGGAGGCTGGAATCTCATACAATGGAGGAAATTTGGAGATTAGGATAAAGATTTGGAGAAAGAGGCATGAGAAGCTAAAGATGCAGGAGTTGCCTATGCTGGCTCTTGCTTCGTGGTCATGCAGTTTAACAGGCCCTGGGTGAAGGCTGAGGGCTGCTGTTTTGAGTGTTGCCTGCTCGCAGGCAAGGAAAGTACAAGCCGGGCCCTGCCGGCTTCTCAGGACTGCGTGAGAAACAGAAGACGCAATAAAAGCGCAATTTCCTGTAAACTTAAATGCCTTAAGGGTTGTCAGCAGTTTCCCCGCTCCAGGCGGCTCCTTTAAGAGGCGGCCCCTCGCCCCGCTAACATAGGAAGTCCCCGCCCCCCGTTGCCAGGGTGCTCTGTGGCGTCGCATTCTCATTGGTGGGCGACGGCGAGGATCACCCCCGAGGCAGCCATTTCCAACTAGCTGGCGGGGGCGGAAGATGGCGACGCCCCTCGGGTGGTCGAAGGCGGGGTCAGGATCTGTGTGTCTCGCTTTAGATCAACTGCGGGACGTGATTGAGTCTCAGGAGGAACTAATCCACCAGCTGAGGAACGTGGTATGCAGCCAGAGGAGTTTGGGGAGAGGCGGGGCCGGATGCCTCACTGGTGGGGGCGGGGCCAGAACCTGTTCCGATGCGGGGGCCGTGGCTAGAACGCATGGCCCATGGCGTCATCAGGAGGAGGCCGGGCTCAGTCGGTAGGGGTGGAGCCAAAAAGGGGCGGACCTTCCTGAACCAGGGAATTTTAACTAAAATCAAGCCATATTCTCCCTTCCGTTTGCCTGGTTGCTGCAAGAGCTGGTAGAGAGTCCCTGAGCCTCAGTTTCCCCATTTTCAGTGGAGATGACGTCACTGAGTTCCCATGGCCCTCCTGTGCAGGCAGAGAAACTGTCATCCCTTCTATTATGGACACCATTCCCGAGAGTCAAAGGCAGTGCCGTGTTGAATGCAGTAAGCGCAGATTTGGCCCTTGCCAGCGCTAACTTAGGGGCCTCCAAGAACTTTACATGCCTTAGCTTTTGCCTTCTCAATCAAACCCCAGCTAATGGGTGCAAAGCATTGCAGTCACAGATTACCTGGGTAGGCATGATAGAATCCTGGCCATCTGGAGTTCATGGTTTTTCTGGTTTTGTTTTCCTGTCTTGATAAGAAGGTTAGGATGTATCTCCATCTCAGAAATAAAACTGGCTTCACATCTACTTCTCATTCTAAGTTGTTCTTAGACAATTTCTTCCCTTCTGGGAAGTTGAATGTGGGGGAAAGGGGAGAGAGACCTGTCCTATTTGCTACCCTAATGCTCTCATTCAACAAAATATATGGAGCTCTAGGCACTGAATTGCCTTTGATTCCCTGAAGGTACCCAGGTCTTCCTCTTGGCAGCTGACCTTGGCATGTGTGTCCCCACCATCCAGAGTGCTTTTCTCTCTATCCCTCTTCTGGCCCACCCTATATAGCAGTCAGATCTCAGGTCTAACATCCCCTTCTCCGGAAGTGATTCTGACCCTTCCCCAGGCTGGGTTGGGGCCTCCTCTGAGCCCCAGATCCCCTTATGTCTCCCCATCAAGGCACACAACATGTTAGAAGTGCTAACTGTGGACTGCCTCCTCCATGAGACTGGCTGCTCCTTGAGGGCAGCACTTAGAGCTGAGTCTCAGTTTATCTGTGGAACTGAATTCTCCCTTCCCAAGGCCTCAGTCTCATCCTAGGTACCACGAGCATCATCCTGTTATCCGCTTTTGGTCCTGGTCCCTAGAGGGCGCCCCTTCTACTCCAGCCCCAGGCCCTCCCTCAGCCAGGCTCTGTTGCAGATGGTTCTCCAGGACGAAAATTTTGTCAGTAAAGAAGAGTTCCAGGCAGTGGAGAAGAAGCTGGTGGTAAGTAATGGCCTCTGCGGTCTCCTAATCTTCCCCCGTTTCCCAGGATCCCTGTGGTTAGGCAGGCTCATTAAGTATTAGCCTCTGATGGGTGCAGTGGCTCACAACTGTAGTCCCAGCTCTTTGGGAGGCCAAGGCGGGCAAATCACTTGAGGTCAGGAGTTCGAGACCAGCCTGGCCAACATGGTGAAACCCTGTCTCTACTAAAAATACAAAAAAATATATATATACATATATATATATTAGCCAAGCATGCGTGGTGGCAGGCGCCTGTAATCCCAGCTACTTGGGAGGCTGAGACAGGAGAATTGGCTTGAACCCAGGAGGTGGAGGTTGCACTGAGCTGAGATCATGCCACTGCACTCCAGCCTGTGCAACAGAGTGAGACTCTGTCTAAAAAAAAAAAGAAAAAAGAAAAAAGAAAGGTCGGCCTCTGAGAACCTCCAGCCCCTGTAGCAAGGTGGCCAGAATCTCCCTGTGCTCTGGCTTCTGTGTGTCCCTCTGAGAAGGGGGGCTGGTTAAGGGAGTCTAGGAGACCCAAGGCGGCCTAGGGTAATGAGGTGACTGCTGCTGCCCCTGCAGGAAGAGAAAGCTGCCCATGCCAAAACCAAGGTCCTCCTGGCCAAGGAAGAGGAGAAGTTACAGTTTGCCCTCGGAGAGGTAGAGGTGCTATCCAAGCAGCTGGAGAAAGAGAAGCTGGCCTTTGAAAAAGCGTGAGTGGGCCTCAGTACGGGGTGTGGGGTTTGGGGGATGCATCTGCTTGCTAGCCTGCCCACCCTCCCATCTTATCTTCCCCACCCAGGCTCTCCAGTGTCAAGAGCAAAGTCCTTCAGGAGTCCAGCAAGAAGGACCAGCTCATCACCAAGTGCAATGGTAGGCGGGAGGCCCGTGCTCTCCACCACGGTTATATAAACGGGCTCTTTCCTAACCACCCAGTGCCTGTGTCAAAGGCAGGGTTTCACTCTAACACCTGTCCCCAGCTGAGGATACAGGCAGGCCCGGGTGGGCCACACCTTCGAAAAGGCCTTAAGGGACCAGGCAGGCCACGGAAATGAGGGAAGCAGTCGGTGTACTATATTCTTCACCGCCATAAAGGAATGGGCTTGCTCCCATTTTTCCTGAAACATACAACCTTCTTAGTCCACCTTTTGTTTTCCCACTTTTGATGGGTTACTCCTAACTGATACAAGAGGAACACAGGGCAAGCACTGTCCTATTTGGGACCTGATCCTTAGTCTCAGGGTCAGGACTCAATAGGGAAGGATGCATGTGGTGACAGGGGGCTAGGATTGCCAGATCTTTAAAATGGAAACTAAGAGTTATTTTTATTTTTCTAAGACTGGGTGTCACTATGCTGCCCAGGCTGGTCTCAAATGCCTGGGCTCAAGTGATTCACCCACCTCAGCCTCTCAAGTAGCTGGGACTACAGGTGTGAGCCACCATGCCCAGTGAAACCAAGTTGTTTTATTTTTTTTGAGATGGAGTCTTGCTCTGTTGCCTAGGTTGGAGTGCGGTGGCACACGGCTCACTGCAACCTCCATCTCCTGGGTTCAAGTGATTCTTCTGCCGCAGCCTCCCGAGTAGCTAGGATTACAGGTGTGCACCACCATGCCCGGCTAATTTTTGTATTTTTAGTAGAGATGAGGTTTCACCATGTTGGTCAGGCTGGTCTCGAACTCCTGACCTCAGGTGATCCCCCACCTCAGCCTCCCAAAGTGCTGGGATTATAGGCGTGAGCCACCGCACCCAGCCAAAACCAAGTTTTAATGGAAGCTTTTCTGACTTTTTAGTGTTGGCAGTTGATTTTGAAATTTTAAAACTATCGTGTAGGCCAAGTAAAATATCTGTGGGCTGCCAGTTTTCAACTCTGCTCTGTGCAGATGCCTGGGGGCCACTTTTTTGGCTCAGTTGGTGCCATAAGTTGTGGGGCACCTTCTGAGTCAGCTACACATGCCCGTACACCTCAGGAGCCCCTTTCATTTCCCGGAATGCTAAACTCCCCTTACCCAGTTTAAGTATGGGCTGGGCGCGGTGGCTCATGCCTGTAATCCCAACACTTTGGGAGGCCAAGGCAAGCGGATCACATGAGGTCAGGAGTTCGAGACCAGCCTGGCCAACATGGTGAAACCCCATCTCTACTAAAAATACCAAAAATTACCCGGGCATAGTGGCGGGCACCTGTAATACCAGCTACTCAGGAGGCTGAGACAGGAGAACTGCTTGAACCCAGGAGGCAGAGGTTGCAGTGAGCCAGGATCATGCCATTGCGCTCCAGCCTGGGCAACAAAAGTGAAACTCTGTCTCAAAAAAAAAAAAAAAAAAAAAGTAGGTATGAATTCCAGGCACAACATCTGCTTTGTTCACTGCAGCAGATCTCCAGTAGGCCAGAGCCCAAGCGCAAGAGGTTCAAGGTCCTTACTGATGGGGCTCCCATGTGGAGCCTTGAGTACCCTGCCTTTCACCTGTTCAGCCTTCTCTCTCCCCTAGTGAGTGCTCTCACTGGGAAGATGGCAGCAGGCTGACATCTTGATCTGGCCAGGCAGGCTGACAGGTCTCATAGTAGTTTGGTCACTGGCTCCTGCCATGGCAGGGCGCAACAGGCAGTCACTGCCCCCATGCTCGAGACCATTGGTCCCCTCAGTCTTGCCCTCTCCCTGGGCATCCCCTTACTTCCCAAAAAAGAACCTGGGGTTCTTTCCTGGTAGGGCCAGAGACCTCCTTCCCCTAGGTCATTTCCTTCCAACAGAGATCAGTCAAGCTCACGGGGCTTTGGATCTGCTTGTTGGAAGGTGTGTGTGTCATGGGGACAGGTCCTGGCTGCCTCCCCCAGAATATTCTAAACCCCTCCTGTGGGACACAAGCCCTCCTGAGCCAGTCTGGTGATGTGAACCTCACCCTGGCCAGTGCCTCCCACCCCTACAAACTCCCCTTGTGTGGTTTCAGTTTGGTTTTTACACTTACATAGTTCTTTACTCTCAAAGGGATTTTCTAACCATTCTCTCACCATCGGGTGCCACAGGCTTTTATTTTCAAAGAGTCACACAAATTTCTAATTCTTTTTCCCAAACGAACTTCACAAGTAATTAATTCCACTTAGCTGGACGCCTGGGAAGGAGGTTCAACAGTCCTCGTCCCATGACCCGGTGAACTCATGTCTTCATTCTCTCCCTTCACCTGTCTCCTCTTTTCCATGCTGTGCCTTCACTTTTTACCAGGTCTTCTCTTTTGAAATCTTAAATGCTTAGACATTTCTGTATTTTCAGAGTTTGTGTTCTAGTTAATTCTTGTCCAACCTTTTTTTTTTTTTTTTTGAGATGGAGTCTTGCTCTGCCGCCCAGGCTGGAGTGCGGTGTCGAGATCTCGGCTCACTGCAAGCTCCGCCTCTCAGGTTCACGTCATCTTCCTGCCTCAGCCTCCCAGGTAGCTGGGACTATAGGTGCCCGCCACCACACCTGGCTAATTTTTTGTATTTTTAGTAGAGACAAGGTTTCACCGTGTTAGCCAGGATGGTCTCCATCTCCTGACTTTGTGATCCACCCACCTTGGCCTCCCAAAGTGCTGGGATTACAGGCGTGAGCCACCACGCCTGGCCTTTTTTTTTTTTGAAGCGGAATCTCGCTCTGTCACCCAGGCTGAAGTGCAATGGCACGATCTCGGCTCACTGCAACCTCCGTCTCCTGGGTTCAAGCAATTCTTCTGCCACAGCCTCCAAAGTAGCTGGGATTACAGGCATGTGCCACCACACCCAGCTAATTTTTGTATTTTTAGTAGAGACGGGGTTTTACCATGTTGGCCAGGCTGGTCTCAAACTCCTGACCTCAGGTGATCCACCCGCCTTGGCCTCCCAAAGTGCTGGGATTACAGGCATGAGCCACTGTGCCTGGCCCCTTGTCCAACCTTTGAAGACAGTAGGATTTTCTTTCTGTAGGAATCAGAATTTTCCAAGGTGCCATGTGGGGCAGTTATGTAAATGAAGCACCCCCAGATCCCTACAGCCTCCTTGGATTTTGATCCAACACAGAAAAATTATCATTTATTTATTTATTTATTATTTAGAGACAGGGTCTTGCTCTGTCACCCAGGCTGGAGTGCAGGGGCACAGTCATAGCTCATTGCAGCCCCCAACTCCTGAGCTCAAGTGATCCTCTTGCCTCAGCAAGTAGCCAGGACTATAGGCATGTTCCAACACCATGCCCAGCTAGTTTTTTGTTTTTTTTTTTTTTAGTTTTGTAGAGGCGAGGTCTCACTATGTTGCCCAGACTGGTCTCTTACTCCTGGGCTCAAGCCATCCTCCTGCCTCAGAAAGTCATCTTTGCCTCAAATGTACGATTAATTTGGGGGTAGGCTTTGCCACCACTATCTCACTGGGTCCTCCCCAGACCACTGTGGGATAGGGCTGTCTCTTTCCCCATCTTTGAAATGAGGAAACAGGTCTGAAAATCGAGGCAACTCCCATCTTCTCCCACCACCCCTGAAGCCCTAGCACAAGGCTGGGCATCCAGCCAGCCCTCGGGAAGTTTGTTTGGACTGGGATGACTGAACTAGGTCTTTTTTCTGAGTCCTAAACCCCCAGGGACATCCCGTTCATTCGGTCTGCAAATATACTTTTTGTATACCTACTATGTGCCAGGTGCTGTTTTAGGCCTTAGGGATAAAGCCGTGAATAAAACAAAGATCCTTGTCCTTGTGGACCTTACATCCCAGCAGCGGAGAAGACAGATGAGTAAAGTATATGGTATGTTAGGTAAAAGTGTTAAGAAAAATAAAGCAGGATGTTGGGCATGGTGGCTCACGCCTGTAATCCCAGCATTTTGGGAGGCTGAGGTGGGTGGATCACCTGAGGTCAGAAGTTCGAGACCAGCCTGGCCAACATGGTGAAACCCCATCTCTACTAAAAATACAAAAATTAGCTGGGCGTGGTGGCAGGCGCCTGTAATCCCAGCTACTCGGGAGGCTGAGGCAGGAGAATTGCTTGAACTCAGGAGGTGGAGGTTGCAGTGAGCCAAGATCATGCCACTGCACTCCAGCCTGGCGACAGAGCAAGACTCAGTCTCAAATACAAAAAAAAAAAAAAGAGAAAGCAGGAAGAGGGAACAGGAAGTACTGGGAAATGTAATTTTTTGATGAGGGAGAGTTTCTCCAAGGAGGCAACATCTGTAAAGACCTGCAGGAGTTGAGGGCAGGCGCCATTCATCTTCCAGCCTTTGGTCAGGCCTGCCCACTTCTCTCCAAGGACCTTCTCCTGCCCTCATGTGGGTCCTCTGGTCCAGAATAGACTTGTGAAGTCATTGACAACAATCCTCAAACACTGCACTCCCCCAAGACTGCATAATAAACTCATTCATACTAAGGTATTAGCAGTTCTTCATGGAGAACTCTTGGGTGGGGAGCCAAGCTCTGAAAAGCCCCGTGAGGGAATGCCTTATCTCAGGAAGGAGCCCTGGGATGGGAACCACCCCTCCTCCCTGCCTCTCTCCCCCACAGAGATTGAGTCTCACATTATAAAGCAAGAAGATATACTTAATGGCAAAGAGAATGAGATTAAAGAGTTGCAGCAAGTTATCAGCCAGCAGAAACAGATCTTCAGGTGAGGGGTCTGGGCCCGGCTGGGGGTTGTTGATGACACTGGGGAGCCAGACCTCTGGCCCCTACCTACCCTTGGCTGTCCACAGCCCACCACCAGCCGGCTCCGTTGCAGGAATCACATGTCTGACTTCCGGATCCAGAAGCAGCAGGAGAGCTACATGGCCCAGGTGCTGGACCAGAAGCATAAGAAAGCCTCAGGGACACGTCAGGCCCGCAGCCACCAGCATCCCAGGGAAAAATAAAATGGCCGCCGCTTTCCTGTTCTCTGGCTGTAATCCCCAGCCTCTGCCTTCTCTGCTCTGGGAGTCCCCAGCCTCTAGCCCCTGCTACTTCCCTCCCTCTTGGATAGTGGTAGGGGTCCACAAGGTGGGGGCTTGTAGCCTAGGGGAGGAGCTGGGTCTTTGTTGTCTGGTAGGCACCACCGCTTCCTTTGGGTATTTAATCCCTTCCTATATAAACAGCCCTGGTTACCCAGTAATATTCCACCCCACTCCCAGTGTCCTGGTAAATTTAACTTCCCAACTTGACTACAGGGCCGGAAGCCCTGACCAGAAACTTCAAAGACAGTGGGTTCCAGAACCACAAGGAATTTGGGAAGTCAGTTTCCATCACATGACAATAATGTTATACCTGCAAATTGCATTTGCACCTGCTGACACCTCCCCCAAACGGGAGCTTCACAATGGGAGGAAGAGAAAAGACAATGCTGTGTGTGGTTTTAAGGTGGAGAAACAATCTGGGAAGGGACCTCAATTTGCACAAGTTGCACAGGCAGGGCTGGATGGGATGGAGCAGCAACATTTTTTCAGAAGCCATCACCGAGTGCCCCCTAGGTGATCATGGGGACACACCCAGGCAGAGGACCCACTTCAGGGGTCAGATTAGCCCAGTGTAGCCTGTCCTGGGTCGGTTTGAGGCCAAGTGCACAGGAGGGGGCAGTGCTCTTGCTCCAGGGCCAGCTGGGGCCTGAGTCATAGCAGGACCTTGAAGCCAGAAGTTTAAGGGCAAGTGGTGCCCACAGTTGTAAGACAATGACAGGTGGTGGTTGCCTCCCCACCAGCGCCTGTCCCCAGGGCAGGTCCTAAGGCTGTGGGGGCTGAAGTTAGGGCCTTGTGAATACCTGGGGGAGCACAGGGCTGTTCTGGCCGCAGGGGCCTTTGGAGCTGGGACCACAAGCTACTTCGAAGCTTCCTGTAGGACCCCACATCGGTATCCAGGGCCTGTTCTAGGTGCTGAGGCAGACTGAAAGCTAGAGCTGTCCACTCCAGCTCCTTCCAATAGGTCCCACCGAGGGCAGTGGGTCCAGCCAGTGGTAGTACCTTCCTGAGGCCCTGAGGAGTCAGGGAAGCCTCTAGCGGTGCTCCTCACTCTACTGAAGGGGATCAGGAAGAGTGTAACTGGGGTCAAGAAAGGTGGTGTGTGCACCCTTAAGAGCTCTAGCTGAGGCCAGCAATGGCAATGGGGGTCCCCTGCAGTGATGCTAAGGCACCCGGGGCTGAGGGGAAGATGAAATTGCTGGCCCTACCTGAGTCTCCTGGCCTGAAGGTCTGGTTCACCCGCTCACAGCCTGAACTGCACACAGCAGTGCCTGACTTCAGGCGGATCCCTGCTGGGCTTCAGTTTCCTCACCTGTGATAGGTGGAGTTGGGCCTAACTCCTGGCTCCAAGGCTTTGAAAGTTGGGCCTGCCATTCCCTCACCTGCCTGTCAGCCAAAGCTTGGAGCCCACCCCAGGTACTCCGGCTTGTGCCTGAGAAGGGGGTTAGTTGGGCATGGGGGCTGGACAGGGAAGGGTGCAGGGCCCAGGTCTTTTCTGCTGCCGGCGCCGCTGGCTCAGGAGTGGACGCGGCCGCTTTAAGGCGCGGTGACCCCCACGGCATCCTCGGGCGGGGCGGGGACAGTGCCGGCGCCACCAGCGGAGGCGAATGCGAGGGAGATAGTGCACGGCGTCCGGCCCCACCATGCTGACCGCGCTCGCCCCGCCAGCCCTGCCTGGGATCCCGAGGCAGCTGCCCACGGCCCCCGCGCGGCGCCAGGACTCCTCCGGTTCGTCAGGCTCCTACTACACGGCTCCAGGTTCTCCGGAGCCCCCGGACGTTGGGCCGGACGCGAAAGGCCCAGCGAATTGGCCCTGGGTGGCTCCTGGGCGGGGGGCGGGCGCGCAGCCTCGCCTGTCCGTCAGCGCCCAGAATAGCCGCCAGCGGCACGGGCCCGGCTCGGGTTTCCCGCGAGGCCCAGGTTCCGGCCCACGGCCACCCCAGCCCCAGCTGCGCACGCTGCCGTCGGGGGAGATGGAAGTCATCTTCGGCGTCGGACCCCTGTTCGGCTGCTCCGGCGCAGACGATCGCGAGGCGCAACAACAGTTCACGGAGCCGGCCTTCATCAGCCCCTTGCCGCCGGGGCCAGCGTCTCCCGCCGCGGTCCCACGCCAGTCCCAGGTCCCCGATGGTGGCTCCCGCTGGGCCACCTACCTAGAGCTGCGGCCCCGTGGGCCAAGTCCTGCCGCCCCAGCGCAGTTCGAGTGTGTGGAGGTGGCTCTGGAGGAGGGCGCCGCGCCCGCCAGGCCCCGGACAGTGCCCAAGCGTCAGATCGAGCTGCGCCCCCGGCCCCAGAGTCCCCCAAGGGCGGCCGGCGCGCCGCGCCCCCGGCTGCTCCTGCGCACCGGTTCCCTGGACGAGTCGCTGGGCCCCCTGCAGGCCGCCGCGGGCTTCGTGCAGACGGCGTTGGCCAGAAAACTGAGCCCCGAGGCCCCGGCCCCGAGCAGCGCCACCTTCGGGTCCACGGGGCGGTCGGAACCTGAGACCCGGGAAACGGCCCGCAGCACCCACGTGGTCCTGGAGAAGGCTAAGTCTCGGCCACTTCGCGTACGAGATAATTCGGCCCCCGCCAAGGCCCCGAGGCCGTGGCCCAGCCTCCGCGAGCGCGCGATTCGGCGCGACAAGCCTGCGCCCGGGACGGAGCCGCTGGGTCCTGTTAGTTCCAGCATCTTCCTTCAGTCAGAGGAGAAGATCCAGGAGGCGCGGAAGACTCGGTTCCCGCGAGAGGCGCCGGATCGAACTGTTCAGAGGGCACGGAGTCCGCCTTTTGAGTGTAGGATCCCCTCGGAGGTTCCGAGTAGGGCTGTGAGGCCAAGGAGCCCGTCCCCGCCACGGCAGACTCCAAATGGGGCTGTACGGGGTCCTCGCTGCCCGTCGCCCCAGAACCTGTCCCCGTGGGATCGGACTACTCGGAGGGTGAGTAGCCCATTGTTCCCTGAAGCCTCCTCCGAGTGGGAAAATCAAAATCCTGCCGTCGAGGAAACTGTCAGCAGGAGAAGCCCTTCCCCTCCGATCCTTTCCCAGTGGAATCAGTGTGTTGCTGGGGAAAGGAGCCCGTCCCTCGAAGCCCCTTCCCTGTGGGAGATTCCACATTCGGCAGTCGCGGATGCGGTGGAGCCACGTAGCAGCCCGTCCCCGCCGGCCTTCTTCCCGTGGGAGGCTCCAGATCGTCCTATTGGAACTTGGGGCCCATCTCCCCAAGAGACATGGGATCCCATGGGGCCGGGCTCATCGATAGCATTTACTCAGGAAGCTCAGAATGGGTTAACTCAGGAGGAGTTGGCACCGCCTACACCGTCCGCACCCGGCACTCCAGAACCAACAGAGATGCAGAGTCCATCCACGCGGGAAATTTCAGATCTTGCCTTTGGAGGGAGTCAGCAGTCCCCAGAGGTAGCAGCACCCGAGCCGCCCGGCAGCCACCCTGTGGGCACCCTGGACGCGGATAAGTGCCCGGAAGTCTTGGGTCCTGGAGAGGCGGCCTCGGGACGCCCGCGCATGGCCATTCCGCGGCCTCGAGACGTGCGCAAGTTGGTGAAGACCACGTACGCGCCAGGCTTCCCGGCAGGAGCACAAGGCTCTGGGCTGCCTGCGCCTCCTGCCGACCCCTGCGGGGAGGAGGGCGGCGAATCCAAGACGCAAGAGCCGCCAGCACTGGGGCCCCCCGCCCCGGCTCACTACACTTCCGTTTTCATCAAGGATTTTCTACCGGTGGTGCCGCACCCCTACGAGCCTCCTGAACCGTCCTTCGACACGGTCGCCCGGGACGCCTCACAGCCCAACGGGGTCCTGCGGCGGAGGGCAGAGAACAGCACGGCGAAGCCCTTCAAGCGCACAGAGATCCGCCTGCCTGGGGCCCTGGCCTTGGGTCGCCGGCCCGAGGTAACCTCGCGAGTGCGAGCGCGCGGCCCTGGAGGAGAGAACAGGGATGTAGAGGCCCAGCGCCTGGTCCCCGACGGCGACGGTCGGACCAGCCCTCTAGGCGGCGCCCGCAGCTCATCCCAGCGCTCCCCCGTAGGGCCAGCAGGGGTCCGATCGCCCCGCCCCGGCTCCCCTCAGATGCAAGCCAGCCCGAGCCCTGGGATAGCACCCAAACCGAAGACACCACCTACGGCCCCCGAGCCCGCGGCTGCCGTCCAGGCGCCACTCCCGCGGGAGCCCCTGGCGTTGGCGGGCAGGACGGCCCCAGCCCAGCCCCGCGCTGCCTCGGCGCCTCCCACGGACCGGTCCCCGCAAAGCCCCTCCCAGGGAGCGCGCAGGCAGCCCGGGGCCGCGCCCCTGGGGAAGGTCTTGGTGGACCCCGAGAGCGGCCGCTACTACTTTGTGGAGGCGCCGCGGCAGCCTCGGCTGCGGGTGCTCTTCGACCCTGAGAGTGGGCAGTACGTGGAGGTGTTGCTGCCGCCCTCGTCTCCCGGGCCGCCCCACCGCGTCTACACCCCTCTGGCCCTGGGGCTCGGCCTCTACCCGCCCGCCTATGGGCCTATACCCAGCCTCTCTCTGCCACCGTCCCCGGGCCCGCAGGCCCTCGGCAGCCCCCAGCTACCCTGGGTCTCTGAGGCAGGGCCCCTGGACGGGACCTACTACCTGCCGGTGAGCGGGACCCCCAACCCCGCACCTCCTCTGCTCCTCTGTGCGCCGCCCTCCAGCTCAGGTCCCACCCAGCCCGGCAAGGGTTCATTGTTCCCGCTGTGAGGCCCCGGGCCGATCCCCATGGAGTTGGAGCCCTTGGATGCCTGGGAGGTTCTGGCATCCAAGCCCCTACCCTCCTCTCCTTCCGTCGCCTCTGTCTTTAACCCATCCCAGTCAGTCGTCGGACAGGAAGTGATCTTCAGAGAATGAATCTGAGCCCCGAGGCTGGTGGAGCTGGAGTCACCCAGGAAGTGGCTGCCTACTTCCTCCCCCAACAAAATTATGTATCCCTTTCCCAGGCATTCCCAGGGCGTGGTGTGGTGTGGTGTGTGGGTGTGTGTATATGTGTATATGCGGGCAAGCAAATAGGGAAAGTGAGGCATCCCTGGGCTTGTCCCCAGGAGCCGATCAGAGGAGGTGCTGTGGCTGCCGTGGGGCAGCAGGAACGGGAGCAGCAGGAGACAGGGCGGGGAACTGTCTGCCCTCCCTGATGGTGGGCCCAGCTGAGGTGAGGCTGGCCAGTGCCCCTGGTGAGGTGGCAGGAAGGACTCTGGCTGTCGAGTCTGCTCTTAGGAAGAGGAGCTGAGCTTTGGCCCTGGAGGTTACTGGGGGGAAAGTGGCCAGTACAGCCCAGGCCAGGCTGGCTCCGAGAAAGAGCTAAGGCGGGGGACAGCAGGTGGAGGCAAAGCAAGGAATACAGGGAGGGCCTGGGTTGGGGGTTAGCCTGGAACTTGGGGTGGGAAGATGGGGAGCCTGGCCCTCAGAGCTGAGCTGACTCATTTTTGGGCCAGGGGTGGGGCTTCAGTCCCCCACCCCCTACATCGGGAGTAGGTGAAATGGTCATCAGGAAGCTCTGAGAAGAGGGAGGGTTGGGCTCTTGTCCCACAGGAGCCTCTTGACCCCTCTGTGTGGCCAGAAGGTGGGTTAGGGCCAGCAGTAGAAGCGATACCCCTGGTGGAGTATCCAGAGGGATCTGAAGCTCTTGGCAGGTTCCACTCCCCAGTAACAGATGTGGCAACAATGGCCAGAGAGGGGCTGGCCCTACAGACCAGTCACAGCAAGGGACAGGGCCCAGAGCCTGCACTTCAGTTGCCCTGAGATTCCAGGAGCCTCTGAGGGAGATGAGGGGGGTCTGCATGAGGTGGGAGGTGGTGTGCGTGGGGGTCTGTATATAGTTCTGAACCGGAAATGGCTGGCCCTTGCCAGCCTGGTGTGTGATGTGATGAGTTTGGGAAGGACAGTTTCCATGAGAAGCAGTGGCAGGGATGGGGATGGATGCCTTCGTTGTTCCAGGCCTGTCAGGGGGCCCAGGTCCCTAGCAGTCCCTGCCCTCTGCCCTGGACTGGAAGCTGACTAGGAGAGCTACGAATCAGAACAACTGGCCATTTTCTAGCTGGAGATGCCAGCTCCGATGGCATGGAGGGCCCTGGGGCCACCCCAGGTGTCTTTACCTCATCCTGGTGTGTAATAAATCACTGACCATGGAGCCATCATGGCTGAAATAACTGGTGTGAGGTGCCTGATTTCCTGCCACAGCCTCTCAACACCCTCCACAGTGCCCTTCCACGCCTGGGTATGGCCTGGGTGGAGGGGACCTCAGGGCTAGGGAAGGAGACCATGTGTGTCTTGGAAACACTGTAGCATCCCTGTCTCCCTGAACTTGCCTCCCAGGAGGCTGGCAGCCACACCTCATTCCTTCTGGTGGTTGAGTGGCCAGGGAGCCTTGGGGTCAATCAGGCTTGGGTTTCTCAGCATGGCCCCTCTAGCTATGTGGCCTTGGATTTGTCACCTCTCTCTGAGCCTTTGTGTCGGAAGAGGCAGAATAAACATGACAGTCTCATTTCTCAGAAAGGTCAATGAAACAAAAAAAGATGACGGCAGCCAACCAACTCTTCCCACAAGGCACTCAGCACAGTGCCTGCCACTTGGCCAGATCACAGGATGTGGGCAGTATCGGCCCCTATGTGTTCCTGCCTAGGCCCAGCCCCTCTCCTTGCCTCAGTGCTCCCTATCTGTGAAATGGAGCTGAGATGGCTGGAGCCAGGGTCCAGCTAGAGGACAATGCCCACGTGGCATCTTCGGGGCCCTGGAGGAGGGAGTGGGAGGAGGATGGGAGGGGTGAGGTGTCAGTTCCCCATTGGTCTAGGCCAGGTGTTCTGTGGCGGTCCCCACACCACACAAGCACACACACATCTGCACCTCAACCACAGACTACACTTGCTGAACTGGCTCCTGGGGCCATGAGGCTGTCACTGCCACTGCTGCTGCTGCTGCTGGGAGCCTGGGCCATCCCAGGGGGCCTCGGGGACAGGGCGCCACTCACAGCCACAGCCCCACAACTGGATGATGAGGAGATGTACTCAGCCCACATGCCCGCTCACCTGCGCTGTGATGCCTGCAGAGCTGTGGCTTACCAGGTGAGTCCTTCACCACTGTCACCCTGCCCTGCTCACACCCCTTCTCAAGCCAGACCCCTCCACCCACCTCACATTCCACCACCGGCCTTTGATCCCCAATCCCTACCACTGGGCATCAAGCCACAGATGCAGCCTTTCATATATTCCATGCCTCAGTTTACCCATCTGCCTGCCTAACAGCAGACAATCTGGGAGACCTCCTCAGTATTTTGAGACCCCAGGGAATCACTCACTTGTCCTTAGACTTCTCCCTTTCCAGGCCCATCCTTGAGTCCGGACTCCCTCCCCAACCCTGACGGGGCGGCTTTGGCTATGTGTACATGGTGCAAGTGCACACGTGTGAGCGCCTGCACGTGAGTATGCGTGTGTCTGGCTTCACACACACACCTGCTGAGCATGCCTGCGTGCCAGTGTCTCTGTGAGGTGGGGGCCTGGGAGTACTTGTGTGATTGAATATTGGGCTCCAGTTTTTCTTACCTTGCTCTTGTGGTTTAAAATGGCACGTGCCGGCCGGGCGCGGTGGCTCACGCCTGTAATCCCAGCACTTTGGGAGGCTGAGCGGGGCCGATCGCCTGAACTCAGGAGTTCGAGACCAGCCTGGCCAACATGGTGAAACCCCGTCACTACTGAAAATACAAAATTTTAGCCGGGTGTGGTGGCACATACCTGTAGTCCCAGCTACCTGGGAGGCTGAGGGAGAAGAATCACTTGAACCTGGGAGGTGGAGGCTGCAGTGAGCTGAGATCGTACCACTGCACTCCAGCCTGGGCGACGAACGGCGTGAGACTCTCTCTAAATAAATAAATAAATAAAAATAAAATGACACTTGCCACTGGGCAGGTGTGCCCTGGACGAGGGACCCCAGTGCCCAGGCCTCACCTACCACTTCAGCATTTCTTTCCCATCCCCCATCCCCATCCCAGAGAGCTTTGGGGGCTGGGGGAGGGGCCATGCAACAGCCTCACAGGTGCTTCCTGCTCAAACGGCTCTCTTGCCACTTTATTTTCCCCAGAGACTCTGCTCCTATCCTCCCCACCTCCCCCTAACTGAGCAGCAGTCCTGAGGCCCTGCCTCCCAGTCCCTCCTTGTTCCAGATGTGGCAAAATCTGGCAAAGGCAGAGACCAAACTTCATACCTCAAACTCTGGGGGGCGGCGGGAGCTGAGCGAGTTGGTCTACACGGATGTCCTGGACCGGAGCTGCTCCCGGAACTGGCAGGAGTGAGTTGCCAATCCTGCCCCCCACCTCCCTCCTCCAAGGGCAGGCCTGGTGGGTGGAGATTCCCACTCAGCCGCTCACACAACACACACACTCCTCTAGGACTCTGGTCCAAGGGAGGGGCTGGCTGGGATGAAGTCTGGGCTCTGGAGCTGAGAGCAAGTGGGAGAGCAGAGGGCCAGTGGACAAGGTCACCTTGTGACCTTGGGCCAGGGGCTTTCCCTCTCTGAATTCCACAAATGCCCAGCATGTCCAGCTTGCTGTGGAGATGGGTCTCTCCCTGGCTGGGCTCCTGCCAAAACTGTACTCCTCTCCTCTCCACTGCCACCAGCTACGGAGTTCGAGAAGTGGACCAAGTGAAACGTCTCACAGGCCCAGGACTTAGCGAGGGGCCAGAGCCAAGCATCAGCGTGATGGTCACAGGGGGCCCCTGGCCTACCAGGTGATGCCCGGGGCTTGGGGATAGGATGAAGCTCCTGGAGCCTTGGTTTGCCCCACTGTGGGCTGGGCAGCATCTGAGGCTCCTGCTGGGCTCCCCTAGGCTCTCCAGGACATGTTTGCACTACTTGGGGGAGTTTGGAGAAGACCAGATCTATGAAGCCCACCAACAAGGCCGAGGGGCTCTGGAGGCATTGCTATGTGGGGGACCCCAGGGGGCCTGCTCAGAGAAGGTGTCAGCCACAAGAGAAGAGCTCTAGTCCTGGACTCTACCCTCCTCTGAAAGAAGCTGGGGCTTGCTCTGACGGTCTCCACTCCCGTCTGCAGGCAGCCAGGAGGGCAGGAAGCCCTTGCTCTGTGCTGCCATCCTGCCTCCCTCCTCCAGCCTCAGGGCACTCGGGCCTGGGTGGGAGTCAACGCCTTCCCCTCTGGACTCAAATAAAACCCAGTGACCTCACTTCTTTTCTCTGCAAAAGGTGCTTGTGGGGCTGGGAGTGCAGACATTGGTGTTTCTGCTGATGTCCCTTGTGAAAAAAAAAAAAAAACTCTCAAAATCAATTTTTTTTTTTTGAGACAGTCTCACTCTGTCACCCAGGCTGGAGTGCAGTGTTCTTGGCTCGATGCAACCTCCACCTCCCAGGTTCAGGCGATTCTCCCACCTCAGCCTCCTGAGTAGCTGGGATTACAGGCACCCACCATCATGCCCGGCTAATTTTTGTATTTTTAGTAGAGACGGGATTTCACCATGTTGGCCAGGCTGGTCTTGAACTCCTGACCTCAGGTGATCCGCTCGCCTTGGCTTCCCAAAGTGCTGAGATTACAGGCATGAGCCACCGCGCCCGGCCTTCAAAATGCTTTTTCTATTCTCTCACTCGACAACAGCACAGAAGATGGCTGTGACCGAATGCGTGGGGGCTTTCCCCCACACACCAGGCAAGCAATTCTGCAGCTGACACCAGCTGGGTGCCCTCCAAAATTCAATTCTGGCACTATCTACCTGGAGATAGTGTCAGATCCCACAGGCTGAGGGCTCAGTCCACCATTCTGTCCCCCATTCAGACACCAGTTCCAACTCCAGGCCTCTGGAGCTTCTGGCCTACTGGCTTCAAGATGAGGTTCCCACAACCCCCTCTTTTGAGTTCAACTAATTTGCTAGAGTGGTTCGCAGAGCTCAGAGAAACGTTTACCAGTTTATTATAAAGGATGTTACAAAGGATACAGATGCAGAGATGTGTAGGGCAAGGTATGGGGAATGGGCTCGGAGCTTCCATGCCCTCCATGGATGCAACACCGTCCAGGAACCTCCACGTGTTCAGCTATCCAGAAGATCTCTGAACCCTGCAATTTTGAGTTTCTGTGGATAATTCATTACGTAGGTATGATTCATTAAGCCATTGGCCATTGGCGAACAACTTACCCTCCAACCTGTCTGCCCTCCCTTGACTGGGGATGGGGGGTGAGGGGAGGCTGAAATCCTGCCTTGGTCTCTCTGGTGACCAGCCCCTGTCCTGAAGCTACCCTAGGGGCTGCCAGCCATCAGTCAATCATTAGCACACAAGAAGACATCATTTTGGGGATTCTAAGATTTTAGAAATTGTACTCCAGGAAACAGAGGTCAAAGACCAAATATATATTTCACAATATTACATCCCTCCTACAGAAGGCCAAATTTGCATCCCTACAACTTCCAGAGGTAAGAGGGAGCCATCAATGGTGTGGTGATGTAATCGCCCAAAGGGTTCACCTTGCTCAAGCCTAGACAGAGCCGATTGCTCAAGACAGGGGAATTGCAATAAAGACTAATTAACGCAGAGCTGGCTGTGCAGGAGACCAGCGTTTTACTATTACTCAAATCAGTCTCCCCAAGCATTCAGGGAGCAGAGTTTTTAAGGACAACTTGGTGGATGGCGGGGAAGCCAGTGAGCCAGGAGTGCTGATTGGTCAGGACTGAAATCATAGGGAGTTGAAGCTGTCTCCTTGCCTTGAGTCAGTTCCTAGGTGGAGGCCACAAGTCCCAACGAGCCAATTTATGGATCTGGGTGATGCCAGCTGATCTATCAAGTGCAGGGTCTGCAAAGTATCTCAAGCACTGATCTTAGGAGCAGTTTAGAGAGGGTCAGAATCTTGTAACCTCTAGCTGCATGACTCCTAAACCAAAATTTCTCATCTTGTGGCTAATGTTGCTCCATCCTACAAAGGCAATCTAGTCCTCAGGCAAGAAGGAGGTCTGCTTTGAGAAAGGGCTGTTATTGTCTTTGTTTTAGACTATAAACTAAAAACTAAGTTTCTCCCAAGGTTAGTTCAGCCTACACTCAGGAATGAAGAAAGACAACTTGGAGGTTAGAAGCAAGATGGAACTGATTAAGTTAGATCTCTTTCACTGTCTCAGTCATAATTTTGCAAAGGTGGTTTCAGTGACATCCCAGGTCTTCAGAGCCTTCATGAGAAAAGAGAACCAAGGAAAACTGTGCACGCAGGCCACCTTGTGGCACACCTATTCCAGCCACTCCATGCTATCTGCACCCCTCCGAGAACACACGTCTCACTGGGTCTACACCCAATGGCTGTTCATTTTCCACACTCTGCCTTTGACCCCAGCTGGTATGGATGGGCCCTGGGTTTCTGACCAGCCAGATTCAACATTTTGGTTCTCAGTCCTGCTTTCTCTGGAAATTCTTCTGGCTGGGGCTTTTCCTTAGTAAAGAAGCCCTGGACCCCACCTAGGTCTGGGAACTGGAGATCGGTGGCACCAGAACTTTCAGTTTCGTTTGTGAGTGTCTCTGATCTGGCCAAGCCCTGGGAGAGAGACAGAACATTCTAACCCTCATTTTTAGAAATATTTTTATTTTGCACGAGAGCCATGTGCAGGAAGACAATCTAATCCCCCTTTGACAGATGCAGAAACCGAAACTTAGACAACAGAAGGGGTTTGGGCCAAGTCCCTGGCTGAGTAGTAGTAGGGCTGGGAGGGGATTCAGACTTAGGGGACCGGAGAGGCGGGCTGCTGGGGGAATGGAGGTGCCTGGGGCAGGCCCTGGCCACTCCAGCTTCCCTGGGAGCTGCACTCAGCCCCCTCCATCCTTCACCTGTTCCAGGACCTGCCTGAAGCCCCACCATCCGTGGCCTTCACTCAGGAGAGAAACCCTAGACACCAGGAGGAAAGTCAGGGCCCAAGAAACCCACTAAGCTTTCAGGACAGGGTGTGGAGCCGGGCACCCATGACGTGGACCTGTGTTTCTGTGGGGTGATTAGAGAGGCTGCATCAGCTCTGGGTGTGTGGGCCCCTTCATGCTACTGTGGATCTGGGACCGTGTTCTCCACCTTGTTCTCTATGCGTGTTGTGTGGTTTGGGTTGAATTGAGTGTCCATGGAGCCGTATCTGCAGGGGGTCGGGCTTGGTCTCCACAGCACCCTGGGGAGTTCTGGGAGGAGAAGTTGGAGAGAAAAGTGCTGGGGAGTTGCAGAGGCTTCAAACTGGTCCAGCAACTTTGGAAATTGGGAGCAGTAGCCAAGAGGGAGAGGAGAGGACAGGCGGACAGAGGAACAGTGTGGACACCGGCAGGCGGGCGGACTCAGTGCTGTGGCATGAAGCTGCTGCCCAGCTGGAGAGCGGTGCTGCCCCTTGGCCCTTCAGGCAGGGCCTGGCCATGGGCACAGCGACCCAGAAGTAGGTGGGCTCTAGAGTGCTGGGGCTGGGGCAGCCCAGAGGGGAACAGAATGGGGACCTCAGGCCCAGCCCTCACCAGCTGAGGAGCCTGAGTTCTTAGGGCCCCTCCCCATGTCCCCCTCTGCCATCTCAGGCCCTAGGGCCAGGCTGGGCTGGGCCTGCCAGGAGGGGAGACAGGCTGGGCATAGGACTGCCTTCCTGGGCTAGGTGATGGGCAGTCACACAGGGCTTGGTGCATAGAAAGGCCCCACGCTCCATCTAATGCTCCTGCTATCTTTAAATTCTTTATACTTTTGGAATAAAGGCCTCACATTCTTACTTTGCACTGGGTCCCAGAAATTATGTGGCTGGGAGGGGAAAGGGATCTGTGCCCTGACACAGAGTGCAGACCCGGCTGGGCCAGCCTAGGCAGCTCTGCCTGCAGAGGCCCATCTGCTGCCTGCCTCAGGGACCCTGAGGGGTGCAGGGTGGTGAGGGCAAGGCAGCTCAGACCAACCTGAATTTTAGGATTGGTTTCTGCAAACTTGCTATCTGCATGGCTTGGGTCAAATCACATCTACTGAATCTGTTTCCTTCGCTGTTAAAGGGGTTAATACCGCCCAGCACAGGGGTTACTTGGGACAGTGCAGATCCATGTTTCTTGGCACAAGGCCAAGGCCATTCCTCAATAACGAGAATGACTATGATGATGATGATAATGATGAACTAGTTATTAATCAGTGGGGAAGGGCCTCATACAGGGGGTTACATAATAAGTGCCTGTTTCCACTCCCTCTTTCTCCGCTCACCTGGGGCTTGGTAAACTTCTGGTCCTCACCCCCTCGACTCTGGCCCTCTCTTGGGAAACAAGAACAGGTCCAGCGCCCAGGCGCAGATGTGGGCAGGGAAGGGCACATGTGGCAGAGGCTTGGGTGGCTTTTACTGTCCTAGTGAGAGTTAATACATTACCTCTGCCCGGGCCCCCCTTTCGCAATCCAGAGCTGGGCATCTGGTTACAGATTTACTTCAAACAATGCCTGATATGTGGAGTAAAGTCCTCCTCCTTGGCCTTTGTCAAGTCATCCCCTCTTCTCCTCAGGAACTGCTCAAACCTGTGCCCCAAAGATGAGGGCCCAGGAGGACCTCGAGGGCCGGACACAGGTGCTGGGGGCTGGGGGTGGGGGCTAGGGGGGGCAGGGGGGGTGGGGGGCTGGAGGGCCTGTGCAGGCCTTCTTCCTGGAGGCCAGAGATAAACGTTCTGATGAACTTGATAAGAGTGACTGTCCCAAATTGAATGTGGCAACTGGGGGATGGGTGGAGGTGGGGGTGAAGGAGCCTGCAGCTTTGGGACTGGCTGACTCCAGGTTGGGGTTCAGGAGAGGCCTAATCTCCCGGCCAGTGACACCCCAAGGATCTCCAGGGGGCAGAGGTGGGACCGGATTGGACTTGTCCACAGTCTTGAGCCCTCTTGGCCCCCTCTCCTGTGGTCTCCAAGACTTCTGACTTAAGGGTCCACTTCCCTGGCTAAAATGGCAGGTCCTGAGGGCTCTAGAAGCTGGCACAGTAGACTCATCCCTGCGGGAAGCAATGCAAAGTGGGAGAAAACTGTGGCCAGGCCAAGTGGCACCCGGGTGGATGGACTGTTGGGGAGGGCGGGAACCCCGCTCTCAGTTGCTGACAAGCCACTTGGGCTGCCTGATTGATTCTGGGGCAGAATGGATTTTGCCTGTCCCCATCACTTCACCCTAAGCTACTTATCTCTGCTGCCTCCAGCATGAAACCACCAGGGACCCCTCGACCCCGCTACCCACAGAGCCTAAGTTTGACATGTTGTACAAGATCGAGGACGTGCCACCTTGGTACCTGTGCATCCTGCTGGGCTTCCAGGTGGGTCCCCCAGGGCCTCCCCGCCCTCACTCTGCACACTCCCCGGGGACTCCAGCCCCTCCCTGGCCAGCAGGGAGTATCTTGGGTAACAGGAAGAAAAACCTGAGGTCAGCACAGTGGCTGTCAGCAAGCAGGAGTCGGGAAGAGGCTGAATCCTGAAAGAAGATGAACTCCCTGGGGGAGTGTGACGCTTGCCAGGTGGGGTGTTGGTGACAGGGAGCAGAGCCGACTCCACGGAAGCCGCAGGAATATCTTGAGTGGAAATTAGTGACCCCCAGAGTGGTCAGCAGTAGCTCTCTGGGAATCCCTTGTGGGGACTGCCAGTCCTGGGCAGGCAGCCGGTTCCAGGCCCGCTGAGGCAGGCATGAGGACACTAGGTTGTCCCCTCTCCCTGGAGCTCTGGGGTCCTGCCTCATGCACTCTGCTGTCTCCCTCTGCCCAGCACTACCTGACATGCTTCAGTGGTACCATCGCCGTGCCCTTCCTGCTGGCTGAGGCGCTGTGTGTGGGCCACGACCAGCACATGGTTAGTCAGCTCATCGGCACCATCTTCACGTGCGTGGGCATCACCACTCTCATCCAGACCACCGTGGGCATCCGGTGAGCCGCCCAGCCCCCCAACCCGTCCCCCGCCACCCCTCCACTGTGATCCACACAGCAGGAGCAGGTGGGCTCCCAGAGGACACTGGTGAGACAAAAAAGCCGCTTTCTGCCTCCACCTGCTTCTCCTATCCCAGGCCAGCCTTAGAGCTGGGCAGCGTGGCCCCAACCCTGGGAATCTTGATCTAGGCACACTTCAAAGACCAGGCATCTGCAAGTTTAAGGGATTGTACCCTCGCTGGCTCTCCCCTCTTTTTTTTTTTTTTTTTTTTTTTTTGGAGACGGAGTTTTGCTCTTGTTGCCTAGGCTGGATTGCGGTGGCGTGATCTCGGCTCACCACAACCACCACCTCCCGGGTTCAAGCGATTCTCCCGCGTTCAAGCGATTCTCCCACCTTAGCCTCCTGAGTAGCTGGGATTACAGGCATGCGCCACCATGCCCGGCTAATTTTGTATTTGTATCTGCCCACCTTGGCCTCCCAAAGTGCTGGGATTACAGGCGTGAGCCACCAAGCCTAGCCGGCTCTCCCCTCTTAAACCCCATTCTGAATATTGCCCAGATGGCAGCCCTGAGCTAGCTCCCAGGGTTGGTGCCAGCCTCTTCGACAGCCCACCCTCCCAGGGCCCCACGCTCCCGAGTGCACAGCCCTAGGCCTGGGTGGCATTTGAGCTGTTTGAGCAGCGGGGGACAGGGGAAGATTGTGAGAGAAACCTGGATGCGGGAACTGAGGTGTCCACTTCCGGGCAGGTGCCCCCTCCTCACAGTGCAGGAGCTGGTGGTGGGAAGGGGGCAGGTTTTGAGCTGGGGGCTCCATTTGTTTTCTTCCTTGGGCAGCCAAAATGTTAGAGATGGTCTTCCCTGGGGCCTCAACGATTTCCATCTGCCCTTGTCCCTTGTGTCTCTGTCACTCTCTCTGTGCTCTCCCTTCCTGATCTCTCCCCGCATCTTTATCCCTCCTCCCCACCCGCCCCTCCCCACCCCTGTTGCTTTGTGCCTCTCCTCCAGGCTGCCGCTGTTCCAGGCCAGTGCCTTTGCATTTCTGGTTCCAGCCAAAGCCATACTGGCTCTGGAGAGATGGAAATGCCCCCCGGAAGGTGGGTACACTTCTGGGGTCTGCACTGGGGAAAAGGGGAGGCCCAGAGACCTGGAGGTCTGAGCAACTGTCCCGGGTCAACACCAGGGTGCAGCCATGGCAGCATCTTCTCTCCCTCTCTGTCTCTGTACCTGGTCCGTGTGTGTATCCCTGACTCTACCCCCAGAGGAGATCTACGGTAACTGGAGTCTGCCCCTGAACACCTCTCATATTTGGCACCCACGGATACGGGAGGTGGGTTTGCATGTAAGCATAGAAGAGGCCGGGTCCTGAGGAGGGGCTATATGGGAGTGAGGGTGGCCGCTGAGTTTGGGGATTTGAGGAGGTGGTCCAGGAGCTTTGTTCCTGCTAGCAGCAGCCAGGTCATGACCTTTACATGGTGACTTACGGCTGATGTTTGCCCTTCCAGGTCCAGGGTGCAATCATGGTGTCCAGCGTGGTGGAGGTGGTGATTGGCCTGCTGGGGCTGCCTGGGGCCCTGCTCAACTACATTGGGCCTCTCACAGTCACCCCCACTGTCTCCCTCATTGGCCTTTCTGTCTTCCAAGCTGCTGGCGACCGAGCTGGCTCCCACTGGGGCATCTCAGCTTGGTGAGCAGGCACCAGGCCTGATCCCTGCCCAGCCCCAGCACCCTACCCTCTTCATGTCCTTGGTCCTTCTTCCCGGCTCCTGGCCCCAGCCTGGCCTCCCATCCACTTCCTGATTGTGCCTCTGCCCCCAGCTCCATTCTCCTGATCATCCTCTTCTCCCAGTACCTGCGCAACCTCACCTTCCTGCTGCCTGTCTACCGCTGGGGCAAGGGCCTCACTCTCCTCCGCATCCAGATCTTCAAAATGTTTCCTGTGAGGACCTGGCAGGCGGCTGGGGCTGGGACTATGGCCAGGGCTTGGGCTGAGGTGGGAGCAGGTTAGCCTGGACAGAGACCTCCAGTGCCTTCAGTGCCCCCTCACCCCCCTCCTTCAGATCATGCTGGCCATCATGACCGTGTGGCTGCTCTGCTATGTCCTGACCTTGACAGACGTGCTGCCCACAGACCCAAAAGCCTATGGCTTCCAGGCACGAACCGATGCCCGTGGTGACATCATGGCTATTGCACCCTGGATCCGCATCCCCTACCCCTGTGAGCAACACCCCTTGGGCCCCTCTGCCCCCAACTGAGACCACCTATGAGACAGACTCCTGGTGACCCCAATCCAGCAGGTGACACACCTAGCATTAGCCGCACATTTATAGTGCGCCCAGCAGAGTGGTGTTTTACTTAGACAAAGCTTCAGTCCCACTTCCTGGCTCTGAGTGACTCAAATAAGCTCCCACAACTGTATAGCTCCCATCCCAGCCTGAGGTCTCCTGATCTGCTCTTGCTCCTTCCAGCACTGCCCTGTCTATTCCTAACCATCACAGTCTCCTCACTGTAGCCACCATCCTGTCTCCCTCCGAGCACAGGTCAGTGGGGCCTGCCCACGGTGACTGCGGCTGCTGTCCTGGGAATGTTCAGCGCCACTCTGGCAGGCATCATTGAGTCCATCGGAGATTACTACGCCTGTGCCCGCCTGGCTGGTGCACCACCCCCTCCAGTACATGCTATCAACAGGTAGCCTACCTGCCCTCCTCAGTATCTGATCTCCTCAGGCGCCACCCAGGAAGCACACACAGGAACGGGGTGGAGGCCCAGGGGGTAGGCTTAGGCAAGTCGGGAACACGCTCCAGACCTCATTCTCCTTGTTTGTGCGATGGGGGTGCCCTCTCATCACCCCTCTGTCTTTGCTGGGAGTAGCTGAGAAGATGGTGGAGTCCAAAGGGAACCACCGTCATTGACAGCCCTCCATGTGCCCGGCTCTGACTGTGCATTCTTATGCAATCTTTGAAGCATTTTGTGAGACGGGCACCGGTATTTATCCCAGGAGGAAATTGAAGGCCAGAATTACCCACAGGAGTAAGTGCCAGGGCACTAGGACTAGCTCTGGAGCCTGAGCATTCTGGCCTGTAGTAGGGAGTGCTACAGCTGATAGCTGCAGCCCCCACAGCCCCAGAGGACGGCAGCTTGCTAAGATGATGGGGGAACACAGACTGGTGCAGAGGCTGGACCAAGCCCCGACTCTCCCTTTCCTTACAGGGGCATCTTCACCGAAGGCATTTGCTGCATCATCGCGGGGCTATTGGGCACGGGCAACGGGTCCACCTCGTCCAGTCCCAACATTGGCGTCCTGGGAATTACCAAGGTGTCGCGACGAGCCAGAGCCAAATCCTGCCCTAATTCCGTGGGCCGCAGGCCCCGCCCCAACTCGGTCCCCACTTTGGTTTAGCCCCACCCTGTCTTTGAGAGGCCTCGCCCCCGCATCAAGCCCCAGCCGGTTTATGCCTCGCTCTTATAACAGGCCCCGCCCCTGGAACTAACCCCGCCCCAGCCTCGTCCCCAGGTCTAGCTTCCCCGCTGGCTCCCCGGCAGGTGGGCAGCCGGCGCGTGGTGCAGTATGGTGCGGCTATCATGCTGGTCCTGGGCACCATCGGCAAGTTCACGGCCCTCTTCGCCTCGCTCCCTGACCCCATCCTGGGGGGCATGTTCTGCACTCTCTTTGGTGAGTGTCTGGCGCGGGCCACGGGTCGCGGTGCGGGTCGCCGAGTGGGACTCACCTGGATTACGCGTGTGCGGCGCCTCCAGCCGTTCTCTTGCGCCCTTAGGCATGATTACAGCTGTGGGGCTGTCCAACCTGCAATTTGTGGACATGAACTCCTCTCGCAACCTCTTCGTGCTGGGATTTTCCATGTTCTTCGGGCTCACGCTGCCCAATTACCTGGAGTCCAACCCTGGCGCCATCAATACAGGTGCCTCCAGCTGTTTACTGTCTCCAAAGGCGGGGTGGGCCCAAAATTTTGAGCACAGCCCCCTCCCTCAAAGGCTCCACACAGCTACAGCCACAAATCGTACCCAACTCTGGGTGTCAACCAGCAGCTGAGAGCTTGGGTCACAGCTGTCCTTTACTAAGACACTTCCTGTGGACAGATATTGACCTTTACATGTGCTTATTTAATTTTCAAAACAGCTCCATTTATCTACATTTATCATTTCTCCATTATCATTTCAACTTTACAGATGAGGAAGATGAGGCTCAGTGATTTGTCCCAGGTGAACAACTAGCAACTGGCAGAATTGGGACTTGAACCCAGAGATAGGAAAGACAGAGATAGGTTTGAGACAGGGCTTTGTACTGTTCCTTTGCCATAGCTGCACAAGAGGAAGTCCCTCAACTCTGCTCTCCAGATTGGGCCATGACACCCATTGGCCCTTGGCCTATTCCACAGGCATTCTTGAAGTGGATCAGATTCTGATTGTGCTGCTGACCACGGAGATGTTTGTGGGCGGGTGCCTTGCTTTCATACTTGACAACACAGTGCCAGGTATGGTTCGGTCCTGGGAGGGGAATGAAGAACTAGGCTGGACTCATGCACTCCAACAGATGGCCTCTGAGCTGGAGCTGTGTGGTTAGGTCCCATGCAATGCAGGCCCTGCAGGGAGCATCAGGAATAGATGGGCTGGTGGAGTGCTCACTGGCTGGAGGGAGAGAATGAGGCACAGACATGCCTCAGAGGTCTTGAAGAGGATGGGGCCGGAAGAGTCACTGCTGGGTCCTGTGAATCCTTTCCTCTCCACTTTTTCCATTTCTTTCCTTTTTTTTTTTCCGAGATGGAGTCTCGCCCTGTCACCCAGGCTGGAGTGCAGTGGTGCGATCTCAGCTCACTGCAACCTCCACTTCCCGGAGGGTTCAAGTGATTCTCCTGTCTCCTGAGTAGCTGGGACTACAGGTGGCTGCCACCACGCCCAGCTAATTTTCATATTTTTGGTAGAGATGGGGTTTCACCATATTGGGCAGGCTGGTCTTGAACTCCTGACCTCAAGTGATACGCTCGCCTCAACCTCCCAAAGTGCTGGATTACAGGCATGAGCCACTGCACCTGGCCTCCTCTCCATTTCTTAATAGCCACTGGGCTGAGGGATGTCTTTGCTTTCTTCAGAGTAGGACAGAGATAAATGCAGCATCAGTTTGTTGGCAAAATCCATCCACTCCAAATATGTCAGCAGCCTGCCACAATGGCGACTAGAAGAGCCACTAACATTTCCCTTTGGTACCAGAGCTTTTTGCAAAGATCGTGGAGGATACTTTGTGGGGCCCGCATAAAGATGCCAGTAAATATATAAAATAAATGTCACCAGGTGCTCTGATAACAAACAGTTAACATTTAGCAAACATATACTATGGGTAAGGCAGAGCTAAGTGTCTTACTTCATCCTCAAAAACCACAAAGTCATAAAGTCACAAAATTAAAACATCACGGCCGAGCATGGTGGCTCATGCCTGTAATCCCATCACTTTGGGAGGCTAAGGCGGGTGGATCACGAGGTCAGGAGTTTGAGACAAGCCTGGCCAACATGGTGAAACCCCATCTCTACTAAAAATGCAAAAATTAGCTGGGTGTGGTGGTGTGTGCCTGTAATCCCAGCTTCTCGGGAGGCTGAGGCAGGAGAATTGCTTGAACCTGGGAGGCGAAGGTTGCGGTGGGCCGAGATCGTGCCATTGCACTCCAGCCTGGGTGACAGGGTGAGACTCCATCTCAAAAAAAAAATTAAAACATCGCAAATCTGGGATGTATATTTTAATTGAGACAGGGTCTCAGACTATCACCCAGACTGGAGTGTAGTGGCACAATCATAGCTCACTACAGCCTCAAACTCCTGGGCTTATGTGACCCTCCTGCCTCAGCCTCCCAAATAATTGGGACTACCGGTGCACAGGTGCATGCCACCATGCCCGGCTAATTTTTGAATTTTTTGTAGAGACGGGGTCTTACTTTATTGCCAAGGTTGGTCTTGAACTCCTGGGCTCAAGTGATCCTCCCATCTCAGCCTCTCAAAGTACTGGGATTATAGGTGTGAGCCACCACACCTGTCCTCAATTTTTTTTTTTTGAGATGGAGTCTTGCTCTTGTCACCCAGGCTGGAGCACAATGGCGTGATCTCGGCTCACTGCCACCTCCGCCTCCTGAGCTCAACCGATTCTCTTGCCTCAGCCTCCCAAGTAGCTGGGATTACAGGTGTGCACCACCACACCCAGCTAATTTTTGTATTTTTAGTAGAGACAGGGTTTCACTATGTTGGCCAGGGTAGTCTCAAACTCCTGACCTCAGGTGATCCGCCCACCTTGGCCTCCCAAAGTGCTAGGATTACAGGCGTGAGCCACCACACCTAGCCTCTATTTTTAAATTAAGATGGGGGTCTATGTTGCCCAGGCTGGAGTGCAGTGGTTATTCACAGGTGTGATCATAGCATACTACAGCCTCAAACTCCTGGACTCAAGCAATCCTTCTGTCTCGGCCTCCTGAAGAGCTGAGAGTACAGGTGCATGCTATATACCATCTGGCTAAATCTGGGATTTTTAACAACATCCATCTGACGCAGTCAATGGCCTGTGTCCCATCCACTGCACCATACTGCCTCTGCTGGAGGGTTTCAGGGGACCTGGGCTGCAGGACTGGGGAAGGCTCCATGGAGATGGGAGTTAATGACTGCATCAGTATAGGGACATAAGGGATGGTAGTAGCAAGATGATGGGCCTCCATTTTGTCACTTACCAGCCTGATCACAGCCACAGGTCCTGTCTGCCTCCCTCTCTCTCAAGATCCAAGTGTTCATGTTCACATAACATAGGTGTCAGAGGCTGTCTCTGAACAGCTGGTGGGTTGGGGCTGGGGAGGACAGAGGAGGGCCAGGGTTCCCCGTAGGATTTTAGGCAGAATCAAAGGAAGGTGCTCTTGGTAGCAGCTGTCCCTTCGATGGATGGGTGGCTATTTGAACATGGTACCCCTGCCCATTTAGAGGATGCTAGACTGGGGGCTGGAACAGACCATCCTATGGGCCTGAGACAGTCAAGTGGCAGCCTCAATGCCTAGGGAATATGAGGAGATGGAGAGCATCTGGGTAGGCATCTGTACATGAAGAGGCTTCTTTGTGACTTGGGTGGCTAGTTTAAGCTATCCAGTCATCCTTAACAACAGCTGCAGAACTGCCTGAGTCCCTTATACCCCACATTTCAACCCACCTGAGCATCACAACTGTCCCTGCCAGGAATCATCCTGTGTGTCATGCCACATAAGCTCAGCAGTCTTCAGTATCCACTGAGGAACCTAAAGCTCAGGGGGGTTGTCACTTGCCTAAGGTCACACAACCTGGATTCAAACTAAGGTCTAGCTGGCTCAAAACCCTGTCCTTAACCATGGAATAGCAAAAGCCTTTTCCAGCCCTTAACTTCCTGCTGGGGATGGGCCATTTTGCATTTGTTTTTTTTGTTTGTTTGTTTGTTTTGTTTTTGAGACGGAGTCTCGCTCTGTCGCCCAGGCTGGAGTGCAGTGGCGCAATCTTGGCTGTGCCTCCCAGGTTCACACCATTCTCCTGCCTCAGCCTCCCGAGTAGCTGGGACTACCGGTGCCCGCCACCACGCCTGGCTAATTTTTTGTATTTTTAGTAGACACAGGGTGCTCTTTGTCTTTACCTATCCAGAGCCCAACCTTAGAGGGCAGTCCGTTTAGTTCAGCACATGCTGCTAGAGCTTACCAGCTTGGCCCTGAATCAGACACTGAGGAGGATATGCCAAAAAGTGTAAGTCAGTAACAATTTGTTTAGAGGAGCTCCTGGCACAAGATAGGTGGTAAAACTAGATTTAAGCAAGCAATGAAGTCAAGGAAGCCGGGCTGGAGTTATTGGGAGGGTTTACTGATGAGGGAGAGTAGGTGAGGCCTAGGAAAAAGGAGGGGGCTTGGAGAAGTACAGAAGGCACTGAAGGTTGGGATGTAGTGGGCAGGCTGACTGGTCTGCTAGAGGGAGCTCTGGGCTGGCTGCCATGTGTGTCTTGGCAGTGGTGCGAGGTAATCGGACACCAGAAACATAGTCCTACGCCACACCTATGGCTCATCCCACTCTACTGTGCCCACTGTGTGTGCCCTTTGTACAGCCAAGCCCAATCAAGGTTTCTCTTCCAGACTGTGTGTGCCCTTTGTAGAGCCAAGCCCAAACAGTGTCTCTTCCAGGTAGTCTTCCCTAGGGACTCCACCTTCCCTCAGTGCCCTCTCCTGTGAGATTTTGGAACATAACTTGGTTTGTGCTACTCATGGGTTTGTTCTCAGCCTGGGCTGCCAGCAAGTGGAAATTCCCACTCCTGCTAGATTTATAGTATTTCAGTCTTTGTCGATCCCAGCCCTCTTGTGAAAACCTGAGATCTCATGTGACCCTGCCCCACCTGAGGGAGAATTCCTAGTTGTAAAAATTACTAGCCCGGCTCAGTGGCTCACACCTATAATCCCAGAACTTTGCAAGGCCAAGGCGGGCTGATCACTTGAGGTCAGGAGTTCGACACCAGTGCCTGGCCAACATGGTGAAACCTCATCTCTATTAAAATTACAGTAATTAGCCGGGCGTGGTGGGTCACACCTGTAATCCCAGCTACTCGGGAGGCTGAGGCAGGAGAATCGCTTGCATCTGGGAGGCAGAGGTTGCAGTGAACCGAGATCAACCCACTGTACTCCATCCTGGGCAACAGAGCAAGACTCTGTCTCAAAAACAACAACAACAACAAAAAAAACACAACACAAAAAAACAAATTATTTGGTGTATCCCTACCTCCAAAGATTTTATTTAGCTTGACTTTCTGAAGTTTGTATTATAAAAATGAGTTTTTCACATATGGAATCATAATATGAAATATTAACACTGATTATAGTGTTTCAAAATATGCCTCCCTTACCCCCAGAACGCAATCTGGACTTGATTTGGTCCCCATGGGCCTAACACACATTACCACATACTCACAGATTTAGGTTCACAATTACTTAACTTTTTGTCCCTTTCTTCATCTTAAAATTTTGTATAGGCCGGGCACAGTGGCTCACGCTTATAATCCCAGCACTTTGGGAGGCCAAGCCAGGCAGATCACAAGGTCAGGAGTTCAAGACCAGCCTGACCAACATAGTGACACCCCGTCTCTACTAAAAATACAAAAATTAGCTGGGCATGGTGGTGCATGCCTGTAATCCCAGCTACTAAGGAGACTGAGGCAGGATAATCGCTTAAACCCGGGAGGAGGAGGTGGCAGTGAGCCGAGATCGTGCCAGTGCACTCCAGCCTGGGCAACAGAGCGAGACTGTCTCAAAAAAATAAATAAATAAAATAAAATAAAATAAAAATTTGTACAATGGTGTCTATACATCTCCCAGGGGTATGTTTTCAAGAAACAAGATAATGAAATTAAAGCACTTAGCACAGAGCCTGGCACACTGTAGTTACACAATAAATACTACTATAACTAGTATCCTTTAGTGTTCCTTAGAGCTCTGGCCAAGTTAGGAGCTCAGAAACCATAGATTCAGCCACGTTTTAGGACCAAATGATAGTTAAGGAAGATACTTGATTCCAGAAGTCTGCCTTAGGACTGGGTTATGGGAAGTGGGGGTGGCTGAGGGTTGCTGGCCTTGGTAAATGACCTCACTATCCTCTTCCAGGGAGCCCAGAGGAGCGTGGTCTGATACAGTGGAAAGCTGGGGCTCATGCCAACAGTGACATGTCTTCCAGCCTCAAGAGCTACGATTTCCCCATTGGGATGGGCATAGTAAAAAGAATTACCTTTCTGAAATACATTCCTATCTGCCCAGTCTTCAAAGGATTTTCTTCAAGTTCAAAAGATCAGATTGCAATTCCAGAAGACACTCCAGAAAATACAGAAACTGCATCTGTGTGCACCAAGGTCTGAAAAATGACTTCCAGGAAAGGTAGGATGTGTCTATGGTTTTTGTGGGAGGGTTGAATAATCAAAACATTCTTATGCTTTAACCAAAGAAAAACCAAACTACTCAGTTCTCTTTCTTGTAAACTGTTTGAATGTCCTCAAAGAGAAGGTGAGCTGGGTAAAAAGTCAACATACGGATTTTGGGTGGAATTCCTTTACCATTTCATAGTAACAGCAGAACTTCCCAACTAGTGTGGGCCACTAAGAGGCTACAAGTATGCTGAAATGCAGATCCTCTAGCCTTCCAGACACCTGGGCAGAATCTGGGCCAATTGGAGTCCTTGAGCTAAGAACTCTAGCCACTGGCAGCCTCATTCTTGTACTCCAGTATGCTAAACAAGTATCACTTTGATATGCGACATGGAAAATGTTGAGAAATGCAGCACAAGAACAGGAAAAATCCTCTCATATACACTGCCTTGTCTCAATAACGTCATAAAATTAAAACCCTTTAAAACAGGATGCCTTTATCCTAAAACGATGCCTGTACAAGCCCTGATGAGGTGACACTTTGTCCTTAGGTCTTCAGAACGCATGGGCAGCTGATGCTCGGAAACCTTCCATCACTATCTGTAATGCAGATGCCTGGCTCTCTACTAAACACTGAAGTGGGTTCAATGTGCACGTTCCCTCAGACAGACAAGAAAAGTTCCCAAAAAGAGAGGTTAGCCTAGATGACTCCTTAATAGTAAAAATAACAACACTTAAAACAGGACTTTCTATGTCTTAAGTACTTATATATATTAACTACTCACATAATCCAGAGACAGTTATTACTGCTATTTTAGAGATGTGGAAAGGAAGGTACAGAAAGGTTAAGTGATATGCCCATGATCACAGGATTCACATCCAGGAAGTCTGGCTAGAGTTCCCTTTTCCTTTTTTTTTGAGACAGAGTCTTGCTCTGTCGCCCAGGCTGGAGTGCAGTGGCGCCATCTCGGCTCACTGCAACCTCCACCTCCCGGGTTCAAGCAATTCTCCTGTCTCAGCCTTCTGAGTAGCTGGGATTACAGGCGTCTACCACCATGCCCAGCTTATTTTTGTAGAGATGGAGTTTCACCATGTTGGCCAGGCTGGTCTCAAACTCCTAACCTCAAATGATCCACCTACCTTGACCTCCCAAAGTACTGGGATTACAGGCGTGAGCCACCGCACCCAGCCTAGAGCCCCCTTTTCTTTTTTTAAATTTTTTTCCCAACAAAAGCCACATTCAAGAATCTTTACTCTTAAGGGCGATCACCTGAGGTCAGGAGTTCGAGTCCAGCCTGGCCAACATGGCAAAACCGCATCTCTACTAAAAAAATACAAAAATTAGCCAGGCGTGGTGGTAGGCGCCTGTAATCCCAGCTACTTGAGGCTGAGACAGGAGAATCACTTGAGCCCAGGAGGCAGAGGTTGCATTGAACTGAGATTGCATGACTGCACTCCAGCCTTGGTGACAGAGTGAGACTCTGTCTTGAAAATAAATAAATAAATAAATAAATAAATAAATAAATAAAGGCTGGGTGCGGTGGCTCACGCCTGTAATCTCAGCACTTTGGGAGGCCGAGGCAGGTGGATAACCTGAAGTCAGGAGTTCAAGACCAGCCCGGCTAACATGGTGAAACTCGGTCTCTACTAAAAATACAAAAATTAGCCAGGTGTGGTGGCACACAACTGTAATCCTAGCTATTTGGGAGGCTGAGGCAGGAGAATCACTTGAACCTGGGAGGTGAAGGTTGCAGTGAGCTGAGATCGTGCCACTGTACTTCAGCCTGGGCAACAGAGCAGGACTCCGTCTCCAAAAACCAACCAACCAACCAACCACACACTGGGGTACAGGTGCCCACACCAAAGAACCTCCCCCATACCCACTGCCAGAAGAATGTGAGTCAGAACTGACTATATGGCTCTCTTAATCTTTTTCAACCTAATAAGCTCAAAAAAAGCCCTTGTGAAGAACAAAAAACAATGGAGGTTCTATTAGAGTAAGGTCACCATCATATTGGTCAGCCATAAAGTTTCTTACATGACTATCTAGGATTCCCCTGACACTGAAGTCTGAGGTGATTAAGAAGCAAGGATGGGCAATGGAGTTATTCTACTGCTATATTCTGGAAAGGTACTTGCATGGCAACATACCTGTTAGAATCTAACAAAGCCTGAAAGCTTAGCACATTTTGCCAGCAAGATTGTCCTGAGGCACTGGGCCCATACTCAAGTGAGTAACACCACTACAGTACATTCCAGCACCAATAAACACAACCATCTGCTCAGTTCTACTATTATTTATTTTTTTAAATATTTTTGAAAAAATATAATTTTTTTACAATATTTTCAACTTAAACACTATTCACACTGAACACGTATGGCAGCTTAACCTACCCAAATATGAAGTTTAAGAAGCCAAAACTGTTCTAGCTTTGTTAAAAGTTGTGCTGCAGACTCTCGTGATGGTTAACAAAGCAAGGAAAAGCACCACTCAAATCATGTTACAGTATCTTTGTTCAGCTGGATTATGGGTTGGTATTGGTCATATGTTAGACTCCATACAGGCATAGCTATGATGCAGTGAATCCCTTAGAAGTTACAATTCTCAAATTACATACTTCCTCAGATGTAACATTAGAACTCAATATTTCTAACAATAACATACCAGAAAAGGCTGGACTGGCACTCATCTGCTGACTAACTTGTAGCCTCAGTAATATGACATACTTGCCTTTAACAAATTATCTCAAATTAACTAACAGACCTTCAGAAAATGGAGATTCTTTTTGATGGGGACATAATCAAATTTAAGTCTGAGAAATATGCTTAACAGTTGGAACTCAAATTAAATGTACTGATTTTAAAGTTTAGACATTAACAAGTGATAGATTAGCCTCAAAAAAAGACAATTTGGTAAGGTTTAGGTCTTTTAATTTGGTGCTTGTTCACAACTTGACTGGTGCTTCTTTCCTTGCTGTCTTCACATCAAGCCATGGGGCCAATTCTATTTTCAGTAAATGTTTGACAGCTTTTTACTTAGTAACAGTCTCAGCACTTTTATTAAGCATGCAAGACTAACAAAAACTTTGGCAATGCATAAGTGTAACACAGTGACAAGAGAGCTTTTACAATTAAGTCTTCTAATACTGCCTTCACAGTGTGGAAATTGTGCTACATCCACCAAAAGAGGGCCCCGTCTACTCAAATATTTCCGTACTTCACCCCAGGAACAAACTCCTTTGCATTTGGATTCAGATTGCTCTTGACCTGGAAAATAAGTACATAAAAAAGCAAGTTCATTAACACAGTTTCAGGTACTAATTCAATCTAGATCCTCATGCAAAAACATCTTCCAAAAAAAAAAAGACAAAAGAACTCAGTCTGTAAGACTATACTAAACCCCAAAAAGGAAGAACCAGATGTAAGCTATATATCATATTAAATTACATCAACTTTTTCTTTTCTTTTTTTGTGACGGAGTCTTGCTCTGTCGCCCAGGCTGGAGTGCAGTGGCACAATCTAGGCTTACTGCAACCTCTGCCACCTGGGTTCAAGCGATTCTCCTGCCTCAGCCTCCTGAGTAGCTGGGACTACAGGCGCGTGCCACCACACCCAACTAATTTTTTGTATTTTTATTTATTTATTTAGTTTTTTTTTTATGAGACGGAGTCTCACTCTGTCACCCAGGCTGCAGTGCAGTGGCGCGATCTCAGCTCACTGCAAGCTCCGCCTCCCGGGTTCACACCATTCTCCTGTCTCTCATCCTCCTGAGTAGCTGGGACTACAGGCGCCCACCGCCACGCCCAGCTAATTTTTTGTTGTATTTTTAGTAAAGACGGGGTTTCACCATGTTAGCCAGGATGGTCTCGATCTCCTGACCTCGTGATCCGCCCGCCTTGGCCTCCCAAAGTGCTGGGATTACAGGCGTAAGCCACCGCGCCCGGCCTAATTTTTCGTATTTTTAGTAGAGAAGGGGTTTCACCATGTTAGCCAGGATGGTGTTGATCTGACCTCGTGATCTGCCTGCCTCGGCCTCCTAAAATGCTGGGACTACAGGCGTGAGCCACTGCACCCGGCCTAAATTACATCAATTTTCTAAAGAGAAAATAGGAATTGAAATTCAGTTTGCTTAAGTGTAACCAGAAATCCAGTAACTTCACATAAGTTAAAGGAATAGCACGGAACAAGGAATTCTGTTAATCGAACTATGGTATGTAGCTTTCTTTAAACACTAAATACCAAGGAACCATGTTAAACAAGTGTTGAAATTATGATTAAAGTAACTGGGGAATTGCTGATTTTACTTTAGAATCCTCACTAAAAATGTGGAGTTGTTTTTCTACAATTGCCATCTTCTAATTCCCACAGGAAGCATGGTATATAACAGGAAAAGAAAACTACATGGGGAACCAGAAGACCTAAGCCTGAAATCCCAGCCCTGCCCCTAACTAACTTCTGTGTAAACTCAGATAAGTCACCTTTCTCTGGGATTCAAATTTTTGCATCAGTTAAAAAAAAAGGGGTGGGGGGGAATGGGCCAAAGTCTGAGTCTTAGAGACTTGTACCAATGTTATGCTATGTCTCTAAATCTTTACTCTCCTAAGTAGACTTGTCAGCATCTAGGAAGAACAGCTAGAAATTTTCCTCTGTGATATTTTAGACTGCAAGTTGAAAAAAATAAAAAGAAATGAGGGCAGGTTCCAGGGCCTGAAATGTAGGTATGCTGCAAGGCTTTTACATTGAATTTGACCCTACATCACTTCAAGACTAATGCATAATATTAAACATCATGTTGAAGAAATAATTTTAGTTTCGTAATTTATACATAGCAGTTTCTTTGGACAGGATATATTCTCCCTTCCCCCAAGGGAAATAATGTATCTACATTTTAAAAGTGTGAAGTTTAAGAAAAAAAAGCAGCATTCCTTTTCTCTTTTTTTGAGACATGGACTCGCTCTGTTGCTTAGACTGGAGGGCAGCGGAACAATCACAGCTCACTGCAGCATCGGCCTCCTGGGCTCAAGTGATCCTCTGGCCTCTGCCTCCCAAGTACCTGGGACCACAGGCCTGTGCCACCACACCCAGCTAACTTTAAACTTTTTGTAGAAACAGGGTCTCCCTTTGTTGCCCAGGCTGGTCTCGAACTCCTGGGCCAAAGTAATCTTCCCACTTTGGCCTCCCAAAGTGCTGGGATTACAAGCATGAGCCACCACATCCAGGCACAGTGTTCTTAAATGAACAATTTTCTGGGAGCAACAGAAGAATGAAACAAAGTAATATCAAATAGACTGAGAAGAACAAACCAGCTTCTGTACTATGGAATTATACTGGGTCCAGATTAAAGTTATACATTATGCTCAGCCAAGAGTGTTACTCTGCAGGGCAACTGGATTATTTATGGTGACTAATGTAGCCGTAAGTAATCATACCCCCCTCCAGACTATTCAGATCATACAGCTGCTCAAATGGGTTACCATCACTTACTGCAACAAAGGCTATATACCACAATGTAAACTTCAGTGCTCTCTACACCATCCTTTAGAAGAATGGTTTCCAAATGACCGACTCAGGCAAGTTGGCTGTATAATAAATCCTCTGTAGTACTTTTAAAAAATTAACATGCCCAGACAACTGAGCATGTTGGGATGTAACTAAAGAACTGATTTTTGTATTTAATGCTTCATAGGTAATCATGGTGTACAGATTAGTTCAGTGGACCCAGCCAGTTCTCACTCTAGTGCTGATGTTTAGTTATCACAATTCCCCCCACCCCGCTTTTTTTTTTTTTTTTTTTTTTGAGGTGGAGTCTCACTCTGTCGCCCAGGCTAGAGTGCAACGACACCATCTTGGTTCACCACAACCTCCACCTCCCAGATTCATGCGATTCTCCTGCCTTAGCCTCCCAGGTAGCTGGGATTACAGGCACGCACCACCACAACCAGCTAATTTTCTGTATACTTTTAGTAGAGACGGGGTTTCACCATGTTGGTCAGGCTGGTCTCGAACTCTTGACCTCGTGATCCGCGTGCCTCGGCGTCCCAAAGTGTTGGGATTACAGGCATGAGCCACTGCACCCAGCCAAGACAAGATTAAAGAGCAAAACTTCTCCATCAAGCTACTTCTGTATAGGCAAGTAACATGATAATATTGTGTGTGTTTTTAAATTATTAATTCTTTAGGACATTTAAGTACCCTAGGGCAACATCAGGACTAAAAGCAGGGGCTAGAAGTCCGTCTAAGACTAGCTCTACAGTGTTGCCGGAAGTGATTCCATGTCGTGAGACTCTGCTTCCATTGTAAAAAGCAGCACAATTCCTTTTTCCTTTTTTTTTTTTTGAGACAGTCTTGCTGTGTCACCCACGCTGGAGTGCAGTGGCGTAATCTCGGATCACTGCAACCTCTGCCTTCCAGGTTGAAGCGATTCTCCTGCCTCAGCCTCCCAAGTAGCTGGAACTACAGGCGCCCGCCACCATGTCCAGCTAATTTTTGTATTTTTTTTTTCTTTTTTTTGAGTCAGAGTCTCACTCTGTTGCCCAGGCTGGAGTGCAATGGTGCGATCTCCACTCACTGCAACCTCCGCCTCCCAGATTCAAGCAATTCTCCTGCCTCAGCCTTTTGAGTAGCTGGGATTACTTACAGGCATGCACCACCACACCCAGCTAATTTTTGTAATTTTAGTACAGATGGGGTTTCACCACGTTGGCCAGGCTGGTCTTGAACTCCTGACCTCAGGTGATCCACCCACCTCGGCCTCCCAAAGTGCTGGAATTAAAGGCATGAGCCACCGTGCCTGGCCAAATTTTGTATTTTTTATTCTATTTATTTATTTATTTATTTATTTATTTATTTATTTATTTAATAGAGTTTCACTCTTGTTGCCCAGGCTGGAGTGCAATGGTGCAATCTCAGCTCACCACAACTTCCGTCTCCCGGGTTCAAGCGATTCTCCTGCCTCAGCCTCCCGAGTAGCTGGGATCACAGGCATGTGCTACCATGCCCGGCTAATTTTTTATTTTTAGTAGAGATGGGGTTTCTCCATGTTGGTCAGGCTGGTCTCAAACTCCTGACCTCAAGTCAACTGCCTGCCTCGGCCTCCCAAAGTGCTGGGATTACAGGCGTGAGCCACATGCCCGGCCAGAAGCAGCACAATTTCTGAAGGGGAAAGAGATGTAGAATTCTTAAATAGATGGGAGCTGGCTTTTCCACTTATGCAAAAGATGCACTAGGTTTTAAAAAGATGAAAAATAACTTTTTACCACAAGATCTTCCAGAGAAGAGCCATCACTGATAACAAGGTCATTAAACTGGTCTTGGATTTGGTCCATAGTTTGTGGGAGATCTCGAGCTGGAATAAACCATTCATGCTCTTCTTCCTCTTCCAGCATTTCTTGGAAACAGCGTTCAATAAATTCTTCTTCCCATAACTCCTCTTCTATCTAGATTTATAATAAAGGATAATTTATAGCACACTTGGTAGATATCACTAGGAATGGCTTAAAATATCTTGAACTAAACCATTTAAAGGCACAAAGTCATACTTTCTTTTCTGCTTCCATGCTAAGGAAAAAAAATGCTTACCATAATGACCGGCGAAGATCTATCTGTTTAGGGTTTTTCTATGTTTTTACTTTTATTAGTAGAACATTCTTTTTTCCATTGAGGGTGGCAGGGAAGAAGTAAAAAGAGATGCCTGTCTCTTTTTTCTGTGCCTGTCTGCTCCTGACTCCTGAATTCTCTTGACTTTCACGGTAACCAGCAATCTTACTGGCATAAGGCAGTGGTTTCCACATCTGACTGCTCAATGGAACCATCTGAGAGCTCTGAAAAAGTTTCCCAGGCTCCACCCTCATCCTCCTGATTCAGACATCTCTAGGGTGGGACCCTGAAACAAGCTCCCCAGGTTATTTCCGTAAGCAGTTAAGCCTGGTAGTAATCAGCAGCCAAATAAACAGGAGTGGTGGCACATCAGTCTACATACTTTATACATAAAGGACAAGATAAACACATTTCAGGGACAAGTACAATCATATTGAGGGCCAGAATGGACTATAAAAACATGTTTGTACAAAAAACTAACTTGTCTGTTGAATTCTTCTTCATTTTCCATCCACATGTACTCTGCAAATGGATTGTCATCTTCATGAGAATGACCGTTAATAATCACATCTTCATTGATGATGCTTGGGCTAGTACTGCTGCGACTTGGATCTTTCATGGCTGATGTTGGTTGTCGTTTTTAACCTTAAAAGAACAACAGCACAGTTAATTTACTTACTCATTCAGGGTTTTTTCTTTCTGAGACAAGGTTTCACTCCGTCATCCAGGCTGGAGTGCAATGGTGTGATCATGGCTCACCACAGCCTCGATCTCTTGCCTCAGCCTCCCAAGTAACTGGGACTACAGGTGTGCACCACCACACCACCCGGCTGAATTTTTTTTATTTTTTGTAGAAACAAGGTCTGTGTTACCCAAGCTGGTCTCAAATTTCTGGGCTCAAGTGATCCTCCCACCCAAGCCTCTCAAAGTGCTGGGATTATATGCATGAGCCACCAGGCCCAGCTGATTCTTTCAGTTCTTAGTGAGCATCTGTTTATTATTAGCAGGCATCATGAATAGGTGTTAGAGGCAGATGATACATTAAAAATACACGGTAAGTTGAATAATTGGAAAGCTTCATGTTTGTTTTTTCCAAATGATTTTAATGTTTTAAGAAACAGGAGAGGACAGCCTAAAACATCTAATGTTTTCTTTTTTTTTTTGAGATAGAGTTTCACTCTGTCACCCAGGCTGGAATGCAGTGGCATGATCTTGGTTCACTGCAACCTCAACTGCCCATGTTTAAGCGATTCTCCCGCCTCAGCCTCCCAAGTAGCTGGGATTACAGGCACGTGCTACCATGCCCAGCTAATTTTTGTATTTTTAGTAGAGATGGAGTTTCGCCACGTTGGCCAGGCTGGTCTTGAACTCCTGACCTCAGATGATCTGCCTGCCTTGGCCTCCCAAAGTGCTGAGATTATAGGTGTGCGCCACCACGCCCGGCCACATCTAATGTTTTCCGATAACAGTAAATGAAGTCCATCAGTTGCTTACATGGACTCTCCAAACCATCCAATTTATATTTTATATTACATATCACTTGCTTTGTAAAGCAAGCATGGTCGGCTGGGTGCAGTGGCTCATGCCTATAATCCCGGCACTTTGGGAGGCGGGGGCAGGTGGATCATTTAAGGTCAGGAGTTTGAGACCAGCCTAACATGGTGAAACCCTGTCTCTACTAAAAATACAAAAAAGGCCAGGCGCGGTGGCTCATGCCTGTAATCCCAGCACTTTGGGAGGCCGAGGCAGGTGGATCACCTGAGGTCGAGAGTTCAAGACCAGCCTGATCAACATGGTGAAACCCCGTCTCTACTAAAAATACAAAATTAGCCGGGCGTGGTGGCACATGCCTGTAATCCCAGCTACTCCGGAGGCTGAGGCAGGAGAATTGCTTGAACCCGGGAGGCGGAGGCTGTGGTGAGCCAAGATTGCGCCGTTGCACTCCAGCCTGGGCAAAAAGAGTGAAACTCCATCTCAAAAAAAAAAAAAAAAAAAAAACACCCAAAAACAAAAAATTTAGCTGGGCATGGTGGTACATGCCTGTAATCCCAGCTACTCAGGAGGCTGAGGTGGGAGAATCACTTGAAACCAGGAGGCAGAGGGTACAGTGAGCCGAGACTGCACCACTGCACTCCAGCCTAGGCAACAGAGGGAAACTCCACCTCAAACAACAACAACAACAACAACAAAAACCAAACACGGTCTGAAAGACTGAGTCATCAAGTGATGAAATGATGAAAAGCAAATTCAATTTTTAAAAACTGACTTCAAAAAGTCCAGGGATTGAAAGTGAAAACTAACAGATTTTTAATAACTTCTTAGGTTCTTCATGTATATAGCTCTGGATCTCTCCTTGATAGCCCATATTCTGTGTCTGCTTTTTCTCTAGGTCCATGTCAAGTTCTTCCATGTCTGGAGTTCCTCACTGTACAGTGAGTTTCAGGCATCTTTTTTTTTTTTTTTTTTTTGAGACAGGGTCTCACCCAGACGAGTGCAGTGGCGTGATCTCAGCTCACCGCAACCTCCGCCTCCCAGGCTCAAGCAATTCTCCTGCCTCAGCCTCCAGAGTAGCTGGGATTACAGGCGTATGCCATTATCACCTGGCTAACTTTTGTATTTTTAGTAGAGACTGGGTTTCACCATGTTGGCCAGGCTAGCCTTGAACTCAAGACCTCAAATGATCCACCTGTCTCAGCCTCCCAAAGTGCTGGGATTACATGCATGAGCCATCGCGCCCAGCCCAGTATCTTTTCACCTGAGTAAAAGTAGTATCAAATACAAGCCTGATGTCTTATACTACTCAATAGCTGATAACATGATCTAACCTAATTGATACATTGCAGGCTAAATATCTGAAGCACAAGGTTTCACATTCTAAAATATTCCAATTCATTAAGTTTGAAATCACTAAAAATAGATTTACATAAAACAATTCACCTGTACGTAAACTCAAGCAGTATAGTGACTTGTGCCAAAGAAAGGCTTATTGAGGTCTGCTTACCTCACATTTGTCATAATCAAGTAAAACACTAAATCTAAAATCTCCTACTGGAAATATATGTATTTTTTTCCCTTTGGGATAAGTTTCAGGGAAAAGATGAACCCTATGTGTGTTGCCTGGCCCTTTAAATTTTATGGACTTATCCTTAAGAGGACATAAGTGTAATAAAAATCCATAGCTGTTCATGTAATATGACAAATACTAGATACTAATGACAACAGGATCATAGTGGTGAAAATTTTAATTGTTGAGAGGTCCTCAACTAAAAATTTCTGGGAACTTCTGTCCTAGTTATAGTATGTATATCTATAAAAGAAAGGCAGGCCGGGCACTGTGGCTCACTCCAGTAATTCCAGCATTTTGGGAGGACAAAGCAGGCGGACTGCTTGAGCCCAGGAGTTCGAGACCAGCCTGGGCAACATAGAGAACCCCATCTCTACTACAAATACAAAAAATTAGCTGGATGTGGTGGTGCATGCCTATAATCCCAGCTATCTGGGAGGCTGAGGCAAGAGAATCACTGGAACCTGGGAGGCAGAGGTTGCAGAGAGGCAAGATCACATCACTGCACTTCAGCCTGGGCAAGAAAGCAAGACCCTGTCTCCAAAAAAGAAAAAAAAAAAAAGAAAGGCAGGAAGAAACAAACTGGGTGCGGCTCATGCCTGTAATCCCAACACTTTGGGAGGTCAACAGGGGTGGATCGCTTGAGCCCAGGAGTTTGATACTAGCCTGGGCAATATGGCAAAGCTGGGTACAGTGGTGCACGCCTGCAGTCCCAGCTACTTGGGAGGCCAAGGTAGGAGGATCTCCTGACCCTGGGAGGTGGAGGTTGCAGTGAGCTGAGATAGTGCCACTGCACTCCAGCCTGGGCGGCAGAGCAAGACCCTATCTTGAAAAACAATAATACAATCAAACAAAAGAAGAAAGGCAGAAACAGACTCAGAGTTATGTGCTATGGTGTTAGTAGAAAGAAAATATGATAATATGATTTGTTAGGAAATTGAGGCACTGTAAAAGCAGACAAGACAGAAAACAGACAATGGATATCTGTTATTTTTATCATTAAACTTGGATGAAAAACTATTTTGATAGCAAGTTTTGACTAAATAATAACCAGTTCCTCTAAAGAAAATAATTAGACTGGGTGCGGTGGCTCCCGCCTATAATCCCAACACTTTGGGAGGCCAAGGCGGGCAGATCACGAGATCGGGAGTTCGAGACCAGCCTGGCCAATATGGTGAAATCCCGTCTCTACTAAAAATACAAAAACTAGCCAGGTATGGTGGCACGCACCTGTAGTCCCAGCTACTTGGGAGGCCAAGGCAGAAGAATCGCTTGAACCTGAGAGGTGGAGGTTGCAGTGAGCCGAGACTGCGCCACTGCACTCTGGCCTGGGCAACAGAGCGCGACTACATCTCAAAAAAAAGAAAAGAAGAAAATTACCCATTTTTTTTTGAGACGGAGAGTACAGTGGTGCAATCTCAGCTCACTGCAACCTCTGCCTCCTGGTTCAAGAGATTCTCCTGCCTCCGCCTCCTGTGTAGCTGGGATTACAGGAGCGTGCCACCATGGCCGGCTAATTTTTTTGTATTTTTAGTAGAGACAGGGTTTCACCACGTTGGCCCGGCTGGCCTCAAACGCCTGACCTCAAGTGATCCGCCCACCTCAGCCTCCCAAAGTGCTGGGATTACAGGCATGAGCCACCGTGTCCGGCCGAAAATTACTCATTCTTATATGGCAGGCTACCAAACTGCTTACTGTTAAATAATTACATTTTAGATATTCCTCTAACACTGTGAATGGCTGGGATTGATCCTGCCTCACAACTGGATGGAACTTTGGTTAATCTGCATCTGAACCTTATCATTAAGTTAGGTACAAAGACACCCCAATATAAACAGGTTTTCATTATTTTCCCAATTTGTATCCTGTCCCAACTTATGCCCATAAAATCCTACTTTTCACACCGGGCACTGTGGCTCATGCCTGTAATCCGAGCACTTTGGGAGGCTGAGGCGGGCAGATCACTTGAGGTCAGGAGTTTGAGACCAGCCTGGCCAACATGGCGAAACCCTGTCTCTACTGAAAATGAAAAAAAATTAGCCGGGTGTGATGGCGCACACCTGTAATGCCAGCTACACAGGAGGCTGAGGCAGGAGAATCACTTGAACCCAGGAGGTAGAGGTTCCAGTGTGCCAAGATCGCGCCACTGCACTCTCCAGCCTGGGAGACAGAGTAAGACTCTGTCTCAAACAAATAACTTAGCTGGGTGTGGTGGTGCACGCCTGTGGTCCCAGATACTCAGGAGAGTGAGGTGGGAAGATCATATTAGCCCGAGGTCAAGGCTGCAGAGAGCCATGATCGCACGCCACTGCATTCCAGCCTGGGCAACAGAGCAAGACCTCGTCTCAAAAAAAGAATTTACTGTTTTAAAGTGTTTGATTCAGTGGTTTTAACACACCACCATTACCTAATTCCAGAACATTTTCACCACCCCAAAAGGAAACTCCATACCCATCTGTAGTCACTCTCCATTTCCCAAGCCCCCCAACTTGGACAACCACTAGTCTACTTTCTGTCTCTATAGATTTGCCTATTCTGAACATTGCATATAAATGGAATCATAAAATATGTGTCCTCTTCTCATGTCTGGCTTCTTTCACTTATTACAATGTTTTCAAGGTTCACCTATGTTGTAGCATGTATCAGCATTTCATTCCTTTTTATTGCCAAACAATATTCCATTGTATAGAGATACACATTTTATCTACTCTGATTAATGAGCATCTGCAGTCGTTTCCACTTTTTGGCTATTAATAATGCTGTTATCGGTATTTGTGTACAAGTTTTTATATGAGCACGTTTTCAGTTCTCTTGAATATATACCCAATGTGTTCAATGCTAGTCAGTCTTTTAGCTATACATTTTCAACTGTGATAGAAAAAATGAGTAAAAAAGGTAGCTGACTCCCTCCCCACCACCAGACACAATCCTCACTCCCAATCCTTTTCCCAAAAGTAAGCACTGCTAATGTGGTATATATTTTTCTTAAAAAGTAAACACATATGCAACAATAGTATTGCATTTAAGGGCCTTACAGTCATCATCTATTTAATACTCACAAGTCCTGTGGATGTAGGGATTATGGTCAAATTCATTTCCATGACAAAGAACTAAGTCTTAAGTAACTTGTTCCAGGTTACACAACTAGTGAACAGTGGAGCTGAAATTCAAGTCAAGGTAGCCTGACTCTAAAACATGCACCAGGGCCCAGCACTTTGGGAGTCTGAGGTGGGCCTCCAGACCCAGCTGTTGAAAACCAGCATGGGCAACATAGTGAGACCCCTATCTCTACAGAACTACTAAAAAGAACTGCCAATGCAATGATAAACTTCCAGAGGAATGCTTAAGAAAAAAAAAACCAACAGTTCAATTCTGGTAAAACACCTCTGTGGTATTTTAAACTACCCTAGTGCCATCTCCCATTTGCAGCTTGGTAAGCCTTGAAGACAATAGCCTGCATTCTTGGTACAAGTTGGAGGTAGCAATATCAATATTATTTTTATTTTTTTGAGATGGAATCTCGCTCTGTTGCCCAGGCTGGAGTGTAGTCGCGTAATCTCAGCTCATTGCAACCTCTGCCTCCTAGGTTCAAGCGATTCTCCTTCCTCAGCCTCACAAGTAGCTGGGACTACAGGCGCGTGCCACCATGCCCCGCTAATTTTTGTATTTTTAGTAGAGGCGGGGTTTCACCATGTTGGCCAGGATGGTCTCGATCTCTTGACCTCGTGATCCGCCCGCTTCAGCCTCCCAGAGTGTTTGGATTACAGGCGTGAGCCACGGCCCCTGGCTGCAATATAATAAATATTAACAAAAAACTCTGGTTGTTTTGACCTGGCTCCCTGAAGGACTGGCTCAAGAGTTTGCTATGGGGAGTGAGGTGGGGCAGTAGCACACATATTTGTCAAAAACAGTTAAGGGTAAATATAGTAGCAATAACGGGGCAAACAATCAACACAGTAAAAAGCCTGGGAAGAAAAGCTGGTGAAGGAGATGCTTTGAGAGTAAGAGCTTTGAAAAGCTCCCACATATCCTGGTAGTCCTAGAAAGCCATAGGCATGTCAGTGCTGAGCAGATGTTCAGAAAAGACCTGAAAAGGCTCTAAGTTTTCACCTCTGGCTCAGGCTCTGCCCATGCAGGAAGTGAAGGCAAAGGCAGAGCTGTTGAAGGTGTGCCTCAACACATCCATAGGACCCATATACCAAGACTAGGGGAGTTGTTTTTTGCTTAAAGGCATTTAAAAAAAATCTGTCAAATCACTAGCTGACCACTAAGCTAATGGAAGAGAGATTTCAATGGCCACACACACAAAAAGAATACAAATTTTACTAAACTCTTTCAGAAAAGGCACTAAAATGACAACTACAATAAGTGGCAACAAACCTGGGGAGAATCTAATTTCCAGAATTGCCACATTATATCATTCAAAATGTCTTTTTTTTTTTTTTTTTTTCTGGAGACAGAGTCTTGCTCTGTCACTCAGGCTGAAGTGCAGTGGCTCAATCTCAGCTCACTGCAACCTCCACCTCCCGGGTTCAAGCGATTCTCCTGCCTCAGCCTCCCGAGTAGCTGGGACTACAGGCGCATGCCAGCACACCTGGCTAATTTTCTGTATACTTTTAGTAGAGACGGGGTTTCACCATGTTGGCTAGGCTGGTCTCGAACTCCTGACATCAAATAATCCACTCGCCTTGGACTCTCTCTCAAAGTGTTGGGATTACAGGCGTAAGTCACCGTGCCCAGCCCGAAATGTCATTTTCAACAAAAATTATGAGGCATGCAAAGAAATAAAAAAGTATGGCCCATACACAGGCAAAAAATAAATTAACAGAAACTGTCCCCAAGGGAGCCCAGATATTACATTGGACAAAGACTTTATTTATTTATTATTTTTGACGAGGAGTGTTTTGCTCTTTTTGCCCAGGCTGGAGTGCAATGGCGCGATCTTGGCTCACTGCAACCTCCGCCTCCTGGGTTCAAGTGATTCTCCTGCCTCAGCCTCCCGAGTAGCTGGGATTACAGGTGCATGCCACCAGGCCTGGCTAATTTTTATATTTTTAGTAGAGACGGGGTTTCACCATGTTGGTCAGGCTAGTCTCAAACTCCTCACCTTGTGATCCGCCTGCCTTGGTCTCCCAAAGTGCTGGTATTACAGGCGTGAGCCACCGTGCCCAGCCGACTTTATTTATTTAACGTATCGTTTTTGAGACAGAGTTTTGCTCTGTCACCCAGGCTGGAGTGCAATGGCACGATCTCAGCTCATTGCAATTTCTGCCTCCTGGGTTCAAGTGGTTCCCCTGCCTCAGCCTCCCAAGTAGCTGGGATCACAGGCACCCAACACCATGTCTGGCTAATTTTTGCAGCTTTTAGTAGAGACAGGGTTTTCACCATGTTGGCCAGCCTGGTCTCAAACTCCTGACCTCAGGTGCCTCCCAAAGTGCTAGGATTACAGGCGTGAGCCACCACGCCCAGCCTATTTATTTTTTGAGACTGAGTCTCCCTGTGTTGCCCAGGCTGGAGTGCAGTGGCTTGATCTTGGCTCACTGCAACCTCCGCCTCCTGGGTTCAAGCGATTCTCCTTCCTCAGCCTCCCAAGTAGCTGGGATTACAGGCGCCCGCCACCACACCCAATTAATTTTTGTATTATTTTAGCAGAGAAGGGGTTTCACCATGTTGGCCAGGTTGGTCTCGAACTCCTGACCTCAGGTGATCTCCCCACATCAGCCTCCCAAAGTGCCACTGTGCCTGGCCAAAGACTTCAAATCAAGTATATTAAGTATGTTAAAAGAGCTAAAGGAAACCATGTAGAAAAAAATAAAAGGAACCATAGAATGATGTCTCACCAAATAGAGAATATCAGTAGAGACAAATAGTGGGCCGTGGTGGCTTACGCCTGTAATCCCAGCACTTTGAGAGGCCAAGGCAGGCAGATCACCTGAGGTCAGGAGTTCAAGCCCAGCCTGGACAACATGGTGAAATCCTGTCTCTACTAAAAATACAAAAAATTTAGCTGGGCATGGGGGTGCATGCCTGTAATCCCAGCTACTTGGGAGGCTGAGGCAGGAGAATCACTTGAACCCAAGAAGTGGAGGTTGCAGTGAACAGAGATCATGCCACTGCACTCCAGCCTGGGCAACAAGAGTGAAAACTCTGTCTCCAAAAAAAAAAAAAAAAAAGAGAGAGACAAATAGAAATTTTGGAGTTTAAAAGTAAACTGGGCCAGGTGCGGTGGCTCATGCTTGTAATCCCAGCACTTTGGGACTTTGGAAGGCTGGGGCAGGAGGATCACGAGGTCAGGAGTTCAAGACCAGCCTGGCCAACATAGTGAAACCCTGTCTCTACTAAAAGTACAAAAATTAGCCAGATGTGGTAGCACGTGCCTGTAGTCCCAGCTACTCAGGAGGCTGAGCCAGGAGTATCGCTTGAACCTGGAGGTGGAGGCTGTAGTGAGCTGAGACCACGCCACTGCACTCCAGCCCGGGTAACAGAGCAAGACTCCATCTCAAAAAAAAAAAAAAAAGGTACAACTGAAATGAAAAATTTACTAGAGGGGTTCAACAGCAGATATGAGCAGAGAGACAAAAGAATCAGCAAATTTAAGTTAAGGTCAATTGAGATTTATCCAGTCTGAGAAGCAGAATGAGGAAATGAAGAAAAATGAACAGAACGTTGACAGACCCAGGAGACATCAACTGTGCCAAAATATATACAATGGAATTACCAGAAGAAAAGGAGAATAGTTCAGAAACATTTGAAGAGATAACAGCCTAAAACTCCCCAAATTTGATAAAAAGACACAAATCTATGTATCTAAGAAGCTCAATTAACCCAAAGTAGGATAAACTCAATATGACCCGTACCAATACACATTACAATCGAATTGTTGAAAGACAAAGAGAGCATCTTGAAAACACCAAGAGAAGCAACTCATTACATACAAGGGATCCTCAATAAGATTAACAGCTGATTTCTCACCAGAAACCATGGAGGTCAGAAGGTAACATATTCAAAATGCTGAAAGAAAAAAAAATCGAACTAAGAATTCTTTATCTGGCAAAACTACCCTTTCAAAAATGAAGGAGAAATTAAGTCACTGCCAGATAAGAAAAAATGGACAGAGTTTGTCACTAGTAGACCTGTCCTATAAGAAAAGCTAAAGTGAGTCGTTCAGGCTGAAATGAAAGAACTCTACAGACATTAAATTGAATCCACACAAAATTAAAATGCCAGTAAAAGTAACTTATACAGGTAGTCACAAAAGTCTGTAATAACATATTTTGGCTTATTACTCCTCTTTCTTTCTGCATTATTTAAAAGATAAGGCTGGGCACAGTGGCTCATGCCTGTAATCCCAGCACTTTGGGAGGCCGAAGTGGGTGGATCACCTGAGGTCAGGAGTTCGAGACCAGCCTGGCCAACATGGCAAAACCCCGTCTCTACTAAAAATACAAAAAAATTAGGTGGGTGTGGTGGCAGGCACCTGTAATCTCAGCTACTCGGGAGGCTGAGGCAGGAGAACTGCTGGAACCCGGGAGGCAGAGGGTACAGTGAGTCGAGACAGCGCCACTGCACTCCAGCCTGGGCCAACAACAGTGAGACTCTGCCTTAAAAAAAAAAAAGAAAAGACAATGCATAATATAAGAATTATAAATCTATGTTAATGGACATACAATGTATAAAGATGTATTTTGTAGTAACAAATTACAAAAGACATGTAATTATTTTGTAATTACATTATTACAAATGTAATAATGGTGGGCGACAGGAAGCTATATAGTCTTTTGGATACACTTGAAACTAAGCTGATATTAACTCAAACTGAATTGTTACAAACTAAGATGTTAATTATAACCTCCAGGGTAACCCTTAAGAAAATAATACACAGTAAAAATGTGTACAACAGCTGGGGTATATCATCATCCTATTCAGAAATAGCCAGAAACAAATGTCTTTAACATCCTAAGAGTCAATGAGCTCAAACCTATATATGTTGAGAGTCTCCCCTGGCTGAGAGAATGCTTTTCTCCAGAACAAAAATAATTAAAACTTAGAGGAAATGCTGGAAACACAAAAGAAGGCCCTAATTTGCTTGAATGACTTTTAAGGACCGAAAACAGACAATGACTTAACAATACAGTAAAAAAACAAACTCTGGTACAAATAAGTCACAGAGGAAAACAAAAAACACAAAACTGAGAGGCTGACTATACTCAGCTGTTACTTTTTTTTTTTTTTGAGACAGAGTTTCATTCTTGTTGCCCAGGCTGGAGTGCAATGGCTCACCACAACCTCCATCTCCCCTGGGTTCAAACGATTGTCCTGCCTCAGCCTCCGGAGCAGCTGGGATTACAGGCATGCTCCACCACGCCCGGCTAACTTTGTATTTTTAGTAGAGACGGGAGTTTCTCCACGTTGGTCAGGCTGGTCTCAAACTCCCAACTTCAGGTGATCTGCCCACTTTGGCCTCCCAAAGTGCTGGATTACAGGCGTGAGCCAACGCACCCAGCCTCATCTGTTACTATCTTATCTTTGGCTCATGCCTCATTCTGACCCACTATAAAACTGGCAGGTAGGCTGGGCGTGGTGGCTCATGCCTGTAATCCCAGCACTTTGGGAGGCTGAGGCAGGAAGATCACCTGAGGTCAGGAGTTTGAGACCAGCCTGACCAACATGGAGAAACCCTGTCTCTACTAAAAACACAAAAGTAGCCGGGCGTGGTGGCACATGCCTGTAATCACAGCTACTCGGGAGGCTGAGGCAGAGGTTGCGGTGAGCCAAGATCACTCCATTGCACTCCAGCCTGGGCAACAAGGACGAAACTCCATCTCAAAAAAAAAAAACAACAAAAAAAAAACTGGCAGGAATTAACTGAGAAAGCCAATATTTTTTCCCCAGGTTTTTTACAGCCTGTATTTGTTTCAAGGCATGTTATGCTTTAAAACCCTAAAACTGTCAGAAAATATATCAAAAATAAAAAATGTTCAGTATTAATCTCATGCAAAGGAGATAACACGTCTTCATAACACGGCAAGACTAACTCAGAAAAACTAGCTTAATGTATCTAGTAGTCATTAAAATACTTGTAAATCAGATTTCCCTAGTGAAAATCACAAAATAAATGTGATTATCCAAAATGCTTAGAACCAGAAGTGTTTTGGTGTTTTTTTTTTTTTCAGATTTTGGAATACTGTATTATACTTGCAGTTGAGAATCCCAAATCTGAAATTTTGAGTGTCATGTTGGCATTCAAAAAGTTCTGGACTTTGGAACAGTTCAGATATCAAATTTTCAAACTGGGATGCTCAACCTGTCATAAACAGTAATTTTTCACTTTATGCTTTCAGTATTCATTTGAAAATTTTTGGACAGCAGGGTCTTTGCACAAATTTAGGATCAATTTTGTTAGGAAAGCAAGCATTGAAGTGTAGGCCGATGCGGGAGGATCACTTGGGGTCAGGAATTCAAGATCAGTGTGGGAAACATACCAAGAGCCCATCTATACAAAAAACATTTTTAATTAGCTGGGCATGGTGGTGTTCACCTGTAGACCCAATTACTTGGAAAGCTGAGACAGGAGGATTACTTGAACCATGATTGCACCACTGCACTCCAGCCTGGGTGATACAGCAAGACCCCATCTCTCAAAAAAAGAGTGACAGGGATGAATGTAAAAAGTACACACTACTTACAAAAAAAAAGAAAAAAAGTTAGGTATACAAACGTCTAAAGCGTATATAGTTTTTCCCTCTCCGATCCTATCATAGAGGTAATTCATCAATGTTAACAGCTTAATATGTATCCTTTCATAATTCTTTGTTTATATAAACACACATAAAGCATTTCTGTATTTTAACAGAATTATATTAAATACATTACATAAAATCTTCCCTAGTCAACAGGTATTGGTATACTTCACTTTTTAATGGATACAACACCACTTATTCAACCACCCCCTTCTGATGTACATTTATGTTCCCACTTTTTGCCATTACACACAATCTTGCTATGATCACTCTTTTTTTTTTTTAGTAGAGACAAGGTAGTAGTGCTTCGTATAGGATATATTCCTGTAAGTGGGAATAACTGTGTCAAGGGCCATTGCATTTTAACTGTAAGAGATGACAGATTATTTATAAAAATGTGGCAATACGCATTCCTATTATACTGTTTGGGTGCATCCATTTTGCTGCATCTTCAACAATCCCAGATATTATATATGTATTGTATTTTATTTTTGCAATCAGATGAGCTAAAAATGACATTTGTTTTCCTTTACAGCTTCTGGGAAGTCTTTTCCCACATTGAGATTATATTTCCTGTATTTTCTCTCAATATTTTTATAGTTTCAAGTTTTTATATTTAAATCTTTAGTTCATGTGAACATTTGAATATGTGAAGGATCTATATTTCTCCATATAAATTACATCATCCCCCACTAATGAAAGCTTATTCCTCATGTTTATCATAATTGAATTCCCATTTGTCTGAATCTATTCTGAGATTCTTTATTCTGTAATTGTGTATTTCTATACCAATATCAAAAACTGAAAGAGGACAAGGAGCACAAACCTTTCATCTAGATTCATCAGTCTTTTGCCTGTTTTCTCTATTTTTTTCTTCTTTTTTTTTGCTTAACCATTTGATAAGTTGCAGGTATGATCTTTCAACCTCAACTATTTCAATTTTTTATTTATTTATTTATTTATTTTTTTGAGACAGAGTCTCACTCTGTCACCCAGGCTGGAGTGCAGTGGCACAATCTCGGCTCACTGCAACCTCCACCTCCTGAGTTTAAGTGCTTTTCCTGTCTCAGCCTCCCGAGTAGCTGGGACTACAGGCGCATGCCACCATGACACACTAATTTTTGCATTTTTAGTAGACATGGGGTTTTGTCATGTTGGCCAGGCTGGTCTCCAACTCCTGACCTCATGATCCGCCCACCTCGGCCTCCCAAAGTGCTGGGATTACAGGCATGAGCCACCGCCCCTGGCCTGTGATTTCTATTTCTAAAGTACAAGAATGATGTATATATTACACTCATCTTTTTTACTTAATCTGGTCAATTCTGAAAGTGGTTTATCCAAGTCCTCTACTACAGTAGATAGAATATGTGACCCAGTCTGAGAATTTCTGTCTCATAAGGAATTAACTTTTTTTTTTTTTTTTTGAGACAGAGTCTCGCCTTTGCTGCCCAGGCTGGAGTGCAGTGGCGCGATCTCAGCTCACTGCAGTCTCTGCCTCCAGGGTTCAAGCAATTCTCCTGCCTCAGCCTCCAGAGTAGCTGGGATTACAGGCGCCCGCCACCACACCTGGCTAACTTTTATTTCTTATTTTTATTTTTTGAGACAGAGTCTCACTCTGTCGCCAGGCTGGAGTGTAGTGGCGCAATCTCGGATCACTGTAACCTCTGCCTCCCGCGTTCAAGTGATTCTCCTGCCTCAGCCTCCCGAGTAGCTGGGATCACAGGTGCACGCCACCATGTCCAGCTAACTTTTGTATTTTTAGTAGAAACGGGGTTTCACCATGTTGGCCAGGATGGTCTCAATCTCTTGACTTTGTGATCCACCTATCTCAGCCTCCCAAAGTGCTGGAATTACAGGTGTGAGACACTGTGCCCAGCCAGGAATTAACATTTTTGATAACTGATGTTTCGTTTTATGTCTTTCATAATAATTTCATGTTTACTTTTCTTATGCTTTTTCAAATGTTCTATTAACTATTTCTTTTCTATAGCGTTTATTTTCCTACACTTAATAACTTTAACTATTTTCCTATCAATTAAAAATGTACTCCAAGGGCAGGAGGCAGTGGCTCATGCCTGTAATCCCAGCACTTTGGGAGGCTGAGGCGCGTGGATCACAAGGTCAGGAGATCGAGACCATCCTGGCCAACATGGCGAAACCCGGTATCTACTAAAAATACAAAAATTAGCCAGGCATGGTGGTGTGAGCTTGTAGTTCTAGCTAGTCAGGAAGCTGAGGCAGGAGAATTGCTTGAACTCAGGAGGCGGAGGTTGCAGTGAGCTAAGATCACACCACTGTACTCCAGCCTGGGCGACAGAGCGAGACTCCGTCTCAGAGAAAAACAACAACAACAACAACAGCAAAAAACAACTCTATACATCCATTTAGAATGCCTTTCCTTCTCCAATATACCCAACCCAATGCTTACTCTGAGCCAAGGCAAGCCCTTTAAAATTATTTTACTTACACACTTCTTCCCTCCCCAATCTTCAGTTTTGTGGAAGTTAGCACTGGTAGATTCCTACTATTAGGTTTTCTCTTACTATGTTTTAAAATAATTTTTGAATTGAATACTTGACAATACACATTATCATCCATTTATATTTTACTAAATTCATCACTCAGGCCATGCACAGTGGCTCACGCTTGTAATCCCAGCACTTTGGGAGGCTGAGGCAGGCAGATCACCTGAGGTCAGGAGTTCAAGACTAGCCTGGCCAACATGGCGAAACCGTCTCTACTAAAAATACAAAAATTAGCTGGGTGTGGTGGCAGGCACCTGTAATCCCAGCTACTGGGGAGGCTGAGGCAGGAGAATTGCTTGAACCTGGGAGGCAGAGGTTGCAGTGAGCCAAGACTGTGTCCTGCACTTCAGCCTAAGCAATAAGAGTGAAACTCTGACTTTAAAAAAAAAAAAAAAAGATACAAAGATTAGCTGGGCGTGGCCAGGCACAGTGGCTCACGCCTGTAATCCCAGCACTTTGGGAGGCCGAGGTGGGCAGATCATGGGGTCAGGAGATCTAGACCATCTTGGCTAACACGGTGAAACCCCATCTCTACTAAAAATACAAAAAAAAATTAGCCAAGTATGGTGGCAGGCACCTGTAGTCCCAGCTACTCAGGAGGCCGAGGCAGGAAATTGGCGTGAACCCGGGAGGCAGAGCTTGCAGTCAGCTGAGACTACGCCACTGCACTCCAACTTGGGCGACAGAGTGAGACTCCGTCTCAAAAAAAAAAAAAAAAATTAGCCAGGCTTGGTGGTGGTCCCCTGTTGTCCCAGCTACTCAGAAGGCTGAAGCAGGAGAATTGCTCGAGCCTGGGAGGCAGAGGCTGCAGTGAGCCAAGATCACGCCACTGCACCCCAGCCTGGGTGACACAGCAAGACCCTGTCTCAAAAAATATAAATAAATAAATAAATAAATTCATCACTCGTAGTTTTTTTTTTTTTTTTTTTGACATGGAGTCTCACTCTGTTGCCCAGGCTAAAGTGCAGCTGCACGATCTCGGGTCACTGCAACCTCTGCCTCCTGAGTAGCTGGAATTACAAGTGTGTAACACCATGCCTGTGCCTGGCTAATTTCTGTATTTTTAGTAGAGATGGGGTTTCACTATGTTGGCCAGGCTCGTCTAGAACTCCTGAACTCAGGTGATCCGCCCACCTCGGCCTCCCGAAGTGCTGGGATTACAGATATGAGCCACCACACTGGCCGAGTTGTTTCTTATATTCATCATCTTCCCCTAACTTCCTATCTTTGTAAAATAGTTCAAAAGGCTACCTGAGGATTTATCATTCTAAGCCAGTGTCCAAAACATCTTTTTTTTTTTTATGGATGTACCACAGTTTTTTAAAAATTATTATTATACTTTAAGTTTTAGGGTACATGTGCACAATGTGCAGGTTAGTTACATATGTATACATGTGCCATGCTGGTGTGCTGCACCCATTAACTCGTCATTTAGCATTAGGTGTATCTCCTAATGCTACAAAACATCTTTTGCCTTCATGTTTGAATAAAAATGTTGTATGGCCTGGCGTGGTGGCTCAGGCCTGTAATCCCACCACTTTGGGAGGCCAAGGTGGGTGGATCATTTGAGGTCAGGAGTTCTAGAAAAGCCCGGCCAATATGGTGAAACCTTGCCTCTACCAAAAATACAAAAATTAGCCGGGCATGGTGGTGGGCGCCTGTAGTGTCAGCTACTCAGGAGGCTGAGGCAGGAGAATCGCTTGAACTCGGGAGGTGGAGGTAGCAGTGAGCCAAGATCGCGCCACTGCACTCCAGCCTGGGCGACAGAGCGGAACTGTGTCTTAAAAAAAAAAAAAAAAAAAAAAAGTTGTAACATGAGTATTTCCATGTAAATGTGCTAAAAAAAAAATTAGTTGTAACAGAATTCTGAGATGTCTGTGCTTCCTGTTGATAATCTATTGTCAATAATTCCAACTTTCAATGTTGTAGAAAATCAATTTTCTTTCCTTTTAAAAATCCTGTTCTAGGCTGGGTGCAGTGGCTCACACCTATAATCCTAGCACTTTAGGAGGCCAAGGGAGGTGGATCACTTGAGGTGAGGAGTTTGAGACCGGCCCTGGCCAACATGGTGAAACCCCATCTCTAGTAATACAAAAACTAAGCCAGGCATGGTGGCGCACAGCTGTAGTCCCAGCTACTCGGGAGCCTGAGGCAGGAGCACTGCTTGAACCTGGGAGGCAGAGGTTGCAGTGAGCTGAGATGGTGCATTCCAGCCTGAGCAACAGACTGAGACTGCATCTCAAAAAATAAAAATAAGCTGGGCGCAGCAGCTCACGCCCAGCACTTTGGGAGGCCAAAGGGGGTGGATCACGAGGTCAAGAGATTGAGGCCATCCTGGCCAACTTGGGCGAAACCCCGTCTCTAAAAATGCAAAAATTAGCTGGACATGGAGGTGCACGCTTGTAGTCCCAGCTACTCGGGAGGCTGAGGCAGGAGAATTGCTTGAACCTGGGAGGCAGAGGTTGCAGTGAGCTGAGATGGTGCCACTGCATTCCAACCTGAGCATCAGAGGGAGACTGCATCTCAAAAAATAAAAATAGGCCAGGTGCGGTGGCTCACGCCTGTAATCCCAACACTTTGGGAGGCCAAGGGGGTGGATCATGAGGTCAAGAGATTGAGACCATCCTGGCCAACATGGTGAAACCCCGTCTCTAAAAATACAAACATTAGCTGGGCGTGGTGGCACATGCTTGTAGTCCCAGCTACTGGGGAGGCTGAGGCAGGAGAATCACTGGAACCTGGGAGGCGGAGGTTGCAGTGAGCCAAGATTGCGCCACTGCACTCCGGCCTGGTGACAGAGCAAATCTCCGTCTCAAAAAAATAAATAAAAATTTAAAAATCCTGTTCTAGACGACAGCTTAAGATGTTTTAACAAATTCATATATTTCACCAGATTTTGGATAGGTAAGAGCAATTTTTTCCCAGTACTACTGCCTGGAAGTCAGCAAACCCTTTCAATTTATCAACTTAGGGCTTTATTGTGTCTTCAGCTGTTTTTCCCCTCCTGAAATGCCTCTTAGACATATTGGTTTCCAGCAGTGTCCTTTTATATTGTCTATGGAATTTTAAAATACAGAAATCTTTTAGGTTTTACAATCTTTCTCCACTAGTTTCATCTTTTAAGAATTCTCATTAAAATTCAAATATAGGCCTGGTGCGGTGGCTCACGCCTGTAATCCCAGCACTTTGGGAGGCCGAGGTGGGCGGATCACAAGGTCAGGAGATTGAGACCATCCTGGCTAACACGGTGAAACCCCATCTCTCCTAAAAATACAAAAAATTAGCCAGGCATGGTGGCAAGCGTCTGTAGTCCCAGCTACTCAGGAGGCTGAGGCAAGAGAATGGCATGAACCCGGGAGGTGGAGCTTGCAGTGAAATGAGATCATGCCACTGCACTCAGGCCTGGGCAACAGAGCAAGACTCCGTTTCAAAAAAAAAAAAAAAAAAATTCAAGCATAGTTCTCTTCTGTTTCTTTCATTAATCTACCTCCATAGGCACCATCTTTTCTCATTCCCTTGGACTCTGTTTTGAACCACTGTGATCCTTACCTTATTTGCATATTTTTTAATCGTATTTTACGCATATATACGTTTAAGCATACTTCCTTTGGCAGTTAAAGAGGATCGCAACATTTTTCAATTGGTCTGTTTTCCACTCTGAAGTCTGTGAAAAGCACCGAATTTTTTGTTTTACTATTTGGCACAGTAAGGTAACGATTAAAAAACATGGGCTCTGGGCTGGGCGCGGTGGCTCACACCTGTAATCCCAGCACTTTGGGAGGCCAAGGCCGTTGGATCACGAGGTCAGGAGATCGAGACCATCCTGGCTAACACGGTGAAACCCCGTCTCTATTAAAAATACAAAAACAAAAGTAGCCAGGTGTGGTGTCGGGTGCAGCTACTCAGGAGGCTGAGGCAGAAGAATGGCATGAACCCTGGAGGTGGAGCGTGCAGTGAGCCGAGATCGCGCCACTGCACTCCAGCCTGGGCAACAGAGCAAGACTCCGTTTCAAAAACAACAACAACAACAACAACAACAAAAACCCATGGGCTCTGGAACCAGGCTGCTTTACTAACTGTGTGACCATGGCAAGTTACTTAACCTGAGTCTCGGTTTCCTCATCTGTTGCATGGGAATTAATAATAGTACCTAGTTAGAGAACCTAGCACATAACAATTGGCATTAACTATCTCGGTGATTAAATATTTAGGGCAGTTAAAGGTCTCTAGACCAAGGGACAAGGTAAAAATTAGAGATCTTAAATCTACAGAGGTGAAACAATGTCACAAGAAAATCCCAAAGTCTACCCTAATCTCAACTGTAGTGTAACAAGGGTAATTAGGTGAGAGCAAGAATGGGTCATCCTAACTGATAAAAGCTCAAGTACATTAGAAATGCCACCCAAATTTATACAAACTGATATAAGAAGCAGAGGCTATTCAAATTCTCCAAACGTGTGCCCATCCAATATGGTGGCCATCGGCTACACAGATCTATTTAATTAAAATTTAGTTCTTCATTTACACTAGCCACATCTCAAGTGCTCATAACCACACACAGTACCTACATCATTGGACAGCACCACTCTAAACAATGAAAAAATTAAGAAAAAAGGGAGTTTTTTGGAACTGAACCTTAGCCTATATCAAATGCAAACTATTCATGCACCTGTGCAACAGGTGGTCTAGATCACAAAGGCAATGACTTGGACAACTTTAATCTTAGACCACAGTCAGAAGACGTAGGTTCAAATCCCAGCTATGCTACATAGCCACCTTAAAGTACCCTAGACCTGTCACTAAATCACACAGCACCACATAATGGTTAAGAGCATAGAATCTCTGGACTATCTGGATTTGAATTCCGACTATCATAGCTCTGTGACATTGGGAAAGTTACTTCACGTCTCATTTGTTATCTTCATTTTACAGTAGGGCCTACCTTCTAGCTATGTTGTGGATCAAATTAGTTAATATTTGTAAAGGCAATGAGAACAATGCCTGGCATTATTGTTATATAAATATTTGCTAAATAAAAATAATCTTTCAGGCTTCTATTTCTTTAATTCCCAAATGGGCAAGATAAAACTTGCTCTGTTGGGAGGCCGACGGGGGCGGATCACAAAGTCAGGAGATCGAGACCATCCTGGCTAACACGGTGAAACCCTGTCTCTACTAAAAATACAAAAAATTAGCCGGCGTGGTGGCAAGCGCCTGTAGTCCCAGCTACTAGGGAGGCGGAGGCAGGAGAATCGCTTGAACCCGGGGAGGCGGAGGTTGCAGTGAGCCAATTGCGCCACTGCACTCCAGCACTCCAGCCTGGCGACAGAGTGAGACTCCATCTCAAAAAAAAAAAAAAAAAAAAACTTGCTCTGCCCATTTCACGTTTCATGATAATGAATGACAATAGGATGTAAATTACAAGAAAATGTTTTAAAAGCACAAAAGGTTATTAGATTACAAGGGGGCAGAGGTCTTGCCTTCCACATTCTTTAATCTCCCACAGTATCAACCAAATTGCTGTGCTAAGTGTTCAAGTTTTTCACTAAAACTGGAGCATCACACTCTAGAGTCATAAAGTGATAAACCTGAATAAAGTGCAGAGTGCTTATTTAAGGAAAAGCCTGCTATAAACTCATTCTGACCAAAAGAGGGTGAAATTACCTACCTCAATTTGAGTTCCTAAGGAGCAACGTGCACAGCCTTGAATCATTAGAGGAAATCTCCATTCCCTAACCTCCATCCCTTAAAGAAACACAAGTGGGTTCTATAGTTCTTGTCAAGTTACCTATCCTGTGATTTTGTGTGTGTGTGAAAAAGTTTTATTCAAGTTCACAACTGACAAGTAGTATAAACAGACTAATTTTCCCCAAATATCCTGTCTTTCACTAACTGGAAACAGAATCACAAAAGCAAATAGTGGAGTCTCATTAAAAATTATTGTAGAGAACTTTTACTTATTGCAAACACAACCTACGCCAGAAGAAATTTCAAAAGCGACTTAATGAAAATATAAACCAACACCTGATCTAACTGTGCTAATGAAATCTGTGAAAAAACAATGCCACCACGTTTCAACATTAGCCAGCACACCCAACATGAACATCTACTTTCCGTTGAAATAAACGTCAAAGGCTGTCAGCTGCTACACCTTCCAAGGCAAATTGGAAGCCAAATTCTTTCTAGAGTTTGGGGTTTTTATGAGTTGATACGGGTGCCAAATCAGGGAAAAAAGAAACAAAAGGAAGCAGGTAAGACCCCTTTTAGGAGTCCCTAAAAAATATCACTGCTGGCTGCTGCAACAAATGTTTTGAAGACCTAAGTTCACCACAAGCCTTATTTATTTCTGGTGGCGATGGTGGGGAAGGAGGAGAGTAAGCACAGAAAATTATTAAAAGGTAAGAGGACCTTAAAGTTCATCTAACTCAACGCCCTCCTAGGGTAAGGGTTCCCAGTACCCCAAAGGTTCTTTTTTCCAGGGCATGAGCTGCAATACAACCAAAAATAAGGGGTAGCGATGGCGAAGAAACGGGAGAAAGACGATCTTCTGATCAGGCCCGTCGACGGTTGCAGCGTTCCCCCAAGACGCCAAGAGCCCGCCAGTCCCTCCGCCCCTCTCTCCCCAAACCCCAGCCTCGGCTGAGGCGCGCACGCGCAGCAAGTAGGGGCTGCGCGTGGCGACGCGCAGGCGTAAAGTGGGTAGAAACAATAAGCTTTGTTGCCGAGGCGGTGGGAGGGGGGCAGGGGAAAGGGTACCCGGCGGAGGGATAAAGGACCGGGAGAATGAGGAACAGGAGAAAGTGCTATCCCGGCAACCCTCGCGCCACTGAGGACCCGGATAGAGAGCTGCGAGATCCAAATCATTAATAATGACAATGAAAAAAAAGCGACGGCCATGTCTCGGAGAAGACAGAGACGAAGTCGGCCCAAGCTCATCCCTCAGACTTGGTGGAAAGAGGCAATGAACAACGGAGGCCGCAATGGACTCGGTGGCCAACCACCCAGGGAACCCTTTAGGCCCCTCTGCCGTCGCCGACTTGCTGTCCCTCGACCTCCGCACCCCTGTCGCCACTCTGCCCGAGAGGACCCCTCACCCAATGCACAGCAGCGGGGACGGCAGCCAACGAATCCTGTCGGCCTCCGCGGATCTCCACAGGCAGCGCCGCTCCCCCGCTCGACGTGCGCTTCGCCCGCCGCCTCCCTTCTCCAGTCCAAACAAACACCCCAGCCCGGAAGTGACTTCACTTCCGTCGCCGCCAACCCCGCCCTCTTGTTCTGTCAGCTCTGCCCTCCGAAGCCACTAGAGAGCGCGCGCGAGAACGCGCGACCCCGAAGTCTGTCTCCAAGGCTGCACACGTGTGCACGCGCAGCAGCCTTTCCAGCGCGCCCCTACGGCCGGCTGCCGGGTGTAGCAGGAACGCTGTCGCACGTTCTCTCTGGAAGGCAGGAATGGGGGCGTACCACTGTTCCCACACCCGCCCATCTTCCGAGAATGATGATATGCAATGAGTGAGGCAGCTGGGGACTGAAGAGCACCCTGACAAGATACACAGGCGTGGACTTTCACAGACATCACACACCCCCCCAAAAACGTAATATTTAGGTAATGACATAGCACACACATACCCATACACACCCCAAGAATGATACACAATGTCACACAAACAGCGACATGCACCGAGTCACGTCAAGATCCTGACACAGAAAAATAATAAACTAAGGGAAATCACAGAGGCGTACTAAATGATATGCAAACATCCGCACTCAGACATGTGCAGGCACAAAAACACACTTTTTGAAGCTGGATGCAAACGCAAAATACAAATACATGTGCAACTTCTTTGTGGCTAAAGGAGGAAATGCCCTGTCCACACAGGATAGAAAAGTGTGACCTCCGGGTTCAAGAATTTTGTAGTCCGTGATCCTGGGTGCACTGGCCCCATAGTTATTCTTACCCATGCTTCCTTCCTGTCATCGTTGACAAGCCCCAAGATATATTTCTAGTGACACTAAGCAATGTAAAGAAGAGAGTATGTTTTTGTTTTTTTGTTTTGTTTTGTTTTTTTGAGGCGGAGTCTGGCTCTCTTGCCCAGGCTGGAGTGCAGTGGCGCCATCTCGGCTCACTGCAACCTCCGCCTCCCGGGTTCAAGAGATTCTCCTGCCACAGCCTCCCAAGTAGCTGGGACTACAGGCGCACGCCAGCACACCCGGCCAATTTTTGTACTTTTAGTAGAGATAGGGGTTTCACCGTGTTGGCCAGGATGGTCTCGATCTCCTGACCTCGTGATCCACCCGCCTCCGCCTCTCAAAGTGCTAGGATTACAGGTGTGAGCCACCGCACCCGGCCGAGAGTATGTGTTTTACAAATCTGGATGTTCAAATGTGTAGATACTATCTTTGAAAAAGGGACACAAACTAATTTCTTCCCTTTGGAGAGGGCAAATGACCGACTAGGAAATGGGTGCAAATAACTATCCTTTTCTCCTGAAAAATTTGAATCTTTTAAAAACTATATGCTTGTAGTATTTACTAAGACAAAAAATTCCCTCCATGGGAAGGCTTGAATTTAGAAACCGGGTTGTTCCTCTTCAGAGCTATTTCATTCACTGAATACTCTTCTGGGCCAGTCCAAAGCCCCAAAGAAATGAATGCAGATGGTTCTGCCCTAGCTCCTGGGTCAACCACCTTGGCAGCACTTACAGATCTATATTCTAAACTGTGAAGATAAGCTATCAATCTGAGGCTGAAGGAAGTCTGAACATAACAAAATAGGTATTTATATAGTCTGAGATGACTCAGACTCTCTTTTTAAGACACAGTCTTCCATCACCCAGGCTGGAGTGCAGTGGCATGATCACGGTTCACTACAGCCGCAACCTCCCTGGCTCAAGCAATCCTCAAACCTCAGCTTGCAAAGTAGCTGAGACCACAGGTGTGTACCACCATGCCTGGCTAATTTTTGAATTTTTTGTAGAAATGAGGTTTTGCCATATTGCCCAGGCTGGTCTTGAACTCCTGGGCTCAAATGATCTGCCCGCTTCAGCTTCCCAAGGTGCTGGGATTACAGCCGTGAGCCACAGGGCCTGGCCTAACCCAGACTCTCTTAAAAGGTAAGCATGAGGCCAGGTGCGGTGGCTCACACCTGTAATCCCAGCACTTTGGGAGGCTGAGGCGGGCAGATCATGAGGTCAGGAGTTTGAGACCAGCCTGGCCAACATGGTGAAACCCTATCTCTAATAAAAATACAAAAATTAGCCGGATGTGGTGGCACATGCCTGTAGTCTCAGCTACCCGCGAGGCTGAGGCAGGAGAATCGCTTGAACCCGGGAGGAGGAGGTTGCGGTGAGCCCAGAGCATGCCATTGCATTCCAGCCTGGGTGACAGAGTGAGACTCTGTCTTAAAACAAACAAATAAACAAAAAGGTAAACATGAGATAATTGAATTTGTTATTTAGTAACACAAGCCACTTAACTGGTTATAATGGTAATAAAAAATATTTGATAAATCATGTGAAACACTCAAAGGCCAATGCTGTTTTTCCCACACAAAGGGGTTAAGATCTCAATTTCCAGATCGCACTGAGAGTTCACCACAGTGGCTAAGCGTCAGGGGCCCAGTATTTCCTTGGCATTCTCTAGACATAAGGACACTCTGCTCACATGCAAAATAAACTTCAATGTAGCAATATTATACTTGGATAGTGATGGTGATGATCTATACATGGAAAACAAAATAATGAAGGCTAACAAGTTTGCTAATGGTAAGGAGAGACACTGCAATGGGACCAACAGAGAGATCCAGTTTTAAAACACTGCAAAAATTTACCTATCTGGTTCACATAGTAACCATCTTAAGATGGAGGTTGAAGTAGAAATCAGAAGGCCCAGGATGGCTATGAGTAGGCCCCCACTGTAAATTACCACCTTCCTACAGACCCCTCATTTCTCATCAATAATGTAAAAAGTATGTACCTTCTTACCCAAACATTCCAAATATAGGAATCTACCCAAATGGACAGATGTAAAGAGAGACATGTAAGAATATTTATAGCCTGGTTATAAAACCCAAAAGATCAAAATGCCTATCAACAGGAAATTGGTTAAATGAATAATGATGCATTAAAATAGTTATTTAAAATATGTATATTCATTGATATAGAATATATCAATGCTTTTTAAAAGAGCAGGTTGCAAAACAGCATGTTTGTAAAATCTTTCAAAATTTTATATGTAAACAGGCACGAGTAGGTATAAATGCCAAGTATCTGATAGAATGGTCATCAAAATGTTAATAGCAGTATTTCTGGGTGGTCAGATTTCTTTTTTTTTTTTTTTTTTTTTTTTTTTTTTTGAGATGGAGTCTCGCTCTGTAGGCCAGGCTGGAGTGCAGTGGCACGATCTCGGCTCACTGCAATCTCTGCTTCCCAGGTCCCAGTTCAAGTGATTCTCCTGCCTCAGCCTCCCAAGTAGCTGAGACTGCAGGCGCGCACCACCATGCCCAGCTAATTTTTGTATTTTTAGTAGAGACGGGGTTTCACCATGTTGGCAAGGCTTGAACTCCTGACCTCGTGATCCGCCTGCCTCGGCCCCCCAAGGTGCTGGGATTACATGCGTGAGCCACCGTGCCCGGCCTTCCTGGTGGTCAGATTTCAAAGGAGTCAATATTTTCTGAATTTTAAAAATATTGTCTAAATTCTCTAGGAAAGCTTGAATTGCATATTGCATTTATAAACAAGAAAACACACCCCCCCAAAATGAACTCTTACATAGGTTCCTATAGTGCTTCAGTAATGGTTCCTATGCTCCTTTGTATCAAGGTAGGCAGAGAATGTAGCTAGCTAGCGTAGGTATGTAGGGTTGAGTAAGGGCCTAACACTGCAGGGTAAGCAAAGGTCCCTGCTCTGAATGAGAAGGTGAGGGGATCAAGTATTATTCAACTTTTAAAATGCCTACTTATGCCTGCACTGATCTAGGCACTAAGGATACACAGACAGTAAGTGGTGGGTTTTCCTAAAAAAGTTGTTTAGTGAAGTTTAAAACTCACCTGGCCTTAAAGAGCCAAACTTGGCCAGGCGCGGTGGCTCACGCTTGTAATCTCAGCACTTTGGGAGGCCGAGGCAGGTGGATCACGAGGTCAAGAGATTGAGACCATCCTGGCTAATACAGTGAAACCCAGTTTCTACTAAAAATACAAAAAATTAGCCAGGTGTGGTGGCATGCACCTGTTACCTTAGCTACTCAGGAGGCTGAGGCAGGAGAATCGCTTGAATCTAGGAGGCAGAGGTTGCAGTGAGCTGAGATCTCGCCACTGCACTCCAGCCTGGGTGACAGAGCAAGACTCCGTCTCAAAAAAAAAAAAAAAAGTAAAATATTCTTCGGGTGGGCGCGGTGGCTCATGCCTGTAATCCCAGCACTTTGGGAGGCCGAGGTGGGTGGATCACGAGGTCAGAAGATCGAGACCATCCTGGCTAATACAGTGAAACCCAGTTTCTACTAAAAATACAAAAAATTAGCCGGGCGTGGTGGCGGGCGCCTGTAGTCCCAGATACTCGGGAGGCTGAGGCAGGAGAATGGCGTGAACCCGGGAGGCGGAGCTTGCAGTGAGCCGAGATCGCGCCACTGCACTCCAACCTGGGCGACAGAGAAAGACTCCGTCTCAAAAAAAAAAAAAAAAAAAAAAAAAAAAGAGCCAAACTTGTGTAGTTTGAATATGCAGCATGAGCAGGATTTGGAAAATGTGTAGGTGTAGAATAGGTAAACGTTTTTGCAGAATCATCATGTGTGCCTACAGACGTGCTGAATAACTGGAAAGGCAGAAGCAATTCCTCTTTTCCAGCTGGGAAAACCGTTCCCTGCTGACTTTGTGCAGCTCAGCCTTTTTTTTTTTTTTTTTGAGACGGAGTCTTTTTTTTACGCCCGTCTAATTTTTTTGTATTTTTAGTAGAGACGGGGTTTCACCATGTTAGCCAGGAGCAGCTCAGCTTTTTTTGTTGTTGTTTCCATGTTCTCCCCATGTTCACCTCTCTAGAAGCTTGCCTTTTAAAATAACATGGGCCAGAGATACACTTGGAGTTTCAGCAGAAGCAGCCAAAATCAGGAAAATGAACTAGGAGTTATCATGAAAGTCTCACTATCCTTCACACCAATCATCACTTAAACTGCAGTCCCTTTCCACAGGCTATCACACCATAAAGCAGGTTTCCCTATTCAAATAGGGCATAGGCTGGGTTCTGTGGCTCACACCTATAATCCCAGCACTTTGGGAGGCCGAGGCAGAAGGAATGCTTGAGGCCAGGAGTTCAAAACCAGCCTGGGAAACTTACCAAAACTCTGTGTTCAGAAAGAATGTAAAAAAATAGCTAAGTGTGGTGGCACATTCTTATAAGTCCCAGTTACTCGTAGGCTGAGGCAGGAGGCTTGCTTGAGCCCAGGAGTTCAAGGCTGCCATGAGCTACTAGTGTGCCACTGCACCCCAACCTGGTAAGGCGGTGACGCTGTCTCTAAAAAAAAAGGTGGGGGTGGGCCAGGTACACTGGCTCGCGCCTGTAATCCTAGCACTTTGGGAGGCCGAGGTGGGCGAATCACTTGTCAGTTTGAGACCAGCCTGGCCAACATGATGAGACCCCTGTCTCTTCTAAAAGTACAAAAATAAAAATTAGCCAGGTGTGGTTGCACACCTGTAGTCACAGCTACTGGGGAGGCTGAGGCAGGAGAGTCACTCAAAACTGGGAGGCGGAGGTTGCAGTGGGCTATCACGGCATTGCACCCCAGCCTGGGTGTCAGAGCGAGAACCCCTCTCAAAAACAAACTAAAAACAAAACCACCACCAACAAACTAGGGTTTATGCAAGTGTAGGAAAAAAAGTAAAAAGTGCCAGGCATGATGACTTATGCCTATAATCCCAGCGCATTGGGAGGCCAAGGTAGGGGCATCTCTTGAGCCCATGGATTTGAGACCAGCCTGAGCAACATAGCAAGACCGCATCTTCTACACACAGACACACACACACCCCCTACAAAAATTAGCTGGGCATGGCAGTGCATGGCTGTAGCCCTAGCTACTTGAGAGGTGGAGGTAGGTGAATCACTTGAGTCCAGGAGTTCGAGGCTGCAGTGAACTATGATTGTGTCATTCATTGCCAGACCCCATCTCAAAGAAAAAAAAAAAAAAAGGCAGGAAGTCAATATAAGTAGAGTTGGTAGTTACGAAAGTAGCTGGGATCTAATTGCTCTGTGATGTTTCGAATTTTCCTATTATGTACGAAAACAAACTCTTCCATTTAAATCTCAAAAGCCAAATGGCCAATGAGAAGCCGCTACTTCTGATTTAACAACCCTGTCAAAGTTGAGCCAACTGAAATTGGTCCTGTTTTTGATAGGCAGGGGCAAGGAGTGAAACTTGAAAAGCATTTTGTCCTAATCAAAGACAGGACTCCTGCTGCTCTTTGTGTATACCCTTTTGGATCAGGTCCTTAGAAGAAACTCCTCATAGGCTGGGCGCAGTGGCTCACACCTGTAATCCCAGCACTTTGGGAGGCTGAGGGGGGTGGATCACGAAGTCAGGAGATCGAGACCATCCTGGCTAACACGGTGAAATCCTGTCTCTACTAAAAATACAAAAAATTAGCCAGACGAGGTGGTGGGCCCCTGTAAGTCCCAGCTACTCAGGAGGCTGAGGCAGGAGAATAGCGTGAACCCGGGAGGCGGAGCTTGCAGTGAGCCGAGATCGCGCCACTGCACTCCAGCCTGGGCAACAGAGCGAGACTCTGTCTCAAAAAAAAAAAAAAAAAAAAAAACTCCTCATAAATATTACCATGTATGAAGCATATCATTGTTCAAAGAAAGGTCATTAATCCTGTACCGAATACCAGGTACTTCCAACCCAAGTATACAAATCCTGCTGAAGTGAGATGTTTATTGACTTTTGTGTACTACACTCAATAGACTACCCCCTTCCTTAAAAGCGTTTAGTCTTTTCACCAATTTTCATATCCCCAATTATATATTTGACTTTAGAGTTCTTAAAATTGTATGGAAATAACTTTTTTTTTTTTTGAGCTGGAGTCTCAGTCTGTCGCCGAGGAAGGAGTGCAGTGGCGCTATCTCCGCTCACTACAACCTCTGCCTCCGGGGTTCAAGCGATTCTCCTGCCTCAGTCTCCTAAGTAGCTGGGATTACAGTCCCCTACCACCATGCCCGACTAATTTTTGTATTTTTAGTAAAGACGGGGTTTCACCATGTTGGCCAGGCTGGTCTCAAACTCCTGACCTGTGTGATCCGCCCGCCTCAGCCTCCCAAAAGTGCTGGGATTACAGGCCTGAGCCACTGTGCTGGGTGTGAAATTACAACTAAGGCTAGAATTAACAATTCAGAGGCCAGGAGTGGTGGCTCACACCTGTTATCCCAACACTTTGGGAAACCCAGGTGGGTGGATTACTTGAGTCCAGGAGTTTGAGAGACTAGCCTGGGCAATATGGCAAAACCCCTCTACAAAAAATACAAAAATTAGCTGGGTGTGGTGGCATGCACTTGTAGCCCCAGCTACTGTGGAGACTGAGATGTGGGAATCACCTGAGCCTGGGGAGGTGGAGGTTGCAGTGAGCCATGATCACACCACAGCACTCCAACCTGGATGACAGAGTGAGACCCTGTCTCAACAACAAAAAACAAGAAAACTTCAAAGGCAGGACACGACCAAAAACTTTTAAGGACAAATCCTTTAAAATTAACATAATTGTGGTGGGCACAGTGGCTCACATCTGTAATCCCAGCACTTTGGGAGGCTGAGGCCACGATCGCCTGAGGTCAGGAGTTCAAGACTAGCCTGGCCAACATAGTGAAGCCCTGTCTCTACCTGTAATCCCAGCTACTCAGGAGGCTGAGAATAGCCTGAACCCAGGAAACAGAGGTTGTAGTGAGCCGAGACCACACCATTGCATTCCAGCCTGGGCAACAACAGCAAAACCATGTCTCAAAAAAATAAAAAATATAATTGATTCTCTTCAAAATTAATCATGTTACTTCTTGACTGTTCTCATCAAGAATTTTTTCAACTAACCTCCATAGGGAGTTATTTTGACAAAACTCAAGTTTCAGACTGCTATTACCCAATTACTAGTGCTTTAACTGAGATCCATCAGCAAGTTAGATCTGCCAGTGACAGAATTAACCATTTCCATTTTTCCATTCACATTAAATTTCAACAAACTACCTGTTATCAAGCATCATCATTAGCTCCTATGTAGCGCTTGAGGGGTGCAAAATTAAGGAAAAACAAAAAGATACAAACCACTTGGCCAGGCAAAATGGCAAATTCCTGTTGTAGTTCTATTCCACTAACATGCCTTGCAATTTCTTACCACATACCCAACAAAATTACAAAACTTTATGTTTGGCAAAAAAATGAAGGATAACAGTATCTACGGCTCTGAAAGAGGTTGTCTCCCATAAATGATTTTTTTTTTAAAAAAGGTGACTAATTTTGCATTTTAAACGCTTTAAAAAGGGTAGCAAAATCAGTACCTCAGGCAATAGTAACCAAGCCAGGTAGGATCTGGTTACGAACACCTACCACCAACACATCTTCAGTTATAGGTAAAAGTTCTCAAAGCTTGATGTCACTGACATTTCCATCACCTGGAAACTTGTTAAAAATGCAAATCAGGCCGGGTGCGGTGGCTCACCTGGGAACCGAGTGGGAGGCCGAGGGAAGATTGAGGTCAAGAGTTAGAGACCAGCCTGGCCAACGTGGTGAAACCCTCTCTACTAAAAATACAAAAATTGATTTGGCTGATCTGGCTGGCTAAACCGGTGTCCCCTTACTCCCTCAATGCTCCAAGTGTGTCCCTCCCGACCCTCCCGAAGCTGTGCAGTGTGTCGAAGAGGACAACCATCACCAATAGAGGACCGGTCTTCCTTTAAGGGTATATGTGTAGCTGGGTTTCCATTAAAACCTCCAATCTCTCAAAAATGCAAATTATCAGTACTCATCCCAAACTTAGGAAATTAGAAAACCTGGCAGGGAGCCAGCAATGCTTTAACCTGTAGGTAATTTTGATGTATGCAAACATTTGAAAACAATTTGTTTTTGAGAGTGTCTCGCTCTGTCACCCAGGCTGGAGGGCAGTGGCACCATCTCGGCTCACCGCAAGCTTCACCTCCTGGGTTCACACCATTCTCCTGCCTCAGCCTCCCAAGTAGCTGGGACTACAGGGCCCCGCCACCATGCCGGGCTAATTTTTTGTATTTTTAGTAGAGATGAGGTTTCACCATGTTAGCCAGGATGGTCTCGATCTCCTGACCTCATGATCCGCCCGCCCCGGCCTCCCAAAGTGCTGGGATTATAGGCGTGAGCCACCGTGCCTGGCTGAAAACAATTCATTTTAAAGGAAAATAATTCCTGTAACTATTTATTTGTGCACCACTGTTGATTTTTAGAATCTTGACCTTATCATCTAATGGCCAAAGTGGGAGAGTAATTCAAACCCAGCTAGCTCAACAATGAGGTCAGGGTATAAAACAACCTCAAACTCATTAAACACAGAATACCCAGGCTTTCAGCTACACTAAACTTTATTTATGATGGAAGGCAACCAACAGACTATACTCAGAGCTGCTTCTGTCCTAGTGCAAGTTATCTTAAACAGCCCATATGCTGCTCTGCAGTGTCCCAGCAGATTTCTATTACATACCATGAGCTGCTTTTGTCACAATCTTAAGGCTGAAAAAAAATCCACTGTGAACAAAGCTAAAGTAAACAATTTCAGTACACTCTTCTCCCTGTATAACCTTACTACATGCCACAACATTCAATAGTTTACTATTTCCTTTTCCAGTCCCCATCACCTTAAAAAAAGGTGGCAGGGGAACCTGTCCTTAGCGAATTCAAATAATGGCTATTCCTAAAAAGCTCCTCAGGATGTTACCACTTAAAATCACTGGAGGGACTGGGTGTGGTGGCTCATGCCTGTAATCCCAAAACTTTGGGAGGCCAGGTAGATTACTTGAGGTCAGGAGTTTGAGCCCAGCCTGGTCAACATGGTGAAACCCCGCCTCTACTAAGAAAAATTAGCTGGGCATGGCAGTTATGCACCTGTAGTCCCAGCTACCTGGGAGGCTGAGGCAGGAGAATTCAGCCAACATCATTCCACTGCACTCCAGCCTGGGCGACACAGTCTCAAAAAAAAAAATAAATAATAATAAATAAATAAATCTCTAGAGGTACTGATGCACACACACTATGGTTGGAAATTCATATTCTTGAATAACATTTCAAATGAACTTATTTTTGGAATACTCAAAGCAATATTACAGCTATCCAATTAAAGTCTTATAAAGGACACTCTCAGATCCCAAATTTACTAGCAATCGGTCAATAAAAAAGAACTGTAAAACAAACTCAAGGTACTTCTAGAAGTTTCATTCACTTTTGTAGGATAATGTAAGATTAAACTAAGGGCTGACATAGCCGTAGGAAAAATGTTCTTAAACTTTACAGCAAACATGAGTGGAAACATTCCTACTAAAAAGAGGTTTTCTCGTAATCGAAGGGCTGTTACAGATTTATCACTAACAGCTTATTATAATTTCTGATTTCTAAATGCTCTCAAATGTAGGTATTAAAAACATAGCATTCTTTCCTTCAACTTGCTAAATCCAACAAAGTTGAAGCTATGAAAAAGCCATCACTGAAAGGAAACACTGAAGAACTCCATTGTGCACATAATGCTTTATGTACCTGCTGTTAAAAATTGGAATTAAACAGAAGTGGGTAATTAGTAAAGGCTAAAATTAAATTGCAGAAGTAAACTGGCAAGGATTTTTTGTGCATGTCACATTAAAATCATCACCTACTTTTCAACGGGAGAGATCATAAAATTTAGCCAACTATTTGAAGTATCCTTTAATAAACTGGGGTCTGAACATTTGAAAGACAATGCCTATCCTGTTTTTGTAGATTTTTTTGAAATTAAAACTTTGTTTCTTGGCCAGGGATGGTGGCTCATGCCTACAGTCCCAGCACTTTGGGAGGCTGAAGCGAGCAGATCACTTGGGCCCAGGAATTCAAGATCAACCTGGGCAACATGGCAAAGCCCCATCTATACAAAAAAACCAAAAACTAGCCAGGTATAGTGGCATGAGCCTGTAGTCCCAGCTACTCAGGAGACTGAGGTAGGAGGGTCATTTGAGCCCAAAGGCTGAGGTTGCAGAGAACTGTGCCACTGCACTCCAGTCTGGGTGACAGAGTGAGACCCTGTGTCAGGGAAGAAAAAAAAATTGTTTACAACAGATAATCCAATATACCAAGAGTCTCTACGTAATTATTTTGAAAAGCTGCAGAACTAATTCTTGCTCATCCGTATTACTTCCAATTGTACTGTTAAGTCATCAATATCTCTAAACATAAGCTTCTGTTTGTTCACCTGTAGCATTTTTAATTCATAAGGTTTTTAAAAACCACAAATGGCCTCACTTTTAGTTATGTAACAGGAACAAGAAATCCACCAGCAACAACATTTTTAAAACTCAGATCTTTAGCGGCAGTCTTTAGAATTCACTCTAGATTTAAAAGTAATAAATTGTTAAAGCATGCACAAAGTTTAAGAGCGAATAAAAACCACAACTGACAAATACGTTGGTTAACATTCCAAACATGTATAACCAATTAACATGGCCTAGGGTTTTCTTTTTATTGGTATTCACTTCAGTAACTTGAATCCACAGATATAAGCAGTATATAACCAGAAAGTTACAAGTAAACACAAATTATACATGCAAATTTCTGTTCACAAAGGTCACATGTGCAGGTACATGAATTAGAAGCGTGCATCTAGGATTATGGCCAAACTGTTTTAAAAATGCAGAAATGTAAAATTACATCTTGAAAATATGAAGAGATGGTCTACACACTTCAAAAATCAAATGTTGCTTATACCAGAGATGTATGACAATCACGGGATTCAAGTGACAAGCAGTAAGATCTCAAAAATTAATACTGGTCAAAGATAACGGGAATATTTTTGCATTTCACTGAAAATACATTGACTACTAGAATACGAAATCTAGCAGGAACTCAGGGAAAAAAATTACAAAATCTAAAGCCAATTACTTAATATTTCTTATTACCTAAACAACAGCATGACATTAACAGAAAACTGCACCTGCATTTCAATTGCCAATCTCACGTTAATTAAGTTCTCCAAAAATGAAATGCAACCAAAACGGGTTCAAACTCCAAATGAAAGTCTGCAAGGCTCAGATTAAAACATGGAATGTTTCAGATGAAAGTAATAAAAACACTATTGGTTTTGTTCTTTATTGAATGGAATAAAATGTTGACATTTCTTTGAAACTTGGAACTACTAAATTTCATTTTTCCAAATGGTTCTACATTTTTTTCTTAGTGGTGCAAGTTGTCTTAAGTAGCTTAGGAAGTCAATCTCTACAAAGTACTTCTGTCTGTTGCCATTCTGATAAAACAAAAACTATTCATTAACTTAACCATATGTGTATTTTTTTTGCTATAACACTTAACACATGAACAGACATCTATTATTTCTCCACTAAAACAAAAGAGTACAATAGTTTTCTTCTAACTATCAGTATTGTATTTAAAAAAGGTTAACATTAAAAACAAAGAACCATTATTTTCTTTGAAATCATTAAATCTCCTTGCACATCTTAAGTTTCCTTCTTCTGTCTGCGTTCTTCTGCCAATTTATTCAGAAATTTCTATAAAGAAAGAGAATTACAGCCATTAAGTCACCTAAGAGAAATGCAGCAAAATGGATTAATTCCAAAATCAAATATCCTATATCCAAGTTTAGGGACTTAAACTATAATTTTGTCAATATTTTCAACAATTAGTTAATCCTCATTAGCACACAAAAACTTTCAGGACATTACAATAAGGCACGGGGAAAAAATGGTAAAAGGTATAAAATGGGTATTTCAAATGTTATAATTAACCCTAATTTTTAGAGATGAGAAAACAAAGACCACAGTCACACTGAACTGACACTATTCAAGAACTATGGGTTTAAATGACATGCACTTTTATTCTTTTTTTTTTGAGGGAGAGTTTTGCTCTGTTGCCCAGGCTGGAGTGCAGTGTCGTGATCTCGGCTAACTGCAACCTCCACCTCCCAGGTTCAAGTGATTCTCCTGCCTCAGCCTCCCAAGCAGCTGGGATTACAGGCACCCGCCACCAAGCCCAGTTAATTTTTTTGTACTTTTGGTAGAGACGGGGTTTTCACCGTGTTGGCCAGGCTGGTCTCAAACTCCTGATCTCAGGTGATCTGCCTGTCCCCGCCTCCCAAAGTGCTGGGATTACAGGCAAGAGCTATCACATCTGGCCTCAATGCACTACTCATTAAATCACCTGAACAAACATTTTCTTGCAAGGCCAGCAGTAAATATTTTAGACTCATTGGGCCATTCAGTCTTTGTTACAACTACTCAATCCTGCACTCAATTATAAACTAAAACAACTATAGATGACACTTAAATGATTATGGCTGTGGGTTCTAATAAAACCTTACAAAAACAGATGACTGAGCCACGAGTGTAGCTTGCTGACCCCTGCCATTAAACCTGTGACTGCTAGAGTTTCTAGACACGGGAGCTCCATTAAGACACTAATGAAAGTACAAAAGACATATTAAAAAATCTAACCTAAAATGTCCAAAGCTTCTTTCCATCTCATTGGAATTTCAACTTTATATAGTTAATGCAAAATAGTAAGAATTAAAAGCCATTATATCTTTTAAAGAAAAACAACAACAACAAAAAATCACCCCACAAACATCCAGTTAGGAAAGTATCAATTTACCATTAGCAAGTTACTGTAATGCTTAACAGTTTCTTGATGAAGGTGACAAAGTTTTTTTTTTTTTTTTAATAAAAGGAAATAATAGGCCGGGCATGATGGCTCACGCCTGTAATCCCAGCACTTTGGGAGGCTGAGGCAGGCGATCACCTGAGGTCAGAAGTTCAAGACCAGCCTGGCTAACATGGTGAAACCCCGTTTCTACTAAAAATACAAAAAATTAGCCAGGCGAAGTGGCACACGCCTGTAATACCAGCTACTCGGGAGCCTGAGGCAGGAGAATTGCTTGAACCCGGGACGCAGAGGTTGCAGTGAGCTGAGATTGTGCCATTGCACTCCAGCTTGGGGAACAAGAGCAAAATTCTGTCTCAAATAAAAAAAAAATAAATAAAATATAAGGAAATAATAAAAGGAGCCACAAGAAGCACCTAGCAATCTTTTATATTATTTCCATATTCTTCTCGACAATACATATAGTTTTTGACCCCAAACAGCTTAAAATCAAAGCAGATAAAAATATTTGTACCAGGGCGGGCACTATGGCTCAGGCCTGTAATCCCAGCATTTTGGGAGGCTGAGGTGGGAGGATCATCTGAAGCTGGGAGTTCAAGACCAGTCTGACCAACATGGAGAAACCCCATTTCCACTAAAAATACAAAATTAGCTGGGCATGGTGGCGCATGCCTGTAATCCCAGATACTCAGGAGGCTGAGGCAAGAGAATGGCTTGAACCTGGGAGGCGGGGGTTGGGGTGAGCCAAAATCGCGCCATTGCACTTCAGCCTTGGGCAACAAGAGCAAAACTGTCTCAAAAAAATAAAATAAAATAATTTGTACTACATTGCTGCTACCATTGCAAATAGCCACAATTCTTTCTTCATATACAGGATGGTAAAAGACATATAGGTGGCAAAGAGCAGTTACATTTAAAAAAAAAAAAAAAAACAGAAGTGACACACAGCCAAGAACTTGAATTATTTCCAAAATTAAAGATTACATTCATCCATTTAGTCAACAGAGAACATATCTAATGACTGAGTAACTATAGTTAACTTATTATAAAGCAGTGTGAAAAACCAAGGTATCTATAATTGACTTGTTTAGCAACTACTTTTAAGTTTCAGTCACTATTTCAATAGGTAGTCCAAAGAAGCTGATAATTACAAAAACAAATTTCAATATATCTCAATAGGAATTATTCTTTAGTGATGTTGTGGTTTATGTATTTATGCTTTTGATCTTTATATACTTTTGGTCATAAAAATAACTGAAGTGTCAATAATAATGTCAATATTAAAAATTATTTTAATATGAATGGTCATGCCACTTTTAGTATTCAGACTCCCAGCATCTTTCAAATTAGAGAAAGTACAGCCCAACAACAATCTGAGAATACTTGAATAAGTTTAATTCTACCACAGAATTTATAATATGGTTAGAAAACACTAAATTGTTATGTAGCAAGGGTAAACTATGACAAGAGGTTCAACAGATGTTTTGATAACCCATCAATAAAGAAAGAAAAGGCCAGGCGCGGTGGCTCATGCCTGTAATCCCAGCACTTTGGGAGGCTGAGGTGGGTGGATCACCTGAGGTCAGGAGTTCAAGACCAGCCAGGCTAGCCAACATGGTGAAACCCCATTTCTACTAAAAATACAAAAATTAGCTGGGTGTGGTGGTGCATGCCTGTAATCTCAGCTACTTGGGAGGCTGAGGCAGGAAAATTGCTTGAACCCAGGAGGTAGAGGTTGCAGTGAGCCAAGATTGCACCATTGCAATCCAACCTGGGCAACAAGAGAGAAACTGTCTTTAAAAAAAAAAAAAAAAGTAAATAAAAAGTTATCTTCAGGAGAAAGCACTGCACTGAGTCTAGAGAGAACACTATACACATTTTACTTATATACCCCACTTATTTCCATAACTTGTTAAGTTTTCACAAAAGAACTGTTTTACATTCAACCTTACCTTTAATTTCTGATAATGAGGAAGGCTGCTGCAATGAGTATTCTTTGCAACTTCTTCATTTGTATAAAAGAGTGAACACAGCTTACAGTAAAACCCTGTTTTAGGTATCACATAGTCTATACCTAGAAATACAAACATACATTCTTACAAATTAAACTGAAGATTTTATTTAGTATTCACAATTTCACCTGTCAACATAATTTAAATGAAACAACATGTTTTTGAGAAGTCCAATACAGCCTAAGATAAAAAACAAAAACCGAACCATATTTTGCTTTTACCTAATTGATGTTTGAGGTCTCACCTAACTGTATTCTTAAAAAAAGAAATATAATACAGAAAAACAACACAGAAAAGCAAAACAAAAGCGTGTAACTTGCAAGAAATTTTACGAAAAAAGGGAACACATTGTGGAATAACAACAGAAAATAATACAAAATCAGAGACATGCATGAGAGGAAAATATATCAATTAAGATTTATAAATTGTTCCCCATAGAAACAAAGCAAATTTAAAATGCTATCACAGCTTATGTAAGACCAACTTTAAAATCTTATTTTAAAACCTAAGAGTTTGTTTTGAGGAGAGTGAGGAAGGTGAAGAACAAAGACTTAAATCTCACCAACAGGAACATTGGGCTGATATGGTCCAATTCTATACTCATCTGGGATTGTATAGTCGTCCTTGTTCTCATCACTTTGACCATCTGCGTTTTCACTTGTATCTTTGTTGGGATCATCAGCGTTCTCAGAAGATTCAGCACCTGGTTCTGTGTTTTCCTCATTTTTAATTCCATTTTCCAACGCTGCTTCGTTTTCTTGATCAAGTTCCTCGATCTTGTCCACCTTAATTTCAACCAAACCATCATCATTTTTGTCACCAGATTTAAATGCCATGCCCGATTTACGAAGTTTCTGAAGTTCCGAATCTTCCTCATCACCAACCTCATCTAGAGTGACAAAACCTTCCATACTCCCTGGAAAACGACGCTGTTAAGAAAGACAAATTTACTCTGCAACAATTATCCTGCAGCATCCCTTCTGTCTGCTTTACTTGAAGGGAAACGGATAGCGTCTTTGCCTTTTTTTTTTTGAGACGGAGTCTTGCTCTGTCGACCAGGCTGGGGTGCAGTGGCGCGATCTCGGCTCACTGCAACCTCCGCCTCCCTGGTTCACGCCATTCTCCTGCCTCAGCCTCCCGAGTAGCTGGGACTACAGGCGCACGCCACCACGCCCGGCTAATTTTTTTTGTAATTTTAGTAGAGACGGGGTTTCACTGTGTTAGCCAGGATGGTCTCGATCTCCTGACCTCGTGATCCACCCACCTCGGCCTCCCAAAGTGCTAGGATTACAGGCGTGAGCCACCGTGCCCGGCCGCGTCTTTGTCTTTATTCATTGGCTCAAAATAGTAACTTCTTCCTTTCTTCCAAAAAATTACTGATAATTTGAAAAATAATTTAGCTTATTTTAAAACTAAAAAATGGAAGGTCTGCCTCACACAAAGAGCAGAAGTTAAATGAGATAGGAATATTCATATTTTATCTTTTCTGAGACTACAATGCTGCTAGGCAATGTGTAAAAAACTTGATTTGGTAAAAGTTGAGCAATATCCTTTGTAAGACAGTATACTGCAAATACCTACTCTTTAGAGCAAATACTCAAACAGTGTAATGGCTAAAAAACCAAGCTCTGGGCCAGGCATGGTGGCTCACACCTGTAATTCCAGCACTTTGGGAGGCTGAGGTGGGCGGATCACCCTGAGATCTCAGGAGTTCAATACCAGCCAGGCCAACATGGCGAAACCTCGTTTCTACTAAAAATACAAGAATTAGCCTCGTGTGGTGGTGGACACCTGTAATCCCAGCTACTTGGGAGGCTGAGGCAGCAGAACTTGAACCTGGGAGGTGGAGGTTGCAGTTAGCTGAGATCACACCACCGCACTCCAGCCTGGGCAACAGAGCAAGACTCCGTCTCCAAAAAAAAAAAAAAAAAAAACAATCATGCTCTGAAGAATGACTGCCCAAGTTTAAATTTTGGCTCTGTGTCTTATAAGCAGTATGGGATTATTTAACTTCTCCATATTTCAATTTTCCTCATTTATGGACTGGAGATCACAGTATGAGATGCATATGGTTACTGTGAGGATTAAATTAATAAATTTAAACTTAGAAAAACGTATGGCATTAAATGCCATAAACATCAGTAATTATTAGCATTTACAAATGTAAACATAATGATCAGCTCTAGTGAGAAAAATTAATGAAGTTATTTGACCAAGCCATCAAATAAAAACTGAGGTAAATATTGGTTTTGAGTTGAATGTTGCATAAAAGGAACCAATGGAATATGGAATAGGATGGCAAAAATCTCATTTCGCTCTACTTTTTTTTTTTCTTGAGACAGTCTTGCTCTTGTCACCCAGGCTGGAGTACAGTGATGTGATCTTGGCTAACTGCAACTTCTGCCTCCCAGATTCAAGCAATTCTCCTGTCTCAGCCTTCCAAGTAGCTGCTACAGGTATGTGCCACCACGCCCGGCTAATTTTCATATTTTTAGTAGAGACGGGGTTTCACCATGTTGGTCTTGAACTCCTGGCCTCAACTGATCTGCTGGGCCTCCCAAAGTGCTGGGATTACAGGCGTGAGCCACTGGGCCCGCCTGACTCCGACATTTTATGAGCCATTTAACATAAAAAGTTTGCCTCAAAGGCATTTTAATGCCCTACTCCTTAAGCTAGGCAGTCAGCTCAATGTGGGTCCTTTGTTTACTCTTCTTTATAGCATGTGTGTATTTTTATATTTATATTCACTTTATACATGGCTTCTAAATGACTTACTTGTTCAAATAAAATTGTTTTAAAGGATACTAAGGTATCTGACCAGGCCAACATTTCTCAAATAGGAAAAATTATTCAATAATTTTTGAATGAGTGGCAAAAGTTTTAACTATGTTGGGTCAGTTAACTTACTGCAAACTCACGTCCTGTATTTTTTTTTTCAAAGCTACACTATAAGGCTGCCTACCTATATGCTACCACTACACCACTACAATACAGAAGCACATATATTTTGAGTCTTTCTCCCTCATTTTTACTGAAAAGTTTCCTCTTTGAGCTGATGTTTTTTGCCAACTATAATAAAATGTCTTATTTAATTATTTATTGCAGAGTTTAGATTTAAATGTTTATATTCTGGTTCATATCTGATTTATTTTCTGATTTAAATCATATAATTCTATCTGATCCTGCTTAGGTAAATAACTTGAAATACTGATCTGATCTAATGTTCTATTAAAACAAATCAATGTATCTTTCTTTACCTTTTTAAGCTTTTTCTTTGCTGCTGCTGAAGCACTTCCATCTTTTTTCACAGCTTTATCTGATGGTTCCTTTTTCCCATCAGAAGCCACATCACCTAAATTAGCAAGATCGGTCTCGTCTCCCACTGAACTGCCACTTTCTAGCAGTGCTGCTGCTTCTTCTTCATCTACAAGTAGCTCATCTTCAGATTCAAGAAGCATATTAGGTTCCTGCTCTGTCTGGTCATCCTTTGTGTCTTTCTCACCATCTTCACCGGACTTCTCTTCTTGTTCTTTACCTTCGGTTGAACTCTCAGTCTTCTGGGAACCATCAGTTTTGGATTTCTTATCACTTGGAGATTCTTTGCCATCTGGAGAGTAAGATCTTTTTCTGAAATCAAAAGGACACACCACAATTAATTTGTTGTCTGAAAAAGTAAAGTTGAATATACTCACACATATGAAAAACAAAATGAAATTACCGGGATTTATCTTTTTTCAGTAAATCAATGCCTCTGTTTGGAATCTAAAAGACAAAAGTTTTGCAGAAGTTAACACATTTGCAGAATACACAATTATCCAGTGAATTAATAATTGGAGACAATCCCTATAATCAACTCAGCTTATTCAATTCCCGTAACCTTATTTGAGAACCTAAGCTGCCTACAGACATTCATCATGACCATACCAACAGAGAAGTGGAAAATAAAACATTCTGGTAGCAGAACGCTATGAAAAACTTAAACAGATAAGAGCAATGAAGGTGTCCTTTAGGGAAGACTCGTTTAAAAACTTCTGCCATTAAAGACCAGAAAAAAAGGTTGTTCTCTTTCAATAACTTATTTCAATAGGTTTCAATAATCCTGTATTTTTAGCATACAAAAATGTTTAAAAGAATGTTGTGGCTTTAAATATGTAAAAACAAGCTGTTAAATGATGACAAATCAAATACTACATACCCTCAGAACCAGTTTTTTATATTTCTCAGACAGGTCAACCTTCACACATCTCCCCTGAAACCAAAGGGCTTTTTTCAAACAATGGTCAACCATTGCCATTGCATCTTCTCTTGTCTCCATCTCAATAAAAGCCTTAAAAAGAAAGAAAAGAAACCACAAAGCACATTATATTTTACAAAATTGTATAAAACCTTATTATGTATTCTACCTACTGGTTAGAAAATTTTCATTACTTTTTTTCTTTTTTGAGACAGGGTCTCACTGTGTCACCCAGGCTGGAATGCAGTGGCGCAATCCTGGCTTGCTGAAGCGTTGATGTACTGGGCCCAACTGATCCTCCCACCTTAGCCCCCCAGTAGCTAGGTCTACAGGCATGCACCACCAATGCCTGGCTAATTTTTGTATTTTTTGTAGAGGTGCAGTTTCGCCATGTTGCCTAGACTGGTCTCGGGCTCCTGGACTCAGGCAATCCTCCTGCTTTGGCCTCACAAAGTGCTGGGATTACAGGTGACAGCAACCACACCCGGCTAAAAATTTTAATCTTTAGCACAGAGTTAAAAATTCACTGAATATCAGGGCTGGGCGCAGTGGCTCACACCTGTAATCCCAACACTTTGGGAGGCCAAGGCGGGTGGCTCACCTGAGGTCAGGAATTCCGAGAACAGCCTGACCAGTATGGTGAAACCCCATCTCTACTACAAATGCAAAAATCAGCTGGGCCTGGTGGAGTGTGCCTACTGTAGTACCAGCTACTTGGAAGGCTGACATAGGAGAACTGCTTGAACCCAGGAGGCGGAGTTTATAGCAAGCCAAGATGGCACCACTGCACTCTAGACTGGGCGACAGAGCAAGACTCCATCTCAGAAAAAACCAAAAACCAAAAAACCAACCTGTCAGATTTACAAAATCCCCAAGAATCACTTTAGTGCCAAATACTAAGCCATCTATATACACTCTGCAAAAAAGTAATAAGCTGGCTGGGCGCGGTGGCTCAGCCTGTAATCCCAGCACTTTGGGAGGCCGAGACGGGCGGATCACAAGGTCAGGGGATCGAGACCATCCTGTGGATGGTGAAACCCGTCTCTAGTAAAAATACAAAAAAAAAAAAAAAAAAATTAGCCAGGCGTGGTGGCGGGTGCCTGTGGTCCCAGCTACTGGGGAAGCTGAGGCAGGAGAATGCCATGAACCGGGGAGGCAGAACTTGCAGTAAGCTGAGATTGCACCACTGCACTACAGCCGGGGTGACAGAGCGAGACTCTGTCTCAAAAAAAAAAAAAAAAAAAAAAGTAATAAGCTTAAGATATTAAAATAGTGTAAGAAAAATAAAAGTCTGGAAGAACACAAACTTGCAATGCTGAATTACAGAAGTGTTTAAAACAAAAAAAGAAAAACAAAAAAGATGTTCTCCTCATCCTTATTTCCTTTTTGAGACAGGGTCTCACTCCACTGCCTATGCTGAAGTACAGTGGCACAATCATAGCCCACTACAAACCTTGGACTCCTGGGTTAAGTGTTCCACCTGACTTCAGACTCCCGTAGCTAAAACTGTACGAGCATGCCACTTTGCCTGGTTAAAAAAAATTTTTTTTTGTACAGATGTGGCCTCAATATGTTGTCAGGGCGGTCTCAAACTCCTGGGCAACTCTGGCCTCAGCCTCCCAATGTCTAGGGATTTACAGGCATGAGCCAATGCATCCAGCCTAACTCTAAATTTTTTTTTTTGAGATGGAGTCTTGCTCTGTCACCCAGGATGGGTGCAGTGGCACAATCTCGAGTCATTGCAAGCTCCGCCTCCCGGGTTCATGCCATTCTCCTGCCTCAGCCTCCCCAACAGCTGGGACAACAGGCGCACGCCACCACGCCCAGCTAATTTTTTTGTATTTTTAGGAGAGAGGGGGTTTCACTGTGTTAGCCAGGATGATCTCAATCTCCTGACCTCGTGATCTGCCTGCCTCCGCCTCCCAAAGTGCTGGGATTACAGGCGTGAGCCACTGCGACTGGCTAACTCTATATTTTTTAAATACAAGAAAAAAAAGTATGAAATATTAATTTTTGAGACCCTGTCTCAAAAAAAAAAAAAAGAAAAGAAAAGCAAACAACTAGTCCTCCAGATTTCATCACTAAAAATAGGGATATACTTTAAAAAAAAAAAAAAAAAAAAAAAAAAAAGCAAATTTTTTTTTTTGAGTTGGGAGTCTCGCTCTGCTGCCCAGGCTGGAGTGCAGTGGTGCAATCTCAGCTCACTGCAACCTCCGCCCCCTGCCAGTTAAGCAATTCTCCTGCCTCAGCCTCCCAAGTAGCTGGGATTACAGGCACATCACGCCTGGATAATTTTTGTATTTTTAATAGAGATACGATTTCACCATGCTGGCCAGGCTGGTCTCGAACTCCTGACCTCAGGTGATTTGCCTGCCTTGGCCTCCCAAACTGCTGGGATTACAGGTTGAGGAATGACGCCCAGCTCCATATTGAAAAATCTTAAGGATTTTAATAAATTATCTTCTCTAAAACTTCCTTATGTATATTACCTGACTTTTCATCCTCATCAATATGTAATTCTTTATTTTCCCATAAGGCTCAGCAAGCTTGAGAACAGCACTATCAGAATAGCCAGAATGCGGCAAATTGCTGAGATGTATCACACGTCCAAGCTCTTGCTTTTGATCAAACTTCTGATCTGGCTTTCCTTCAGGTTTCTTTAATAAATAACAACAACAAAAGGACAAATGTGCAATAATTATTAGTTAACAGTTAAAAACATCCTAGTCTTTACCAATTGTTTTATTTTTATAGAGACGAGGTCTTGCTATGTTGCCCAGGCTTGCCTGGAACTCCTGGGCCTCACATAATCCTTCTGACCTTGGCCTCCCAAGGTGCTGGGATTACAGGCGTGAGCCACCACACCTGGCCTTAGCAATAATTTGAAATAACCACAGTTAATAACTATTAAAATCATTTGTTAAACTGATATACAGCTTGAAAAAAATAAACATTACCTTTATTCTTTTATACTTCTGGGATAAATGAACTCTCACTGGCTTGCCAAATACTAACGCTGGTGTGGTTGTGTAATAATCCACTGCGGCCTGAGCATCCTCTGTGGTTGCCATTTCAATAAATGCCTGAAATTATACAAAAAGTTATTTCTCTGTTTTTTCCAATCAGCTTTCTCACATTGAACTAAAGATTTTTTTTCCTAAAAAATAACAATGCCCCAAATCTTTTCAGATATATTTAATCATTAAGTAGAAAATACTTTCAAGAATCAAAATACAAAACAAAAGAGGCTGGGCCCAGTATCTCATGCCTGTAATCCCAACACTTCGGGAGGCCGAGGCAGGCGGATCACGAGGTTGAAAGATCAAGACCATCCTGGCCGACCAACATGGTGAAACCCCGTCTCTACTAAAAATACAAAAATTAGCTGGGCGTAATGGTGGACGTCTGTAGTCCCAGCTACTTGGGAGGAGGCTGAGGCAGGAGAATGGCTTGAACCTGGGAGGTGGAGGCTGCAGTGAACCTCACTGCACTCCAGCCCAGGTGACAGAGTGACACTCAAACACAAAACAAAACAAAAACAAACGAACAAAAATGTTGGCCGGGTGTAATGGCCGACGCCTGTAATCCCAGCACTTTGGGAGGCCAAGGCGGGTGGATCACCTGAGGTCAGGACTTCGAGACCAGCCTGGCCAACATGGTGAAACCCCATCTCTACTAAAAATACAAAAATCAGCTGAGCATGATAGTGGGCGGCTGTAATCCCAGCTACTTGGGAGGCTGAGGTAGGAGAATCGCTTGAACACAGGAGGCGAAGGTTGCAGTGAGCTGAGATCGCGCCACTGCACTCCAGCCTGGGTGACAGAGCGAGACTCCGACTCCCAAAACAAAGAAACAAAAAAACCCCAAAAAACAGTGTTGCCAATTTGCTATTTTATTACAAAGGCCACCTCAGATTAATTTTCTACTGCATTACTTTATCATTTACTATGCCAATTGGACTAAAAATAATGACTTGAAACCATCATTTTGGTATAGATCTGAAATGGCTTTCCACAGAATTTTCCTTTTACAACTTTTATAGTAGTATAATGACAATTACTACCTAAGGATCATAATTTATAGTTACTAATAATCCATTAGTACCCTATTATATTCATCAACTACTGGCCTTTTCCTCTACTACATTCTGCATTTGATAAACTTAAGATTACCTTGAGTTTTATTTTTCTAATACAAAATCATTTAATTCTTGCAGAACATATATTAGTGGCATGAATAAATGAATAATACCAATATTTCAATTCATACCTCATTAATTTTATTTAGAATCAGATGATTTGAAATGACTCCAAATGGTTCTACCAGCTGTAATAGCTGGTATCTCAAGTTTTTCCCTCGTTGAAAATCCATGATGTGAACAACTCTGCTAGTTTCCTATCCATTAGGGGAAAAAAACCAAGCAATTAAGTCTCTTTAAAGCAATATGAAACCAATTACGCATTAGGACTTTTTATAATCTATAATTAACCAGGAGAGTGTAAGTAAAACAACTCATAACATTCTAGAGAATTTTAAAGCTACATATCAAACGTCACTGGGTAAGTTCTTTCTGACCATAACCAAACGGTTAAACTACTTCAAAGTGTCAAAACATACTCTCTGTAGTGATTTTTAAATTAAATATTGTACGCGTAACTGGACAGCAAAGCTTCCAAGATGCTGAATTAAGGTGACCTCACTGGACTATGGGCATACAAAATTTAAAGTTTTAACTGTTATCAAAGCCATAGAAAAACGTGATTGTTTTCAAATTACAGCAATGTTCCCATAAGGACCACGATACATACTCAACTAGTAAGGATTTAGGTCAAATCATATTCCCAAAAATCATAAATACAGTAAAACCAAAAGCTTCATTACTGACCACTCTGCCTTTCTGCATGTGTCTAGGTCCTTGCAGGTTTCCATTTCCAGCACCTTTATGGGAAGAGAAAGTTTTCAGTCTTGTAATCACTATACTTGCTTAAAGAAGCAATTTTACTGAAAAACGTGCATCTTCCAAACACAAATGAAAAGCTCTTACAAATATATGATTACCATCACTTTTCATGCAATGTTTTTTCTGTGTAATATTTGAATGAGCCTTCTTTCACCTATAATCATTGCCTTTAATTTTCAGAATGGGGCCGGGTGTGGTGACTCAAACCTGTAATCCCAGCACTTTGGGAGGCTGAGCAGATCATTTGAGGCCAGGTGTTTGAGACCAGCCTGGGCAACACCGCGAAACCCCTGCCTCTACCAAAAATATAAAAATTAGCTGGGTGTGGTGGCACATACTTGTAATCCCAGTTACTCAGGAGAGGCTGAAGCATGAGAATAGCTTTAACCCGGGAGGCAGGGGTTGCAGTGAGCAGAGATTGCACCGTTACACTCTAGCCTGAGTGACGGAGTGAGAATCTGTCTAAAATAAATAAGTAAAATTTGCGGCCTGGCACAGTGGCTCGCACCTGCAATCCTAGCACTTTGGAGGCTGAGGCGGGTAGTCCACCTGAGGCCAAGAGTTCGAGACTAGTCTGGCCAACGCGGTGAAACCCCGTCTCTACTAAAAATACGAAAATTAGCTGGGCGTGGTGGTGGGCACCTGTAATCCCAGCTACTCGGTAGGCTGAAGCAGGAGAACTGCTTGCACCCAGGAGGCAGAGGTTGCAGTGAGTCGAGATCGTGCCATTGCACTCCAGCCTGGGCGATAAGAGCAAAACCCCATCTCAAATAAATAAATAAAAAGAAAAATTTTCAGTAACGGCTCTGTAGGGAAAAGTAACATGAATTTTATATAATTACCCAGATTTCCTCTTGGTCCAACTGCTGGTCCCCCAAGATGAAATGAGGGAGGTGGAGGTCCCAGAATTCCTGGTGCTGGATTTGTAGACTGCTGCAACATGAATGGATCACCCCTAGTAAAGTGAAGACATAAAATATAAATCATAATAAAGAGGTCCATTGGAAAGAATTAAGATTAAATGTTAAAGCACCCCAATATATGACCACAACCACTTCAATCTTTCAGAGTATCTGTGAAGTAACTAGGTCAAAGTCTACATTAACAATAAAAGAATACAAATTACTACATAATATATATTCTAAAAATTGTTAACCAAAGTGAATTTTATCAAAGTCTCATTTTCAGTAAAGAAATTCTGAAAATACTTTGTTTATGAAATGTTGAAAGTGAAACCTGAATTCCTTACATTGATCTCCTTTACAAATGGTAGCTTAAAAAATTTAACTTACATTGTGTGTCCTGTATCATTGTCAGGATTCCATTCTGGGTAGCTTTAAAAAGACCAGAAAATTAACTTTAAAATAAAACTGTCCTTTTCACAAAACAGCCTTGTTTGGCCTCTAAAATAGAGATCATTTATTAGTAAAGTTATCTGAGAGTCTAAGTGTTAGAAACATAGTTTTAAAGCATTTCCAATAGATATTTCAAAAGAAAAATTTCAGAACTTCAAAATAATCCACGAGAATAAACTTGTTTTGTATTGCTTGCAAATGCAGATAATGTTGAAATTAAGTTTTTCCTCTATTTGTTAAATTGTAAGGAGGAAGTGCCGCACAAAGAATTAGAAATGTGGGTTACATAGAAACAAGAACAGAGCACAGATTTTCCTTCTCCAATATTAATACCAAGAGCACAGTTGAGTTGTGACATTAGAAAGAAAGAATAGCCCCAACAGAGTTAGGCATATGTGAAAATTCCAACTCCAGTGAACAATGGGCACTGTGTGCTGCTTAAGCAGGGAGTTTCTTTAGGAATTCCATTTCATGGTAGCAGCCTGAACTCAAAACCAAAGATCTCAAAAGCAAAAAAAAAAAAAAAATTCATCACCAAGGATTTTGCTGGACAATGAATTAGAATCTTTTAATAACCTACCCTCTTTTCCGTATCTTTTACATTTTTAGAGCATGTATTATTAAAAATGCTACTGTTTAATCCACTCTACATATCAAATACTATCTTTCACTATGTCTAGTAAAAATCACCAATTTGTATAATGACCAATATATATGTATCCTAGAAATGTTAAATAACAAAATATTATTACTGCATCTAATATTCAATATGAAATTTCCAGATCTAAACATTTTACTTGTAAATAGTATTGTCCATACAGTACCACTATGTGATATTAACATTGTGGATATTACAAGTAAATGATGAACTCCCAAAAACCAATAATGGCTGATTCTGATTCACGATAAGGATGTTTTAAAGGTATTTCAAACTCCTACATTTCAAGAAGAAGCTGGCATCGACGACTGTGACTTGCTCCATTGATATGTTGACTCCACTCCTGCAGCAAAGTAAATTAGTAGAATTAACAAAAATAAAGCTGAAATATTTTCATCTGAACCATTCAAACTCTAGGATATTAATGTCTATGCAGTATCATAGGCTGTACAAACACCTGCCCATTCACTAAATCACATTGATTTAATTTAAAACCATTTCTCTGAATCCTTGAGGCTTGATCCTGCCCTCAAATACGCTATGCACATTCTTGGAAAAACTGGATTAACTTGTCAACATACTTAAGATATTTGACAGGGAAAAGATATAGAGTTAATAAAGATCAAGAGTAGTAACTAACCTTGAGATCAGCAAGGCTTATTAATTTTTACTGTGGACCAAACTGAAGTATTCATTGTATGCTACTTTATAGCACTCTGAATAAAACATCCATGTTTATATCTACTTTTCTAGAAACTATATACTATAAATGTGAACAATTAGTTAAAATAGAATCTTTTAGGCCGAGCATGGTGGCTCATGCCTATAATCCCAACACTTTGGGAGGCTGAGATGGATGGATCATTTGAGACCAGGAGTTTGAAACCAGCCTAGCCAACATGGCGAAACCCCATCTCTACAAAAAATACAAAATTTAGCCGGGCGTGGTGGCACACGCCTGTAGTCCCAGCTACTTGGAAGGCTGAGGCAGCAGAATCTCTTGAACCCAAAAGGCGGAGATTCCAGTGAGCTGAGACTGCGCCACTGCACTCCAGCCTGGATGACAAAGACTCCGTCTCAAAACAAAACAAAACAAAACAAAAACAAAAACAAAAACTAAAACTTTAATCACATCCAGCTTTTGAGGATGTTCCAGGTTTACTACCTACTAAATACACAGTGAATGAAAAATACACCATGATTAGCATTACCATAAAATGCTAACATGATTCAACAGGAATGGCTTTTCTAGAAAACGAATCCCATTTATCAAAATATTATGCTCCCTTTGTATTTCCCCAAAATAAGCAAATTTAAGGAGTGCCTCTTTCCAAATTTAGGGTGGGAAACATGACATTCTTTCACTATTTACTCTTTTATGGTTTACTTTAAATTGAAGTAACTCTTATTTTATTCAAATAAATTTCTTTAGGAAAAAAATGCAGATATAAATGAGTTAACTTTTTAGGCAATGTAAGAAAGAGAAGTTACAAAAAGTGGGCTCTGCTATTAGACTGCCTAGGTTCACTCCCAAATTACAAAGATGTGAATCTTTGGTCCGTGTTATTTAAATTCACTGGGACAAGAGTCTCATAGGGTTGTTGTGAAAAGCAAATGAGTCAATAAAGGTAAACTGCTTATCAGACCCTTGCCAGGCACATGGAATGTGCTAAAAAAAAAAAAAAAAAAAGAACTATTATTACACTGATTATAAAGCAGTCTTGTTTTACAATTCCTGCTTTACAACTATTATTGATGTTTCACAAACTCCCACAAATTGAGGTAATTTCTGTAACACCCACACTACCCAATACAATTATATTTGGAATATAAAACATGGTCAGGCGATGTGTTTTTAAAGGGGGATGTCTCACTGAGAGCTGAACTAAATTAGAGTAAGGTACCAAGGTACCAAATTACAAGATACGTGCTTTCAAAAAGCTGCGGATTGGTATTTTATAAATGAGCTCCTAAAAAAAAAAAAAAAAAAAACTGGTTTATATTTACCTGACAACAGTTTAGGTACATTCCTATGCTCTAGTAAAATTATCTAAAATCCTGTGAAAGGCCAGGTGCGGTGGCTCAGGCCTGCAGTCCCAGCACTTTGGAAGGCCAAGGTGGGAGCATCAACTGAGGTCAGGAGTTCAAGACCAGCCTGGCCAACATGGTGAAACGCTGTCTTTATTAAAAATACAAAAATTAGCCAGGCATGGTGGCAGGTGCCTGTAATTCCAGCTACTTGGGAGGCTAAGGCAGGAGAATAGCTTGAACCTGGGAGGCAGAGGTTGCAGTGAGCCAAGATCACACCATTGCACTCCAGTCTGGGCAAGAGTGAAACTGTCTCAAAAATAAATAAATAAATAAAAATAAAATCCTGTAAACTAAAATGGAACTCATCCAAATAGAATGGTACCTTCCTTAAAATGTTGGAAGCTATAAACTACTATTTCCAGGTCTCTCAAAGCTAGATTATCTTTTTAAAATAATGGCTAATAGCTAAGGAACTCAAGATCTCTCCAGCTGGCTCTCTAATCATCAGCTATTTGGGATATCTAAAGTTTCAACTGGAAAGTAATGGACCACTGCCTTCTTGGGGACCAGTTTTAAAATGGCTTGTAAGGGCCGGGTGCAGTGGCTCACGCATACGATCCCAGCACTCTGGGAGGCCAAAGCAGGCAGATTACTTGAGCCCAGGAGTTTGAGACCAGCCTGGGCAACACAGTGAAACCCGATCTCTATCAAGAAAAAAACGCCAGATGTGGTGGTGGTACATGCGTCACTTGAGCCTGGGTGGTAGAGAGTGCAATGAGCTGCGAACACCTAAGCGCACTTCAGCGTGGGCTACAAAGCAAAAGACCCTTTCTCAAAAACATAAAACAAAATAAAATAAAATAAAAATGGCTCTAAGTCAGAGGAGCCACAGGTAAGTTCACAAAATTTAGAAGCCTTGGCTGGGCGTGGTGGCTCATACTTGTAATCCCAGCACTTTGGGAGGCCGGGGCAGGCGGATCACCTGAGGCCAGGAGTTAGAGACCAGCCTGGCTAACATGGTGAAACCCGTCTCTACTAAAAATACAAAAAAATTAGCTGGGCATGGTGATGTATGCCTGTAATCCCAGCTACCTGGGATGCTGAGGCAGGAGAATTGCTTGAACCCGAAAGGCAGAGGATGCAGTGAGCCAAGATCACGCCACTGTACTCCAGCCTGGGACACAGAGCGAGAAACCTTCTCAAAAAAAAAAAAAAAAAAAAAAAAAAAAAAAAAAAGGATTAATTAAACAAATACCAATTAACGACTTACAATTCTCTGAACTAAAAATATTCAGATTTTACTTAAAATATTCTTAAGTTGTGGGAGAGAAATAAATGTTATCCTACTACGCATGCTTCTATTTCATAGGAGCTAGAAAGGGTACATAGCTGAACAGAAATTATATCCAATCCTCCACGTTGTTTAAAGGTTCAAACTTAGGGGAAAAGTGTGTCTGGTCTTTCAAAGTGAAAAAAGGAAGGCCAAGATCAAAAAATCAATCACATACCTCCCAAACTCATCCAATGACTAATCTGTACTACTGATCTATTACTGGTTGGTTTACGGTGGGGACTAAGTGAAAGAGTTTTATAAAAATATATATCCCTGGACTCTACACTGAGGTAACTCCTGTAAAATCAGATTAATAAAGGATTCGTGCACTTTTTAAATTCAGACATTTCTGTAGGAAAACTACATTCACCTTGATGTATCTGAGATACCTTATAGAGAGAAAAAAAAGAATTTGGGAAGCACTTACAGAATGGCAGAAAAAAGTATAACTTAATATAAACTCAAGTGACAAGACAGCCAAAGTGCTGTAGTGGGTAATTTTCTTTAAGTGAAAGGAAGCTGAGAAAGCTTGAGATTGCATAGAAAAGCAATCTGATGACTGGGTGCGATGGCTCACACCTGTAATCCCAGGACTTTGGGAGGCCAAGGCAGTGAATCACCTGAGGTCAGGAGTTCAAGACCAGCCTGACCAACATGGAGAAACCCTGGCTCTAAAAATATAAAATTAGCTGGGCGTGGTGGCGCATGCCTGTAATCCCAGCTACTCGGAAGGCTGAAGCAGGAGAATTGCTTGAACCTGGGAGGCGGAGGTTGCGGTGAGCCGAGATCGCACCATTGCACTCATTACAGCCTGGGCAACAAAAGTGAAACTCCGTCTCAAAAAAAAAAAGAAAAAAAGAAAAGAAAAGAAAAGCAATTTGATGACCTAAAATGACCTATAAAGAAATAAAAACACCACCATCACTTTAAGTCACCTAAAAATAATGACACTCCATGACAAATTATTTTCAACTTAAGTTTCTTACTTCACAGTAAGAATTTTTGATCATGTAGACTATTTAACAATACCACTAAGTAAAAAGAACAGATTTTCCAAGTTATGCAGCAATACCAGAGAGCAGGATTAAATGTTTAAAAATTTTTCATTATCTACTTCCATCACAGAAATTTTCTCTAAGGTCATTTCTATAGCGGTTATAGAGGGTCCACTGCTAAAGTGAGTAAAGATTTTTTCAATATAATGCATATACGTAAAAAACATAGTAAAGCAACTAGAAAACTAGAAATTCAGATAATCCATGTGTTTAAACTTCTTAAAGTTGGTCCAATTTACACATTTAAACCACAGAATTAAACAAAAGGCCTCTAAAATAGTTCTCAAATGTACTCAGTATTTTGACAGAATACCAAAACTAGCTAGGACCTAAGCATTTTTACAGGCTAAAAGTACCTCTTGCACTAGGGTAGTGTATCTTACTCTTGAATCCATAGTTTCATCAAAATATGTAAAAACTGCTCTTTTGTTAATTTAGATCCATTTAAGTTATTAGCCTTCTTCAGGAACTAGAAAGTAGCAAAATTTGAAGGAAAAAAGCATAATCATACATAAAAACAGAAACTTTTCTCGAAGTCCTCTCATGGTTCCATTGTGTTCATGATGTCCCAACAGCTTAATGACTCCAGTAGCGAAGATTTTTTAAGTCCCTTCACATCACTCTCATTTGAGACACTTGTAACTATCTATTTTCCTCAGAATTTAGAGACCCTTTCTGAGAATATTGGTCATACTGACATTTCTGCTATTATTTCCTTATAAACAGGCAAGAAATAACGCAGAAAAAATTGGAGTCACCAGTGTTTAATGGACCTTTTCATTCTATGAATTCACACGGGACCTAAAATTTAAAGTTTAGTGCTGATCAGAAACTAAAATGAATTCCATGATATATTTAGTAGAGCCAACAAATTTAGGAAAAGGTAACACCCAAAACATATACCAATTAAAATTTGCTGGCTTTTGTGAGTCTGGGGTTGTATTTCTTAATGAAAATACATCTTCTTAAATGTTTAAATAAACCTAAATTTAGCATTTATGTTAATTTACTTTGGTACAGATTAAAGATTAAAAGACAAAAATACTGAGATCCAAACACAAGGAAAGGGAGTGACTGGTAATACTCTTTAACAGAATATTAAAAACAATGGTATGATTTAGTCTACTAAAAAAAAATCCATACTCATTTACTAAAAAATGCTTATCAAAGGATTAGCTATGAAAAGAAAATGACCCTTCCAGATGTTACTGTAAAGAAAAACCCTGTAACAGTAACCATCAAATCAATTTCATGGCAGCAACTTGTTCCAGTTAAGTAGAGCACATCAGGAAAAAATGGACGGTCACAGATTATAGATCAAGCTAGTGGGGTGCTATAACAATGACTTTAAGTCAACTGCACCATATATTGGGGGAAAAAAAGTCAGAATGAGTAACACTGAAAAAGTTGAAAGAGAAAGGACAACATATTTAAAAGGGCATTTTGAAAAAGTTCCCATTTTGCCAGATGTGATAATTAAAGCAAAGGAGAATTAGATTTTCTTTTCAAATGACTATTTCAGAAGTCTAAGCCTAACTCAGAAAAAGAATTTGTTTATGAGGAACACAGAGCAGGATACTGTAGTAGTTGATTTGTCCAAGTCTCTAAAGGGACAGATGTAACATGGGATAATAAAAAGTGAGTTTTGAAGTATGTTTAAGAAAGTTGTGGAAAAGGAGAAAAAAAATGATGAAAAATTTCAGTCATAGTATGAGAGTTTGTGTTAAAGGGAAATTAAAAAAGGAAGAATGAACTAATCTAAAATATGAAACATACTGAAACAAACACCAGGGCTCTACATTAACTCTTTCCCTGTAGCCACAGATAAGGAAAAAAAGAGAATTGTTCAAGAATACATCTTTACTACATACAAATCAGCAATCAAGACAGATGGAGAGCTGAAATCTAGCATCCTGAATGGCAGAGCACATTGACTGCAAAAAAAATACTTAAAACAATTCAACAAAGCAGACAAAAAAAACCTGCTTAAATATATGATTAAGAAGAACATATTGATGCCAAAAACCAACAAGATAATCTCAGTGGATGATAGCTTTGTGGCCAGAAGTAATCTAGGCAGAATATATTAATGTAAAGCCCTGGTTTAAAATGCTCAAAAACAATTACCTTCCAAATAAAGTAAGTGTTCTCAAAAGTTTAAAAATGCTTGATCAACTCAATGTCATCAGACTACAGAATTAGAGTCAAAGATATAGGTAAATAGGCACTACAATGTAAAAGAAATTAGAAGCATCTGTTGAGTTAACTCACCTTATTAGAATGAACTGGCAAATCACATATAGAGCACAGATGGGGATAACCCTTCGGTAAGAGTCCATGGAAGTCTTCAATATTGCTACTTGGAGGAGCGCCTCTCTTTTTCTCAAAGAGAGATCTCTCTTGTAAGGGGCCAGGACCACGTCCCATTCTCTCATACTCACTGTCAAATTTATGATAGTTATGCGAGGTCTCACCAAAAAAAGAATCATCCCTACACCTTTCTCCATCTCTTAATCTGTCATCTTCATAATCCATTCTGTCATAATAACCAGATTCTTGAGAACGACTTCCATGGTCATAATCAAGCACTGGGTTGAGACTAGGACCACGATCATCAAAACTATCTCTTCTAAAGTGCCTTTTTTCTTCCCAATCATCCCTAGGTACTCTGTATGGTGGCTCCCGTGTAGCAGATCTGCCATCTCTACCATAACTCAAGGTAGGGCCTTCTTCAGTTCTCCTCCTTTTAAGCTGTAGAAGGATTTGGGGCAAATTCTCAGGAGTAATCTTGTCCTCTGGATAACGACTCAGTTCATCTAAGTCTCTAGCAGACAGACCAAAGCTGGCCAAAATGTTACTGGCCTGGTCTGCATCTCCACGGTGTTGAGAAGATAAAGGGAGTGGACCTCTACTTCCAATGTTAAATATAGACTGCAAATTATGGGAAGAAGTACTAGCAGAAGACAGTGCACTATGAGCTCCTTGTTGATTCAATGAAGAACTCATTCCAAGATTCATTAAACTAGCAAGGCGTGCAGTACCCTGGTTCATCCTTCCAAGAGATGCTGGCATACTTAAAGACTGGGTAGCAGCAGCAAGAAGGCCTATTCCTGCCGCAGACAGGTCACGCCCATGACCCTGTGAGTCCCTACTGAGAGATGACTGCTGGAATGACTTGGACATTGTAGAACTAGCTCTTGTCTATTTTATAGATTAAAAAAAAAAATTTTTTTAAAGACGGCCAAAAAGAAAGCTCAAACTAGAAAGCTAGGTTAACTTTGCTTCAAAAATGGTAACGCCAAGAAAAAGGATCAATAAGGACTGCAGAATCTTCTTCAAGCTGAGAACCAGCAGACAACTCTGTAGAAAAATAAGCAATTTTAGTCATAAATCCCTTTAAGCAGATGCCGTTTTTTTAAGAAAAAAAAACTTATGCATCATGTTGATTTAAAAAAAAAACATTTAAGATCTCAAACTTACAAGGAATTTATTACATATCTTAAACAGATTCCTGATGTATGCAGAGCCTGCATATAGATATTTAAAAAGTAGTATTTCATGCTAAAGCTTAACTATTAAAGGGACTTTCATACTGAGTTTAAAAACATGTAAATTGAAAGGTTAGATGTCTGAGTACATCAAAATTTCAGTAAAAATATAGATGGGTTTCTTCTTTTAGAAGAATAAAAATACACCCTATAGTATGATGCTTAAGTTCCAGAAGACTAAAAACAAAAAAATCAAGGTCAGCAAGTCAAAGATGAATCAGTTGTACTGTGCTTTGGAAAATGAGACCTATTATCACTATCAGAAAGAACCAAGTAAAATCACAAGTAAATGAAGCTTAGGTTTCAAGTACCTAATGTAAGATATAAGACCAAACATAATAGCTGAGACCTTTATACAGCAAAATCAATTTGAGGTGAAGATAGATGTGAATAAGAAAAATAAGTCATTTCCTATAGTTTTAAGGATTGCTGCCCAAATTTAAGTTATACAACTAATTGCCTTCTTACTGACCATCCTACATCAGGCAGTGTTTACTTCATATCTAGTCTTTTAAAGTAAGGAGAACTAACTCTGGTCAGTACAGGAATAGGAGCCCTCCCAAGAAAAAACCTAGGTACAGGAAATACAGGTGATTTAAAGAAGGGAACTCCCCAAATCAGCATCCATCAGTACTCATTTAATGCTCAGGGCTACAGCACATCTAGAGCACAAAACAGGTAAAAATGAAAATGAGATCTTGGTTACACAGTTTCCTGTAAACTTTTCACAAGAATAGCCCAAATCACCTGGTAAATTTATGTTCTGATTATGATCCCCCAAGACGTGTTTCTAGATGAAATTGTTTTCTTTCTTAAATCATTATTGTTGTACCTCAGAAACTGTCACATAAGAATTTCCAAATCTTTTATATCACGATTGTCATAAAATATTAGTTGAAAGATATACATAACATCTTCAGTGAAACAATTTTATAATCACAACTACATACAGAGGTAAATCTGAAGTTGTTTGGTACAGAATTCTATGAGGCATTGCTTAAATTTTCTATTTTTTGATCACCAATACACTCAGCACTGGTAGCTTAATATGTGAAACTTTAACAGTAAAACCAGACAATATCCAGTAGTTACAAGTCTATTACAGGATCAATTTCACCAATGATAGATTAAAGCAAGGATACAATGGACAAATACAGTGGCAAAGGAAGTATAAAAAAAGTTGCAGGCAAGAAAGATTTAGACTGGATTTTAAAAAATAGATATAATCAAGTTTTAAAAGACACAGAAATGCTATAAGAGGTGGCTGGAGTTACAGGAAGATGTTTTTGCACACCAAGAAAGATGAATTTGAGAAAATACACCAAAGAAACTATTAATAGTTCTAGACAAGATCCACTATGTAAACTACTTAAGCTTTAAGATTAATAAAGACGAGAATAAGTGGACTTCTTCAGATGAAAGTTTCTTTGATATGTCTTATAAATGCCAGACAGAATGGCGGCTGAGATGCTATGTAAATGGTGGTGGACCCTCTAAATTTTCACACATATTTTTACAAATCAAATCCTTTAGAGGGTTTTTCAAAATAAAAATGTTGAAGTATCAGGGTTATTAATTGCAGCTTTGACCTTCATGTTGTAGCCAAAGCTTTGCATTACTGAAAAGTCAGTCTTTTGAATTATTTTTTCCCTAAGAGAAATTATATAATGGTATTACAATTATGTTTAAAATTTTTAAAACGGCCATATTTTAAGGAAATGTGACTGTTAGACTACAGAGCTCTGAATTACATTTTTTGGTAGCTCATAGGAAAACAGTGGATCAACAAAAGGAAAAAGTTAAGAGAAGCAAAGGTAAAGGATAACCTTAAGACAAACAGAAAATGAATGTCAGAAAAACTCAGAAAAGAGTCAAGACAAACAATGTAAATCCCATGACAACGTGTAATTCCATAACCACCTTAGTAGTTTTAAGATACTCAGTTTCAACGTAAAATGCAGCTCCATCAAGGATATTAGGGTAAAATTAGTGAAAAGCAACTTAAGTTAGATTTTGGATTAAACCACAAATAAACCAAATTCTTAAAAATGGTTTTATTAGAACAAAGTTGGGAGAAACCAGATGTGGCAACATTGTTGAAAAAGCATTAATGAAAACAGTTCCTCTATCATGTCAATGCTGAACATAAGATGTACAAGCCACTTTTAAAGGCTCATTCACATGGGCCCCACTGCCTATTAGCAAAGGCAGCACAATATGGAGACACTTACTAAAGATTTACAAAAGATTAGCTCCTTTTACTGTATTGTTTTTTCCTGTAATTATAAAATTGCCTTTCTATAGGAAACTGCACTAGAGGTTAAAACAATTTTAAATATAGTAGCTTTGGGAGAACATTTATTATCAAAATCCAATTTACCTATTTAAAATCTCTATATACTAGTGTAAATGCCCATCAATGCAGAACCCTTCACTTCCAAAAAAGAAAGCACCTGCACCCCCCTAAAAACTATCAACATTACCCACAATTTCACTACACAAATGCCATTTACTACAATCTTGATAACCAAATTCTTTTTTTTTTTTTTTCAGATGGAGTTTCACTCTTGATGCCCAGGCTGGAATGCAATGGCACGATCTCAGCTCACTGCAACCTCTGCCTCCTAGGTTCAAGTGATTCTCCTGCCTCAGCCTCCCAAGTAGCTGAAATTACAGACACACACCACCACTTCCAGCTAATTTTGTATTTTTAGTAGAGACGGGGTTTCTCCATGTTGGTCAGGCTGGTCTCGACCTCAGGTGATCCCCCTGCCTCGTCCTCTCAAAGTGCTGGGATTATATAGGCATGAGCCACCACGCCTGGCCCGATAACCAAATTCTTAACAAATTAGCTTAAAAATTCATTTTTATAGGCAACTCAAAACAAACTGTAACTTAAAATTATTTTATGATACAATTTTAAGCTGTTTAAAAATGTTAGCTTCACATTCAACATCTAAACAAATCTGAGTATCATCCCTATGTATGGTTAGGAAACGTTTCAGTTAATATTCTACCTCCCATTACATGAGAATCTGATTTTTGTTATTGGCTTTTTCTTCTCCAATTAAAAGAACTAGAGTACTAAAATATTTCTGAAAAATTTCACATACCCTGAAAATTCACGGAGAACAGAAGCAAACAGCTGTTCCAGATCTAAATTTCCTTAAAGATTACCGGTAAGTCCTTAGTCATTCTTTCAGAGTAATATCTAGCAGAATTACTAAAATAAGCGCAAGCTAACTTTAATTTCTTAGAAGGTATTAGAAAAAAATGAAAAGATTTTTAGTTTAAAAAAAAAAGACAGTGTCTGACTCCTTCATTGCCCAGGCTGGAGTGGAATGGCATCACACCTGGGAGTGCATTGCCCAGGCTCACTGTAACCTCTGCCTCCCAGGCTCAAACCATCCTCCCACCTCAGCCCAAGTAGCCGGGACTACAGACACATGCCACCATGCTCGGCTAGTTTTCATTGTTTTGGTAGAGAGGGGGTTTTCACCATGTTGGCCAGGCTGGTCTCGAACTCCTGGGCTCAAGCAATCCTCCCGCCTTGACCTCCCAAAATGCTAAGAGGTATCTACTACTCCACATGGATCTTCAGCTATGCTCTCAACTGTGTGAGATAATCACTCCTTTAAATAATTTTTCTCTGGCAGGGCGCAGTGGCTCACGCCTGTAATCCCTGCACTTTGGGAAGCCGAGGTGGGTTGATCACGAGGTCAAGAGATCAAGACCATCCTGGCCAACATGGTGAAACCTCGTCTCTACTAAAAATATAAAAATTAGCTGGGCATGGTGGCACGCACCTGTAGTCCCACCTACGTGGGAGGCTAAGGCCGGAGAATCACTTGAACCTGGGAGATGGAGGCTGCACTGAGCCGAGATTGGGGCACTGCACTCCAGCCTGGGCCACAGAGCAAACATCGTCTCAAAAAACAAAACAAATAAAAAAATAATTTTTCTCTTCTCAGTCTTTGTAGTCAGAATTAAAAAAAAAAAAAACAACTAATTTGAGATGGTTTACCCATAAAACTATGAAAGATTATTTATGGTTTAACCATAAAACTAGAGATACTCAGGGAAAAAAATACCTTCATAATGACATTATTTTAACTTCACATTGAAACTTACAAGCAACAGCTAGAAAACTACAGTTTCTTATATTTTCCTCTTCTGAATTGCAAGAAATGCTCAGATTTTCCAAATGTTCTATCAAGGCCAATCACCTTGATCATTTATTAGCTTATTCATGTGAAAATATACCAAATATGTTTTAGGTAGCAATCAACAATACCAATTTAGTAAAAATGTCTTAACCTATGTCACTGATAGATGGCAGACATAGTTGACTGTCAGTAATTTCAAAGCAGCACCATTTGGAAGGTAGCTGCTTGATTTTTGTCATAAATCACACAAAAATATTGATTCCTGCGGTCAGGACTTTCAAACCAAGCATCCAACTTATTTTCAATTCAAGAACAGGTTTCAGTTACTATTTAAATTTTTCTTCATTTATTAAATTTTATAATGGTTTTATAAAGAATTTACCATAGTTTCCATTTTAAAAGTACTACAAGTTTTCATTTTAATGGTGTATATAATATTTCCTAACATATTTTGTAACAATTATTTCATTTAAGGGTTTTTTTGAAGTATGCTGAAGAACTACATTTTTTTCCTAGAGTTTCAGCCACTTTCAAATCTTATGCTCTCTAATCTATGTTTTTGAGTGTCACAATCTCATCTCAGTATGGCATGTACCTTGAGTGGCTTAAGAGTTTTTAAAATAGGCCAGGCGCAGTGGCTCACACCTGTAATCCTGCACTTTGGGAGGCCGAGGCGGGCAGATTACCTGAGGTCAGGAGTTTGAGACCAGCCCGGCCAACATGGTGAAACCCCGTCTCTACTAAAAATGCAAAAATTAGGTGGGTGTGGTAAAGTAGCATGTGTCATCATACAATAGAAAAGATAAAAAAGTGTAGTGCCAGGAAGGCTGAAATACAAGCATGAATATTTTCAAGTGCTTTAAGACCACTGTTCTTAATCCATCTAACAGACGTGAAGTCAATTTTTAGTCCACTTCTTGATCCTTAGGCTAATGAATGACAAGAATGTTGCAGAGTGGCGTCAGCTGCTGAGAAGACAGAAAACTACTTGTTAACCAGTGTAAGAAATTCCCACTCAGACCTGGAATAATACTGTCTTCTTCCTAGGTTTAAAATTTTTTCCCAGTGACCTTCAATCAGGCAAGAAATAGTTTCAGATTAGAACTACACAGAATTGATGAAGTAAACCCGTATTACAAGATAGAAAGTTACCCCGTGTACCTGATGATGTTCATTGTCTATTTGAACTACGACATAAACTTGGCTCTTTACTTTCTTCTCTGCTTAAGCAAAATCAGTGATTTCTTTCAAGGCTCCATTCTGGGCTGGGCGCGGTGGCTTATACCTGTAATCCCAGCCCTTTGGGAGGCCGAGGCGAGAGGATCACTTTAAGGTCAGGAGTCCGAGACCAGCCTGGCCAATACGCTGAAACCCCATCTCTACTAAAAAATACAAAAATTAGCCGGGTGTGGTGGCACACGCCTGTAGTCCCAGCTACTTGGGAGGCTGAGGCAGGAGAATCTCTTGAACCCGGGAGGTGGAGGCTGCAGTGAGCCAAGATTGTGCCACTGTACTCCAGCCTGGGTGACAGAGTGAGACTCTGTCTCAAATAAAGAAAAAAGGCTCCATTCTGTATCCCTAAGAGCCCTATTCTCTTGACTTCCATAAACATTTCTACAACTATTTCATACATACTGAATTTTGGGGGCCCAAAAGCCTTCGTGTGAATCCTGGTTCTATTACAAACAGCTGTGTGACCTTGAGCCAAAAAGGGTGGTGGGAAATAAAAATAATACCTACTTCATAAGGCCATAAAGACTCGATAAATTAGGCCAGGCACAGTGGCTCATGGCTGTAATCCTAGCACTTTGGGAAGCTGAGGTGGGAGAATCACTTAAGGCCACAAGTTCGAGACCAGCTTGGCCAACATGGGGAAACCCTGTCTCTACCCAAAAATACAAAAAAGAGCCAGGTGTGGTGGCAGGCGCCTGTAATCCCAGCTACTCGGGAGGCTGAGGCAGGAGAATCACTTGAACCCAGAAGACGGAGGTTGCAGTGAGCTGAGATCATGCCATTGCACTCCAGCCTGGGCAACAAGAGCAAAACTCTGTCTCAAAACAACAAAACACCAAAAATCAGCCAGGTGTGGTGGCATGTGCCTGTAATCCCAGCTACTGGGGAGGCTGAGGCAGAAGAATCACTTGAACCCTGGAGGCAGAGGTTGCAGTGAGCCACTGCAGCCTGGGTGACAGAGTGAGACTCTGACTCAAAAAGACTTAATAAATTAGTCTAAATAAAACATTTAAAATAGTGTCTGACACACAGCACCGTAGTAATCATCTCATTTGGTATAATCTGATCCTCATAAAACTAAGAAGGTAAAATCTATTTTTCTTTATTTTTAGATGAGAAAAACTTTTAGAGGCAAAAGGACTGAGATCCAAAGACAAATGAATAAAGAGCTTATAAACTTTTTATCTGCACCGTAGTCTCTTTCATGTATCAACTTTAATGTCATACTGGTCACCAGGAATCAGCTTTCAAAAACAGACTTAAAGACTGGTAGTAACTTTTGTTTTTGAGACAGAGTCTCGCACAGTTGCCAGGCCTGGAGTGCAATGGCGTGATCTTGGCTCACTGCAACCTCCGCCTCTCGGGTTCCCGTGATTCTCCTGCCTCAGCCTCTGGAGTAGCTGGGGTTACAGGTGCACACCACCACACCTGGCAAATTTTCTGTATTTTTTAGTAGAGACAAGGTTTCACCATGTTGGCCAGACTGGTCTCGAACTCCTGACCTTGTGATTCACCCACCTTGGCCTCCCAAAGTGCTGGGATTACAGGTGTGAGCCAACTGGTAGTAACTTTCAACAGACAAGCTAAAGAACAATACACTATCTATATTGCAGTAATTCTAGTAAAAGTGGAAAAATTAAACATCTTCCTTCTTCATTCTGTATTGCCAACCTGTGTTTAAATCACCCTTCACCCTGCATCCTTAACCTGTTTCCCATCCAAGCACTAACCAGGCCCAACACTGCTTAGCTTCCAAGATCAGACGAAATCAGGTGCGTTTAGGGTGGTATGGCCATAGATCTTACCTTTCTATTCTCTCTGCCATAATCTTAGTCCTCCTGCTTTTTAGCTAGCCTCCTGGCATCAAAGCTCACACCTCATCACCTTTCAACATAAACAACCTGAAACATCACTCATTTCACACTCTCCTGGCTCAAAAACCTACTACTCCCTACCACTTACCACATGAAATCCACACTACGATTTCCTTTTTCAAGACAGGGTCTTCCTCTGTTGCCCAGTGCAGTGGCACAATCTTGGCTCATTGCAGACTCAATCTCTTGGGCTCAAGTGATCCTCCTTGGTCTCAGCAGGGACCACAGGCATGCACCACTATACCCGACTAATTTTTAACATTTTTAGTAGAGACAAGGTCTCACTACGTTGCATGAGCTGGTCATGAACTCCTGGGTTCAAGTGATCCTCCTCCCTCAGCCTCCCAAAGTGCTGAGGTTATAGACATGAACCACTGTGCCCTGCCTCACATATAATTTTCACTGCCTTTCATGTGTTGGTTCCATTCTACTTCTCTAAACCTTTTCCCCAACCATAACCAAACACCTTACAGAAACGTCTGCTTACTATTCCATTTACAGAAACTACTCAATGCTTGTGTAAATAAAATTATTAGCTGGGAGGCATCCCTCTGTCATTTCATGTAATACCAGTTATTTTCTCAAGGCCCAGCATCCCCTTTTAATCATTCAATGTATTATACAAACCAGTGTATATAAAAATACGAAACAAAACATTAACGAGACTTTGGAAATAAATCTACATAGCAATTTCCAACGACTCCCTCCCCTTGTGTTTAAGTTTGACTACTTAATGTATGTACCCTTAAAAAGTGTTATTTTTGCATTTCTGAACTTCATGCAAATTGACTTAAAATGTACTGTTCTGACTTGCTTTTAAAAACTGATTTATCCACAATTGTGAGTTAAACCTACATTTTCACTGCAATATAGGTATCATTATGTATGCACATGTACTTTATTCTGCAGATGATGAACATTTAAGTTGTTTTCAATTTCTTGCCATTACCAAGAACAACGCTGTTTCTTGGTGTCCCTTGGTGCAAAACTGCAAAACTTCCTCCTCCATGGTGCTCTTCCAAAATACCATGGCCCACACAAAGACAGACACAAGCATTAAAACTGATAGCCTTTTCCAATCTTTTCAGTCACGTATCTAAAAATCTCTCAACTCCTAGGCTTTTCTCTCTGCTCTAGTTTTAATTATCCATTAGATTTTTCTACACACAAAGAATATTTGGAGTTCAAATATTTGTGTTTCTTTTCTTTTTGAGACAGTCTTGCTCTGTCACCAGCCTTGGAGTGCAGTGGCACGATCTCGCCTCACTGCAACTTCCGCCTCCCAGGTTCAAGCAATTCTGCTTCAGCGTCTCCAACAGCTGGAATTACAGGAACGCGCCATCACGACCCGCTAATTTTTGTATTTTTAGTAGAGACGGGGTTTTCCGTATGTTGCCCAGGTTGGTCTCGAACTCCTGGCCTGAAGTGATCTGCCCACCTCAGCCCCCAAAGTGCTGGGATTACAGGTGTGAATCACTGCACCCAGCCAAATGTTTGTATTTCTTTGACATTATTCTTTCCCCAACTACTGCTTAAGTTGAGTGCTCAAATAATTGACTTTTAATTTTCACATATGGTATAGGTTCCCGTGTGTTAAGAGGGACGGTTAATATCCTAATAATCCTCACAAAGGAGGAAAAAAACCAAACACATCATCCTAAAAGATCTGAAAGTTATGCATCTTCATGAAGTAAATGCAGATAATACTGCTCCCTAATATTAATTAAATGACTACTTTCCATACTTGCTGCATTTACTGCTGGCCCACTAAGACATTTACCATAGGCACTCTGCTTTTACTTTTCTTACCCATCTGCAACTACTCTCTCCTTCTCCACAGGCAAGCTCCCCTCTTGTTTTCCTACTAACCTGTTTCTGCCTGAACCACATTAAAGAGAATGTCAGATAAGATGTTTTTAAGGTTTGGTGGGTGGGGAGCAAGCATACTTTAAATTTTGGAATAGCTTTAAAATTTTTTCAAACCTAAGCTTTCATTACTACTTCACTTTTTATTTTCCACTTCCAAAGAGCCTTGAGCTTTATCTATACAGAGAACATTAGGGCTTGATGTACAACTGGAAAATTATACATCACATCAAAGGCACTCCGCACTCCATCCACACAGAAGTGCCACAGTAATAAATTATATTCAGGTTAGGTCAGATAACAGCACTTTATCATGTAACTTTTACTGTATTACAAATAGGATTATAATAGAAATGCGTTAAAACCTAACACTTATACTCAATTTTTTAAATTACACATAAAACCCCTTTAAAGGTACATATCTAAAACTCAACCCATAGGCTTGTTTTCTGTTTTACTTTTAATTATCCATTAAATTTTCTACACATAAACTTTTATCAAGAACTTCAGAGCCCTTAATCCTAATGATCCAATGAGAAAGGTTTGCTACATAGCTAATAATTATAAATTACAGCACTTTATTTCTTGGACAGCGTTGTGCCTTAGAATAACCAACCACATATACAGAAAATGGCAAAACTACACTCCCAGCCTATAACCCTTCCAATCCATCCCAACAAACTTAGCACTGTCCATCCCAAATGTTAAGTCAATCATCCACTTTACTTTTTTTTGAGATGGAGTCCCGCTCTGTTGCCCAGGCTGGAATGCAGTGGCGCCACCTCGGCTAACTGCTACCTCCGCCTCCTGGGTTCAAGTGATTTCTCCTCCCTCACCCTCCCAAGTAGCTGGGATTACATTACAGGTGCCTGCCACCACGCCCGGCTAATTTTTGTAATTTTTAGTAGAAATGGGGTTTCGCCATGTTGGGCAAGCTGGTCTCAGAACTCTTTACCTCAGATGATCCGCCCGCCTTGGCCTCCTAATGTGCTGGGATCACGGGCCACTGGCCGCAATCATCCACTTTTAGAACCTGTTGCCAGAAGTGTGGGATAGCTGTACTGTAATTCTAACTAAAGGAGATATATAAAATCAAGTATCCCTAACAAAAAGATGTTCTAAGAACATCTAACCATTATTCAATTCTTTGGCTGCAATTCATATTGTAAGCTAATTAGTACTATTTCCAATAATAATGATTTTAACATTTTTGCCTAAGAATATTCTGATTCCTGTGTTTGCTTATACCCAATATCCAAAATGTTACACAAGCACTACTTTCTGTCACTTCTCAGTACTTTTCACTTCAGACTTGAAGCAGCTAGTTTGTCTATGCCAATTTCGCTTAAAAATACAGAGGACTCTAATATTTTAAGCAGTTACAGTATTTACAAAATATGTTTTTCATTTTTTTCTCTCATTACAAAAGTTGATGTTATTTCTCGTGGTAAATTCAGAAAAACATCAGGGAGTAAACAATGCCAACATCTGAGCAAACATTTTGGGGTATATCTCTATTTTCATGTTTACATTGTCGTTTAAAAAACAATCAAACGACATTAGCAGTTTTCCAACATTTTCCTTTCCAGTTAAAACTGTATACCGTTACCATTTTCCCATCATACTCTTCACCTACGATACTGTTTTAAGTGGCTGTATAGATTTCCACTTTCACAACAGAATTAGCAGATTCCCAAAACTTGAATATTTAATTTTAAAAAAAATTCTTAATAACTGATATTAAATTTATATACGCAAATCTGACACATTACTTCCTTAGGATAAATTCCTGTACGCACAGTCTTTCCATTTTAAGCCTATTATACTATGAAGGAGTCTGAATCAACATCTAAGAGCTCCGAGAGTTCAACACCAGCCTGGGCCATATTGTGAGAACACGTCTCTACAGACGATCAAAAAATTAGCTTGGTGTGGTGGCGCGCGCCTGTGATCTCAGCTACCCAGGAGGCTGAGGTGGGAGGATTACTTAAGCCTGGGAGGTCGAGGCTGCTGTGAGCCGTGAGCCACTGATCATACCACTGCACTCCAGTCTGGGCAACAGAGCGATCCTGTTTCAGAGAAAAAAAAGATCCAAGACCTCTGTAGACCACACTGACAGCACTGCTACTATTTGCAACTGGTCACGACCTATCTGGGCTTTAACCTTCTCTTCTATAAAATTAGGGATTTGAACTACGTGATGCTCCTAAAATACGACACCACCGTTGCACTCCTCAGTAAAAACCATTAACTGACTTGTAATATTAGCGTTTACAAACTCTAAAAGCATTAGTAAAAAAATTAGTATGTTTAAAGACTAAAACAAATGCACAGATCAAGGGTAGTTAAATCCTTCCAAGTTAGTTCAAAATGTGATATAAAAGCTGTACACGGCTGAAAAATATATAAAGATGATAAAGCGAAACTTCTCTGGGTAAAGTACAAAGTAATGTTCTAAGTATATACTGTTAAGTGCAAAGGAAGAAATACAAATTTAAAGCACTTCAACACACATCTGGCTAAATGATCTTTTCCAAATCTTACATAACCAAGAAACTTCATGCAGTATTTTAATGTTGTTTAATTTCGAGTTTGCAAAAACATTCTATTTAAGTGGAAAAGGCATCATCCAGAGCGTTTTTGCAACGAAAATGTCAAGCCTTTCTTGATTTTTAAAACAATACTGTGAAAAACGTCGATAGACTGCGTAGATGACTGAGCCATTAGTAAAGAAATGTTTTTAAAGGGAAATTTTAAACATTTATTAAAATAGCCTGAAACATCATTTTTGTCCGCATAGTCAACTGTTTAGATTTCCCTGGGAGAAAAATGTATTTTACCGACTATTCAGAAATCTTAAGCCAAGGTTTAAAACACAGAACGCAGTACCAATACAAAATCTCGTGACCCCTACCTACGAAATCAACGATTCTTCACATTATTCCAGCGCGCCCGAAAGACTAGCCATTTCAGAACCACCATAACCGTTCTAGAAATATCTGGCTAAAAAACTGTAACTGATCCAATAGGAATATTCCACAGAACAGGGCCACAGAGCAGGATAAACACCTAGGGGATATTCATCCACGGTAAATGCCGAACACAGAACATGGCACAGAGCTCGAAATGCAAAGAACGATGCGGCGACTACACCACGGTACTCCAAAACCCTTTGTCTGGAAACCGGAAGGTCCCACACCACACGATCCTCTCTGGAGGAACCTGGACTAATACTATTTTGATAAAGAGAAAAAGGATGTGAGGTGACTTGACTAAACAAGTGCAAATCACCCGCCTCGCACTGTACTGCAGGCGGCTTGTTCCACGACGCAGTACGAAAAACAAGCGTTAACGTTTCATTTTTCGGCCATTTTTACGCGATGGGGGGCGGGGAGGAATTGTTTCTGATGTCCAGCTAACGCCGCGCGCGCGCGCGCGTGTGGGCCGGGAGTCTTAGGGGGCGCTCTGAGGCGATGGGCAAGGAGCGGCGTGAAGGCCGAGACACCGGGAAAAGAAAGAAACGCTGCTCAAACAAGCAGGCTCTTCAGAGTCTGCGAAATCCTCCATTTTGGGGGAACATTTTCAGAGAAAAAAAGGCGAACGGGTTATTTGGCACTGGCGCTACCCAAGGACTTAGATATCTTAACCATCCTCCTCAAACGGCAAGCCCCCAGTGTACAGTCTGTCCCTCAGGCCTCGAGCGAGCTCCTCCCTCCCCCTCAGCGCCGCGGCCCGCGTGTAACGGGCTAGTCGTCCCGCCCCCGCCCACAACGAGCCCAGGACGCGCAGGAAGCTCGGCCGGTCAGCGCACCTCTTCACCCAAAATCTCCCGCCGCACCCTGGGCCCTTGGCCGGCCGCGTGTTTCCCTCCCGGACCGCTCACCTCCGCCGCCCTAGAAGGCTGGTTGCGCCGCCACTGCGCTCCTAACATGGCGGCCGCCGATCAGGCGGCTCACATACGCAACGCGGAGGGAGGCAGAGCGGGAGCGAGCAAGAAAGGCGCGCCGCCGGCTCCCCGCAGCCCCTGTCGCCGTCGTTGTCCCCTCCCGGCGGACACGGAGAACCCCCAGCCACCCGACCCCGACTCTTACCCGCTTCACGCCTACCTTAGGGAAAGGGAGAGGGAAAAGGAGAGGTACCTCTCTCCCAGCGAGCGGGACGCGGAGACTCCCACAATCCCCCGCAGCAACGGCGCTGGCGAGAAGCGGCGGCAGCGGCTGCAGCCCAAGAACAAACCCACTCTCGCGAGAGAGCTCGCCCCCACCCCCTCGATCTGGTTCGGCGCGCGCCAGGCCCCTCCCCCTACTCAGCGCGCGCACCTCGCTCGTGCACTCGCCTGCGGTCGTTGTTCTTTAATCCCGGAGATCCCTCTCCGTCATCCAGCTGAGGCGGGAAATGGAGGAACAGACGTGGCTTACGAGTTCGAGTCCCATTCCCGAAAAGGCTGTTTGTCAACCTCCTGAATAGCATAATACAAAGTTTAAATAGGGTATGCCTTAGAAGGGATTCGCGAGAGTCCCTGGCTTAGACTCGACTTTTATGCTCTCTGGTTGTTCTGTTTGCCAAGGAATGGTGGAAAGCGCCAGATATTGGGGCCACAAAGGGAAAACGATACCATTTTGGCTGGTTTTTATTTAGGTATGTTTATTTATTTATCATAAATAAACTGTGTTGCTCAGGTTGGAGTGCGCTGGCGTTATCATGGCTCATTGCAGCCTCGAACTCCTATCCTCAAGGGATCCTCCCACCTCAGCCTCCCCAGTAGCTGGGACTACAGGCTCGCACCACCATGGCCAGCTAACTTTTTTATTTTTATTTTTTCCGTAGAGATGGTGTCTCGTTATTTTGCCTAGGCTGGTCTGGAACTCCTTGGCTCAAGCAGTGCTCCCGCCTCCGCCTCTCAGCATTGGATTAAGGGCGTGAGCCTACACGCCCAGCCAGCTGTTTTTTTTGTTTTGTTTTTTGTTTTGAGACGGAGTCTCACTCTGTCACCCAGGCTGGAGTGCAGTGGCGCGATCTCGGCTCACTGCAAACTCCGCCTCCCGGGTTCACGCCATTCTCCTGCCTCAGCCTCCGGAGTAGCTGGGACTACAGGCGCCCGCCACGACGCCTGGCTAATTTCTTTTTGCATTTTTAATAGAGGCGGGGGTTTCACCGTGTTAGCCAGGATGCTCTCGATCTCCTGACCTTGTGATCCGCCCGCCTCGGCCTCCCAAAGTGGCCAGCTGGTTTTTAAAATCAGGAATTCTGTGCAGGAGGGTCGTTGAGGCGGAGGACCGCGAGCCTTTTCCTTCCTAAAGACCACCGCCGCCTTTTGGTGAATTTGACTGAATGCAATACACTCTTGGGACTGAGGTACTGGTTAGGTACCCGGGTTGGAGGGATTTGAGCTCCGGCCTTCAGAGGCTTAAGTAAATTGTTTGGAGACCTAATCTGGCTGCAACTCTCTCCCCAACCATCCTTGCAGAACTCCGCATCTGGAGAGTTGGGAATTTTCCAGCACAGTTAATGATTATAATATGGAGTGCTTTCTATAAGGTGGGCAATGCAATAAGCAGTTTACACATAACCCTACAATAACCTTGAGAGGCGGCTACTGTGGGATACCATTTGGTAGATCACAAAACTGAGACATTAAAAGGTTATGTGATTTGAGGCACGGTAGATCTCGCCTGTAATCCCACCACTTTTGGAGGCCTTGGCGGGTGGATCACTTGAGTTCAAGAGTTCCAGACCAGCCTGGGCATCGTGGCGAAACACCGTCTCTACTAAAATAATAATAATAACACAAAGTTAGCTGGGCGTGGTGGTGTACGCCTGTGGTCCCAGCTACTCACCTGGTACGGAGGACGGGGCTGAGGATCGTTTGAGCCGGAGGCGGAGGTTGCCGTGAGCCTAGTGCACCACTGCACACTCCAGCCTGGGCTACAGAGTCAGACATTGTCTCAAAAAAAAAAAAAAAAAAAAAAAAAAGGTTATGTAATTCAATAAAGTGAAAAAGCTGGTCAGTGGAGTCTTGATGCCTCAACGAAGCACTACCTGAAATGGCATAGCCATAAAAATGAAGTTACTTGGCCAGGCGCGGTGACTCATGCCTGTAATCCCAGCACTTTGGAAACCCGAGGCAGGTGGATCACTTGAGGTCGGGAGTTCGAGACTAGCCTGACCAACATGGAGAAACCCCGTCTCTACTCGAAATACAAAAATTAACCGGGCATGGTGGTGCATACCAGTAATCCCAGCTACTCGAGAGGCTGAGGCAGGAGAATCGCTTGAACCCGGGAGGCGGAGGTTGCGGTGAAGCCAAGGTCGCGCCATTGCACGCCAGCCTGGGCAACAAAAGCAAAACTCCGTTTCAAAAAAAAATGAAGTTACCATCTCAAGACAGGGTAAATTGTTTTATCTACAAAATAAGTAGTAAGCCACTGATTCACAATATTACTTTATCTCAATCTAATTTAGTCAGTGATACAAGAAATATTTCTTGAGTACCTACTGTGTCAATATATTAGGCCTCAGCCAAAGAGCAGGAAAGGAGACAAAGGCACTGCCCTCATGGAGCTTACACTTTATGCAGACATTAAACCAATAAATATGTATTTGAGACGAGTGAATAATCTGAGGGAATGAGGAGCTTTCCTGAGAAACTGAGGTTTGAGCTAATATCTGACGAGTAGGCAATTAACTAGGTGAAGGGAATAAAGCATCCCCAGGCAGAGGGATCAGAATGTGTGAAAACTCTGAGGTAGACTTTGGGAAACTGCAGAATTTTTGGTGTGTTGTTTATTTTTGGAGACAGGGTCTTGCTCTGTTGCTCAGGCTGGAGTGCAGTGGTGTGACCATGGCTCACTGCAACCTCTGCGTCCCGGGTTTAAGCAATCCTTCCGCCTCAGCCTCCTGTGCATAGACATTAAAAAGGGCTGGAGATGTAGGAAAGGGCCATTTCCCTGGGGTTACAAATTCAAATGCAGAATCTAAGATAAACTGGGTAATACAAGTCCTATTTAATACTATCCAACGCAAGTTCAGTTGGGGACACATGAATTTTAAGGTAAGGAGTGGTATATATGGGTCTTGAGCCCAGGGAAAGATTGTGGGTTAGTGACAAATTTACAAGTTAATGCCGTAAACGAAGTAACAGGAGTTGAAAAATAAACTTAAAGCCAGACACAGTGGTTCACACCTGTAATCCCAGCACTTTGGAAGGCTAAAGTGGGCCGATCGCTTGAGGCCAGAAAGTTCAAGACCATCATAGGCAACATGGTGAAACCATGTCTCTACAAAAAATACAAAAATTACCCAGGCGTGGTGGCATACGCACCTGTAGTCCCAGCTACTCCGGGGCAGGGGTAGACAGGGTCAGGGGTGGCTGATGTGGAAGGATCGACTGAGCCTGGGAGGGGGTGGCACTGCACTCCAGCTAGGCAACAGAGCAGGACCCTGTTAAAAAAAAAAAAAAAAAAAAAAAAAAAAGAGCGGCCAGGCGCAGTGGCTCATGCCTGTAATCACAGAATTTTGGGAGGCAGATCGTTTGAGGTCAGGAGTTCGAGACCAGCCTGGCCAACATAGTGAAACCCCATCTCTACCAAAAATATAAAAAATTAGCTGGGTGTGGTGGCGCTCGCCTGTAATCCCAGCTACTTGGGAGGCTGAGGTTGCAGTGAGCCATGATCACACCACTGCACTCCAGCCTGATCAACAGAGCAAGACTCTGTCTCAAAAAAAAAAAAGAACCTTAAGTGGATGCAGTGAAAAAAGAGGCCTGAGCGCCAATCCTTGAGGAACTTTAATCAAGTATAGCAAAGGAAACTTAGTGGACAGGGGTAGGGGGAGAAAAGCAAATATATGTATATATGAAGGGAAGGCAGAGGAAGGAAAGCACAGAAATTGTGTTGCCTTGAAAACAACAACAAAATACTTCAAGGACAAAGTGATCAACAGGGTCAAATGCTACCAAGAGGTCAAGATGAAGACCAATGACATCTACAAGATTTAGCAACATGGATATCAGGTAACATTGAGAGTTGCTTCCACTGAAGCGTGAAATAGACTGGAAAGGCTGAATATGGGAAGAAGGAAGACAAAAAGTACTCAATGCAGAAAATTTTGGCTATGAAGAGACTAGAGGAGAGAAAGCAGGATTAAGGGTTTTTTGTTTTACTACGTGAGGGACTTCAGCACAACGAATTGGCAGTAAGGATATCTTAACGAAGGAATTGTTGGAAAGACAAGGAGATGGGATAATCCATAATAGAGGTTCCTGAAAGGATAGGGAAGAAAGATAATTTCCTTTACAGTAACAGGAGGTATGGAGCAGACAGTGCTGAAATTTCATTAGATTGGTAGAAGGAAGACATGGACATTATAGTCAGCTAATATCAATTTACTCTGTGAGAAAGTCTTCTGTTGAGAGCTGGAGCTGCAAGAAGGAAATTTATATATTTATGTATTTTTTATCATATTTATAAATTTAGAGACAGGGTATATATTTAGAGATGGGGTCTTGCTCTCTCATCCAGGATGGAGTGCAGTAGCTTGATTGTGGCTCACTGTAGCCTCTAATTCCTGGGCTATAAGCTATCCTCCTTCCTCAGCCTCCCAAGTACTGGGACTTACAGGGGTGTGCCACCACGCCCAGGCAAGGAAAATGTTTAAATAGCCATTGTGAAAGTGGAACTGCAATCTTACATCTGTATGTTATTTTCTGTTTTTCAAAGGTTTGAGCAAAGCTTACAAAATGTGATTCACATCTTTGAGGCCAATCATTTGACAGGCTTGGAAAAGGAATTTGGTAGGATTCATCAAGGGCTGGGGCTTCCCTCATGATGTTGGCCGGGTGTGGTGGCTCACGCCTGTAATCCTAGCACTTTGGGAGGCTGAGACGGGCAAATCACAAGGTCAGGAGTTCAAGACCAACCTGGCCAACATGATGAAACCATGTCTCTACTAAAAATCCAAAAATTAGCTGGGTGTGGCCGGGCGTGGTGGCTCATGCCTGTAATCCCAGCACTTTGGGAGGTTGAGGCGGGTGGATCATGAGGTCAGATCGAGACCATCCTTTCTGACATGGTGAAACCCTGTCTCTACTAAAAATACAAAAAAAATTAGCTGGGCGTGGTGGCAGGCACCTGTAGTCCCAGCTACTCGGGAGGTTGAGGCAGGAGAATGGCGTGAACCCAGGAGGCGGAGCTTGCAGTGAGCTGAGATTGTGCCACTGCACTCCAGCCTGGGCGACAGAGTGAGACTCCGTCTCAAAAAAAAAAAGAGATGATGTTTAAACCCACCATGTAGCTAGCTTTGGAAAGACAAAATTTTTTTGGAGGGAATCTTACTTTTCAGTGACTCTTGAGTCTTCCACTCAAAAGCTGATCTGCTTTCTACTCTGCAAGTCTGATTCCAACTGATCTTGTTCTCAACTATTAGATGAAACAACAGCCTCTGGTCCTTTGGCAGACAGAAACATGACTGCCTATCAAATCTCAGTTCAGATACACACCTACCCATGTTTGCATAAGGTTCTAATGCCATCTGGTGATCGTGCAGAGAAAGTCAAACTTTTTCAACGAAGTAATTATTTATTGAGGAACTTAGTGATGATGTGGGAGATTCAAAAGAAATATAACAGGTGCTTAGGGGCTTATCAGCAAAAAGACACAAAGGAAAAAAAGTTTGGTTTTTGTTTGTTGGTTTGTTTGTTTTTTGAGACAGGGTCTCGTGTTTCCCAGGCTGGAGTGCACTAGTGCCATCTTGGCTCACTGTAGCCTTGATTTCCTGGGCTCAAGTGTTCCTTCACCTCAGCCTCCGAGTACCTGGGACTACAGAAGCGCGCCGCCAAACCCAGCTAATTTTTTTTTGGTATTTTTTGTAGAGACGGGGTTTCATTATGTTGCCTAGGCTGGTGTCGAACTCCTGGGCTTATGTGATCTGGCTGCCTTGGCCTCCCAAAGTACTGGGATTAGAGGTGTGAGCCACCATGCCCGGCCACCAAAATTAATGCAAGATTTCATTCATCAAATGCCTATTTCATGAAGGACATTCTACAATGATGGAAAAGACAAACTTCCAGCCCTTAGGATCTTGGTTTGATGGAGATTGACAAGGAGTTTGACCTCAAAGTGGGCCTGTTTGTGAGCAGGCATGGGTAAAAAGCTGTATTCACATTTGGGTGTGGGAGTGGGTGTGCATCAGGAATGGTAAAGAATGGGGCCTTTCAAAGCAAGAATTGCTGGTGAGACTTTGAAAGGTCTAAGTGACAAGTTTGGTACAGCTTAATGATGAAACTTTTTTTTTTTTAGAGACGGAGTTTTGCTCGTTGCCCAGGCTAGTGTGCAATGGCGCAATCTTGGCTCACGGCAACCTCCGCCCACCGGGTTCAGGCGATTCTCCTGCCTCAGCCTTCTGAGTAGCTGGGATTACAGGTGCGCGCCAACATGTCCAGCTAATTTTTGTACTTTTAGTAGAGATGGGGTTTCGCCACATTGGCCAGGCTGGTCTCGAACTCCTGACCTCAGGTGATCCACCCGCCTTGGCCTCCCAAAGTGGTAGGATTACAGGCGTGAGCCTCCTCTCCCAGCCCTGTAATGAAACTTTCAATGCCAGAATAGAGTATGGATTTGAGATTATAATGAGGACCTTTTCCAATTTTGAGTAGAGGAAAAAGCAAGAAAAGATTGGGGACATATACTTTGACACCACAAAATCCATTAAAATATATTATGTGAATATGAGGAGTCCTGTCATCAATGACATTTTTCTTGAAATTTCTTTTGATGAGAAAATTAAGCTTGACAAAGGTAAAAGTCCTAAAAGACGACAAAATGGAATTATGGAATTCACACCTTTGAGGTCAACCATTTGATATTCAGCAGCCAACTAATATTTGAGAGACTATTTATTACTATTGTATACTAGGCACTTGCCAGTACATAATAGTAAACAAAATAAAACAAAATAAAAGGTCTCTGCTCTCATGGAGCTCAGGAGTCTAGCAGAATAGACCACTATTTACATGCTCTACTAAGCAGTTGATAACACATTTTAATTACCATTATTCCTTTTTTTTTTTTTTGAGACGGAGTCTGGCTCTCTTGCCCGGGCTGGAGTATAGTGGCATGATCTTGGCTCACTGCAACCTCCGCCTCCCAGGTTCAAGCAATTCTCCTGCCTCAGCCTCCCAAGTAACTGGGATTACAGGCCCGTGCCACCAGCTTGGCTAATTTTTGTATTTTTAGTAAAGATGGGATTTCACCAAGTTGGCTAGGCTGGTCTTGTACTCCTGACCTCAAGCGATTTGCCCGCCTCAGCCTCCCAAAGTGCTGGGATTACAGGTGTGAGCCACTGTGCCTGGCCAACGTACCATTATTCCTATTTCACATAAGATATCAAGAAGCTTGTCCACAGAGGAGGTCTACAGAAATAAATAATAAAATTAAAAAGTCCAGGCACAGTGGCTCACACCTGTAATCATAGCACTTTGGGAGGCCGAGGTGGGAGGATTACTTGAGGGCAGTTCGAGACCAGCCTGATCAACACAGTGAGACCCCATTTCTATTTTATAATAAATAAATAGCTTTTAAAAAGAAGATTGCCTATGATCTTGCAGCTAGAGACAAATGCAGAGCCTTTGAATGTTATGCTGTCTGCAGCAGAGTTGACACCTCAGAAATCTACTGGGACAGTTTTAATGCCCTGGAACCAGGTCATTTTTTAAGGCTACTTAAAAACAGAAAACTTAACCAGTAGCTGCTCTTCTAGCAGTGGCAAGAGGATGGGGTCAGGTCTTACAAAGGAGTTTTTGAAAAGGTTATATATGAATTTCAAAACTCTGTCTTTTGAGAGTTTAATTATAATGTGTCCTGGTCAAGATATCTTTAATATATTTGGGGTTCTTGGATCTGGATATTCATTTGTCTCTCTAGATTGGGGAAGTTTCCTTTAAGTAAACTTTCTGCCCTTTATTCTGCTCTTTCTGAAATACCCAAAGTGCGTATATGGGTTCACCTGATGGTGTCCCATAGGCTTCACTTTTTCATTTTTTTTTCCTCTGACTAATTTCAAGTGATCTGTCTCAAGTTCATTGATTCTTTTTTTGAGTCTGTTGTTGAAACGTCTGTGGAATTTTCCAATTTAGTCATTGTGTTCTCTAGCTCCAGAATTTGGTTCTTTTTAATGATTTCTGTTTGTTGAACTTCATATTGTTCATGTCTTGTTTTCCTGATCTCATTTAATTCTTTTTTTTGAGACGGAGTTTCACTCTTATTGACCAGGCTGGAGTGCAATGGTGCAATCTTGGCTCATTGCAACCTCCACCTCCCAGGTTCAAATAATTCTCCTGCCTCAGCCTCCCAAGTAACTGGGAGTAGAGGCCTGTGCCACCAGTAGAGCGAGATTCTGTCTCAAATAAAAATTTTAAAAATGTCTTGAAATTCTTATTCTGGCCCACAGTTTCTTCAAGACACAACAGGGCAAGCATTGAGGAATTTTAATAAAAAGTGATAAATCATATCATGGGGCAAGACTAGGGATTAGAATGTGGCATTCATTAAGGCTTTCCAGAGGAATATTTTTTAAAAATCTAAAAGACTATGTTTTGTTCTGTTAGGACAAACAGAACCCACTGCACACTACAGCAAGAGTAGCCAAGATGTTGACCATCTGAAACAAGGTATTTGGCATTTGAAATAGTTGTAAGAATCTGTAAGTAAGACATTTGAGTAGTTCCTTCAAGATGTTAGATTGAACGAGGTTGATGATTGAAGAAGCAGAAATTTACAAGACTTGAGGGCACTATACATGAAAGCTCCTAAACCAAACAGTACTTTTGGAGCCAGATTCATTCAGCACCACACAAGTTCTCGTGTGACTGTGACTTTGGGCAAGTAACATGTACCTTGTAGGGCTGTTGAAAAAAGAGATGTGTTAAATGTATTTAACATGGTCAACATGTAGTAAATAGTGTTGATATTCTATGGCGCCACATGTCCCAAAGTATACCCTAATGACAAAAAATCATAGATTCAAAGATTTTATTTTTTATAGAACCCCAGAATAATAACATATTATAATTATACACTTCAATCTGGTTATAAGTTATATCCTCGCAGCTACTTACCAATATGCCTGCTTGTAAGAGAGGTTCTTCAAGTTATAATTTACACAAAGATGTCTCACAAATTTTCTCAAATATAAAGATATTTACAGATTACTGAAATAAGTAACAAAAGCCTACACATGTGTTTTAGTTAACAGATGTCTGAAATCTAAATAGCAAGTCTCTGCAAATCCATTATTTTCTTTTTTTTTTTTTGAGACTGTCTCAGTCTGTCACCCAGGCTGGAGTGCAGTGGCACGATCTCAGCTCACTGCAACCTCTGCCTTCCAAGTTCAAGCGATTCTCGTGCCTCAGCCACCCAAATAGTTGGGATTACAGGCATACACCACAACACCCAGCTAATTTTTGTATTTTTTTCTTTTGTAGAGACGGGGTTTCACCATGTTGGCCATGCTGGTCCTGTCCTGGCCTCAAGTGATCCACCCACCTCAGCCTCTCAGTGTTGGGATTATAGGCAACCGCGCCCGGCCAAATCCATTATCATCACTTAATGTTTAAAGGCTACGTTCAGTTTCCTATAGGTGATATTGTTAGGATCTACTAGCAAATGATTTGGTAACCTGACATCTTTGTATTCATGTCCAAAAAAATTCTTTTATAAGAACAAAAATGGTACTCTTAGCCTCATTCACTGGAGTATTACTGAAAAGCATGATATTCTTACTCTATTTTGGGTACATTATGACAGAGAGGTTATTATTACCAACTGTCAGTAGAACTGAGGCTTCTTGAGTAAAGGGGATTGAGGTAAACCTTTGGAAGCTGGTGAATACATTTCAAGACACAACATGGCACCTGTGTCTAGCTCTATGGTACAACATGGTACTATGACACATATAATGGGTTGCCAGATGGGGAAGGCAGCTTCTCTGCAACTGAGCTGAGATCTCAAAATAGACAATGTCAAGATGGAATGAGAAGGGAAAAACAGCATGTGTAGACAGGTAGTGACAAAAGGCTAATTAAGGACTGAAAGAAACCAGTGGCCAACAAGGGAATCTACGGGTGATAAAGATAAGACGGTGAGAGAGATAAGGCTAGATTGTATAAGGCTTGACAGACCATAGCAAGATAAGCAAGAACTGTGTCCTGTTAACCATTTATCCCTAACATCTAGCATAGAGTTCAGTTAGTAAAAGCCATAAACCCTTTGAGTCTTCTGGCAAGATAAGTAATTAGCACAGATTATTGTCACTCACTGCAACTCAGCCTTGGAGGGAGTACACAAATCAGAAGGAGGTCAAGTGTCTGGGAAATTAAATGACGGCACCTGGAAGAACAGATCATTGTTGGGGTAAGAAATGGAAGCCCAGTGTAGAAAAGGATAGAATGCCATGGGGTTAGAGGTAGCAGAGGCTGGGACAGAACTTGTCTGTTCTGCCCCCTTTCACCCCTCCTGTTCTTTGCCTTATGTCCAACCCATCACTTGCTGGGGTAGTCAGCCTAGTTGAACAGGTTTAGACAACCCTAGAGTTCTCTCCAGGAGAATTAATACTGAGAAGGAGAAGTTCTACCATTGTCACTCTGGTGAAGCACAGATTCTAACTCAGAGGCTCTTTGCCTTGAGGGGCATCTTCCCTCTCCTTCAACTCATCAGAACCCTTAGTTCTGGGCTTGGCTTCTCCCTTTTAGCAGCTGATAACAAAATCCCCATCCTCTACTATAAGCTTACGGGCTGAAAGTCAGCCATGTAAGGACTACAGCATCCACTCTCAAAAGACAACAGGCTCAACCACTATTCTCTACATGACAGAATAAAGTAAGACCACAGAATAAAAATGGAATGTTTTGAGAATTTAGGAGGCAGCCGGGCACGGTGGCTCATGCCTGTAATCCCAGCTACTGGGGAGGCTGAGGCAGGAGAATCACTTGAACCCGGGAGGCAGAGGTTGCAGTGAGCTGAGATTGAGCCATTACATTGCACTCCAGCCTGGATGACAGAGACTCCGTCTCAAAAACAAACAAACAAAAAAACAAAACTGTCAAGGTCATTAAAAACAAGTCTAAGAAGCTGTCATGGCCAACAGGAGCCTAAGTGTAATGTGGTATCTTCAACGGGATCCTAGAACAGACAAAAGACATTACATAAAAACTAATGAAATCTGAACAAAGTATGGACTTTAGTTAATACTAATGTATCAATATTAGCCCATTTAATTGTGACAACCATAATATACCAATGTAAGATGTTATTAGGGGAAACTGGGTATGGTATATATGGGAACTCTTTGTACCATCTTCCCAACTTTTCTATAAATCTAAAAGTATTGTAAAATAAAATAAATTTTAAAGTCCTTTTTACTGTACTTTCCCAATGAGTATATCACCCTTAAGAAGCAGCACAGAACATTCTTACATCCTAAAGGGCCTTTACTGGAGGGCAAGGAAGACCAAACAAGTAACAGGGTCTCCTCTGAACAAGCCTTAGGCTACTAAACTGACAAATTTATGACTCATCAAGTTGGCTCATTACAAGTGTTCCTAAATAGCATTAAGGAGAAAGATGTTGCTAAGCAGAGATTTTAAGTTATTACAGTTAATTTGTTAATTCAGTGAAATTGTTTTTCAAGAGTATATTGACAGGTCCATTAACTGGAGCTGTGTTCATAAAGCCCTAATTAAGCAACAACATTCACAGGAGTCATTGTCACTCTTTTTAAGTTCTTAATTAGTTGCTCTTAGCACGGTGTTTTCCTTTGTGTGAATTCCTAGGCACTTAGCCACCTCTTTGTGTCCCTTTGGGACTTGCAGAATTTATCCCTCTGGGTTTTGCTTTTCTGGTTTAAATTTGAGTGAGGCATGATCCAAAATTTCAACATAAAATCCCACTGACACTAGTTTGTTTCAACCCAGCAAGTGAAATCATGGACAGGTGCCAGGAATAGTGTTTATTAATTGTGGTTCCCTCATTTTTTAAAAAATTCAAGGTTGGTGGGGGTGTTTGGAAACCCTCCTTATTTTTAGTTTTTCCTCTTAATATGGTACAGGCCTAAGACCTGAAACTTGGCCTAAGCAATGAAAAGAGGCACTTGTGTTTACTGCTACCTATGGCAGCTGGCAGCCTGGGTATTTACAGACCAGTAACCCTGCCAGTCTCATTCAAGTTTTCATTGCAGCATGGGAAAAGATTAACAGAAAAAAACTACTTCGGCTGGGTGTGGTAGCTCACACCTGTAATCCAGCACTTTGGGAGGCTGAGGCGGGTGGATCACCTGAGGTAAGGAGTTTGAGACCAGCCTGGCTGAAATGGCATGGCAAAACCCCATCTCTACTAAAAATACAAAAAAAAATTTAGCCAGGTGTGGTGGCGTGTGACTATAGTCCCAGCTACTTGGGTGGCTGAGGCAAGAGAATTGCTTGAACCCAGGAGGTGGAGGTTGCAGTGAGCTGAGATCGTGCCACTGCACTCCAGCCTGGGCAACAGAGCAAAAAAAAAAAAAAAAACAAAAAAAAAAACTACTTCGAGGCCAGGCAGAGTGACATCTGTAATCCTAGCTACTCAGGAGGCTGAGTCAGGAGGACCACGTGAGCCCAGAAAGTTGAGACTGCAGTGAGCTGTGACCACACCACTGCACACCAGCCTGAGTGAGACCTTGTCTCTAAAAAAAACAAATAACTACTTTGAAGCCAGGCATGGCAGCACATGCCTATAGTCCCAGCTACATGGGAGGCTGAGGCAGGAGGTTTGCTTGGCCCAGGAGGTCAAGGGTGCAGTGAGCTGTGCTTGTGCCACTGCACACCAGGCTGGGTGACACAGTTGAGACCCTCTATCAAAAAAGATTTTAAAAACTAATCTTCTTAGACTCACCAGGAAATATATTTCTTTGCTTAAAAAAAAAAAAATCGACAGGGATAAGTAGGTGAGTAACTTTATTTATCAAGTAGGAAATCCCATCAAATTATTTAAATGCACATGATTACACCATTGATGCCTTTTGGGATATTGAATACAGGAATACCAATGAATTATCTATTTTCAAGTAGCAATATAGGAACGTCTCTGCACATGGATAGCGCTACTGTAGTCAGGAAGACAACCTGTATGCTTAGAACTTGAGGCCTCAGATTTAAAGTACTGTGACTATTCATGACATAAAATTTTCCTCTTTCCTTAGGAGCCATTTCGGTTTTACCAACTCAGACTGAGATTGTGGCTGAGTTTGATAAGTGCAGACTGCTATTCTTTCTTAAGACCTCTCCCTTTGGAGCACATTAAAAGTGGAGAGAACTGCTGTAAGTAACCCATGCAAAAAAACACATAAACAAATCCCAAACACACAAAAAACAGACTATTTTTACTACTGGTTAATTTCTTGCAGTCACCTTAGTGCCCTAAAAGATGAAGAGTATGATGCTCTAAGGCAAAGCTATTGATAACATTAAACTTTTCAGAAAGACACATTGCTATTGGCTCTGAACCTGTCACTAATGAGCTGTTCAACTTTCAAGGCCTGAATTTCATTCTCCAGGACAGAGGTTGGCAAACCATAGCCTATGGGCCAATTCCAGCCTGCTGTTTTTGTATGGCTCTCAAAATAAGAATGGTCTTTAAATTTGTAAATCATTGAAAACAATTTTGACACTGAAAATTTTATGAAATTCTAATTCAGTGTCCATAAATAATGTTCTATTAGAACTATAGACTTGCTCATGTGTTGATATTGTCTAAGGCTGTGTTTGCACTAGAGCTGCAAAAATAGTTGCAAAAACCACATGGCTGAACAAGCATAATATTATATTACCTGGCTCTTTACAGCAAGTTTGCTGATCCCTGCTCTAGAACAGCAGTGCATAATAAACTTTCTGAATTGGTGGAAATGTTCTCTAATATTGGAGTTGTCCAATAGGGTAGTCAGCAGCCAGATTCTGAGATTAAGAAATTGATTAATTTTTATCAACTTACACAGCCACATGTAGCATATACCTACTGCACAGCAGAGCTCCAGAAAAGTGAGGGATGGACTTTAGATCCTAAGAATTCTCTAAAATTCTGATACTTGGCTGGGCGCGGTGGCTCATGCCTGTACTCCCATCACTTTAGGAGGCCAAGGCAGGTGGATCACGAGGTCAGGAGTTCGAGACCAGCCTGACCAACATGGTGAAACCCCATCTCTACTAAAAATACAAAAATTAGCTGGGCGTGGTAGTGCACGCCTATAATCCCAGCTACTCAGGAGGCCGAGGCAGGAGAATCGCTTGAACCCAGGAGGTAGAGGTTGTAGTGAGCCGAGATTGCGCCATTGCACTCCAGCCTGGGAGACAGTGAGACTCCGTCTCAAAAAACAAACAAAAAAACCTGTAATCCCAGCATTTTGGGAGGCCAAGGCAGGCAAATCGCAAGGTCAGGAGTTTCAGACCAGCCTGGCCAATATGGTGAAACCTCGTCTCTACTTAAAATAAAAAAATTAGCCTGGCATGGTGGCAGGTGCCTGTAGTCCCAGCTACTCGGGAGGCTGAGGCAGGAGAATCGCTTGAACCCAGGAGGCAGAGGTTGCAGTGAGCCGAGATCGAGCCACTGTACTCTAGCCTGGGCAACTGAGCAAGACTCCGTCCCCCCCCAAAAAAAAGTCTGATACTCTACATAATTTTTCACATCATAATTTTAAGTCCCCTACCCCCATCTGAGCTATAGTAATTTAATTGGGACCTACATGACAAGAAGACTACATACGTTACTTATCTTGGTGTCACACAGGGCTGTCAGACATCTGGGGTCCTGATGGAGGTAGATGTCATTCAGGTGAAGGCATCTAGGATTCAAAGAGGTAAAGAATGACAGGCTGTCCCTAAGACAACCTGTCTTTTTCTGCAAACAGAAAAAAATTGTTTGCACCCAGACTAGGATCAACTCCACAGGAGTCATTCCACTCTCAGAGGTGCAAAACACTGCCCAAAGGTACTCAGCTACAACACCAAAACAGTGCTTGGAGCCAAACCTCAATAAAGACAGTGTTTGCTCTTCCAACAGTGTAACACCATCACAGGCACCACATGAGCCTGGATAGCTGACAACCGCTGGATGATTCCTGAAACAGCTTTCTCATTATTTGTTTCAGATACCTAGGCACTCCAGGTAGAAGACGTATCAGTTGAATATTGACTGCAAAACAGGCGTGGAAGCACTAATTGCAGACCCTGTTGTCAAACCCTTTAACAGGAATCCCCTTCTGTGTTTTCAGTTGTTTTATGCAACATTCAGGGAGGTCCTGCCATGTGCCAAGCACTGCGATTGGGATCTAGCAGTGAATAAAACAAGATATATTGTCCTTTCCTTCATGGATCTTACAAATACAGGTTAATTTACCTCCCATTTGTTTCCTGATAGATACCAACTAGCCCACAGGCCTGGCACAGAGGAGGTAGTCAATGTTGGAATGAATAGGGATATTTACCTGAAAACTGCACATGCAGACTGTCACCTGCCACTATTTCCTCCCTTCAGATGGGTGAAGGATGCCCTACTTTCAAGTCATCCTAAAAAGGAAGACAAGCAAACTTAGTGATCTAGTACACAGAATATAATAAATAGCAATGCATTGTGTGTGTGTGTGTATATATATATATATATTTTTTGAGATAGGGTCTCACTCTGTCTAGACTGAGTGCAGTGGCATGACCATGGTTCACTGTAGTCTCAATCTCCTGGGTCAAGTGATCCTCCCAGCTTAGCCTCCCAAGCAGCTGGGACTACAGGTGCATGCCAACACACCCACCTAATTTCTTTTTTGTTTTTTATAGAGATGAGATCTCTTTCTGTTGCCCAGGCTTGTCTCAAACTCCTGGGTTCAAATGATCCTCCCACCTCAGCCTCCCAAAGTGCTGGGAATACAGGTGCGAGCCACCGTGCCTGGCCTGTATATTTCAAAATTGCTAAAAGATACTAAATGTTTTCACCACAACAAAATATAAGTATGTGAGGTGCTAGATGTGTTAACTAGCATGATTTACTCATTCCACAATGTAAACATGTATGAAAACCTCATGTTGTACCCCATATAACATATACAATTACTGTCAATTAAAAAAAAAAAAAAAAAAAGACGAGCAGACATGATATATTTCCCATGAATTTGAATGTTTGGCACCCTGGTCTAAAATAGCAGCTCCTAAGGACCCTTATCTGGAGAGATGGAAATAGAATGCTGCTTGCCATTTACCCCAATTTCTATAGCCTCAGGAATTATTTTATTTACCATTATTTGCCTTTTCCCTGCCTATAGTACTATAAAGCTAACCATCCCCCAAGCCCTACAGATATCACTAGCCTTAAGACCCCATATGTAAAAGGCTATTCACAGTTGAGGCATTCACACAAAGCACTCACATTTAGTTGAGAGAATCCTATTAAGGGAATGCCAACTGATCTAACAAAACAAGCTTTGATAAACAACTCCCCTGCCCCCCAACATCCTCCCCATTTCCTCCTGTGGAAACTAGTATGTCACTTTTCACAGCAACCGAGGGTCATCTCTTCTCAAAAGATTAGCATTCCAGGCCAGGCACGGTGCAGTGGCTCATGCCTGTAACCCCAGCACTTTGAGAGGCAGGAGATCACTTGAGCCCAGGAGTTCGAGACCAGCCTGGACAACGTCGTGAAACCTTGTCTCTACTAAAGCCTGGGCAACATAATGAGACTTTGTCTCTACAAATTAAAAAAAAAAAAATTATCTGGTTGTGGTGGCACACACCTATCATCCCAACTACTTGGGAAAAAGCATTCCAAAACAAAATTACTACAAAGGGAACTCAATATCTACCACTTTAATGGGGCAACAACTGTTCATTTCTGAAAATCAGTAAGCAACTAAAGCAAATATACTGTCAGCCCAAAGGAGAAATTAGTGTGGTTGTAGTTGTTCAGTTCCCAGAGCCCCCTCAATCAATATTTTAATATTTTATTAAACAGCTAGAGAATGCCCATAATTTTAAAGTGAATTACCATCAATGTTTCCCTAATAGGGAATCCATCCCTCTACAAAGGGTGTCATGACTAGCTTTTATGGTGGGTAGTAGGAGCCATGGACTTTAATTTCAGTGAAATTAGCAAAAATCCCATTGTATCTGGCCCCCTTTGAGCCCTTGGTAGGCACTAAAAATAAAGGTGTGACTTTTCCGTCTATTTTTACCAACCCCCTCTTCCCATTAGCTTTGTTCTGTTTCCAAGGTATGATTCAAGTAACTTCATGCTACCCAAACCTGTTGGACCAGAACTATTCAGGAAGGTCTGGACTTATTCTCTGCAAAAAGTCATGCTCTCACAGATTAAACCTTAATGCAAGCTTTTCCAACCCGCAGCCCAACACAAATTGGTAAACTTTCTTAACACATTATGAGGAGTTATTTTTGGCAATTTTTTTTTAAATTTAGCTATCAGTTATCGTTAGTGTTACTATATTTTATGTATGGCCCAAGACAATTCTTATCCTTCCAATGTGGCCCAGGGAAGCCAAAAAACACGCCTGCCTTAATGGATAAGCAACTATGCTGGCATCCTGGGGTAGTCAACACAAGAGTTGGCATGAACCAGGGCCAGAATGCCAACCAGCTATTGGCTGCTGTTCTCCCAGCAGTGTAACACTTGCCTAGGTACAAGACAACCTAGGCAGCTGCCTACAGCTGGAGCCAAGAGAGCTGAAGGGGTTGCACTCACCTGCAGTTGCATCTGCCACAGCCAGCCTCTCTGCAATGAAACAACTCCAGGTTAGTCAGCCAACAGTGAACACGTGTGCAGCTCAGAGTCCCTCCCCTCAAAACACGGTAACTTAGGCCTAAGCCACAGAAACAATAGCAGACAATAAAACCAATAGCTTATCCTTGTTTAGCTTTGTTTTCATCTCTTGTTACTTATACACCACAGCAGTTCAATAGTAGCAAAAGAGTCGATTAAACAAATATCAGGGAGCCTGGCTCTATCCCCTAACCAGTGTCTAGCCAAATGATACTGGGCGAGAAACCTCTCTATACCTCAGTCTCATTTGTAGAATGGAGGTATTATATTACAGGGTCTTTCTCTGCCACCCAGGCTGGAGTGCAGTGGCACAATCATGGCTCACTGCAGCCTCCACTTCCTGGGCTCAAGTGATTCTCCTACCTCAGCCTCCTGAGTAGCTGGGACTACAGGCGTGAGCGAGCACACCAAGCTGAATGGGGATATTACTAATAGTCCTCTGTAAATAGGGTGGTTGGGAGGCTTAAGTGAAATATAAGCTAATCCTCAGGATAATGTCTGGTATAGTGTGGGCACTCAGTAAACACCTGAGGAGCTACATTCCAAAAAAGGCTTAGATGGTGAATATGAGTGAGTAAAAAGGGAAAAGTTATCCAGTGAGAGAAACGGGCAGTGAACAGTGGGAACACTGGATAGAGGAGGGCCTCCAATACTTCCTGAAGGACAATAAAAACAGCACTTGGAAAAATAACTGCAGTATTGGATGTGAGGGGAATTGGAGGCAGTAGTCGTGCCAAGACCTCAACTACTGATTAAAAGCAATAACGAAAATGTTAGGCCGGGCGCGGTGGCTCACGCCTGTAATCCCAGCACTTTGGGAGGCTGAGGCTGGCGGATCACGAGTTCAGGAGATCGAGACCATACTGGCTAACACGGTGAAACCCCGTCTCTACTAAAAATACAAAAAAAAAAAAAAAAAAAAAAAAAAAATTAGCCGGGCGTGGTGGCGGGCACCTGTAGTCCCTGTTACTCGGGATGCTGAGGCAGGAGAATGGCATGAACCCAGGAGGCGGAGGTTGCAGTGAGCCGAGATCGCCCTACTGCACTCCAGCCTGGGCAACAGAGCAAGACTCCGTTAAAAAAAATAAAAATAACCAAAATGTTTGCACAAATGATAATAAATATTCCTACACAGTCACCATTTTTTTTTAGACGGAGTCTTGCTCTGTTACCAGGTTGGAATGCAGTGGTGCTATCTCGGCTCACTGCAATCTCTGCCTCCCGGGTTCAAGCGATTCTCCTGCCTCAGCCTCCCGACTTCAGGCGTGCGACACCACGCCCAGCTAAGTTTTGTATTTTTAGTAGAGACGGGGTTTCACCATGTTGGCCAGGATGGTCTTCTTCTCTTGACCTCGTCATCCGCCCGCCTCGGCCTCCCAAAGTGCTGAGATTACAGGCGTGAGCCACGCGCCCGGCCTCACAGTCACCATTATAATTTATGTAAGGCTAAGATCATACCTTTTTCCAGCCATCCCCAAATTTCACTCCTGACTTCCTCCAAATAATTTAGAGGAACAGGAAAATGAGTAGAGAGGGTTCATTGTTCGCTGGGTCTAAAAACAGATCTAAAAATAGCCTGCCCCTTTCAAGGCTCGGGTTAAAGGGGCTGACTCAGTTCCACCGGACATTTGTTCCTCACAAACCTTCCAAAGTCCCTGCCTCTGGCCCTGGGAGATCGAGGCTCTCGGAGTCAGGCTCTATGGGACTCCCTAGGGAGAAGAGGGAAGAGGGATGGTAGAAAAACAGGGGACGACTCCGAGGCCCAAGTCTCTTTCAGATGCCCTCCAAGCTCGGGATCACGAGGGGACGAACCCCAATTTCGTCCCGTGCCCCGGCAGAAGCCACCCTGCACTGCTTCTTTCCCCAGGCTGGGAAACCTCCAAGGACTCTCCCCTCTGGGTCCTTACTCACGCGCACGTGTTCGGAGCTCCGCAGGGCGCAGCAGCACCGGCAGAGGCCGGAGGGGAAAGGGCAGCCGGGAGCCGAGGGGAACCCCGCCCCGGGGCGGCTACTGGGCGTGGCTTCGGTGGGCGGGGCCCTTGACCCCGCCTAGGAAAGGCCGGGCTTTAAAAAAAAAAAAAAATGCGAGTGCGGTGGCAGAGGTGAACCTGCTTCTTAGAGGAGAGAAGGGCTGGGGTCTGAGCAATGGCTGGGTTTGTTGGACTCCCATCCCATCTCTTAAGGGTAGAAGGGGCGCATAGTTCGCAGCTGCTCAGGAGAGAATCTGTGTGTCCTAGTGGAGCCAGGCTTCCTGCCTGCCCACACTGAGCGCCCCCGGAACGCTGGTTCCGCTCACGAGCGTGGCGCCTTTCCGTTGCTGCAGGCCCAGCCCACGCTTTTGCGCTTCCCACGCATATCCTTTTTCTGGCTTTCTGCGGCAGCGCTGTCATTCGGCTAATGGATCGCTCACCCACGCAGGTCACCTTGGTCCACGGTCTTCGGGATCTTTCCAGGAGGTTTTCGAATAGATTAAGCCAGTCACTCCTACTGCTGACCTCTGCAGGACCGGCCTCCCTAGTGCCCTGCAGTGGGATTCTTCGCCGAGCTGCAGTAACTGAAGAACACTGGCTTTCTCTGCTAGACTTGCCCTGCACCATGGCACAGTCAGGCAGAGTCCTTGGTCAGGACAGACTGCCTGCAAGGCTACCAGGATTTCTTTGGAACACTAAAACTTCCCTCTCCCAGTGGCTAGAGTCCATATGATTCTGCTGGGGTCCAGAGTGGAAGGCCTACAAGCAGTGATTCCCAACTCCATTCTCTAATTCCCCCAAATTCCTTTCCGACACCCGCCCCCCAACAACAACAACCAATCCTGTAAGTTTTGCTGATCTCTTGCACCTGGCACCATTGCCAGGTGAACCCCTGGGAACCAAGCCACTGCCCTTGGCATCTGCCAACATGTTTCATTGTCTATTTCCTCAGCTCTTTCATAATGAAAAAGGTATGCTTCTTGTGCACCCCAACTCTTGCAGACCTCTCCTAAGAAAGCCCAGAGCCCCAGTTTGATTCCAGCAAGAGACCCTAGGCTGTAGGGCCAAAGAGCCACTGGAGGGGAAGTGGCAAGCTCAAATCCTCCCCAGTTTTGATGCAGTTGGACATAGGCTCTGGTTGGGAAAAGGCTTACATAAATACAGTAATTTAAAAAGTCACATGACCAGTGCTGGGCTGGTAGGCAGGAGCTCTGCTTTGCAGTTAAATAGGAATGTGGCTGAAGACTGCTGCCATAATCAATGCCCACATCCGGCTGTCACAGCGTGTTCATAAAGGAAGGTTATGAGAGCTATAAAACCAGGCAGATTGGGTGGGTAATTGTCCTACCGAGCTCTGCTAAAGGAGAAATTGCATTGGCATCTCATATATTTCGCTTTCTTTCCTTCCAAACACACAAAGTGGAGAGGGCAGAGCTACCCTGAAGATTCATGAAAAGGAAAGATAGGGTGTGTGTGTGTGTGTGTGTGTGTGTGTGTATGTGTGTGTGTGAATGTGCATGTGTGCTTTCAGAGAAGAGACAAGAAGTAACTGAGGACAGGGAGCTATGCAGACCTTTGGGGAGAGAGGGACCAATAATCTGGTGATGACTGGATTCAGATTAGTCCAGGTAGAAGGCAGGATTTATGTGGAAGGCCAGCCATTATAAATAAGGCTGTGAGGTAAGCCATATTTTCATGTCCTGTTGAACAAGTGGTCAACTTTTTGGGCTATAGGTCTTTCAATGACCTTTGGAGAAAAACCTAGATGAAGATTTTGTTTCCAACTTAAAAATCCTTCATAGTCAACCTTTTTGACTTCCATCCTTTTAAATTCTGAATTAATTTTGATGGGTTGATTTATGTTTTTTTTACCTGTAATATCAACTATTTTTCTACTTTTTTGTTTCTTCTTGCAAAGACAAAATTATTGAGAATAATAACAAAAAATAAAAGGGAACATTTCTAGAAAAAAAGATGCAGCTAGATGGAAAGCAAAGGACTAGGGGAAGTCCATTAGCTCTGAGTTTGACCTCATAACTTAAAGCTGACCTCAAGTGACACCAGGTCCCCAAGCTTCTTCCCTGCCTTTCTCTTTATCCTCCATCTCTCCTCTCATTCCTGCTTCCCTCCTTGATGCTTTCTGCCTCTAAGACTGCTCTTTTTCTTTCTCCCTGAACAGGGAGAAAAACCACCAGTAGAGAAATATCTAGTCATTTGTTCAGTTAGTCAGTCACTCAGTCAATCAACATTTACGAAACATCTATCATGTGCCAGACTCTGTTCAGATGCTGCAGATAAAGTCAGAACAATAGAGATTCCTGCCTGCCTAAAGCTTACAGTCTAGAGGAGAAGAATGACAAGTACTATATGTATACTTGGTCACATGTCTGGGGGCAGCTAACATAGCCTAGGGGGTCAGGAAGAGTACTAGAGATAGCTGTATTCTCTCTGGCTGATCCTAAGGGCTTAGAGTAGAGGAGGGACCCCTCCTCCATCCCTGCACTCCTCTTGCTGCTATGTACTAGCTACCCAATTAGAGTGGGGCTCTTCAGTTGTCCTTGTTATTTCTCAAAAGCATAGTTGGATTGGCAAGGATGTGGAGAAATTGGAACCCTCATACACTGCTGGTGGGAATGTAAAATGGTGCAGCTGCTTTGGAAAACCGTCTGGCAGTTCCTCAAATGATTAAACACAGAGTTACTTTATGACTCAGCAATTCCAGTCCTAGGTATGTACCCAAGAGAAATTAAAGCCCGTCACACAAAAGCCTATACAGAAATGTTTACAGCAGCATTATTCATAATAGCCCTCCAAAACCAAACGTTCATTACTTGATGAATGGATAAACAAAATGTGGCATATCCACACAATGGACTATTACTTGGCCATAAAAGGGAATTAATCCTGTAATCCCAGCACTTTGAAGAGGCTAAGGCAAGAGGATTGCTTGAGCCCAGGAGTTCAAGACCAGCCTGGGCAACATAGAGATGGGACCCCATCTCTACAAAAAATAAAAAAATTAGGTGGGCATGGTGATACACAACTGTAGTCCCAGCTACTTTAGGGGGCTAAGGTGAGAGGATTGCTTAAGCCTGGGAGATTGAGGCTGCAGTGAGCTGTGATCATGCCATTGCACTCCAGCCTGAGTGACAGTGAAACTCTGTCTCAAAAAAAAAAAAAAAAAAAAAAGAGGCCAGGCGTGATGGCTCACACCTGTAATCCTAGCACTTTGGCAGGCTGAGGCAGGCGGATCACTTGAGGTCAGGAGTTTGAGACCAGCCTGGCCAACATGGTGAAACCCCATCTCTACTAAAAATACAAAATATTAGCTGGGTGTGGTGGCTTGTGCATGTAGTCCCAGCTACTTGGGAGGCTGAGGCAGGAGAACGGCTTGAACCCGGGAGGCGGAGATTGTAGCAAGCAGAGATGGAGCCACTGCACTTCAGCCTGGCAACAGAGCAAGACTCTGTCTCAAAAGAAAAAAAGAAAAAAATGAATCATGTACTGATTCATGCTATAACATAGATGAACCTTGAAAACATTAAGATAGGCAGGGTGCAGTGGCTCACGCCTGTAATCCCAGCACTTTGGGAGGCCGAGGCGGGTGGATCACAAGGTCCAGAGATCGAGACCATCCTGGCTAACACAGTGAAATCCCGTCTCTACTGAAAAATAGAAAAAATTAGCCAGGCATGGTGGCAGGAGCCTGTAGTCCCAGCTACTCAGAAGGCTGAGGCAGGAGAATGGCGTGAACCCAGGAGGCGGAGCTTGCAGTGAGCCGAGATTGTGCCACTGCACTCCAGCCTGGGCAACAGAGCGAGACTCCATCTAAAAAAAAAAGAAAGAAAAGAAAACATTAAGATAAAGAAGCTAGTCACAAAATGTCACATATCGTTTGATCCCGTTCATATGAAAGTCCAGAATAGGAAAATCTGTAGAGACAGGAAGTAGATTGGGGTGGCTTAGGGTTGAGTGGGGGACAAGGTGATAGCTAAGGGGCTTGGAGTTTCTTTTTGATGTGATGAAAATGTTCTGAAATTGTGACAATGGTTGCACGTAGCTGTGACTATAATAAAAACCATTGAATTGCACTCCTTAAATGTGTAGGTTTTAGGGTGTGTGAATTATATCTCAATAAAACTGTTTAAATAACAACAATGAAAAGCATGTGGGGCCGGGTATGGTGGCTCACTCCTGTAATCCCAGCATTTTGGGAGGCTGAGGTGGGAGGATCACTTGAGCCCAGGAGCACAAGACCAGCCTGGACAACATAGCAAGACTCTGTCTCTATGTATTAAAAAATAAATAAATAAAATAAAACAAAATACGGCCGGGTGCGGTGGCTCACGCCTGTAATCCCAGTACTTTGGGAGGTCAGGAGATTGAGACCATTCTGGCTAACACAGTGAAACCCCATCTCTACTAAAAATACAAAAAATTAGCCAGGTGTGGTGGCAGGTGCCTGTAGTCGCAGTTACTCTAGAGGCTGAGGCAGGAGAATGGTGTGAACCCGGGAGGCAGAGCTTGCAGTGAGCCAATATCACGCCACTGCACTCCAGCCTGGGCAACGGAGTGAGACTCCGTCTCAAAATAAAATAAAATAAAATAAAATAAAATAAAATAAAATAAAATAAAATAAACACACACACACACAGTTATAAAAGAAAGCAGCATACTTGAGAGCCTGAAAAAAATCTGTAATTCTGCTTGTAATTGTGGGCTGCATGGTCACTGTCAATTTTTTTTTTGAAGTGGAGTCTCACTCACTCTGTCACCCAGGCTGGAGTGCAGTGGCATGATCACTGCAACCTCTGCCTCCTGGGTTCAAGCGATTCTCTTGCCTCAGCCTCCCGAGTAGCTGGGATTACCGGTGTGCACCACCATGCTCAGCTAATTTTTGTATTTTTTGTAGAGACCAGGTTACACCATGTTGTCCAGGCTGGTCTCCAACTCCTGGGCTCAAGTGATCTGCCCGCCTCAGCCTCCCAAAGAGCTGGGATTAAGACATGAGCCACCACATCCGGCCTGTCATTGTCAATTTTAAGGACTAAAATAAAAAGGACTTTGTATTCTGAGTCCTGTGGCCTCTCAGAGCTCTGTTCTCTATCTATGGAAAAACTGAAGACATTTGGCCAGCAGCACAGATGCAAAGGGGTGGACTGGGCATTCCCATGCTTTTCTTCCATAACTCAACCCCCTCACTGTGACTCAGTTTAACATGTATGGCATACCTGCTATGTAGAAGGCATGTGGGACCTGAAAGAGCCACAGTCTATTTATTCCCTCTAATGTTTGAAATTGTTATTAACATATTGCCTTCTGTTTAAACAAACAAAGCTCTTTAGACAATAGGCAATGTGATACAAAGCATAGTTGCCAGGCAGCCTGGGACTGTGGGCTCCCTCTACAGCATGAAGGGAAACATCATCGTGACACCAGCTAGAGTAAGATCAATTCCCAGTCCTTCTTGGAGTTGAACAAGTTCCAGGACTTGGTTCCTTCCTCACATGCCTTCAATCACCTCTTCATTTGGTTTCTAGCTCAATTTGTTAGTCTATTTCCATACCCCTCATTTTCTCACCAGCCCCACCCCCACAATGTCCAAATTGGCCCTCCAATACTGAAACCATTTGCCGGAAATTCATTAAACTGAACACATGGGAAATTACAGAGGAGATTTCACTTGTCGCTTAAGCTCAAATATAGAAAGTAATTTTAAAAGGACAGTGGTGGTGAGAGGCTATTTTTATCTTGCTTGTTTGTGCTGAGTTTTCTTATCTTGCTGTCTCTCGTTCTTTTCCTGGCTACCTCTCTTCTTCTTTGCTTCTTCTTTAAACTAAACATTGACCCTTTTAAATCTTTGTCAGGTTGGTTCTCTTACCTTGTTTTTAGAGTCTTTGTCTGACTTCATCATTCATTCATTGAACCAATATTGAGTATCTGCCATGTGGCAGGCCCTGTGCTAGGCTCTAGGAGGGATACAATGATAAATAAAACAGACATAGTCCTTACCTTTATGGAGATTACAATGGACATCAGGTAGAGTGAGTTCAGATTTGGTCACAGGAAAGCCTCCAGGTAGGCCTGCCCTGGCCCAGCTCAAACAGATACTTTAAGAAAAGGAGATTCTGCTGCTCTCTCAGGCATCCACTTGATGGAGTTACTTGCATCTTTGTGGTGCTAAGTTTACCAAATAGTAAATAGGCATGTAAAATAGCCAGAACCTCAGCATGTTTATTGGACAATAAACCAAATATCTCACAGCAATGTAAGGAAACTAAAGACCTAGGTTTCTGTGTGATATATACAAGCTCCCTGGGTAGAGAGAACATGAACCTAGGAGTCAGATGTGGATTTGATTCTGACTCCACCACTTACATGTTAGCTGTTTGACTTTTAGGTACATGACCTCTGGCCTCAGTTCCATCACCTATAAAATGGGAATAGTAATCTCTATATTTTAGAGCTGTCGTGAGGATTAAATGAGATGTCATATATAAGAGATCAGGCAGGTACTCAATGCATGTTGCTTCCTTTCCATTACTTCCCTATCCTACACTTGAATCCCACAATTTAAAATAAATAAATAACCAACCTGGGCAACACAGTGAGACCTCGTCTCTATTTATTTAAATAAATAAGTAAGTAGAGATATAAAGATAAATAGATAAATAAATATAAAGCCTAGTCTCCCAATTGACTGGAAATGAGGAGTCTCAAGTGATATTCACCAATTATACGACCAGAGAAATGGGTTGTTTCTATATTGTTTACTATACATTGCACTATGCATGCAACTTATGACAGATCACTGTCTTATTCTGGGATAAGAGAAAGGCAAAAAAAAAAACCCCGAAATTATAGGAAAAAGACTGAAATGAGATATAACAAAGGACTTCCTCACCATGAGGGCTAGAAATATAAGTGGATGCCTGAGAGAGCTGCAAAATCTCCTTTTCTAAGAGCATCTGTTTTGGCTGGCCCAGGGCAGGCCTACCTGGAGGTCAAGAATAAACCTGATGGCCTCTTCATGTCCCACTTAGCCTAAGGAATCCTTTCAGGAGGAATTGCTGGTCCTCTTCCTTTTCCAAGCCAGGCGTGCTTCCAAGGCTTATTGCTCAAAAGGAAAGGAAAAAAATGGCAGCTGCCATTTCAGGCACTTAATAAGTACACTAAATTAAGAAATTGCTGATTTGGAGGCCGGGCGCGGTGGCTGACGCCTGTAATCCCAGCACTTTGGGAGGCCAAGGTGGGCGGATCACGAGGTCAGGAGATCGAGACCATCCTGGCTAACACGGTGAAATCCCGTCTCTACTAAAAATACAAAAACTTAGCCGGGCGAGGTGGCGCGTGCCTGTAGTCCCAGCTACTCAGGAGGCTGAGGCAGGAGAATGGCGTGAACCAGGGAGGCAGAGCTTGCGGTGAGCAGAGATCGCGCCTTTGCACTCCAGCCTGGGCAACAGAGCGAGACTCCGTCTCGAAAAAAAAAAAGAAAGAAATTGCTGATTTGTTTTACCTGATTCCTCCTCTCTGATAAGGAAGAAATATCGATTTAATTTTTTTTTGAGGAAATAAAACAACCAAGTGCAAAAAAAAAAAAAAAAAAAAAAGGAAGAAATATCTTCAATCAGAGATTCCTCGAAGTTGAAAAGGAAGCCTGAGCTCCAACTGCGGAAATTGGCAGAGGTCACACTTAAAGGAACAAGCAGGGCTCGGCAGGCAGCGCTAGGATTCTAGGATTCTCTCTCCCACCCCATCCGTAGGAGATCTCAGGCTGCCTTTATTTATTTATTTATTTATTTATTTTTGAGATGGAGTTTCGCTTTCGTTGCCCAGGCTGGAGTACAATGGTGTGATCTCGGCTCATGGCAACCTCTGCCTCCCAGGTTTAAGCAATTCTCCTGCCTCAGCCTCCCAAGTAGCTGGGATTACAGGCATGCGCTACCACACCTGGCTAATTTTGTATTTTTAGTAGAGATGGGGTTTCTCCGTGATGGTCAGGCTGGTCTCGAGCTCCCAACCTCAGGTGATCTGCCCACCTTGGCCTCCCAAAGTGCTGGGATTACAGGCGTGAGCCACCGTGCCAGACCTGCCTTTTTTCTACAGTTATTTGCAAAGGGGATTAGTTTAGTTGTCCTTTTCTCCCTTCACCACCATTTTTGTTTCTTCTTCTTATTTTCCTTGCTCTTCTTTTCCTTTCTTCCTCTCTTGTGCCACCTCCTTTTCTATTTTCTCCTCCTCCTTCTTCCCTCCTCCAATCTCCATTTCAGCTGCTGGATCTCATTGCCCAACCCACTGGAATTTCTGTTCCAAGAACGTTAGCACTCCTTCTTGATCTAAAGTAACAATAGGCCGAGCGTGATGGTTCATGCCTGTAATCCCAGCACTCTGGGAGACTGAGGTGGGCAGATCACCTGAGGTCAGGAGTTTGAGACCAGCCTGGCCAACGTGGTGAAAACATGTCTCTGTCTCTACTAAAAATACAAAAATTAGCTGGGCGTGGTCGCAGGCTCCTGTAATCCCAGCTAATCGGGAGGCTGAGGCATGAGAATCTCTTGAACTTGGGAGGCGGAGGTTGCAGTGAGCCAAGATTGTGCCACTGCACTCCAGCCTGGGTGACAGCAAAAGACTTTGTCTCAAAAAAAAATAATAAATTATAAACTAACAGTACTATTCTGATAATAAAGATAATGCTCTGTATTTGTATAGAGCAAGTTTTCCCAATGTATAGTTAGGTGCACTGGGAGTAGATATTTATGTGCAGGATTTTCAGAGCCTGTCATGTGCTAATGTGAGTTGCGAATGTCCAGCAGGAGTTAGAATATGGGAACTCACATTTTGCAAACCTCTTTGACCTTTCTTTTTCTTCATACCCTGGGATAACTGGTCTTTGGAACACATTTCAGAAACACTTACATCATGTGTTAGACTCTTTAAAAATGCTGTAACATTTGTCATCTTATTTGATCCCTACAACTACTCTATGATAAGACAAGGAAGTTATATTAGTCTTGCTTTACAGACGAGTAAAACAGACCCAGAGAGGTTACATGCCTGGCTCATGGTCACATAGCTGGCCAACAAGCAACAAGTCTGGGTCTCCTTTTTTTTTTTTTTTTGGAGACATAGGCTGGCTCTGTCCCCCAAGCTGGCGTGCAGTGGTGTGATCTTAGCTCACTGCAACCTCCACCTCCTGGGTTCAAGCTATTCTCCTGCCTCAGCCTCCCTAGTAGCTGGTATTTAGGCACCCACCACCATGCCCAGGTAATTTTTGTATTTTTAGTAGAGACGGGGTTTCACCATGTTGACCAGGCTGGTCTCGAACTCCTGACCTCAAGTGATCTGCCTGCCTCGGCCTCCCAAAGTGCCGGGATTACAGGCGTGAGCCACCATGCCTGGCTGGATCTTCTTATTTATGGCCCTTGTATCTGCACTGCCTTGTACTGCATTTAAATACAACATATATGTCAACTATCATACTATGGCATATGATATATAACATGGAATCTAGAAGATATAAATGGCAAATTATGACATTCATTTTTTTCCCATTCAACTAAATATATTGCATATCTCCCATATGCTTGTCACCATTCCAGATGCTAAGAATAGAACATTAACTAAAATAGACAAAAACACAAATTCTTGCCTTCATGGAGCTTACATTCTAGTGGAGGAAGACAGAAATTACAAGATAAATATGTAAAAGATATTTTATTACATGTTATATAACTATAAGGGCTAAGAATACAGTAGCGAAAAAAAAGGAAGATGTAGGAGTTACTATACAAGGAGTGAAGAGTGTCAAGACAGGCTATACTGAGGAGGTGACATTTGAATGAAGACTTGAAGGAGATAAAGAAGTTACCATGCAGAGATTTTGGGGTTGGTTGAGTGGGAGGGAGTTCCATCAGAGAGAAAAGCAAATTCAACGGGTCTGTGGCAGACTGAGCCAAGGGTGAGACTAAGCCGGCGGGGAGGCAGGGTGGTAAGAGATGAGGTTAGAGAGATTAAGGGGGTGGAGTCCAGACACCAGACTTTATAAGGAAAAGAAGTGATATAATGCAGATGATATACCATGATATAATAATAATACCATACAACAAATTTATTATGTTGCTGCAAAACAAATTATCCCAAAACTTCAAGAACTTAAAGTAACAAATGTTTATTTCATACAGTTTCTGGGGGTCAGGATTGGGGAGCAGCTCAGCTAAGCTGGCTCAGGGTCACTCATGAGGTTGTAGTCAAGCCGTCCACTAGGGCTGCAGTCATCTGAGGCCCTGATGAGGGCCAGAGGATCTGCTACCAAGATGGCTCACTTGGCTGTTGATAGAAGGCCTAGTTCCTTATCACATGACCTTCCACAGCACTGTTCACTACATGGCAACTGGCTTGCCCCAGAGTGAGTGATCAGATGACAGAGTGACCAAGAAAGAAGCCACAGTGTCTTTTATAACCTAATCTTGTATGTTACATATGATTACTTCTGTCATATTCTATTGGTCACACAGACAAACCCTGGTACCATATGGGAGAGGGGATTTACAAGTGCATGAATATCAGTACATGGACAGCATTGGGGATGGATCATCCTGGAGGCTGGTTACCACACTGGCTTGTAGAAAATTTCCTCAGAATAACCATTTCTTCAAGAAATACCAACAAATATGTGGCCCCTAAAATACTAGAGTTCCCAACCCTATCTGGGTTGGAGCCTGAACGAGGACAGTCCAAAGAGCAGGGGCTTCAAAAACTGCTGAGAGTCTGAAGATTTTATTTCAATTCTGCATGAGCATGCTTTTTTCTTCAAAGCCCCACTTCCTCTAGGCCTGGCCTCATTATTTCATTCAGCCAATTAACTCAACTTGTAATAATCTTAGTTAAACCTGCAAATTAAAAAAAAAAAAAAGCAAAAGAAAAGAAAAGACAAAAATAAACCCTTTGAGGAAATCTATAGAACTTCAGAGGCAGCCTGGACCTCTCTCGGTAATTTAACCTTGAGATGACACTGAACTTTGCGAAGGGCAGAGCAGACCCACCCATCCCCCTAAAATCCCTAGGTCTCTTCTTGTCGAAGAGAGGCATCTTGTCTAGTCTAAGAAGAATGACTGAGGACAGACTATTTGCTCTGTCCCGGAAGGCCAGTACTGGATTTATCCAGAAACAAAAAACATGGCTCTCCTGAGACCCAGGGCGGGCCTCTTGCCCAGCCCCCACCAGACTCAGCCTTGGCTGTGCAGCCCATCAGCCAGTTTCCTAAGCTGAGCAGCAGATGGCATCCCAGCCTCAGGAGCGAGCAGCTGAGGTTTCTAGAAAGAGCAGCATCACTGTAAGGAACTCAGACTGCGGCTTGGCATCTGGGAGCCCTGCCTCCCCAGCTCCCAGCTCAGGGAAGTTTCTGCTCTGTGCCTACAGATTAGGATACTGTTAGGCCAGTGTCTCAGAGAGTAGGGCCTGAAGCCCCTAGTCAGGAAACAGATGGTGAACACAGGGTCTTTTCTGAGAAAGATAAAAATCAGTGGTTTCTGCAATTATATAAGCACTAAAAAAAATTTTTTTAAACGAAGAAAACCAGTGGCTGCTGTTCTCAGACAGGCTGTTTTTCCTTCACTTGCCCTTTGCTTGAGAGGGTCCACAATGACTATATCTTGGTCTGGGGGCTGGCAGGTCCCTGGCGGGAGCCTCCTGGGATGGCCAGATGGAGCCAAAGACAACTTGAGGGATCAGTGGGCTACTGAAAGCATCTAGGGAATTCCAAGGGTTCAAAATTGAATATTTTTTTTCCCCTGATGACCCAAATGAAGAGCTATACCCCAGAGCTGACCGCCAATGACGCAGGCAGGGCTCAGTCCTGCAGGCCTTGTTTCTGTGCCTCAATCTTACTCCCTCTCCTTATGCTCCTCCTCCTCTCTGTTCCATTTTTTCTCTCCTTCCTTTTTCCTCTATCATTTCTATCCTTTTACGTCTTTCACTGTGTGGCTCTATTTCTTTCTTCTGCTCCAGTGTAGGAAAGAAAGCTGATTACCAAACTGCCTCGGCAAAGTGGCCATGGGCATTGAGCCACACACAATTCCCTGTCTTTAGGGACTCAGACCTTGTCTATACTTGCCTCTCTCTCCCTTCCTCATTTCTTCCCTCCCTGCTGCTGATACCTGATGGCCAGTCCCAAGGAGACCTGGACAAAGAGAGGTCCAGAGGTCACCAAGAAAATCTACTCTCCCCCCACAGAACCTGTACTCCCTGCTTTGTAGCTCCTGACAGGAAATACTCCAGAGGCTTCCCAGTAGGGCTGAGGTCCACTGAGCCTCCTGTTCACTGAGCACTCACTGTTTGCCACTAAAATGTGAGCTTGAGGGCAGGGCCCTGTCTACCTTGTTCACTGCTATACCCACCATATCTAGCACACAGTAGATACTCAAGAAATAATTGTTAAAAAATAATGAGTGGGGGATGGAAAGATGAATGTTGAGCACTGTATTAAGTATTAGGGGCACAGGGCTGGGCGTGGTGGCTCACGCCTGTAATCCCAGCACTTTGGGAGGCCGAGGTGGGCAGATCACAAGGTCAGGAGATCGAGACCATCCTGGCTAACATGGTGAAACCCCGTCTCTACTAAAAATACAAAAAATTAGCCAGGTGTGGTGGCATGCACCTGTGGTCTCAGCTACTTGGGAGGCTGAGGCAGGAGAATCGCTTGAACCTGGGAGGCTGAGGTTGCAGTGAGCCGAGCCAAGATTGTGCCACTGCACTCCAGCCTAGGCAACAGAGCGAGACTCTGTCTAAAAAAAAAAAGTATTAGGGGTACAAACATTAAAGGTGCAATCCCAGTCCATAAAGAGAAGAACACCCAGACAATCAGTCACCTATGATCTGGAACAGTAACTATGAGAATGATGGTGGTAGAAGCTGCAGCAGTGCCTGAGTATGTGCTGTGAAGACAGGGAATGCTTGGTTCACTCACTAATTCAACAATTATTCATAAAGAGCCTACTAGACTCTGGGCTAAGCAAGGAATAAGGTAGGTCCTTGTCCTCAAGGAGCTCCCAGTTGGATGTGGGAGACATATGAGTAAATAAATAAGCAGTTAACAGGATCACTGCTGTATTGGGAAAAATACTGGGCAGTAAGAGCAGGAAGCAGAGGCAGCTCACTGAGTCTGGGGAAGGGCTTATAGTGAAGTGAGTTCAGGCTAAGACCTACCTGAAGGGTCAGTAGAAGTTAGCTAGGAGAAGAAGAGAGAGAGTTCCAAGCCAAGGGAACATCACGTAGGGTCAAGACAGGCAAGTTTCAGGCCGGGTGCGGTAGCTCACGCCTGTAATCCCAGCACTTCGGGAGGCTGAGGCGGGTGGATCATCTGAGGTCTGGAGTTCAAGACCAGCCTGGCCAACATGGTGAAACCCCGTCTCTACTAAAAATACAAAACATTATCCAGGCATGGTGGCGTGCACCTGTAATCCCAGCTACTTGGGAGGCTGAGGCAGAAGAATCGTTTGAACCTAGGAGGCGGAGGTTGCAGTGAGCAGAAATTGCACCATTATACTCCAGCCTGGGGAACAAGAGCAAAACTCCGTCTCAAAAAAAAAAAAAAAGAGAGGCAAGTTTCAAGGAGCTGAGAAAATGTGTCAGGAACTCTGGCTGAGGTACCAGTAGGGTAGTAAGTGGGGCCAGAAAACAAGAAGCAAGAGAAGTGGGTGGGAGTGAGGTAGAAGAGCCCAAACTGGGTTAAGGGGTCATGACTTTACCTTTAGGGCAGGGGAAACCATATAAGAGTTTTAAGGAGAGTGATACAATCAAGTTTGCATTTTAGAAAGTAGACCAGGTGAGGTGGCTCATGCCTGCAATCCCAGCCCTTTGGAAGATTGAGGTGGGAGGATTGCTTGAGTCAAGGAGTTCAAGACCAACTTTGGCAACAGTGCAAGAGCCCATCTCTACAAAAAAATTTTTTTGAAAGAGTGAGGCATGGTGGCATGCACCTGTAGTCCTAGCTACCCTGGAGGCTGAGGCAGGAGGATCGTTTAATCCCAGGAGTTCAAGGTTTCAGTGAGCTATAATCATGCCACTTCATTCCAGCCTGGGTGACAAAGCCAGACCCTGTCTCTAAAAGAATTACTCTGGGTGCAGTATGAAAAATGGATGGGGTAGGGCCAGAGTGGCAGTCCTAGAGATGAGTTAGGGAGTAGTCCAGGCAAGAAATGATGATCTGAGTGATGATGATATTGGTGGGGAGAGAGGTCATATTTGAGTTGAGATTGAGGATAGTTAGGAATTTTCCTGGTCTAAAACGTAGGGGGAATACTGGCATTCCAGAGAGAGAAAATATACATACAAAGGTTTCAAGAACTTGTCATGTTCTGGGAAGCACATGTGATTATGTATTTAGAGATGAGGTAAGAAGGAGCCAACCTTTGCTGAAGAATTTGGGAAGCCCAGGGTGAAGCCAAAGCCATTTTGTTAGAGCTGGGGAAGGAGAGAGAAGGTATGGCGATCTTCCGCAGTTACCCAAAATACCCAGAGGGGTTCCAGAGGGTCATGATCCATCCAGGCATTTTCAGAACACACATATCACCCAGGACCCAGAACACAAGAGCAAACAATGTCCAAGGAAGTAAAGTAGGGCCTGGAAACGGGAGTAAGCAAGTGAACTAAGAAAATAAGTAAGGAGAATCGGGAGAGACCATCTGCCAAGCACAAAGAGGTGGGTAAGACTGAGTGAGATGGACCCCATCAGAACCTGGAAATCCCTCCTGCAGAGCTGCCCAGCCCCAGGACTCAATCTTTACTCTTCTGCCTCCAGATCTCAAAGGTGCCTTGATAGATATCTCTAATCTGTGGCCGGGTGCAATGGCTCACGCCTGTAATCCCAGCACTTTGGGAGGCCGAGATGGGTGGATCACCTGCGGTCAGGAGTTCAAGACCAACCTGGCCAAAATGGTGAAACCCCATCTCTACTAAAAATACAAAAATTAGCCGGGCATGGTGGTGGGTGCCTGTAATCCCAGCTACTTGAGAGGCTGAGGCAGGAGTATCACTTGAACCCGGGAGGCGGAGGTTGCAGTGAGCCAAGATTGCACTGTTGCACTCCAGCCTGGGTGACAGAGTCAGACTCTGTCTCAAAAAAAAAAAAAAAAGAAGAGGAAAGAAAAATACCTAATTTGTTCTCCAAAGAAGAGAGTTAGAAATGGATAGAGAGGATAGACCAAAATTAGTATAATGGTTATAAAACTGGGCTCTGCTTCTTCCTTGATCTGTGACTTAGGGCAAATAACTTACTGAACCCGTTTCATCACCCATGGGTACTAAAAGTTTAAAATGAGGTAATGTGAACAGAAAGCTGACATAATGAAGGCTCTCAAGAAATCTTTGGTGTTACTAAGATTTTGGTATGAGCCAGATGAGAAAAGGTGTGCAAAGCAGCAAGGACTGAGTGGAAAGGGAGTGAGTTCCAGCATGCTCAAATCCTTCAATGGCTTCCATAGCCTACAAAGCAAAACCCTCCACCAAGGCTGGTTCCTGCCTACCTGTCCTTCCTCATCACCCACTGTTTACAACCTCACTTTACAGACTGTTTTATCACCTTTTGTGATTCCCAGAACATACCATGCTCTTCAAGCCTTTGCACAAGCTGTTCTTCTGGAAAGAAAATGGCCCCTCAAACCTGTCTTCAGCGCCAAATATCAGGGAGCCTACAGAGCCCTAGAGCAGGAGTTAGGAAGGAACTCAGAGTATGTATATTGTGAGAGGAGCACCATGCACTAAGGAGAAGGAGGCACCCAAGCAAGTTAATATGGCTCAAATAAACATTTGACAGAGTACTTAGGTGAGACAGAGGGACAGGCAGGCAGGTTTTCGGCAGGCTTGTCTTGGTAGTGAGGCTAAGACTAGAAGAGAAGAAGGAAAGTGGAAAGGTTTAGGGAAGCCCCAGCATAGCCCTGGCCTTCCACCTCCTTCCCTGTTTTCTCCCTCCTTCCTTCCATTAGGGGCCAAGTTCTCTGGGCAGTAACTGTAAGCCTGGGAGTGTAGCCCAAATACCCACTTTTTCCTTTTAGGAGGCTCTACTAAAGCACCAGGATACAAAGGTCCAGTTATCTGGAAAGTGCTTTAGAAAGACATGTGCAAAAGGGCCGGGCACGGTGGCTCATGCCTGTAATCCTAGCACTTTGGGAGGCTGAGGCAGGTGGATCACAAGGTCAAGAGATCGAGACCATCCTGGCTGACATGGTGAAACCCCACCTCTACTAAAAATTAAAAAAAAAAAATAGCTGGGCGTGGTGGCACACGCCTGTAGTTCCAGCTACTCAGGAGGCTGAGGCAGGAGAATTGCTTGAACCTGGGAGGTGGAGGTTGCAGTGAGCTGAGATCGCGCCACTGCACTCCAGCCTGGTGATAGAGCGAGACTCCGTCTCAAAAAAACAAAAACAAAAACAAAAAAAGAAAGAAAGACATGTGCAAAGGACTGTGGAAGCCAGGAAGAAGGTATAGCTGTCCCAGCCTAGGGGAACCTGGAAAGGCTTCACAGAGAAGGGGAGCTTGGCCTTGGAAAAAGAGGAGATTATCAAATGGGAAAGGGTTTCCAGGTGATGAGCACAACATGAATGGAGTCAGGTTGTGCTTGGTCCCTGGACATGGAGGAAAAGAAGGAAAGGAGAGGGAGAGAGGGAGAGTAGTTTTTTTTTTTTTTTTTTTTTTTTTTGAGACAAAGTCTTGCTCCTTCGCCTAGGCTGGAGTGCAGTGGTGGGATCTTGACTCACTACAACCTCCACATGCCAAGTTCAAGCGACTCTTGTGCCTCAACCTCCCAAGTAGCTGAGATTACAGGCATGTGCCACCACATCTGGCTAATTTTTGTATTTTTAGTAGAGACAGGATTTTGCCATGTTGGGCAGGCTGCTCTCGAACTCCTGACCTCAAGGGATCTGCACGACTCTGCCTCCCAAAGTGTTAGGATTACAGGCGTGAGCCACCGCATCCGGCCTAGATTCTTCACTCCCTCTCCTTTCCTCCATCTCCAGAACTGAGCTCTCCTTGCTTCTCTCTGTCCTGGCTCATCCTTAGACTCATTGATGATGATGATGATGATGATGATGATGATGATGATAATTATTATTTTGAGACAGGGTCTCACTCTGTTATCCAGGCTGGAGTGCAGTGGCACAATCATGGCTCTTGAACTCCTGGGCTCAAGCAATCCTCCCACCTTAGCCTCCCCAGTAGCTGGGGTACAGACATGTGCCACCATGTCTGGCTAGTTTTTGAAATTTTTAGTAGAGACAGGGTCTCCCTCGTTGCCCAGGCTGGTCTTGAACTCCTGGGCTCAAGCGATCCTCCCACCTCAGCCTCCCAAAGTGCTGGGATTACAGGCATGAACCACTGTGCCCAGATAGAATCATTGATTATTAGAGCTGAAAGAAATCTTAGTGATTTTGTAGGTCATTCCAATCTTTGAATCTTGCAGTTGTGGAAATGGAGACCCAGGGGAAAGAAGAGGCTTGTTTAAGGTCTCTCAGTGGATGAGGAACTTAGACCCAGAACTCAGAGTTTCAGACTCGTCTCTGCTCACATTTCCCAGGGCCACATTGCCTCACTCACATTCGCCCCATCATTTATCCCCCAACCTCAGGGGCTGGGTTTTTTTTTCCAGGTGAGGGCAGAAAATGAATTTTTACCTAACATTGTTATCTAATGATAATAAATACAACTATCCTTTATTGAACGTTTACTGTATGTTGGGCACAGTGTAGATGCTGGAGACACAAACAGAACAAAGACTTTACTCTCATGTAGCTCAGATTCTAGTGTGGAGAAAGAAGTTAATAAACAAACTTATCACATATCATGTGGCAAGAGATATTAGGAAAGTTAAGGGCAAAAGGGGAATTGAGGCCAGGGGTGGTGGTTGATGCCTGTAATTCCAGCACTTTGGGAGGCCGAGGCGGGCAGATGGGTTGAGTCCAGGAATTTGGGACAAGCCTGGGCAACATGGCAAAACCCTGTCTCTACAAAAAATACAAAAATTAGCCGGGCATGGTGGTGTGGGCCTGTAGTCTCAGCTACTTGGGAGGCTGAGGTGGGAGGATCACTTGAGCCTGTGAGGCAGAGATTCCAGTGAGTAGAGATTTTGTGAGACCCTGTCTCAAAAAAATTAAAAAATACAAAATAAAATAAAATAAACCTTAAAGGCCTAAAACAACAGTGATCATTTATTATCTCTTAATGATTTCTGAGGGTCAGGAATTCAGGAGGAGTTAGCTGGGTGGTTCTGACTCAAGATTTCTCTTGAGGTTGCAGTTAAAAGATGTCAGTGGCCAGGCACGGTGGCTCACGCCTGTAATCCCAGCACTTTGGGAGACCGAGGCAGGTGGATCACGAGGTCAGGAGATCGAGGCCATCCTGGCTAACACGGTGAAACCCTGTCTCTACTAAAAATACAAAAAAAATTAGCCAGGCGTGGTGGCAGGCGCCCGTAGTCCCAGATACTCAGGAGGCTGAGGCAGGAGAATGGCGTGAACCCGGGAGGCAGAGCATGCAGTGAGCCGAGATCGCGCCACTGAACTCCAACCTGGGTGACAGAGCGAGACTCCGCCTCAAAAAAAAAAGACGTCAGTGGCCGGGCATGGTGGCTCATGCCTGTAATCCCGGCACTTTGGGAGGCCGAGGCGGGTGGATCACCTGAGGTCAGGAGTTCGAGACCAGCCTGGCCAACATGGCGAAACCCTGTCTCTACTAAAAATAAAATTAAAAAAAATTAGCCGGGTGTGGTGGTGGGCACCTGTAATCCCAGCTACATGGGAGGCTGACGCGGAATTGCTTGAACCCGGGAGGCAGAGGTTGCAGTGAGCCAAGATCGCGCCATTGCACTCCAGCCTAGGCAACAAGAGCAAAACTCTGTCTAAAAAAAAAAAAAGACGCCGGGCGCGGTGGCTCACGCCTGTAATCCCAGCACTTTGGGAGGCCGAGGCGGGCGGATCATGAGGTCAGGAGATCGAGACCATCCTGACCAACATGGTGATAACCCCATCTCTATTAAAAATACAAAAATTAGCTGGGTGTGGCGGTGGGTGCCTGTAATCCCAGCTACTCGGGAGGCTGAGCCAGGAAAATGGCTTGAACCCAGGAGGTGGAGGTTACAGTAAGCCAAGATCATGCCACTGCACTCCAGCCTGGTGACAGAGGAAGACTCTGTCTCAAAAAAAAAAAAAAAAAAAAAGATGTCAGCTAGGATCACAATTATCTGAAGGCTTAACTAGAGCTGGAGGGATCTGCTCCCAAGACAGCTCATTCATATGGCTGTGGCTGGAGGCCTCAGTTGCTCACCATGTGGACCTCCCCACAGGACTGTTTGAGTGTACTTATGACATGGCAGCATGTTCTCCAAGAAGGAGGGCAAGGAGGAAGCCACAATGCATTTTCTTTAACTTTTCATTTTGGAATAAATTCAGATTCACAGACAAGTTGCAAAGATAGTATACTGAGTTTCTATAGTCCCATGTACATTTCACCCAGCTTTCCTCTAATGTTAATATCTTACATAACCATAGTACATTTGCCAAAACTAATAAATTAACACTGGGGGCCGGGCGTGGTAGCTCACGCCTGTAATCCCAGTACTTTGGGAGGCCGAGGCTGGCGGATCACGAGGTCAGGAGATTGAGACCATCTTGGCCAACATGGTGAAACCCCGTCTCTACTAAAAATATAAGAATTAGCTAGATGTGGTGGCGCATGCCTGTAATCCCAGCTACTCGGGAGGCTGAGGCAGGAGAATCACTTGAACCTGGGCAGCAGAGGCTGCAGTGAGCAGAAATTGCTACACTGCACTCCGGCCCGGGTAACAGAGCGAGACCCTGCCTCAAAAAAAAAAAAAAAAAAAAAAATTGGTACATTACTGTTAACGAAACTTTTTTCAGATTTCACCAGTTTTTCAATTAATGTTCTTTTTCTGTTCTAAGATCCCATCTAGGATATTATGTTGAATTTAGTCATCATGTTTCTGTAGTCTCCTTCAATCTGTGACAGTTTCTCAGTTCATCTTTTTTGTGACCTTCACAATTTTGAAGAGTACTGATCAGATCTTTTGTAGAACATCCCTCAATTTGGGTTTGTCTGATGCTTTCTCATGAGCAGACTGGGGTAGGCATAATGCCTTTTATTACTTTGTCTTAGAAGTCACACACCATTACTTCCATTCCATTCTTTAGAAAGGCGTCAGTAAGTACATATAACAGTTAAGGGGAGTGGAGTTAGTTCTAGCTCTTGAAGGAAGGAATATCAAAGAATTTGTGGGCATATTTTATGTGCTTATTTTTGAGGGTCACACTGTAGGCTTTATTTATTTATTTATTTTGGGGGGTCACCTAGGCTGGAGTACAGTGGCATGAACACAGTTCACTGCAGCCTCAACCTCCTGGGCTCAAGTGATTCTCCCATCTCAGCCTCCCGAGTAGTTGGGACTACAGACATACGCCACCATGCCTGGCTAATTTTTATATATATATTTTGTAGAGATGGGGTTTTGCTATGTTGCCCAGGCTGGTCTCGAACTCCTGGGCTGAAGTGATCTGCCCACCTTGGCCTCCCAAAGTGCTGGGATTACAGGCATAAGCCACCACTCTTGGCCTTTGTGGGCATATTTTAAAAACACCACGAAAGGGTCAAGGAAGACCTCCCTAACGAAGTGACATTTGAACAAAGACTTGAAATAAGGAAAGGAGCAAACTGTGGGGGTATCATGGGTAAAGCTTTGTAGACACAGGGGACAGCCAGTGCAAAGGACCTGAGGCAGGAGTGTGAGTAGCAATGTTTGAGGAATAGTCAGAAATCCCATGTGGCTTGCCAGAGACAGCAAGGGGGAAGAGTGTTAGGGCATGAGGTCAAAGTTTGTGGATTGAGAGTAAGGAAGTTAATGTGGGGCTTTGTAGGACATGGTAAGGAATTTGGATTTTACGTAGGGTGAAATGGGGAGCCATTGAAGGGCTTTGAGCAGAGGAGAGAACTGATTTTATTTTATTTATTTATTTATTTATTTATTTATTTTGAGATGGGGGCCTCACTCTGTCACCCAGACTGGAGTGCAGTGGTGCAATCTCAGCTCACTGCAACCTCCACCTCCTGGGTCCAAGCGATTCTCCTGCCTCAGCCTCCCAAGTAGCTGGGATTACAGGCACAAGCCACCATACCCGGCTAATTTTTTGTATTTTTAGTAGAGACGGAGTTTCACCATGTTGGCCAGGCTGGTCTCAAACTCCTGACCTCAAGTGATCCACCCGCCTTGGCTTCCCAACGTGCTGGGATTACAGGCGTGAGCCACCGCACCCAGTCAAGACATGATTTTAAAAAGATCACTTGGCCGGGCCTGGTGACTCACGCCTGTAATCCCAGCACTTTGAAAGGCTGAGGCAGGCGGATCACCTGAGGTCTCCAGCCTGGCCAACATGGTAGAACCCTGTCTCTACTAAAAATACAGAAAAATTAGCCAGGCCTCGTGGCGGACACCTGTAATCCCAGCTACTTGAGAGTCTGAGGCATGAGAATTGCTTGAACCCGGGAGGTGGAGGTTGCAGTGAGCCAAGATCGTGCCACTGCACCCCACCCTGGGTGATGGAGCAAGACTCCGTCTCAAAAAAAATAAAAAATAAAAAATAAAAGGATCACTCTGGTTGCTGTATGAATAGACTATAGGTGGCAAGAGTGGAAGCTGCATGTCAGATGAGGAAAAACGCAGTGTTCCTTCAGCAGGAGGCTCTTTCCATAGTCCAGGTGAGAGATAATGGTTATTATCTAATTTAATCTCTAACTAAAGGGCCATTATGAAGATTAAATAAGACAACACATTTAGGGTGCCTGATGCATAGTGGGTGCTTAGTACAATAGAGCAAGGAGCAGCGTTTCAAGAGGAGGAAATGAAAATCTCTGGGTTTGAACATTATTCTTTTATGCTCAGTATGTGGCTTGGCTCAGGGCTTATAAGGAAGAGAAAACTCATTTCTTGACTTTGAGGTGCTGAGTTGGGTGGGTTGGACATTCCTGCAAGAAATAATTCCAACATGACGGGCTAAGTTCTACAGCTGGTTCAGCATAGGGATTCTGAGGGTGCTGGGAGGAATGCCTGATTTGGGCAAAGTACCAAAGAGGAGACTTAGTGTTAGCTAAACAGAGAAGAGAGAAAGGGACTGTTAGGCAGAAAGTACAGCATTCTCAAAAGCCCAGAGGTGTTTCTGTGCCCACTTTAACAGCAACCATCCTTCTGTGAGGCTCGGAGGAGGTGGCTGAGCCAGGTCAAACTCAGAGCTGTCTGAATTTCAAGACCTACATTTCCATCTACCCCGACACACTGCTGGTCCTATGTGACAAGCCCCTCCTGCACTTAACTCATGGTCTTGCTGGTTATACCCCCAGCAGACCCTGCCATGCAGTGGATTGAGGAGTTCTCAAAATGCTGAGGCCTTTTATCCTCAAACTAGTATTACTGTAACACTAAATAGCACCTACAGAGGGAGAGGAAATTGTTCTGTTGGGGTATGGGGCTCCTGTGGCCAAGGCTTTGGCAAGCCTCTGGCTACAGGGGAAATGTGAGTGCTGTGGTCCTGAGGCCCCTCTCCCACAGACTCACCAGCACTGATTCAAAAAACCCTGCAAAATACTCCGCCCATTTTACAGATGGAGAAAAGTGCCCTCTGCCGGCAGAAGACTTTGGCGTGAAAATGAACTTCCTCTTGGCCTTGGAAATCACCAGTTACAATTCAGCTGGGTGAGCTTCCCTCCAGAGAGGCATGGGAAAGAGAAACAAAGAAGCAGGAAAGCCAAAAGGACAACAGAGAGCTAGAAAAACTGAGGATAACACTATTAGAGGATGCAGAATGAATCGGGGCAGGAAGGGGCAGAATGTCTGAGGAAAGTTATTTAAAAAAAAAAAGAAAACAGCTGAAAAGTAATAAGGAGAAAATGCATTTCTCTGAAATAAATGCCAGCTGATCATTGTCCCCTCTGTTTCTAGAGAGCGATATAGCAGCTTCAGCATCTGCACTCAGTTCACTCTCACTGGCACCCCGCGGGAGAGGCAGGGCGGCGATGGCTCCCCATGAGCTTCTCGTCCTTCCATTCCTTCATTCCTTAAACAGATATTTATTAAGAACTGACTTTGGTGCCGGGCGCGGTGGCTCACGCCTGTAATCCCAGCACTTTGGGAGGCCGAGGCGGGTGAATCATGAGGTCAGGAGATCGAGACCATCCTGGCTAACAAGGTGAAACCCCGTCTCTACTAAAAATACAAAAAAAAAAAATTAGCCGGGCGCGGTGGCGGGCGCCTGTAGTCCCAGCTACTCGGGAGGCTGAGGCAGGAGAATGGCGTGAACCCGGGAAGCGGAGCTTGCAGTGAGCCGAGATTGCGTCACTGCAGTCCGCAGTCCGGCCTGGGTGACAGAGCGAGACTCCGTCTCAAAAAAAAAAAAAAAAAAAAAAAAAAAAAAAAAAAAAAAAGAACTGACTTTGGGTCAGAGACTGTTCAAGGTGCTGGGGTTATAATTTTTTTTTTTTTTTGAGACAGGGTCTCACTCTGTTGCCCAGGCTGGAGTGCAGTGGTGCAATCTCAGCTCACTGCAACCTCCGCCTCCCGGGTTCAAGCCATTCTCATGCCTTAGCCTCCCAAGTAGCTGGGATTACAGGCATGTGCCACCATCCCTGGCTAATTTTTGTATTTTTAGTAGAGACGAGGTTTCCGCTAGGTTGACCAGGCTGGTCTCCAACTCCTGACCTCAAGTGATCCACCTGCCATGACCTCTCAAAGTGCTGGGATTACAGGTGTGAGCCACTGCGCCCGGCCTGGTGCTGGGGATATAATTGTGAGCAGGCAATAAACAGGTAAGTGAGTTAATAAACCCATTTTAGACAGCAGCACATACAATGAAGAAAATGAAACAGTAAAACGATGGGATGTGTCCAGGAGGCTGCCTCCCAACTAAGGTGTTCTCACCTGGGCAACGACAGCAGTTAACAGGACCTTCCTCACCAGGTCACCGTGAGGATTGTAGGACTTAATGGATGTAAGCGCTGAGCACAGTGCCTGGCAGACAGCGACTCTCATCATTATTATCCTAGTGCAGGCAGGGTCCATTTCTTAGAGGGTGTTTTGTTACCATTGTTGGACTGTGTGCTCTTTGAAGGAAAGGACTATTGTGTATATTGTTTTCTGTTGAAAAGACAACCCCACAGCACAATTTCTGGCATATAATCAGTAAATATTTGTTGGATAAGTAAGCAAATTCCACCCCCTCGCCTTTTTTTATTTTTATTTTTTGAAATGCAGTCTTGCTCTGTCGCCCAGGCTGCAGTACAGTAGCACAACCTTGGCTCACTGCAACCTCTGCCTCCTGGGTTCAAGCAATTATCCTACCTCAGCCTCCAAAGTAGCTGGGATTACAGGCATGCACCAACATGCCTCGCTAATTTTTGTTTGTTTGTTTGTTTGTTTTTTAGTAGAGATGGCATTTCACCATGTTGGCCAGGCTGGTCTCAAACTCCTGACCTCAAGTGATCCACCCACCTCCGCCTCCCAAAGTGCTGGGATTACAGGCATGAGCCACCACACCCGACCACAAATTCTCAGTTCACCAATAGAGAAACCAAGGCCCACTGGGCACAGTGGCTCACACATGTAATCCCAACAGTTTGAGAGGCCAAAGTGGGCAGCTCTCTTGAGCTGAGGAGTTCAAGACCAGCCTGAGCAACATGGTGGAACCCCCATCTCTACAAAAAATACAAAAAATTAGCCGGGCATGGTGGCACACACCTGTATTTCCAGCTACTCAGGAGGCTAAGGTAGGAGGATGGTTTGAGCCTGAGAGGCAGAAGGTTGCAGTGAGCCAGGATTGTGCCACTGCACTCCAGCCTGGACAACAGAGCTAGACCCTGTCTCAAAAAAAAAAAAAAAAAAGAAAAGAAAAAAAGCGAGAAACCAAGAACCAAGGCTGAGAGTTTTGAGGATTAAAACCATCCAGCTAAGTTAGTGGCAGAACCTAAACCTCTGGATGAGAAGGATCCAGACCCAGGGATTGGTAGAGCTCAGTCCTGATGGCTCTAGAGCCCATGTGCTCTCTGGATAAAGGTTGATGGAGAATGGTGGGATGTGGCTGGAAGAGATCCAGAGAGGCTTTTGATCCCACCTCAAAAGTGGGCTTAAAAGGACCCCTGTGCCCTGTGACTCTCCTTATTCTCCCAATCTCTCTTGACCAACTACAAAGACAAGAAGAGCTTGGCACCCGCCAAAAAGACATCTGAATCTTGCTCATTCTTGCAGCCAAGGGCTATTCCCCAGCAGCAAGCCACATTTCCTGCAGAATCATCCATTTCTTTCACCCTTGGCTACTGAGTTTTCCTTTCTTCTTTCTTTTTCTTTTTCTTTTTTTTTTTCCTTTGAGACGGAGTCTTGCTCTTGTTGCCCAGGCTAGAGTACAATGGCGCGATCTCGGCTCACCGCAACCTCCACCTCCCAGGTTCAAGTGATTCTCCTGCCTCAGCCTCCCAAGTAGCTGGGATTACAGGCATGCACCACCACACCCGGCTAATTTTGTATTTTTAGTAGAGATGGGTTTTCACCATGTTGATCAGGCTGGTCTCGAACTCCCAACCTCAGGTGATCTGCTTGCCTCAGCCTCCCAAAGTGCTGGGATTACAGGCGTGAGCCACCGCATCTGGCCCAGCTTTCCTTTTTCCTGTCCTTTCCTTCTGCCCCCCTTGCCTAAAGCTTTCCCTTTCGGAGCCCTGTCTCTTCCCCTCTCATTCATTCCTCTTGTTCCAGATCTCTGATCTTTATATACCTCCCCTTCTCCTTTCCCTCCTTCCCTCCCTCCATAAAGCAATAGCCTTGCTCTTTCCTCCCTAGATTGAAGGGCAGTAGTGTAGTAAAACAAATCGCTATCAACAAAAGTACATTTCCACAGTATTCATCCCCATGCCTCTGAGAAGATTTATCAGGGTCTCTCACCCTGCACTGTTATGTAAATATAATCTAACAGAAATATGATATCTAAGGAGTCTGAGGATAAAGTCTCCATAAAAACTATCAATTACTCACTGTGGCTTGGGTTTGGTTAACTCACTCACTGCCTTGCCTGGCTCCTGCCTTTCCCCATCTTGGGGGACAACTTGACAGGTGGTGACAGCTTATAAAAGATGCTTTCTGCTTCCTTGGGCCCTAGGAGGTCATCTGGAGGATCAAATGTTTGCAAAGTGCTTGAGAAATTATAAAGTGCTACATAATTCAAGGGTATCATTATTTCTATTGTCATGTGGGCTGTCTCTATGCCTCTTTGATTTGACAGATGTCTGCTCTGCCTGCAAGCCTCAGCTAACCCCATGCTTGGGTATCTATAGCCTCCTTTTGCCTGCCTGCACCTATAAGCATTACTATCTGATTTCCCTCTTTCTAGGTAGTCCCTGGGAACCCTGGAATCACATTGATGTCTGTTTGTCCTAATAGTTGAATAGGAAGATAAGCTGTTGATGGGGCTGAGAATCCTCTGAGTAGCCCTCCACATTTCCACCCCGGAGAGTGGGGCAGGTATAGAAAGGGACGGAGAACTAGAAGGGAGGCTAGAGTTGAAGCCAGACCCCAGAGCAGCTGTGCCAAGGGCCTCAAGATTGCATGTGCTGCCCTAGATTACTCAGGGGGCTGTGCTCAAAGAGGCCTACACTGCCCTCTGTTCCCAAGACAGGAAGAGGAGCCTGGCAGTTAAAGGCCCAGGATGTGAGTCCTGGGTTTAAGCCCCAGTTCTGCTACTTTTCTCTTTTTTTTTTTTTTGAGACGGAGTCTCGCTCTGTCACCCAGGCTGGAGTGCAGTGGCGAGATCTCGGCTCACTGCAAGCTCCGCCTCCCGGGTTCACGCCATTCTCCTGCCTCAGCCTCCTGAGTAGCTAGGACTACAGGCGCCCGCCACTGCGCCCGGCTAATTTTTTTGTATTTTTAGTAGAGACGGGGTTTCACCGTGTTAGCCAGGATGGTCTCGATCTCCTGACCTTGTGATCCGCCCATCTCGGCCTCCCAAAGTGCTGGGATTACAGGCGTGAGCCACCGCGCCCGGCCGAGCTCTTCTACTTTTCACATTTCCTCTCACTTTTCTTATTTGCCAGATGCCGGTGATAATGGTATCTGTATTAGAGTTGTTGTAAGGAATAAATGAGACAGACTTGTGAAGACCTTAGCATGGAGCAAAACCATTTTGTTGTTTTAAGCGTCAATCAGAATGCTTTCTAGATCATGTGCCTTGCCGGTCAAAGATCTGGCCATGAGGGTACAGAACTTGCCTGGTCACCTTTCCTAGGAAAGGGCCCTTAGATGTGGGTTGTGTCCATTCCCCCTTGGGATCAGGCTGCTTTAACCCAGCAGCCCCTAGGGGCTGCAGTTTAGGTACTGTAGGAGGCAATAGAAAGGCAAGAAGAGATTGGGGGAGGTGGGTGTCTCTTATGTAGAAATGTCAAGAGTCAGAGCTGAAAGTGAGGGAGGTGGCGGGGGTGGGGGGAGGAAGGAAGAATATAGGATGTCTCTAAGCTGCCAGAATCCGGATGGGGCTGCAACTCTGGGGCCCTGGCACTTCCTGCCACCCCCAGTCTTGGGAATGAGTCACTAGAGGGAGGAGTGCTGGAGCCATCATGCTCGGCCCACAGAGCATCGGGTTCTGTTCCCCAAAAGAGGACTGGTGGGAGGCAGAGGGAGATCCAGAGCTTAGGGGCCAAGGGGAGCTAGTCCAGGGGAGAGGGCAGGAATTCCTAGGGCTCAGTTCACCTATTGCAAGGCCAGGGAGGCAGGCCTTATCTTCTACCTCCTGTGCCAGCTTCATTCCCCATCCTGGCCATGAAAAATCAACCTACAATTTCTCTTCTGATTTCTGCCTCTGCCTGTCCTGAGTAAACTCTATCCAGTTTTCTCCAGAGAGGGCTGTTTCATATCCTTCTGGTTACCCATAGTAGGGGAGGGGACAAGGGTCTACTCTGCCCTTTTCCACCTGGCTGACTCTTAAAGTCTCCTCCCCTTTCAAAGCCTTTCTCTCTGCTTCTGAACAACCTGCCCATGACTCTGTTTTGGCCCTTAGCTTATTTATGGGGATTTTTATTCCAGAAATGCCTTATACCTCAGCCTTCCAGCTTCTTAGTCAGGGTCTTCCTTATGTCCTTAGAACACAGCCAAATGTTAGGCATAAATGTATGGATATAGCATTGGCCCACAAATATTGTTTTTTCTTCCTCACTCCTTTAATTGTTGGCATTCCTTGGCTCTTCTTTATAGTTTTCATTTACTGAGCACCTACTATGTGCCAGATGACTTTACATATTCATGTATTTAATCCTCAAAATGACCTAATACATATTTTACAGATGAGAAAACTGAGCTCAGTGAGGTTAAGTAACTTGTCCAAGGTTACATAGTCAGCAGGTGGCAGAAATGAGATTTGACAGCAAAGCCCTCACTTTTTTGTTTTGTTTTAAAAAGCTATTGGCTGGGCGCAGTGGCTCACACCTGTAATCCCAGCACTTTGGGAGGCCGAGGTGGGCGGATCACGAGATCAAGAGATTGAGACCATCCTGGCCAACATGGTGAAACCCCATCTCACTAAAAATACAAAAAAAGACCAGGCATGGTGGCTCACGCCTGTAATCCCAGCACTTTGGGAAGCTGAGATGGGTGGATCACAAGGTCAGGAGTTCAAGAACAGCCTGGCCAAGATGCTGAAACCCCGTCTCTACCAAAAATACAAAAATTAGCCAGGCATGGTGGCACGCGCCTGTAATCTCGGCTACTCGGGAGGCTGAGGCAGGAGAATCACTTGAACCCAGGTGGCAGAGGTTGCAGTGAACTGAGATGGAGCCACTGCACTCCAGCCTGGGCGACAGAGTAAGACTCCGTCTCAAACAACAACAACAACAACAACAAAATACAAAAATTAGCTGGGCGTGGCGGCATGCGCCTGTAGTCCCAGCTATTCGGGAGGCTGAAGCAGGAGAATTGCTTGAACCCGGGAGGCGGGGGTTGCAGTGAGCTGAGATCGTGCCACTGCACTCCAGCCTGGTGACAGAGGGAGACTGTGTCTCAGAAAATAAAACAAAACACCAAGAAAACTATTGTTATTATTATTTTTAAATATAACTATTAGACGTCTTAGTGGTAACAATTTCATATAGAATTTTCTGTTACTTTGTGGGTTGCCTGTTTCTTTACTGAGATTTAATTTATACACTAGACAATTCACCCATTTAAAGCGCACAAAGTTTTTAGTATATTTACAGAGCTGTGCAACCATCAACACAACCAATCCTAGAATATTTTCATCACCACAGAAAGAAACCTCCTACCCATTTGTAGTCAATCCCAAATTGCCCCAACTCTAGGCAGCTACTAATCTATTTTCCATCTCTATAGATATGTCTAATGTGGACTTTTTATATAAATGGAATCATGCAGTGTGTGGCTTTTCCTCCCTGGCTTTTTTTTTTTTTTTTTTTGAGACGGAGTCTCACTCTGTCCCCCAGGCTGGAGTGCAGTGGCGCGATCTCGGCTCACTGCAAGCTCCACCTCCTGGCTTCACACCATTCTCCTGCCTCAGCCTCCCGAGTAGATGGGACTACAGGCGCCCACCACCACACCTGGCTAATTTTTGTATTTCTAGTAGAGACGGGGTTTCACCGTGTTAGCCAGGATGGTCTCGATCTCCTGACCTCGTGATCTGCCCGCCTCGGCCTCTCAAAGTGTCAAAGTGCTGGGATTACAGGCGTGAGCCACTACGCCCAGCTTTTTTTTTTTTTTTTTTTTTTTTTGAGACAGAGTCTCACTCTGTTGCCCAGGCTGGAGTGCAGTGGCACCATCTTGGCTCACTGTAAGCTCCGCTTCCCGGGTTCAAGCAATTCTACTGCTTCAGCCTCCTGAATAGCTGGGACTACAGGTGCACACTGCCACACCTGTCTAATTTTTTGTATTTTAGTAGAGACAGGGTTTTACTGTGTTGTCCAGGCTGGTCGTGAACTCCTGAGCTCAGGCAATCCACCTGCCTCAGCCTCCTAAAGTGCTGGGATTACAGGCATGAGCCACTGTGCCCAGCCAACTGGCTTCTTTTACTTAGCATAATGTTCTCACGATTAGTCTATGTTGTAGCATGTATCAGTATTTCATTTATTTTTATTGTTGAATAATACTCCATTGTTATACCACATTGTATTTATCCATTCAACAGTTGATGAGCATTTGGATTGTTTCCACTTTTTGGCTATGATGAATAACGTTGCTGTGAACATTCGTGTACAAATTTTTGTGTGAACACATGTTTTCAATTCCCTTGGGTACATATCTAGGTGTAGAATTTCTGGGCCATATGGTAGCTCTATGTTTAACATTTTGAGGAACTGCCAGATTGTTTTCCAAAGCAGCTGCACCATTTTGTAATACCACTAGCAGTTTACGAAGATTCCAATTTCTTCATATCCTCTCCAACACTTGTTATTATTTATCTTTTAAATTATAGCCATTCTAGTCGTGTGAAGTGGCATCTGATGTTTTGCTTTTCATTTCCTTAATGGCTAATGATGTTGATTATATATGTATTTTTTAATTTTATTGAGAAAAGGTCTCACTTTTTTTTCTTTTTTTTTCTTTTTTTACTTTTTTTTTTTTTTTTAAAGACAGAGTTTTGCTCTTTTTGCCCAGGCTGGAGTGCAATGGTGTGATCTCATCTCACTGCAAACTCTGACTCCCTGGTTCAAGTGATTCTCCTGCCTCAGCCTCCCAATTAGCTGGGATTACAGGTGCATGCCACCACTCCCGGCTAATTTTGTATTTTTAGTAGACAGGGTTTCACCATGTTGGCCAGGCTGGTCTCGAACTCCTGACCTCAGGTGATCCGCCTGCCTCGGCCTCCCAAAGCACTGGGATTACAGGAGTAAGCCACCACGCCCAGCCAAGGTCTCACTCTTTTGACCAGGCTGGAGTGCAATGCCATGATCATAGCTCACTGCAATCTCAAATTCCTGGACTGAAGCCTCCCGAGTAGCTGGGACTACAGGCACATGCTACCACATCTGGCTAATGTGGTAGCCTTTCCATGTTGTCCAGGCTGACTTCAAACTCCTGGGCTCAAGCAATCTTTTTGCCTTGGCCTCCCAAAGTGCTGGGATTACAGTGTGAGCCACTGCACCCAGCCTGATCATCTTTTTATGTGTTTATTGCCCATTTGCAGATCTTTTTTTTTTTTTTTTTTTTTTTTTTGAGATGGAGTCTCCCTCTATCGCTCAGGCTGGAGTGCAGTGGCGTGATCTCAGCTCACTGCAACCTCTGCCTCCCGGTTCAAGCGATTCTCCTGCCTCAGCCTCCTGAGTAGCTGGGATCACAAGTGTGTGCCACCATGCCTGGCTAATTTTTGTATTTTTAGTACAGACAGGGTTTCACCATGTTGGTCAGGCTGGTCTCGAACTCCTGACCTTGTGATCCGCCTGCCTCGGCCTCCCAAAGTGTTGGAATTCCAGGCATGAGCCACCACGCCCAGCCTTGCAGATCTTCTTTAGTGAAATGTCCGTTCAGATCCTTTGCCCATCTTTATTTTTGTTATTTTAAAAATTATTTTATTTTTTAATAGAGACAAGATCTTGCTATATTACCCAGGCTGGTCTTGAACTCCTGGGCTCAAGTGATCATCCCACTTCACCTTCCCACATAGCTGGTACTACAGGTGTGTGCTACCCACTGCTTGTCACCTCAAATCTATTCCATTGATCTACAAGTCTGTCTTTAGGCCAGTACTACACTGTCTTGATTATTATAGATTTGTAGTAAGGTTTGAAATCAGAAAGCCTTAATCCTCAAACTTTGTTCTTTTTCAAGATTGTTTTGGTTATTCTAGGTCTCTTGCATTTCCATATAATTTTTAGGATCAGCTTGTCAATTTCTGCAAGGAAACCAGCTGAGATTTTGATAGAGATTCTGTTGAAGCTGTAGATCAATTTGGGGAGAAAGCCCTTGCCTTTAGCCAAGACACCATACCATCTCTCCATTCCAGTGCAAATGGAGAAAAGAAAAGCATATAAGAGGGGACAGAGAGAAGAGAAGAGGAGGAAGAGGAGAAAGGAAGAATAGGCATCCATATGGAGCAAGCCGAAGTGAATCCAGGGGTGGGGAGGTCCCAGGCCAATCAAGAGGCAGAATCTCAGGAAAAATGAATTCTAACTCAACAGGTACATACTCTATTAACCACAATTTCAGCCCATATGTTGGTAGATGGCCTGGCTTTTTACCTCCCCATATCATCTTCCTCTTCTCCCCAGGATCTCTTCCAAATACCTGGTGGTTATGAGGATGCCTTATATGCCTTGGTTTATGGGATTTAATGAAAGCTCCCTGTTGAAAAGCCCCAATAAAATAAAAGCCCCAAGAAAAGTCTCAATAATGGAAATAAATGAATCTCATTCCCACCCCTTTTCTGCAGTGGGAAGTGTTACAACCCTTCTTGGTGAGTATCAGGGGAATTGGCCTGCCCTGGGACCTCTGTTCTGGAGAGACTGGCATATAGAGGGTGTTCATGGGTCCCTAAGGGTGCTGTGGGGTGTGCAGGGTGGGGAATGGGGTTGACTCTTACAGCCTCATGATGTGGCGAACTCAGCTTGGCCCAAAGTGTTTTGCTACAATCTGTGCCTTCTGTACCTCAACCAGACCATCTTTCCAGCTAATAACTGGTGAGGGAGTGAGGCTATGAGAGGTGGGGGTACAGGATAGAAGAGAAATGAGCTTAACTCCCTCCTAGCGGATAGAGAAAGGATGATTGAAATTGCTCACTTAGCAAACGATTTAGCCAGCTGTAGAAAATCCTATTAAATGACAATTCTTATCTCAGTCTCTTGCTCTTGGGAAGAGCGGCTTTGGGCTTTGTGAAGACCAGGGCACAGTCTCTTCTGAATCTGGTCAAATAATTTTCACCAACAAAAAGTTAAAACACAGAGACAGGCAAACTTCACCAGGTCTCCGTTCCTCTTTATACCCCTTGGTCTAGTCCCTCATATCATCTGTTAGTTATCTGGTTAGTTGAGCCTTTTCTCTACCCATTGTAATATAAATAGCAAGCATTTTATGGGTCCCCGTTAAGCAATGTGATCAGCATCAATTACCTAATGAGACTCTGGAAAGTTGTGATTTAAAATCCTGTCCTCAATTGTGACTGGGCTTTGTCTGGAGCCAACATGGTAACTGCGGTGACATCCAAACTAATTGCACTCCAGATGTGAGTTTGGCCCTGAGGAAAATTCACCTTCTGAGAAGGGAGCTGATCTTTGTACTTTGTTCTAAAAGGGAGAGTTTTTATGTCCTCTGAAGGCTCAGGGGGTAATGGGTGGACCTGTCCAATTCTGCCTGATAACCTTAGGTAGGGCCTTTGAGCGTGGAAGAAAGAGAATGAGACTAGAGGAAAGTACAGGGACGGTGGAGGCTATCAGCTCCCTGAGGGCAGGGAGTTTTGTCTGATTTGCTCTCTGCTGATTTCATAGTATCTGTAGACTACTGAGACCATAATAGGGGTTCCATAAATACCTAATGAATGAAGGAATAAAATCCCAGAATGATCCCTTCAGCCAGGAAGCCCTTCTCTTTGCAAGATCCTCCCCTCCCCACCAGGGACCTAATAAGTTTTGGAGATAATAAATGGTGGAGACTAAAGGATAGGATTTTTAAGACCTGTGGTTAGTTTGGCTGTAGTTCCCTGGAAGACGAGGGATTCTTTTGTTCAGTGATGATCCTTCTAGCCAGAAGATTCAGTAATTGCCTTGTTTGGGCTGATGGCTTGAGACACAGGCATTTGATGTGGACAATCTGGAGCATTTCATCTTCTTTCTCTAAATATCCCCCACCCTCACCCTCAGCCTGGTTAAGGATTATATTCTGGCTTTTTCCCAGAGCAATACAGGTGGTCCCTTTTCTTCCTCACTTTTCTTAGCTCCTCTCTTGAATAAGAAGCAACTTGAAGCCTCTTGCCAAATCTATTCAATTTTCAGCTGTCATTTATTCAAGGTCTAAGCAACATTTGACCTAGTTTATCATACATACCCTTCCTCTTGAAACACACTCTTCACTTGGCTTCCTGGGCACCAACATTCCCTTGGTTTTCCTCCTGTTTTCCTAGCAGCTCCTTCCCCTGTCTTCATGTCGTTATAACTTCATAGCTCTGTTGACTGATGCACATGGCAAGTCAATGTGCTGAGACACCAGGTTGCAGCAGAGAAAGAGGTTTAATCATAGGGCTGCTGAATGAGGAAATGGGAGGAATTCTTAAATCCATCTCCCTTAGGAATTTGGGACTAGGGTTTTGTTTCGTTTTGTTTTGTCTTGAGACGGAGTCTTGTTCTGTTGCCCAGGCTGGAGTGCAGTGGCGCAATCTTGGTTCACTGCAAGCTCCGCCTCCCGGGTTCATGCCATTCTCCTGTCTTAGCCTCTCAAGTAGCTGGGACTACAGGCGCCCGCCACCACGCCCGGCTAATTTTTTGTATTTTTAGTAGAGACGGGGTTTCACCGTGTTAGCCAGGATGATCTCAATCTCCTGACCTTGTGATCTGCCCGCCTCGGCCTCCCAGAGTGCTGGGATTACAGCTGTGAGCCACCGCGCCCGGCCGGGGCGAGGGTTTTTAAAGGTTTTGGAGTGGGCCAAAGTATGGAGACTGTGGATTGGTCGAAGAGTGCAGGGTGAAGTTATGGGACAGGGAGATGAAGAAACAATTTTGATGCCGATTTGATTCCTCTGCGGGGTCTTTAAACCAGTTAGTATCAGCTGTTCTGCTGGAATTCAGGATCTACTGAAGCAATTCTTTTTTTTTTTTTTTTTTTTTTTGAGACGGAGTCTCGCTCTTTCGCCCAGGCCGGAGTGCAGTGGCGCTATCTCTGCTCACTGCAAGCTCCGCCTCCTTAAGCAATTCTTAAATAGTAGCCTGATGATTCTAATGTGAGACATCCTATCTATAGGAACAACAAGGATGCAGATGGTCAGTATCTAGTGTTATGTGACTTTCAGTTACAAGGAAGAAGGTCAGAGTGCAGCCTGATTAATGCTTAAACTGTGTTTCTGTCCAGAATTCTTGTTAACCCTGTGAGGACGGCTTCATCCTCTGAGTGTTGAATGCCCATGGAGTTGTCTTCTGTCCATGCTCATTTCTAAGTTATGTTCTCCAGCACTAATCTTTAAGTACTATCAATGCTGACAACTCTCAATTTATATCTCTAGCTTGAACCCTGTCTTCTGAGCTCCAGACTCAGATATCTAATGCCTACTTGACGTCTCCACTTGTATGTCTAATAGGAATCTCAAACTTGATATGTCCAAAACAGAATTCTTGATTCCTTGTCCACCATCCCCTGGACCTGCTTAGGACCCAATTCTCTCCAAGCAGTATCTCTATTTACCTTTTTGCTCAAGTCAAATACCTAGGGATGACCCCTGACCCCTTTCTTTCTCTTAGTCCCCACAGAATCTGTCAGTTCTGTAAGCAGTGTCTTCAAAATATATTCTGCATCTGACCACTTCACACCCACTTTGTCATTACCACTCTGGTCTGAGCCATCATCCTCTTCCACCTTACTTTATAGTCTATTTTCAACTCAGTAGTCAGAGTAGTCTTCTTCCTGTGTGCCATCAAGAATCACACCTACCAGCCAGGCGAGGTGGCTCATGCCTGTAATCCCAGCACTTTGGGAGGCTGAGGCAGGCGGATCACCTGAGATCAGGAGTTCGAAGCTGCCAGACCAACATGGTGAAACCCCATCTCCACTAAAAATACAAAATTAGCTGGGTGTGGTGGCGCACGCCTGTAATCCCAGCTACTCTGGAGGCTAAGGCAGGAAAATCGCTTGAACCTGGGAGGTGGGAGGTGGAGGTTGCAGTGAGCCAAGATCACGCCATTGCACTCCAGCCTGGGCAACAGAGCAAAACTATGTCTCAAAAAAAAAAAAAAAATTAAGTCAAGACCAGGTGCAGTGGCTCACGCCTGTAATCCCAGCATTTAGGGAGGCGGAGGAGGGCAGATCACCTGAGGTTAGGAGTTCAAGACCAGCCTGGCCAATATGGCAAAACCTTGTGTCTACTAAAAATACCAAAATTAACTGGGCACAGTGGTGGGCACCTGTAATCTCAACTACTGGGGAGGCTGAGGCAGGAGAATTGCTTGAACCCAGGAGGTGAAGGTTGCAGTGAGCTGAGATTGTGCCACTGCACTCTAGCCTGGGCAATAGAGTGAGACTTCGTTTCAAAAAAAAAAAAAAAAAAGACTATTAAGACAAATCTTATCTGCCTTCTTCTCAAAGTTGTCCAATGAGAAGGTGTTAAAAAAAATGAATCCTATTTTATTCATGAAAAAAAAGAGAGAAGGTACTCAACATTATTATTCTTTGAGGAAATGTAATCACTCAACAAGTTCTTCCTTCCCACTGCACAGACAAAACCAGTTCACTGAAACTGTGGTATAGCAGCAAAGAAAGAGTTTCCAGCCTGAGCAACAGAGGGAGACCCTATCTCTACCAAAATAAATAAATAATAAAAAGCTAGGAAAGTGGTGAGTGCTTGTGGTCCCCGCTACTCAGGAGGCTGAGGTGGGAGGATCACTTGGGCCCAGGAAGTTGAGGCTGCAGTAAGCTGAGATTGTGCCACTGCACTCCAGCCTGGGTGACAGAGCAAAATCCTGTCTCAACAACAAAAAAGTTTAATTGATGCAAGGCCGCACAGGAGAACTGAAATCTCTCTAAGAACTCAGAGATGATGGTTTTGATGGACAATTTGGTGGGCAGAGAGCCAGGGAATGGGTGCTGCAGATTGGTTGGGCATGAAATCACTGGGGTGTGGAAAACAGTTCTCCTGCACTGAGTCTGCCTTTGAGTGGGGTCACAGGACCCATTAAGTCATGAGTCTCAGGATTGGGCAGGATCAGTTGTTTGCCAAAATATCTAAAATAATCTCAAAAGATCAATCTTAGATTCTACAATAGTGATGTTATCTATAGGAGCAATTGGGGAAGTCACAAATCCTGTGGCCTCTGGTCACATGACTCCTGAGTAGTAAGGGATTATAGAAACTATGCCGACATTTTAGCAGAATTGAGCCTCCTCCCATAATCCTAATCTCGTGGTCTTTCATTAGTTTTACAAAGCTGGTTTTTGGTCCCTGAGCAAGGAGGTGGCTGGTTTTAGGCAAGGACTATTATCATCCTTGCTTTCAAGTTAAACTATCAACTATAATTCCTCCCATGGTTGGCTTGGCCTATGCTCAAGAATGAGCAGAGATGGTTTACAGGTTAGAAGCGAGATAGAATGAGCCATGTCAGACTTCTTTTACTCTCATAATTTTACAAAGGCAATTTCAGAAATGCAAATTAAATCCACATTGAGATACCATTACATACCAACCAGAATGCCAAAATTCTGACAACACCAAGTGTAGACAAGGATATGGAGCAACTGTAATACTCACCAGCTGCTAGTGGGAATGTAAACTGATACATGCACTTAGGTAACCTGGCAGGTACCTGGCAGTTTCTATTAAAGCTAAACATACACCTTTTGTATTACCTATTAATCTACTCCTAGGTAACTACTGAAGATAAATGAGTGCATACATCTACAAAAAGACATGTTCAAAGAAATCTTCCTCATAATAGCCCCAAGTTGGAAATAACCCAAATACGCACCAATGAGAGAATGGCTAAATCAATTGTACACAGTCATGACTTGCTTGACAATGGAGATACCCTCTGAGAAATGAGTTGTAAGGTGATTTTGTCATTGTGCAAACATCATAGAAACCTAGATGGGGGCTGGGCATGGTGGCTCACGCCTGTAATCCTAGCACTTTGGGAGGCCAAGGTGGGTGGATCACCTGAGGTCAGGAGTTCGAGACCAGCCTAGTCAACATGGCAAAACCCCATCTCTACAAAAGACTACAAAAATTAGTCGGGGGCAGTGGCATGTGCCTGTAGTCCCAGCTACTCAGGAGGCTGAGGAAGTAGAATCGCTTGAACCCAGGAGGCAGAGGTTGCAGTGAGCCGAGATCATGCCATTGCACTCCAGCCTAGGCAACAAGAGTGAAACTCCATCTCAAAAACAAACAAACAAACAAACAAAAAAATACAAAAATTAGTGGGTCATAGTGGTGCAGGCCTGTAGTCACAGCTACTTGGGAGGCTGAGGTAGGAGAATTGCTTTAACCCAGGAGTTGGAGGCTACAGTGAGCCAAGATCATGCCACTGCACTCCAGCCTGGGCGACAGAGCAAGACTTCGTCTCAAAAAAAAAAAAAAACCTAGATGGGATAGCCCACCACACACCTAGGCTTTATGGTATAGCCTATTGCTCCAAGGTTACAAACCTGTATGGCATGTCACCATACTGAATGTATGACACACTGGTAAGCATCTGTGTATCTAAACATATCTAGGCCAGCTGCAGGCACGGTGGCTCACGCCTATAATCCCAACACTTTGGGAGGCTGAGGCGGGGGGATCGCTTGAGCTCAAGAGTTCCAGACCAGCCCAGGCAACATGGCAAAACCCTGTTGCTACCAAAAAGTATTGCATATGCATAATAACATGTTGGTCAGGAATGGACCAGATATACAATGGTCGTCCCTTAAGATTATAATCCTGTGGCTGGTCGCAGTGGCTCATGCCTGTAATGCCAACACTTTGGGAGGCTGAGGTGGGTGGATCACTTGAGGTCAGGAGTTCGAGACCAGCCTGGCCAACATGATGAAACCCTGTCTCTACTAAAAATAGAAAAATTAGCCAGGCATGGTGGCAGGCACCTGTAATCCCAGCTACTCGGGAGGCTGAGGCAGGAGAATCGCTTGAACCCAGGAGGCAGAGTTTGCAGTGAGCCAAGATCACGCCATCTCACTCCAGCCTGGGTGTCAAAAGTGAAACTCCATCTCAAAAAAAAAAAATGATTATAATACTGTATTTTTACTGTACCTTTTCTATGTTTGTTTGTTTTAATTATTTATCTATTTATTTTGAGACAGAGTTTCGCTCTTGTTGCCCAGGCTGGAGTGCAATGGTGTGATCTGAGCTCACTGCATCCTCCGCCTCCCAGGTTCAGGCAATTCTCTTGCCTTAGCTTCCCAAGTAGCTGGGATCACAGGCATGTGCCAACACGCCCAGCTAATTTTATATTTTGTATTTTGTTTTTGTTTTTTGAGATGGAGTTTTGCTCTTGTTGCCCAGGCTGGAGTGCAATGGCATGATCTTGGCTCACTACAACCTCTGCCTCCTGGGTTCAAGCAATTCTCCTGCCTCAGCCTCCTGAGTAGCTGGGATTACAGGTGCCTGCCACCATGCCCAGCTAATTTTTTATATTTTTATTACAGATGGGTTTCATCATGTTGGCCAGGCTGGTCTCGAACTCCTGACCTCAGGTGACATGCCTCGGCCTCCTAAAGTGCTGGGATTACAGGTGTGAACCACCACACCAGGCCTAATTTTGCATTTTTCAGTAGCAGTGGGGTTTCACTATGTTGGTCAGGCTGGTCTCCAACTCCTGACCTCAGGTAATCCACCCACCTTGCCCTCCCAAAGTGATGGGATTATAGGCGTGAGCCATTGCACCTGGCTGAAAACTGTAACTGAAAAGTGGTTAAGATAGTTAATTGTGGCTGGGTGCGGTGGCCCACGCCTGTAATCCCAGCACTTTGGGAGGCCGAGACGGGCTAGATTGCGAGGTCAGGAGATCGAGATCATCCTGGCTGACATGGTGAAACCCCGTCTCTACTAAAAATATAAAAAAATTAGCTGGGCGTGGTGGGGGCGACTGTAGGCCCAGCTACTCAGGAGGCTGAGGCAGGAGAATGGCATGAAGCTGGGAGGCGGAGCTTGTAGTGAGCCGAGATCGCACCACTGCACTCCAGCCTGGGTGACAGAGTGAGACTCTATCTCAAAAAAAAAAAAAAAAGATAAAATTGTATGTTATGTGTATTTTTCCGCAATTAATAAAATAAAATAAAGCCCCCACATGATCTGGCCCTTGCCTGCATTTCCTCTTCTCCAGGCTCATTAACCATGAGCACACTAAACATGCCCTAATCTCAAAAATCTTTGCATCTGCTGATCCTTCTGCCCAGTCAAGTCTTTCTTGTAATATGTCCTTGGCTCATCTTCTCACTTCACTCAGACTCTGTTCTAGTATCACTTTTGAGAGGCCTTCCTTGACCATCATCTAAGGTAGGCACCATTCCAGCACTTGCTATCCCATACCTGGCTTTATTTTTCTTCAAAGCACTTCTTTTTTTTTTTTTTTTTTTTGAGACAGAGTCTCCCTCTGCCACGTAGGCTGGAATGCAGTGGCACGATCTTGGCTCACTGCAACCTCTGCCTCCTGAGTTCAAGTGATTCTTGTATGTCAGCTTCCTAAGTAGCTGGGATCACAGGCATTTGCCACCACTTCTAGCTATTTTTGTATTTTTAGTAGAGACAGGGTTTCACTATGTTGGCCAGGCTGGGCTCAAACTCTTGACCTCAAGTGATCCACCTGCCTCGGCCTCCCAAAGTGCTGGGATTACAGGCGTGAGCCACCGTGCCTAGCCTTCAAAGCACTTTTTAAAAAATAAACTTGGGCTGGGCGCAGTGGCTTACACCTGTAATCCCAGGACTTTTGGAGGCCGAGAAGGGTGGATCACTTGAGGTCAGGAGTTCGAGACCAGCCTAGCCAACATGGTGAAACCCTATCTCTACTAAAAATACAACAACTAGCCGGGCGTGGTGGCAGGTGCCTGTAGTCCCAGCTACTTGGGAGGCTGAGACAGGAGAATTGCTTGAACCTGGGAGGTGGAGGTTGCAGTGAGCCAAGATCCTGCCACTGCACTCCAGCCTGGGTGACAGAGCGAGACTCCATCTCGAAAAAAATTATTAATTTAAAAAACATATTCCATAGCATATGGGTTGTGAAAAAAATAATAAATTTTAAATAAATTTTGAAAATTAAAAAAAATTTAAAAACCTTATTTATTTACTTATGAGACAGGGTCTTGCTCTTTCACCCAGCCTGGAGTGCAGAGACAGGATCATAGCTCACTGCAGCCTTGAACTCTTGGGCTCGAGTGATCCTCCTGAGTAACTGGGACTATAGGCATGCACCACCACTTCCAGCTAATTTTTTTTCTTTTTTGAGACGGAGTCTCACTCTGTCACCCAGGCCGGAGTACAGTGGTGCAATCTCAGCTCACTGCAAGCTCTCCACCTCCCGGGATCACGCCATTCTCCTGCCTCAGCCCCCTGAGTAGCTGGGACTACAGGCGCCCGCCACCACACCCAGCTAATTTTTTTGTATTTTTAGTAGAGACGGGGTTTCACCATGTTAACCAGGATGGTCTCCATCTCCTGACCTCGTGATCTGCCCGCCTTGGCCTCCCAAAGTGCTGAGATTACAGGCGTGAGCCACTGTGCCTGGCCTTTTTTTTTTTTTTTTTTTTTTGAGATGGGTCTCACTGTATTGCCCAGGCCCAGGCTGGTCTCTAACTCCTGGCCTTAAGGGATCCTCCTGAGAGAGGAGAAAGAAAGAAGCTGGTCAGGCAGGCAGTTAGGGTGGGTCCTTGGTTGAATTCTTCAAAACAAAAGAACACCCTGCAGACACAGATAAGAGAGCTTGCACAGAGGCGCTTGTCTAAGACATTCCCACAGCTACATAGATAAGAAAGGCTACACAGGAGACTTGCCCACACATGCCCAGCCGCATAGATAAGAAAGGCTACACAGGAGACTTGCCCACACCTGCCCACAATGCAAAATTCTGTCCTCTGACACATGCACAGTAAGGGGAAAAAAAGCAATATAGAGTAACTCAAGCTAAGGGCCCACATGTGCACTCGGAGGATGGGGTGGAGCTACCAGAAATTCGTGCCACTTGCAAATGAGATGCCAAGCCCTCATCTGTTTCTTATAAAAGCTTTTGCATTCAACTGTAAATACAGCAACCCTCTTCTGGGTCCCCTCTCCTCTTGAGAGCTTTCTTTCTTTCTTTTTTTTTTTGAGACCGAGTTTCACTCTTGTTGCCCAGGCTGGAGTGCAATGGCGTGATCTCGGCTCACCGCAACCTCCGCCTCCCAGGTTCAAGCGATTCTCCTGCCTCAGCCTCCTGAGTAGCTGGGATTACAGGTGGGATTACAGGCATGCACCACCACGCCCGGCTAATTTTGTATTTTTAGTAGAGACAGCTTTTCTCCATGTTGGTCAGGCTGGTCTTGAACTCCCCACCTCAGGTGATCCACCCACCTTGGCCTCCCGAAGTGCTGGGATTACAGGCGTGAGCCACCATGCCCGGCCAAGCCTTCTTCTTTTGCTTGTTTTTTTTTTTTTTTTTTGAGACGGAGTCTCGCTCTGTCGCCCAGGCTGGAGTGCAGTGGCGCGATCTCGGCTCACTGCAAGCTCCGCCTCCCGGGTTCACGCCATTCTCCTGCCTCAGCCTCCCGAGTAGCTGGGACTACAGGCGCCCGCTACCACGCCCGGCTAATTTTTTGTATTTTTAGTAGAGACGGGGTTTCACCTTGTTAGCCAGGATGGTCTCGATCTCCTGACCTCGTGATCCGCCCGCCTCGGCCTCCCAAAGTGCTGGGATTACAGGCGTGAGCCACCGCGCCCGGCCTTCTTTTGCTTGTTAAACTTTTGCTCCAACCTCACCCTTTGTGTCCGTTCTCCTTATTTCTCTTGGTTATCAGACAAAGAACTCCAGGTGATACCTCACAACAAGAGACCGCTACATTGTGGTGCACTGGGGAGACTGTAACACTCCCTCATTGGCCTGGCATAGTGAGGAATTACAGGTGTGAGCTATTGCACCTCGGCAAACTTTTAATTTTAGAATAGTTTTAGATTTACAGGAAAGTTGGAAAGACAGTATAGAGTTCCTACACACTGCACACCTAGTTTCCCCCTCTATTATCATCTTACATTAATATGGCACTGTTGACCTAAAAGAATAAAATGAAGCAAAGTTAATATAGATAATTTATTTAGACCAAGGTTGAAAACCATAGCCCAGAGTCATAGGTTCCAGTTGCCCTGAATATATGCTCTAATTAGCAGCAATTACAAGAGAGTTTTTAAGAGGTTAAAAAGAAAAAAGAAGGGAGAGGATAGTTCCTAAATTGTTTACCAATAACTTATTGGTTCATTAAAATAACATAAGCTATCGATTGGCTATAATTGTTCTTTGTATCACAAATTCCAGGAACGTGAAAATAATGAGTGAGGATCACATTGTGCAACTTGTGGCAACATTTTAGATAATTTATCAGCTAACCTGAAGCTAAAGGGAAGAAGAAAAACAAAATACCTTTAAACAATTTCCACCAGCCATGGGTTGGGGGATGTAACTGAGTCTCAGGCTCATGTCTCTCTCTGTGCCTGATAAATTTTGCAGACCCCCACGTTCCTCACATGCTCTGAGCCACTTTTTTTTCTTTTCTTTTTTTTTTTTTGAGATGAGGTTTCACCCTGTCACCCAGGCTGGAGTGCAGTGGTGCAATCACGGCTCACTGAACCTCGAGCCTCTCAAGTAGCTGGGACTACAGGTGTGCATGATCATACCCATGAATTTTTGTATTTTTTGTAGAGACAGGACTTCACCATGTTGTCCAGGCTAGTCTCGAACTCCTGGTCTCAAGCAATCCACTCGCCTTGGCCTCCCAAAGTGCTGGGATTACAGGTGTGAGCCACTGTGCCCGGCAGTCAGACTTTTTCCATTTTTGATGATCTTAACACTTGGGAGGAGTATTGGTCAAATATTTTGTAGAACGTGCTTTGACTGGGATTTATCTAAGTTTTTCTCATGATTAGGGTTATGGAGTTTTGGAAGGAAGACCACAGAAATAAAGTGACATTCTCATCACATCATATCAAGCAACATGACTTATTACTATTGATTTTAAGCTTGATCACCTAAGCTTACGTTTGCCAGGTTTCAACACTATAAATTTAGTCCTTTATCTCCCTCTTCCCATCCTATACTCTTTGGAATGAAGTTTCTATTCACAGCCTACACTGAAGGAGTGGGGAGTTGTAATCCACGTCCTTGAGGGATAAGTGTCTAAATAAATTATTTGGAATTCTGCAAGAAAGATTTTTCTCTTTGCCTTTTGTTTATTCAGTTAATTAATTTACATCAGTATATACTTATGAATATTTATTTTGTACTTTGGGTTTTAATCCAATAATGCTTCGTTTTGTTGCTCAAATGGTTCCAATTTTGGTCACTGGTAGTTCTTTCAGTTGGTTCCTATGTCTCTTTGACACACTCCCAACATGTGTTTTTGTCTGAACCCTTCCTTTCCTTCTGATACTACAAGATTCTCCAGGCTCACATTATATATTTCCTGCCCCAACCTAAAATCAGCCATATTTCCAAGGAGCCTGGTTTATTTTATTACAAAGATGTTTCATATCTAAAATTGTTATTTCTGGCCAGGTGCAGTGGCTCACGCCTGTAATTCCAGCACTTTGGGAGGCCGAGGCGGGTGGATCACCTGAGGTCAGGAGTTCGAGACCAGCCTGGCCAACCTGGTGAAACCCCACCTCTACTAGAAATACAAAAAATTAGCTGGGTGTGGTGGCAGACACCTGTAATCCCAGCTACTCAGGAGGCTGAGGCAGGAGAATCGCTTGAATCCAGGAGGCAGACGTTGCAGTGAACCCAGGAGGCAGAGGTTGCAGTGAGCCAAGATAGTGCCACTGCACTTCAGCCTGGGCAACAAGAGTGAAACTCTGTATCTAAAAAAAAAATAAATTGTTATTTCTTTGCATTCTATCTGTATCTCCCACTAGAACATTAGGCCTTTAAAATCAGGACCTTTTCTGCTTGTTCACTGCTATATCTTCATTACCTAGAATAGTATCTGGCACACAGGAGGATATCAATAAAAGCTTAGTGAATGAATGAATAAATTAGTAAGGCCAAGTATTGTGCCTTTTTACATATGCATTCTTCATGATGTTATAAGAATTTGATCAAAGTATAGTTGTATTGATAGATGGATACATGGATGTATGAATGGACAAATGAATGAATTAATACTAACCAGATGGACACATTATTGGGTGTATGAATGAATTGAGAAACAGATGGATGGATGTTGCTGCCACTACTATACTCTCTAGTTATTCAGGTGAAAACTAGGTGATGAGGGGCCTCATTCATAATTCCTTCCACACTTTCACCTCCCACATCCAATCAACCACTAAGTCCTGCCAATTTTGCATCTCAAATATTTCTCAAACCCATTTCCTTTTCTTCATTTCAACTACTATTGCCCTGCTGCAGGCTCTCTTCCTCTCTTGCCTGGATGCTTCTGCAGCCATGTAACTCATCTGTCCACTTTCTGCCATGTTTCCATCCCCACCACCATCTACATTCCTGCCAGAAGAATTATTGTAAAATACTGTTATGCCTGTGTCACTCCCTTGCTTAAACCCTTAGGGTAAAGTCTAAGCTCCTTAGCATGATATAAAGTGCCTGTGATGACCTGGACCTTGGCCACTCCTCCACCCTCTCTTCTTGCCATTCTCCACCTTGCATTGATTTGTGTGCCTCAGAAATACCAAACTGCTTGTAGTTCCCATCAGGGATCATGCTGCTTCTCTGCTCTGTCCTTTGCTCGTACTAGTCTCCCTGCCTAGAATGCCCTTTCCTCACATCTGGAGCTCAGAAGTCTTACTGGCTTCAAGTTGTTGAAAGCATGTATTTTTGCAGTTGTGGTTATGCTTATTAGGAGAGCCAGGGCAAGGGCACAAAATTTAAGTTGTTTTGCAAGTGAGAATGAACACATCTTTAAATCTTGTGCCCTGGGTGCTTTACTTATCCTAGTCTTGGCCCAGTCTTGTCTCCTAGGCTGGGAGCTTCCAGAGGGCAAGAATTTTGTCTTTTATCCCTGTAATCCCTAGCACAATGACTGGTGTCTAGTAGGTACTCAGTGTAAATGTTTGTGGGAGGGAAAGAGGGAAGATGAATCAGAAGTCCACTGCTTGGGCCTTCAAATCTAGACTCTGTCTCTTACTAGCTATGGGAATCTGACCAAGTTATTTCTCTGCTTCTCAGTTTTCTTATCTGTGGAAAAGAAATAATAACATCTCCATTACAGGATTTTTTTTCCATTTTAAGGAAAATTACCCGTTTCACCAAAATTTTCAAACTTATTGCTTTAAAATATTTTTTTACAGTGTTCTCTTATGACTTTAAATTTTCTGCTATACAGCTATATCTTCTTTTAAATGTTTTTTTTTTTTTTTTTTTTTTTTTGGAGATGGAGCCTTGCTCTGTTGTCCAGGCTGGAGTGCAGTGGCGTGATCTCAGCTCGCTGCAACCTCCGCCTCCCGGGTTCAAGCTATTCTCATGTCTCAGCCTCCCAAGTAGCTGGAATTACAGGGGCCAGTCACCATGCCTGGCTAATTTTTGTATTTTTAGTAGAGACGAGGTTTCGCCATGTTGGTCAGGCTGGTCTGGAACTCCCAACCTCAGGTAGTCTGCCTGCTTCATTCAGCCTTCCAAAATGCTGGGATTACAGGCATGAGCCACCGCGCCCAGCCCTTTTAAATGTTTTGATATTGTTTATCTATGCCTTTTTCTTGACTGAGCTTGTCAAAAAAATTTTGTTGATTCTCTATAGTATTTCTATGTTTTTTTCTGCTCTTGTCGCTCAGGCTAGAGTGCAATGGTGCAATCTTGGCTCACTGCAACCTTTGCCTCCCGGGTTCAAGCTATTCTCCTGCCTTAGCCTCCTGAGTAGCTGGGATTACAGGTGCCCGCCACCATGCCCAGCTAATTTCTGTATATTTATTTATTTATTTATTTATTTATTTATTTATTTATGAGATGGAGTTTCACTCTGTCACCCAGTTGGAGTACAATGGCGCAATCTCAGCTCACTGCAACTTCTGCTTCTAGCAATTCTCCTGCCTCAGCCTCCCAAGTAGCTGGGATTACAGGTGCATGCTACCACACCCGGCTAATTTTTGTATTTTTAGTAGAGACAGGGTTTCCTCAGGCTAGCCAAGCTGGTTTCGAACTCCTGACCTCAGGTGATCCGCCTGCCTCAGCCTCCCAAAGTGCTGGGATTACAGCAGTGAGCCACCGCACCCAGCTTGCTTTTCTCATATGAGCATTTAAAGCCATACATTTCCCTTTAAATACAAGTTTGTCTTCTATGGCTATTTTTTATTTAGAAATATCTGCATTTTGATTTATTTTTTATCCCATAATTCTAGAAATGTTTCCAAATGCATGGGGCTGTTGTTATCTTTCTGTCATTGAGTTCTATTTTGTTGTGTTTCTTTTTGCTTTTTTTGAAATGGTGTGTCATTCTGTCACCCAGAATAGAGTGCAGTGGCGTGATCACAGCTCACTGCAGTCTTGACCTCCTGGGCTCAAGCAATCCTCCCACCTCAGCCTCCTGAGTAGCTGGGATCACAGGCATGTGCCACCATACCCAGCTAAATTTTTTTATTTTTAATTAATTAATTTTTATTTTTATTTATTTATCTTATCTCCCTAAGCTGATGAAGGATTTTTTATTTTTTGTAGAGATGAGGTCTCACTATGTTGCCCTGGCTGGTCTCAAACTCCTGGGCTCATGATTCCCCCACCCCAGCTTCCCAAAGAGCTGGGATTACAGGCATGAGCCACTGTGCCTGGCCTTGAATTCTATTTTGATTAGAGAAAGTGGTCAATTTGTTACAATAGGTAGCTTAGTCAGGCATAAGCAGGGCAGGAGAGGGCTGCTCTCATACAACAGGAATGCCAGGTGACCATCAGGTGATGGTTAGGCAGTTGTTAACTGTCTCTCTAAACAAATAGTTGGTGACAGCCAGTGCCAGGGAAAGGCAGTCTCCTAATATATAGAAAACACTTGAAACTGCTATCAGCGGCTTTCTGGTAAGATCTCAGGAGTTGAGCGAGGGGGCCCAAGAATGCAGTTTAAGAGGCAAAATGGTGGAGTTTAACTGGTATATGACCTTGCTCTAGAGATGCTAGACTGGTAAGGGAAGAACGCCTCAAGTGAGCATGCTATGACTCCAGTAAGCACACTGCATATGCTCCCTTCCCAAGTGCTAGCAGTCCACTGCTCACGCGGACAGCCCACCCCAAGGCCCCAAGGGAAGAATCAGAGGAGAAATAACTCAAGACCCTACAAGTATGGCAACATATAAAACCCATGCATGTGATCTCTCAAGTGTACTTTACTTCCTTTGTGTTTTTTTTTTGAGAAAGAGTCTCAAATATTGGCTCACTGCAACCTCTGCCTCCCGGGTTCAAGCGATTCTCGTGTCTCAGCCTCCCAGGTAGCTGGGATTACAGGCGCACATCACCATGATCAGCTAGTTTTTGTATTTTTAGTAGAGACAGGGTTTCACCATGTTGGCCAGGCTGGTCTTGAACTCCTGACCTCAGGTGATCTGCCCACCTCTGCCTCCCAAAGTGCTGGGATTACAGGCGTGAGCCCCCACACCCAGTGCCAAATGTATTTTTATTTATTTATTTATTTTTTTTTTTATTGATCATTCTTGGGTGTTTCTCGCAGAGGGGGATTTGGCAGGGTCATAGGACAATAGTGGAGGGAAGGTCAGCAGATAAACAAGTGAACAAAGGTCTCTGGTTTTCCTAGGCAGAGGACCCTGGGGCCCTCCACAGTGTTTGTGTCCCTGATCAGGGAGTGGTGATGACTCTTTTTTTTTTTTTTTGAGACGGAGTCTCGCTCTGTCACCCAGGCTGGAGTGCAGTGGCGGGATCTCGGCTCACTGCAACCTCCGCCTCCCGGGTTCACGCCATTCTCCTGCCTCAGCCTCCCAAGTAGCTGGGACTACAGGCGCCGGCCACTACGCCCGGCTAATTTTTTGTATTTTTAGTAGAGACGGGTTTTCACCGTTTTAGCCGGGATGGTCTCGATCTCCTGACCTTGTGATCCGCCTGCCTCAGCCTCCCAAAGTGCTGGGATTACAGGCGTGAGCCACCGCGCCCGGCCGGTGATGACTCTTAACGAGCATGCTGCCTTCAAGCATCTGTTTAACAAAGCACATCTTGCACCGCCCTTAATCCATTTAACCCTGAGTGGACACAGCACATGTTTCAGAGAGCACAGGGTTGGGGGTAAGGTCACAGATCAACAGGATCCCAAGGCAGAAGAATTTTTCTCAGTACAGAACAAAATGAAAAGTCTCCAATGTCTACTTCTTTCTACACAGACACGGCAACCATCCGATTTCTCAATCTTTTCCCCACCTTTCCCCCCTTTCCACTCCACAAAAGCGCCATTGTCATCATGGCCCGTTCTCAATGAGCTGTTGGGTACACCTCCCAGACGGGGTGGTGGCCGGGCAGAGGGGCTCCTCACTTCCCAGTAGGGGCGGCGGGGCAGAGGCGCCCCTCACCTCCCGGACGGGGCGGCTGGCCGGGCGGGGGGCTGACCCCCCCACCTCCCTCCCGGACGGGGTGGCTGCCGGGCGGAGGGGCTCCTCACTTCTTAGACGGGGCGGTTGCCAGGCGGAGGGTCTCCTCACTTCTCAGACGGGGCAGCTGGGCAGAGACGCTCCTCACCTCCCAGATGGGGTCACGGCCGGGCAGAGGCGCTCCTCACATCCCAGACAGGGCGGCAGGGCAGAGGCACTCCCCACATCTCAGATGATGGGCGGCCGGACAGAGACGCTCCTCACTTCCTAGATGGGATGGCGGCCGGGCAGAGACGCTTCTCACTTTCCAGACTGGGCAGCCAGGCAGAGGGGCTCCTCACGTCCCAGACGATGGGCAGCCAGGCAGAGACACTCCTCACTTCCCGGACGGGGTAGCGGCCGGGCAGAGGCTGCACTCTCGGCACTTTGGGAGGCCAAGGCAGGCTGCTGGGAGGTGGAGGTTGTAGCGAGCCGAGATCACGCCACTGCACTCCAGCCTGGGCACTATTGAGCACTGAGTGAACCAGACTCCGTCTGCAATCCCGCACCTCGGGAGGCCGAGGCTGGCGGATCACTCGCCGTTAGGAGCTGGAGACCAGCCCGGCCAACACAGCGAAACCCCGTCTCCACCAAAAAAATATGAAAACCAGTCAGGCGTGGCAGCGCACGCCTGCAATCGCAGGCACTTGGCAGGCTGAGGCAGGAGAATCAGGCAGGGAGGCTGCAGTGAGCCGAGATGGCAGCAGTACAGTCCAGCTTCGGCTCAGCATCAGAGGGAGACTGTGGAAAGAGAGGGAGAGGGAGAGGGAGAGGCTATTTTACTTAGTTTCATTCCTGCTCTAAAGTTTTGTAATAAACTTCCACTCCTGCTCTAAAACTTGCCTCGGTCTCTCCTTCTGTCTTATGCCCCTTGGTCAAATTATTTCCTCTGAGGAGGCAAGAATCAACATTGCTGCAGACCCATACAGATTCGCCACTGGTAATATACTCTGGTGCCATGTGACTTGTGACTCAGATATGTTCGGCTGCTAACAAATTGATTTTTTGGTTTCTGATGAGATGTGCTTTCAGGCCTAGCATGTGATCAGTTTTCTCAGATGTTCCATGGATTCTTGAAAGAATAATTGTTGGCTCCCTCTCAGGGTTATGGTGAGAATATATTAGATAATACATATAAAGCACTTAAAAAGTTGCTCACCACTTAGTAAAATCTCAAGAAATGGTGGATCTCATTGTTGATGTTGTTATTATTATTGGTGAATAACAGTCTCAGTCATTGGTCTGTGTGTCCCTAGGTGCCCTGAGAATTGGGCAGTTGAGCCCTCTCCCACACGTCAGTGCTCAACAAACTGTGTGCAGTGCCTACACTAACCATAGGGTCAATTAATCTTTAATACACACAGAAAACATGACTGAGCTTACTAGAGTAGAAAAAGTTCAGAGTTTGAGTGAGACTGCCCTGTGTTGGGTCCCTGGCCTGCCCCTTGCTAGCTGTGTGATATTTCTGCTCCCCCAAACTCCATTTTCCTTATGTGTAAGAATGAGTATGATTTTGGGCTTGCAGAGTTGTTGGGAAGATTAATGTGAAAGTCTTTAGCATAGGGCTAGACACAAAGTAGACCTTTTTTTTTTTTTTTTTTTTTTGAGATGGAGTCTTGCTCTGTTGTCCGGGCTGGAGTGCAGTGGTGCCATCCCAGCTCACTGCGACTTCTGCCTCCCAGGTTCAAGCGATTCTCCTGCCTCAGCCTCCCAAGTATGTGGGATTACAGGCACCCGCCACCACACCCAGCTAATTTTTGTATTTTTGGTAGAGACAGGGTTTCACCATGTTGGCCAGGCTGGTCTCGAACTCCTGACCTCAAGTGATCCACCCACCTAGGACCCCGATGTGCTAGGATTACAGGCATGAGCCACCATGCCCAAACATGAAGTAGCCCTTTCACAAGTGTTAGTTTATTTCTTTTTCCTTCTACTGAGCCTGCAGGGACAGAGAGGAAGTGAAGTTAGAGTTGTAATGGTACAACCATTTCCATTCTCTTTTCCTGGACTTCTCTCCCAAGGAAGCCTCTTTCCCAGCTCTGTAAGACTGTACATCTCTGATGCCCCTCCCTGGAGAGCAGCGTAAAACCAGCTGTGACTACAGAGAAGGGAGAGAGAAGAGGATGTTGGAACATGCAAATCAGTTCCCAGCTTCCTGCTGAGTTAGTAGGACACCTGCTTGGACAGAATTTTCATTTTATTTCCTGTCTGGAGCAGCCCAATTAATTTTTCAGGCCGTGAGTTGCCACACATCACAGATGACAGCTCCTCAAACCCTCAGAGCAGCATCCTCCTCCTCGGTGGCCACACAAAGTCAGGATTTGCCCCTACCCTTCCTGGCATTCCCAGATTAGAGCAACATCTCAGGGGCACCCCTGCCTTGCCCTGGATCTGTTGCTGAGCCTCCTTTTAACACGAACTGTGGCTTCTACTACCTTCTCTCCTTTAAGCCTGAGTCCCAGTATACAAAGAGGATTAGCTGATTTTCTTACCTTTGAGTCCAGGTGGAGGCATGAAGCACAGAAGTGTGGGGAACAGAACAAGGGACGCTCCAGACAGTATGTTTCTAAACTGCTCTTGGACAAATAGAGTCATTTTCCCTCCATTCTCACTACTACCTCCAGTTCCTTTGCCTCTGGTCATTTTGTCCCTCCTACTCTAATTTCCACAAGAAGATAAGACAAGGTTCGTTTTCTCTGTTTCTGCCTCTTGCCTCCAGGCTACTAGAAAAAACCACGAAACTATGTTCACTAGCTCCAATGTCTGATTTTCAGTTGTGATCAGGCCTTCAATGCTACTTAGTAATCTTTTCTTAAAAATATAGAATGCTTCACAAATTTGCTGTCATCCTTGCTCAGGGACCATGCTAATCTCTCTGTACCTTTCTAATTTTCTTTCTTTCTTTTTTTTTTTGAGACGGAGTCCCGCTCTGTCGCCAGACCAGAGTGCAGTGGTGAGATCTCGGCTCACTGCAACCTTTGCCTCCCAGGCTCAAACGATTCTCCTGCCTCAGCCTCCTGAGTAGCTGGGACTACAGGCGCCCGCCACCACATCCAGCTAATTTTTGTATTTTTAGTAGAGACAGTGTTTCACCATGTTAGCCAGGATGGTCTCGATCTCTTGCCCTCGGGATCTGCCTGCCTCGGCCTCCCAAAGTGTTGGGATTACAGATGTGAGCCACTGTGCCTGGCTTTTTGTTTTGTTTTGTTTTGTTTTTAAGAGACAGGGTCTTGCTCTGTTGCTCAAATGAGTGCAGTGGCACAATCATAGCTCACTGCAGCCTTGAACTCTTGGGCTCAACCAATCCTCTCACCTCAGCCTCCTGAGTAGCTAGGACTACAGTTGTGTGCCACCACACCTGTCTATTTAAAATTTTTTTTGTAGAGTCAGGGCTGGTCTCAGGCTCATGGCCTCAAATGATCCTCCTGCCTCAGACTTCCTAACTGCTGGGATTACAGGCATGAGCCACCACATCTGGCTGGTAATCCTTATAATAGATTGTCCCCTGTGTACAATTTGTTTTGTCCTCCTGTTACGATCATTTGAGGTTGTGTCCAGTTTTAGCTGTTGTAAATAAAGTTGCTATGGGCTGGACAGGGTGGCTCACACCTGTAATCCCTGCACCTTGAGAGGCTGAAGTGGGAGGATTGCTTGAAGCCAGGTGTTTGAGACCAGCATGTGCATCAAAGCAAGACTCCTATCTATATTTTTAAAAAGTTGTTATGGACATTCTCATGCATGTCTTTTTGTGGACATATGTTTTTATTTTTCTTGGGTAAAATATCTAAGAGTGGATTTGCCCTTCATAGGATAGGTGTAAGTTTAGTTTTATAAGAAAGTGAGGCTGGATGCAGTGGCTCACACCTGTAATCCCAGCCCTTTGGGAGGCCGAGGTGGGAGGATCACTTGAGGCCAGGAGTTGGAGACTCAGAGTCTCCATCACAGTGAGACAACAGAGTGAGACTGCCATCTTTACAAAAAAAAAAAAAGTTTTTTTCTTAAATTACCTGAACATGGTTGTGTGTACCTGTAGTCCTAGCTACTCGGGAGGTTAAAGTGGGATAATTGCTTAAACCCAGGAGTTCAAGACAGCAGTAAGCTATGATTGAATCACTACACTGCAGTCCAGGCAACAAAGCAAAACCCTGTCTCAAAAAAAAAAAAAAAAAGTAACAAAAGGCTGGGCATGGTGGCTCATGCCTGTAATCCCAGCACTTTGGGAGGCCAAAACAGGTGGATCACCTGAGGTCAGGAGCTGAAGACCAGCCTGGCCAACATGGTGAAACCCCCTCTCTACTAAAAATAAAAATAAAATAAATAAATAAATAAATAAATAAATAAATAAAAAGCTGGGCATGGTGGCAGGTGCCTGTAATCCCAGCTACTCGGGAGGCTGAGGCAGGAGAATCACTTGAACCTGGGAGGTGGAGATCGTGCCATTGCACTCCAGTCTGGGCAACAAGAGCGAGACTCCATCTAAAAAAAAAATTAAAAAAAAACAAACAAACCCAAAAAACAAAGTCTGGGCACGGTGGCTCATGGCCTGTAATCCCAGCACTTTGGGAGGCCGAGGCAGGGGGATCACGAGGTCAGGATTTTGAGACCAGCCTGGCCAACATAATGAAACCTCGTTTCTACTAAAAATACAACAAAAAAATTAGCTGGGTGTGGTGGCAGGCGCCTGTAGTCCCAGCTACTTGGGAGGCTGAGGCAGGAGAATCGTTTGAACCCGGGAGGCGGAGGTTGCAGTGAGCCGAGACTGCACCATTGCACTCCAGCCTGGGTGACAGAGCGAGATTCTCTGTCTCAAACAAACAAACAAAAAAAAGTGACAATGATTTTCCAAAATGGTGTACTGGTTAAGGCCCTTATTAAAGAGGAAGATCCCTGGGCTCTGTGCTGAATTTACTGAATCAGAATATTATCAGAATAAAGGACATAAAGAAGCTCCCATGTAATTTTTCTTTTTTTTTTTTTTTGACACATGGTCTTGCTCTGTTGCCCAGGCTGGAGTGCAATGGCGCGATCACGGCTCACTGCAGCCTCAACTTCCTGGGCTCAAGTGATCCTTCCATCTCAGCCTCCCAGGTAGCTGGGACCACAGGCACACGCCAACACACCTGGCTAAGTTTTTTAAATTTTTATTTATTTTTTGTAGAGACAGGGTCTCCCTTTTTTGCTCAGGCTGGTCTCGAACCCCTGGATTCAAGCAATCCTCCTGCCTCACCCTCTCAGTGTTAGCATTACAGGCATGTAAACTTATCACCATTGCGCCTAGCCCCATGTGATTTTAATGCAGGTGGTTTTTTGACTGGCATTTAGAAACCACTGGAGAATATCTTAGTATCTTTACTTTCTTGTTTTTCGTTCCTTCCTCAATAACTAATTCTGGCCACCATGTATTGTGGTTGTAAATAATGGAATAATTGACCAACAGTGAATTAAGTAGTAAGGACATTTATTTATCTCATATAACAAGAAACCCAGAGATAGGTGGGTCCAGGTTTGGTTAATTCAGCCATTAGTAATGTCATCAAATAGCCAGGCTTTTCTCATTTTCCTCTTCACTGTCCTCAAAGTATTTGCTCCATTCTTGGGCTTATTTCTCATAGTCCTAAGATGGCTGTCACAGCTCTGAATAGCATGAGCTCACGTGGCAACTCCCAAGGCAGAAAAAAGCAAGGGATGGCCAGCAATGGTGTCTCACGCCTGTAATCCCAGCACAGTTGGGAGACTGAGGCGGGCAGATCACTTGAGGTCAGGAGTTTGAGACCAGCCTGGCCAACATGGTGAAACCCCGTCTCTACTAAAAATACAAAAATTAGCTGGGTATCATGGTGCATGCCTGTAATCCCAGCTACTTGGGAGGCTGAGGCATGAGAATCACTTGAACCTGGGAGGTAGAGGTTGCAGTGAGTCAAGATCATGCCACTGGACTCCAGCCTGGGTGACAGAGGGAGACTCCATCTCAAAAAAAGAAAAAAAAGAAGGAATTAAAGATTTCTCCCTAAGCATATTTATTGCATTAGGGAGGAAAATCCTTTGCAGAATCTTCCAGAAAACTTCCTCCTAAGTTCCATTATCCAGAACTGGGTCACATGTCCACCCCTAGGTTTAAAGGAGGTGGGGGGAGGGGTGTTGGCAAAGTATCTAGCAGTTTTGAGGCCTTATAATGTGAGGCAGTCCCTGCCAGTAAGTGTTGGGAACAGGCCCCCAAATCTGGCCATAAACTGGCCCCCAAACCGGCCATAAACAAAATCTCTGTAGCACTGTGATATGCTCGTGATGGCCATGACACCCACACTGGAAGGTTGTGGGTTTACCAGAATGAGGGCAAGGAACACCTGGCCCACCCAGGACAGAAAACCACTTAAGGTGTTTTTAAACCACAAACAATAGCATGAACGATCTGTGCCTTAAGGACATGTTCCTGCTGCAGATAACTAGCCAGAGCCCATCCCTTTATTTCGGCCCATCCCTTCATTTCCCGTAAGGAATATTTTAGTTAATCTACAATCTACAGAAACAATGCTTATCACTGGATCGCTGTCAATAAATATGTGGGTAAATCTCTGTTTGAGGATCTCAGCTCTGAAGGCTGTGAGACCGCTGGTTTCCCACTCCACACGCTATATTTCTTTTTCTTTTTTTTTTTTTTTTTTTTTGAGATGGAGTCTCGCACTTTCGCCCAGGCTGGAGTGCAGTGGTGTGATCTCAGCTCACTGCAAGCTCCACCTCCTGGGTTCACACCATTCTCCTGCCTCAGCCTCCTGAGTAGCTGGACTACAGGTGCCTGCCACCACGCCTGGCTAATTTTTGTATTTTTAGTAGAGACAGGGTTTCACCATGTTAACCAGGATGGTCTCAATCTCCTGACCTCGTGATCCACCCACCTTGGCCTCCCAAAGTGCTGGGATTACAGGCGTGAGCCACCGTGCCCAGCTCCACACGCTATATTTCTGTGTGTGTGTCTTTAATTCCTCTAGTGCTGCTGGGTTATGGTCTCCACAACCGAGCTGGTCTTGGCAAGTAAGGAAGAAGAGTGGGAAAATGGCTTTTGGGTTGGTAATCGACAGTGTCTCTGGCTGGGCATGGTGGCTCACGCCTGTAATCCCAGCACTTTGGGAGACCAAGGCGGGTGGGTCATGAGGTCAGGAGATTGAGACCATCCTGGCTAACACCATGAAACCCCGTCTCTCCTAAAAAATACAAAAAATTAGCCAGACATGGTGGCGGGCACCCGTAGTCTCAGCTACTCAGGAGGCTGAAGCAGGAGAATGGCATGAACCCAGGAGGCAAGCTTGCAGTGAGCCGAGATCTCCCCACTGCACTCTCCAGCCTGGGCGACAGAGTGAGACTCTGTCTCAAAAAAAAAAAAAAAAAAAAAAAGAGTGTCTCACATGAGACCTCATCAAAACTGTTCTTAGAAAGTCACATTAATTGCTAGATCCAATGACTTCTCTCCAGTTTTCCTCATACTGGACCTCTCTGTGGAGTTTTATATTGCTGGCTCCTTCTTTCTTGAAACTCTTCTCTTGGTTTCTGCTATACCTTCTACCCCGCTCATCATGTCCTCCCCTTGGGCTTCCCTTCACTACCCTTCTTCTCTTTATGTGTTGGTATCACCCTGGGTTTTGAACCAGACTCTGTCTGGGCACCTCTGAGCATCTAAACCAGGCAATCCATTCTAACCGTGTTTCTTTCTTTTTTTTTTTTTTGAGTTGGAGTCTCACTCTGTTGCCCAGGCTGGAGTGCAGTGGCGTGATCTTGGCTCACTGCAACCTCTGCCTCCCTGTAAGGGAGGAGACCACCCCTCATATTGTCCTATTGTAGAGACAGGGTTTCATCATGTTGGCCAGGCTTGTCTCGAACTCCTGACCTCAAGTGATCCGCCTGCCTCAGTCTCCCAAAGTGCTGGGCTTACAGGCATGAACCACTGCGACTGCCTCAAAGCTGAATTTTCGATTGAAACAATGTATGTTATGAACCCCCCATGACTGTACAAATTTTCACTGAAAACTTCTGAAGCCATCCAGTGTGTGGTGTGACTTGATTTCAGATGGACATCAGTGAAGGGGCCACAGGATTTATGAGGCTGACAGTGTGGACAGTCCCACATCTGAGTCACACCTAGATTATTGAAGCCTTTTACTGGTTTATCTGCCTCTGGCCTTCCACCCCTTCCAATGCTCCCTCCACATGGCTGCAGAGTGATCTAAGATGTAAACCCAGGCTATTTCCCTATTTAAATTGTTTAATGGATCCTTAATTGGTGTTTCTCAAACTTGGAGTTCCTGGATCCCTTGGGGACACATTCTCAGGTGTCTTGAGTAAACTTTAAGAAGTTTACTGGCTGGACACAATGGCTCACGCCTGTAATCCCAACACTTTGGGAGGCCGAGGTGGGAGGATCACTTGAGCCCAGGAGTTTGACACCAGCCTGGGCAACATAGTGAGGCCCTGTTTCTATTTTAAAAAGAAAAGAAAAGAAAAAAATAAGGAGCTTACTATTTGTTTTAATTTCAGGATTAATCTTTTGTTTTGTTTTTTTTTTTGAGACAGGGTCTTGCCCTGTTGCCTAGGCAGGAATGCAGTAGCAGGATCATGGCTCACTGCAGCCTTGACCTCCCCTGCTCAAGTGATCCTCCTGCCTCAGTCTCCAGAGTAGCTGGGACTACAGGCACAGCCACACCTGGCTAATTTTTGTATTTTTTGTAGAGACGTGGTTTTGCCATGTTGCCTAGGCTGGTCTCGAACTTCTGAGCCCAAGTAATCTTCCCACCTTGGCCTCCCAAAGCGCTGGGATTACAGGCTGAGTCACCATGCCCGGCCAGGATTAATCTTAACAAAATAGTAATAACGACATAAGCATAGTCTGTAACACCGGATGACCTTATAACCAAGCACTTTCAGGAAATTTTAGTGCCTTTTTTTTTTTGCACTTGTATTATGTATTGATTGGGTTGGTGCCAAGTGATTTTCTGAAATGACAGCATTTAACTTTTAATGCTGCAACTATTTTCATCTCATTATTTACAGATATATCTGCAGCACCTAGAACAACAGTGCACATCGTAAGTGTTCAATAAAGACATGTTGAATAAATGAATGAATGAAGTTTCTCAAGCTAGGTTCTGACATCCTTGGGGCTCTTCCACAGTTTGAAATCGCCTCAGTATGGCACGTGAGGCTCTTCACAATTAAGCTGGGAATACTCAACCAGTAATTTTCCCAGACAGTCTGGGCAGGATGCGGGGGCGTAGTCCTCTTTAGAAAATAAAAAAAGTGAAAGTATAAAGCATTTATGTACATTTTGACAGGGCAGACGTGATATGCAAATGGATTGCAAATATAATGCAAATGACATGCAACTCCTCATGCAAATGAGCATCCTGTCTTTGGAATCGACTGCCGGGTATTCACTGATTTGTCTGCAGTACTGGCAGTAAATCTTTCAAGGGTTTGGGATGCAAGTTGCTTTGATGGTGATGTGTGTGTACTAGGGAGGAGGGGTAGTGGGATGGGGTCTCTCAAGGAGGAGTCGGTGTGGTGCTAACGCTTGCAGCTTAGTATGAAGCTTAATACAGTATACAGTTTAATATGAGGTTATTCTCCTGTGATGCTCTAAGGACTGACATTTCGGAATTGGTGGCGGGTGGTGGCAATGAAATGCAACTTCTTATATTCTTCAACTCTTTGGTTGCCTCACATCTTCTGTCCCATCCATCTCACATCATTGGGGTTCTGGTCCACAGGAGTAGAGAGTAGGGAGTCAGAGATCCCTAGCCCCAGGCCCTCATCATGAGGACTACAGAAGAGCTCTTGTAAATCATTTCTGGAGGAGGTTATGAGCATGGTGTGGAGTTCTGCACTTCCTAATCACATGACAAGCAGAATTTAGCTGAATTTCTAGGCCTGTTAGAAAAAGATGAGTGGTGACAAAAAGCATGGAGACTTTCTGAGAAATATAGCTGCTTAATCTCAATGCCAATAATGTGATATCTGACAAAATTGGGAAGCTTACTTGGAAATCTAAAGGGAAAAAATGTCAACTATGATTTTTTTCTTGATAAAAACCTGTTCTTCCTTGTCCTTGGTGTGAAAGGAAATTTGTGGTTACACAGACTCTTCCCCAATGATTATAAAAATATTGGGCAAATGATGCAAAAGACGCTTTAGCAGGTATATTTTAGCCTAACTCAAGATCTGTTTTTCTCTGACACTTTGCATCAGACCTGGGTTCAAACACTCAATTTTCAGCTATATAAACTTGGACAACTTATTCAACTTTTCTGAGCTCAGTTTCTGCATCTGTAGGGGAGTAATAGAATAATAGAATCCTTATGAGGCTGTCGTAAAGGTCACATGAGATAATGCATGTACTTAACACAGTGCCGGGCTCATAGTGAGCATTCAATTAATATGGCAATTTGCAATGACCATCTGTAGATTTGCTGCCTAGATTCCATTCATCCTCCATCTGATAACTGTACCCCATTTCTTCCTGGTGAACCATCATTTTCTTTTCATTCCATGTGGTCCTAATGAAACTGACTCCATCCTCAGCATCAGGAGTAGAACATGTGGCGTAAGCTGGGTGCAGTAGCTCACACCTGTAATTCTAGCACTTTGGGAAGCTGGGCCAGGTGGATCACTTGAGGCCAGAAGTTTGAGACTAGCCTGGCCAACATGGCAAAACCCTGTCTCTACTAAATATACAAAAATTAGCTGGGTGTGGTGGTACATGCCTGTAATCCTAGCTACTCAGGTGGCTGAGGCATGAGAATCACTTGAACCTGGGAGGAAGAGGTTGCAGTGAGCCAAGATTGTGCCACTGCACTCCAGCCTGAGCAACAAAGTGAGACCCTGTCTTTAAAAAACAAACAAACAAGGCCGGGCGCGGTGGCTCACGCCTGTAATTCCAGCACGTTGGGAGGCCGAGGCGGGTGGATCACGAGGTCAGGAGATGGAGACCATTCTGGCTAACACGATGAAACCCCGTCTCTACTAAAAATACAAAAAATTAGCCGGGCGCGGTGGCGGGCGCCTGTAGTCCCAGCTACTCGGGAGGCTGAAGCAGGAGAATGGCGTGAACCCGGGAGGCGGAGCTTGCAGTGAGCAGAGATCGCGCCACTGCACTCCAGCCTGGGCGACAGAGCGAGACTCCGGCTCAAAAAAACAAACAAACAAACAAACAAAAAAGAACCTGTGACTTAGGTTTAAATCATTCATACCATTCTATTCTTAGGCCACAGTGATTGGTTCAAGAATGGGGACATACACAGAGTTACCGTACAATCCAGCAATTCCACTTCTAGGTAACCTTGTATGATCAACACTCAGTGTATGCAAAGGATTAGTTCCAGACGCCCAAGTACACCAAAATCCATGCAAACTCAAGTCCTGCAGTTGGCTCTGCAGAGCCTGAGTATACAAAAAGTCAGCCCTCCATATACTCAGGTTTCACATCCTGCGAATACTGTATTTTCAATTTGCATTTGGTAAAAAAAATCTGCATATAAGTGGATCCTTGCAATTCAAACTTGTGTTGTTCAAGGGTCAAGTGTATATGAATGCTCATAGCAGCATTATTCATAATAGTCAAAAAGTGGAAGCAACCCAACTATCTACCACTTGGCATCAGAATGCTGCTATGAACATTCATGTACAACTTTTTTATATTCATACAATGGGCTATTATTCAGCAATAAAAAGGAATAAAGTACTGATTCATGTTACAACATGGATGAACCTTATAAACATTATGCTAAGCGAAAGAGGACAGACACAAAAGGCCATATATTATTTGATTCAATTTATATGAAATATCTAGAATAGGCAAACCTGTGGAGACAGAAAGATTAGTGGTAGCCAGGCACTGGAAGGAGGGGGAATGGGTAGTGGCTGTTACTGAGTATAGGGTTTCTTTTTTTTTTGAGACAGGGTTTGGCTCTGTCGCCCAGGGTGGAGTGCAGTGGCTAACTGCCATTTCTGCCTCCCAGGCTCAAGCACTCCTCCCACTTCAGCCTCTGGAGTAGCTGGGACCATAGGCACTCGCCACCATGTCCAGCTAATTTTTGTATTTTTTATAGGGAAGGGGTTTCTTATGTTGTTCAGGCTGGTCTCAAACTCCTGGGCTCAAGTTGTCTGCCTGCCTTGGCCTCCCAAAATGCTGGGATTACAGGTGTAAGCCACTGTACTTGGCCTAGAGTTTCTCTTTAGGGTGATAGAAATGTTTTGGAATTAGATAGTGGTGATAATCATACAACATTGTGAATATATTAAAAACTACTGAATTGCATACTTTAAAAAGATGAATTTTATGGAATGTGAATTATATCTCAATTTAAAAAACTAAACCAGATAAAATAAAACAGTGGACATATGTCTCAAGTAGACTAATGACAGCCAGTAAGACCCACTCTAATTCTTTGGAGTCATGAGGGAAGCAAACTAGTTCCTTTCTTTCAGGACTCCAACTTGAGAGAATATAGGGTCTGGAGCTGCTGTCCTGTCTTGCTATGTGTAGATCCGGAGACTGAATTATCCAACTCAGCTGAAAGCAGAGCCAAGAAATGGAGACACCAAGACCTGTTTACACATTGGAGCTACAGTAATTAATTGTCCCAGTTTGCCTGGGACTTTCCTGGTTTTAGAACTGAAAGTCTGTATATCACGTTAAGCTGGAGCTCCGAATCCACCTCTGCTTGAAGGTCAACATGTTACCCGTGGACTTTTCAATTACAGTCATGCACCATGTAATGATGTTTTGGTCAATAACGGATCACATATGCGATGGTCATTCCATAAGATTATACTACAATAGTTTCACTGTACCTTTTCTATGTGTAGATATTTTTAATTTTAATTTTTTTTTTTTTGAGACACAGTCTCACTCTGCCACCCAGGCTGGAGTGCAGTGGCGCAATCTCGGCTCACTGCAACATCTCCCTCCCCGGTTCAAGCGATTCTTGTGCCTCAGCCTCCTGAGTAGCTGCAATTACAGGTGTGTGCCACCATGCCTGGCTAATTTTTTTATTTTTGGTTTTTTTTTTTTGAGATGGAGTCTCGCTCTGTCACCCAGACTGGAGTGAAGTGGCGTAATCTCGGCTCACTGCAACCTCCGCCTCCCGGGCTCAGGTGATTTTCCTGTCTCAGCCTCCGAGTAACTGGGATTACAGGCAGGCGCCACCACACCTGGCTAATTTTGTATTTTTAGTAGAGACAGGGTTTCACCATGTTGGCCAGGCTGGTCTTGAGTTCCTGACCTCAGGTGATCCGCCCGCCTTGGTCTCCCAAAGTGCTGGGATTACAGGTGTGAGCCACCGAGCCCGGTCCTCTGTTTAGATATGTTTAGATACGCAAATACTTACCATTGTGTTACAATTGCCTACAGTAATCAGTATAGTAACACGCTGTACAGATTTGTAGCCTAGGAGCATAGACTAGACTGTATAGCCTAGGTGTGTAGTAGGCTATACCAGTGGTCCCCAGCCTTTTTGGCTCCATGGATGGTTTCATGGAAGACAATTTTTCCACGGATGTGGGGAGTAGGGTGGCAGTATGGGGGGTAGCAATGGTTTCAGGGTGAAACCGTTCCCCCTCAGATCATCAGGCATTAGTCAGATGCTTATAAAGAGCACACAACCTACATCCCTCACATGCACAGTTCACAATATGGTTCGTGCTCCTGTGAGAATCTAATGCTGCAGCTGATCTGACAAGAGGCGGAGCTCAGGCAGTAATGTGAGCAATTGGGGAGGGGCTGTAAATACAGAAGAAGCTTTGCTTGCTCACCTGCTGCTTACCTCCTGCTGTGAGGCCCGGTTTCTCACAGGCCATGGACTGGTACCAGTCCATGGTTGAGGACCCCTGGGCTATACCATCTAGATTTGTGTGAATACACTTTATGATGTTTGCACAAGGACAAAATTGCGTAAAGACATTTCTCAGAACATATCCCAGTCATTAAGCCATGGATAACTGTGCATGAGTCAATAAATTCTCTTTTTGGCCAGGTGAGGTGGCTCACACCTATAATCCCAGCATTTTTGGAGGCCAAGGCAGGCAGATCACTTGAGGTCAGGAACTTGAGACCAGCTTAGCCAACATGGCAAAACCCCGTCTCTTCTCACTAAAAATACAAAATTAGCTGGGCATGGTGGCGCACACCTGTAATGCCAGCTACTCAGGGGGCTGAGGCAGGAGAATCGCTTGATCCCAGGAGGCAGAGGCTGCAGTAAGCTGAGATCCTGCCACTGCGCTCCAGCCTGGGTGACAGAGCAAGATTGTTTCAATAAAAAAAAAGGCTGGGCTCACGCCTGTAATTCCAGCACTTTGGGACGCCAAGGTGGGCGGATCATGAGTTTGAGACCAGCCTGACCAACATGGTGAAACCCTGTCTGTACTAAAAATACAAAAATAATTAGCTCGGCATGGTGGTGCATGCCTGTAATCCCAGCAACTTGGGAGGCTAAGGCAGGAGAATCGCTTGAACCCGGGAGGCGGAGGTTGCAGTGAGTTGAGATCGCGCCACTACACTCCAGCCTCACAACAGAGCGAGACTCCGTTTCAAAAAAAAAAAAAATTCTCTTTTTGTTTTTGCCAGCATCACAGGTTGGGTTCTCTGAAGGCAGGCACTGAGACAGTTTAGGGTTCAAGATATTTATTGTGGAACAACACCTGTGAAAAGAAGAAGGCAGAAGCAGAATTGGGCAGAGGAAGAAGTCAAGATGCAGGCTCTTGGTCGATTTGGTAGAGAGTTCTGGAGAAAGTATTGCCTTTCAGAAGTTTCCACATTGGGCCAAAATGGCTGAGCCACACTATACTTTTCCCTCCTTTTCTTAATCTGAAAACTTCAAGTGATCCTTCAAATCTCAACTGTTAAGTGTTGCTTTCTGGGGGAAGCCTTTCCTGGAGCCCCCAATGACATTAAGTCCCACAGCACCTGGCTTATCTCCTTTATGTGTAGTAATTTGATTAATTAATTATTGTTTATTTTTTGTTTCATGCCTGTCTTACATGCAGAATTTTAGCTTCCTGAAGGAAGGGACCGTTCTGGCTAGCTATTGCTAGGTTGCAAACTACCCTATACCTTCATGGCTTAAAACAGGCTGATGAAATAGGACCCATTTACTAGATCCAGCCCATAGTCTGTTTTTGTTTTTTTGTTTTTGAGACGAAGTCTCATTCTATTGCCCAGGCTGGAGTGCAGTGGTGTGATCTCGGCTCACTGCAACCTCTGCCTCCTGGGTCCAAGTGATTTTCCTACTCATTCTCTGGAGTAGCTGGAATTACAGGTGAGCATCACCACACCTGGCTAAGTTTTTGTATTTTTAGTAGAGACGGGGTTTCACCATGTTGACCAGGCTGGTCTTGAACTCCTGATCTCAAGTGATCCACCTGCCTTGGCCTCACAAAGTGTTGGGATTACAGCTGTGAGCCACCATGCCTGGCCCACAGTTTTTTTTGTTTTTTGTTTTTTTTGTATAGCTGGCAAATTATGAATTTTTTTAAAAAATGTTTTTAAGGGGTTGTGAAAAAAGAAAGAATGAAACAAAAAACAAGAATAATATGTGACAGAGATGGTATGTGGCTCATGAAAGACTACAGGGAAAGTTTGCCAACCCATGGACTGAAACAACCATTTTGTTATATCTCATAATTTTGTGGGTCAGGAATTCAGAAAGGGTTTGGCTGGCAAGTTCTTCTGTCTTATGTGATATTGACTGGGACCTCTCAGCAGCACACTAGCTATATAGGCTGGTGTGGTTTGGAAGATCCAAGAGGGCTTCATTTGCATGTCTGGTGCTTTAGTAGGAGGCTGGAAAGCTGCTCTCAGCTGGGCCCCTCTCCCTTTCCACATTCTGTCAAGGTAGTTGGAGTTATTACAGAGTGGCTAAGGGCTCCAAGGGAGTGAAGTGGAAGCTCTTAAAGACTAGGCTCATTTCTGGGCGCGGTGGCTCACGCCTGTAATCCCAGCACTTTACAGCACTTTAGAGGGAGGCCGAGGTGGGCGGATCACTTGAGGTCAGGAGTTTGAGACTAGCCGGGCCAACTGGAGAAAACTTGTCTCTACTAAAAATACAAAAATCAGCTGGGCACCGTGGTGCGCACCTGTAATCCCAGCAACTTGGGAGGCTGAGGCAGAAGAATTGCTTGAATCCGAGAGGCAGAGGTTGCAATGAGCTGAGATCACTCCATTTCACTCCAGCCTGGGTGACAGAGTGAGACTCTCCGTGTTAAAAAAAAAAGACTAGGCTCATGACTGGATAGCACCACCTCTTCTGTACTCTATTGGTCAAAGCAATCACAGGCCAGCCTAGATTCAAAGGGAGACGAAAGATACCTCACCTTCTGATGACAGGAGTGGCAAATAATTTGAGGCCATCTTTAACAGTCTCTTCACTCACGATTGTATTCCCAGTGCATAGCACAGCACCCAGCACGTGAACTCAATAAACTTGTTAACTAATGGACACACTCTGGCAGGTGGAATCTGACCTATTTGTAATATGAAAGTATTAGATTTGGAGCTAAATCAAGGCTGAGGGCTTCTTGGACCCTTAGGGAGCACTTAGGTCCACACATTCCAATTTGGGGCTGCCACGCGCCCAGCACTATGCTGCATCTCTCAGCGCATTTGGACTTCAGTTTCCTTTTTGGTTAATGAGGGGCAACAAAACAAGTATCTCATGGGATTCCTGTGAGAATTAAATGGCATAAGGAATGTGAGCAAACTTTATTAACTGTAACTGTAATGTTCTGCTTAACATTAGGTTATTATTGTCATTGTTGCCCAGGGTGAGGTGCGGACAAGGCCGTGGCCCTCAGATCCCCTGCCCTGGAGAAGGGCCCTTCAACCTCACTCCACTCCCCAGCTCTTACCCCTGCCAGTTCCTGAGGAGCAGGTGTTAGGAGAATGAAGCAGGGTTCCTATGGCTATGCAACCCAGTCCTAGCTGTGGAAGATTTACTTCCCAGCAGTGGCTCTAATGATGGTTTGATGGGCCTCATAATTCCATAATGATCCTGGAGCTAATGCCTCTCACCCTGGGCATCTCTGCAGAGGCCATGGGGAAATGGGAAGCCACAAAAACTAAACAAATAAGAATGATTAGTTGCATGTGGCCAACCTCTTGTTGCCTGAGTTAGCCTATTTTGTGCACCAATATGTGGAGTAATAAAGACGCTTCTGAGAAAAACCACATTCAACTTGTCATCCTCCCCCAGCTCAGAGGATGGAGTATTCCTTTCCCCAGAAAAGTCCCCAAAATTATCTTGTCCAGAAACATTCCCACACTTCTCATTTCCTGTGTGTCTCATTTTTAGCTGGAGGGAGGGTTTGTCTACCTGAGTAGATAAAGGTTACCTCTTCTTTCAACCTTTTCATGAAAGCATCCATATAGCCTGGGCATGATGTATAATGTGTGTGTAGGTCTGAGAGTGAGGTAATTATTTGGAATGTTAAGTAGGGATATAAAGCAGAATCCCCTATGTGAGTTTGTAAGTACTCACACATGTATTTGTGTGTGATTTAACTTTGCTCAGTCTCTAGCACAATGTCTGTGTAGCCAACAGGCATGGAAAAGAGTAGTACTAATAATAGCTAAGATCGGCTGGGTGCGGTGGCTCACGCCACTAATCCCAGCACTTTGGGAGGCTGAGGCAGGTGGATCACCTGAGGTCAGGAGTTCGAGACCAGCCTGACCAACATGGTGAAACCCTGTCTTTACTAAATACAAAAAATTAGCTGGGCGTGTTGGTGCATGCCTGTAATCCCAGCTACTTGGGAGGCTGAGGCAGGGGAATTGCTTGAACCTGGGAGCGGAGGTTGCAGTAAGCCAAGATTGCACCATTGCACTCCAGCCTGCGCAACAAGAGTGAAACTCCGTCTCAAAAAAAAAAAAAAAAATAGCTAAGATATATTCAGAACTTCCTGTGTGTCAGGCACTAGGCTGGATGCTTTACTTGTATCATTATCTCATTTAATCTCCATAATAATGGTTAAGGTGAGTACTAATATCATCTCCATTTTACAGATAAGAAAGCTAGTCTCTAAGGTTGGTTAGAGTTGAGCGACTTGCTTAGCTAGTGAGAGGCAGTCAGGACTTGGCCCTGTCTGATTCCAAAGTTGTTTTAACTGCTACAGAATTCCAAATTCATGTTCTCTGATGACAATTATATTGGATTCGATTATCTAATGTTCTGAGACAGGCTGCACAGCAATCTTTATTCACATGTGGTCTCCCAAAGCTCTGGCGTTTGGGAACCTTTAGTAGAGACAGTGTCAGCAGAGGGAAGAGTTCTCCCATCATTGGCTTGCTCACCGAGGACTGTGCTGGTGTGGTCAGTTACCACACTCATCATGCCCAGGATTTTCTTACAGCAGACACCATCCCTTCTGCAGCTCTCTGCTCAAGGAAACAGCATTGGCTCTTGTGTCGGGGTAGGTATAGATTGGACCAGGGATGGGGTCCACATAGGCTGCCCTACAACAGCCCTGCAGTGGCTTGGTTTATAGGACTCTTCCAGGTTGGGCAAGGGCGAGGGGGATGCTGGTGAGGATTACAATGAACTATTCTAGTTGTATTAGGCCCTTCTTGCATTGCTATAAAGAAATACCTGAGATTGGGTAACTTATAAAGAGAAGAGGTTTAATTGGCTCACGGTTCTGCAGGCTGTACAAGCATGGCACTGGCATCTACTCAGCTTCCGGGGAGGCCTCAGGCAGCTTTCACTCATGGAGGAAGGTGAGGCAGGAACAGGTATGCCACATGGCAAAAGCAGGAGCAAGGCCAGGGGAGGAGCTATACACTTAAACACCCAGATCTCATGAGAACTCACTGATTATGGTGAAGACAGCACCAAGCCAAGGGAGATCTGCCCCCATGACCCAAACACTGTCACCAGACCCCATCTCCAACACTAGGGATTACATTGCAACATGAGATTTGGGTGAGGACAAATATCCAAACTATGTCACCAGACAACCTGGCTCATCCCAAATTTGGAATGTAGAGTGAATTGCTCTTGGCCCATCAGACACCTGGGTGTGATGCAGATGACAAGAGTGACAGAACAAGCGGCCCATGAGAGGGAGCGTCGTCTCCTTTACATCTGATGTCTGTCTTTACATCAACCCTTTATTATGGGTCAAAGCAAATCTGAACTGCTCTGTATGAGAAAAGGGTGAAGAATTTGGAAGCTTGAGGGAGAATGTGACGAAGAGGGAGATGTGAACTGGCTGAATGGGTGCGGTGCAAGGGAAAGAGGAGGTAAAAAGTGATCCACGGAGGCGATATGGGGTGGGAGAGGAACTTGTGGGGCAGGGACTGTTCCTGTGGGCTTTCAAGTTGTTTGCTTGGGGGGAGTGATATTAACTTCCTCCTCCATCACCCCTATGATGTCTTTGGTAAATTCTGCATTTCACACTCATACTTTTGTAGGTATTACTTCTTGGTAGGGAAACAGAGGAGGGGGAGGGGACAGCTGACATCTGTGTTATACTCCATCTTCTCCTGCCTTATTTCTTTTTCTTTTCTTTTCTTTTTTTTTTTTGAGACAGAGTTTCACTCTTGTTGTCCAGGCTGGAGTGCAATGGCGCAATCTTGGCTCACTGCAACCTCTGCCTGCCAGGTTCAAGTGATTCTCCTGCCTCAGCCTCCCGAGTATCTGGGATTACAGGCATGCACCACCACATCTGGCTAATTTTGTATTTTTAGTAGAGATGGGGTTTCTCCATGTTGGTCAGGCTGGTCTCGAACTCACGACCTCAGGTGATCCACCTGCCTTGGCCTCCCAAAGTGCTGGGATTATAGGTGTAAGCCACTGCGTCTGGCCTTCCAGCCTGATTTCTTTAGGATCTCTTAGGGTTTTCAAGGCTATTCTACATGTGTAAGTTGGCACATCTGATTATACATGTCTAGTTGTATAATTAATACACCTGTAGCAATGTGCACATCTTTGTGTGACAGTGTTCATGTAAGTGGATGCAGAATGTTTTATCTACGTGTATAAACATATTTATGTGCTGTGCGTGAGTCTGAATGTGTAAGCTGTGTTCACAAGTGTGTATGCCAGGGCTTGTGGCACACTGTATTTTCCAGAAGTGTCTGCCAGGATACAGCCCATCCCACATGTTCTCTTTACAAAAGGATATTAATACTCCTCTGAATGAGAGGTGGGTTCTCTTTCTCTTTGAATGTGGGCTGACCTTTGTGACTCACTCAACCAATAGAGTACAGCAGAAGTGATGCTATGTGACTTCTGAGGCTAGATCATAAAAATACCAGATACTTTTATGCCGTGTTCTCTTGGGATGCTCATTCTTGGAAACCAGCCACCAAGCTGTGAGGGGGCCAAGTAGCTATTTGGAGAGGCCGCTTGTCAGTGTCCTAGCTGACAGTACCAGCTGAGGTTCCAACCTGCAGCTAGCATCAACTGCCAGCCATGAGGGTGAGCATCTTCCTGTAGTTGGGCCACCCCAGCTGACAGTGTATGGAACAGAGTCAACTCTTCCCTGTTAAGCCTTGTCCAAACTGCTAAACAAATTATTGTTGTTTTAAGCTACCAAGTTAGGGATGCTTTGTTATGTGGCAGTAGATAACTGGGACAGGGCTGTGTCTGTGTCTGCCCTGTGTATGGATTCCTGTGATTCTGTGCTTTTGTGGGTGTCTGCAGGCACTGCATTGGTGTCAGGTGTCTGTGTACATTAATAGGTGTGTGGTTGAAGGCGCTTCTGGAGACAGAGTCATGGTTCTTGGGGCTTCGCTTTGGCCTCAGTGGGAAGCTGTTTGGTGAGAACACTTTGAAATCTTGTCTGTCTTCTGGGTCCCTTCTTTTGAGTGTTTTTCCTTTGAACCAGAAAGGCTTGTTTAGCTGAGAGCAAATGCAGCTTAAATTTACTGACCTTCTTCTGGCCTAAGCCCCTTGGAGCTGCCAAAGACTTCCAAGCAGGTGGGAGGCTGCCATCCAGAACCCTCACATCCCTTTCAGAGGGGCTGGAAATGCTTTTTTTTCTCCCCCTTTTCTGCTTCTGAGGCCTTCAGAAATAAGCCAGAGACAGAGAAAAGCACAGTTACTGGAGTCCTTGAAGCCTCTTGGGGTGGAGAGATCTAGAATTCTTGAATGCCAGGAAGAAGCTGCTCAGGTGCTGCTTGGGTCCCACAGTAGAGATCATCTGGTCTCTGCCCTGCCTTGGCCACAGCAGCCCACTCCATCTGAGTGCAGCCCAGGAAGTGGAGGAATCTGGTTCGGGAGCAGTTCTCCTGATTTCCCCTGGAGTGCCCCTTAGCTTCCTGCTTCTTCCATGTTGGCCCCTTGACTTAGCTTTTCTGGGAATGCTGAGTGCTCTGGCTTCACACCCCTGCCGTAGCACTGCCTCTCAGGACCTCTCAAGCACTGTTAGACAATAGAGCTTTTTTTTTTTTCTGAGATGGAGTTTCGCTCTTGTTGCCCAGGTTGGAGTGCAACAGCGTGATCTCGGCTTGCCGCAACCTCTGCTTCCCAGGTTCAAGTGATTCTCCTGCCTCAGCCTCCCGAGTAGCTGGGATTACAGGCATGCGCCACCATGCCCAGCTAATTTTTGTATTTTTAGTAGACAGGGGGTTTCTCCATGTTGGTCAGGCTGGTCTCAAACTCCCGACCTCAGGTGATCTGCCTGCCTCGGCCTCCCAAAGTGCTGGGATTACAGGCGTTAGCCACCGTGCCCGGCCACAATAGAGCTTTTTCATAGAAATGTTCCATCATTTTTGTTGTCCAGTATAGTGGACTGAGCATTTGAAATGTGGCTAGTGTAAATAAGAAACTGTATTTTAACTTTTATTTAATTTTAATTAAATCTAAACAACATGCGGCAATTGGCTACCATATTGGACAACACAGCTCTGAAGAGTTCAGTGGGAAGAGTTTTTGTTCATCTGCAAAATAAATCTGCCCCACCTACCTCACAGAGGTGTCTGGAACAAACAAGGTGATAAATGTGAAAGGGCTTTACTCACAAAAGGGATCTGAAAAGACAGCAGTGTGAACCTCTGGAGTGCAGTGGTGCAATCTTAGCTCACTGAAACCACCTCCCAGGCTCAAGTGATCCTCCCACTTCAGCCTCCCAAGTAGCTGGGACCACAGGCATGTGCCACCATGCCCAGCTAATTATTTTATTTTTTTATTTTATTTTTGGTAGAGATGGGTTTTGTCATGTTGCCCAGGCTGGTCTCGAACTCCTGAGCTCAAGTGATCCGCCTGCCTTGGCTCCCAAAGTGCTAGGATTATAGGCGTGAGCCACTGCACCTAGCCCGTTAATATTTCTGTTAAATGGTGCTTGCCAGGCTGTTTTGATCTGTTTACATTTCTGTGTCTCTCATTTGACCCTGAGCTCTTCGAGGGTAAGAACCAGTAGGACTGTTTCACAGTTGTACCCCCACAGCCAATGGCTGGCATGTAGCTTGGTGCTCATGTTCAAGTGAATAAAATGTCTGCAGTCCAGAAGGGACTCCTGGCAGCAGGATCTGAGTTGTGTGGTGAAAGCTGGGTGGGCAAAGAGGAAGGGGCCGAGGGGAGGAGGCAGATCAATACAGTGGTGAGACAAAGTGAGGGCTCCTGCTCCCCACTCAACATTTGAGGCCCATCCAGAGAGAGCAGGGAGCCAACTCCTGAAGCCAGGAATACTTTCACACAACAGGGTGTGAGGCTTGTGGGAGATTAATTGAGAAAGGCTGATCAGAGGAGAAATGATCTACTCAACATATTCTGCTTGTTGAGGAAGGCCAAATTGATTATAAATCTCCGCCTAGCCAGGGCTCTGGGGGTAGGTGCTGTGGTTTCCTTTGATTTGATTGATGGTGGCCGGGTTGAAGGTGATTCCTCAGTCTCTCTACCCTTCCAAGCCTTCCTTTGCTCTTCTGGGGAGTGGAAGAGGGATTCTAGAAACTCCCCAACAGAACTGCAAGAGAGAGGTGGTTTTTAGCCTGTTGTTTACTTATTTAAAAGGATTTTTTTTTTTTTTGAGATAGAGTCTTGCTCTGTCGCCCAGGTTGGAGTGTAGTGGCGTGATCTTGGCTCACTACAACATCCACCTCCCAGGTTCAAGCAATTCTCCCTGCCTCAGGCTCCTGAGTAGCTGGGATTACAGGCGCCCACCACCATGGTTTGCTAATTTTTGTATTTTTTAGTAGAGACGGGGTTTTGCCATGTTGACCAGGCTGGTCTTCAACTCCTGACCTCAGGTGATCCGCCTGCCTCAGCGTCCCAAAGTGCTGAGATTACAGGCGTGAGCCACTGCGCCCAGCCTAAAAGGAAATTTTAAACTTACTTTTGCTCAATTCCAAGACTTATATAAGGAAACAAAGAGAGGAGACTACCAAAATTCCAGCACCCACTGTGATCACTGGACTTGCACCCAAACTTCTCACCTTTACAGTGGGCCTCCTTGCTTAAGGCCGTGTAAGTAGAGGCTGTCTGCTTAGGTTCAACCTTGCACACTGGCTTCAGCAACTCAAGAGGCTTGATTTCAGAGCAAGTTCAGAGCAAGTTCCTCTGAGAAGGTAGTTCTGTCAGGGTATGTCTTTGTCTGTTGGGACTACTATAACAAACACCTTAGGCTGGGTAATTTACAAACAGAAATTTACTGCTCACTGTTCTACAGACCAGGAAATCCAAGATCAAGGTGCCAACAGATTTAGGGGCTGGTGAGTGCTTGCTCTCTATTTCAAAGATGGTGCCTTGCTGCCTTGCTTCACATGGTGGAAGGGGAGATCACTGTGTCCTTCCACGGCAGAAGGGGCAAGGCAGCTCCCTTCAACCTGACCATTTTTATTTTATTTTATTTTTTTGAGATGGAGTCTTGCTCTGTCGCCAGGCTGGAGTGCAGTGGTGCGATATTGGCTCACTGCAACCTCCACCTCCCAGGTTCAAGCGATTGTCCTGCCTCAGCCTCCTGAGTAGCTGGGACTACAGGTGCACACCACCAAACCCAGCTAATTTTTGTATTTTTAGTAGAGATGGGGTTTCACCATGTTGGCTAGGATGGTCTCAATCTCTTGACCTTGTGATCCGCCTGCCTCGGCCTACCAAAGTGCTGGGATTACAGGCGGAAGCCACCATGCCTGGCCCAACCTGCCCACCTTTTAATACTATCACATTGGATATGAGGTTCCAATGTATGAATTTAGGGGAGACACCAACATTCAGACCATGGCAGAGCTTTTCAAGGTTTGGAGACCAGGCCTGGGGTGGCAGTGGGAGACAGACTATCCCTTTCCTACCACATACCTGAGCTGGTTAGATCCGTCCCAAGGAGAAAGGCCCCGCTTTGAGCGCTGGCAGCTGTGTTCAGCTGGACTCTTCTCTTGGCCCAAGCATTCATTTATTCATGCTATTATAAGATTTGAGCTTATTCTATTTTTAAGGCTCTTACTCTTGTAGCACTTTATTAACATCTTTTTTATAACTCGTGCCAGTCTTATTATAATTTATATGTTCATTCTCTAATTTATCACTCATGAAATATTTGTTGAATATTTATTATCTGTACTTATGGTACTAGGCAGTGACATAAGCTAGAATTATTCTTAGGCCCAGTTCTTCTCACTGGTCTCCTGGGTGTTCCAGGGGAAAAGTGAGCTGTTCTCTTTCCAAATCAGGCCCTAGGTGTTTTATCTAGACCTTTCTCATAAACTGGCACTATTCACTGAACTACTGCCCAGGGGCTTGTTCTCCCTTCCCATACTAGTAACCAAGGTTTGCTCAGTGGCTATGAAGTCAGTTTCCCATCTGCTTGAAGTAAACATAATCAAGAAGGTAAATTGTCTGCTAGAAGCTCATAGAGTACATGGAAAAGGGAAGGGAAGTCCAGAAATAGGTTGTTTGCTATTGGGAAATACTTGCCATTTGGGGAGGTAACTGTCTGGATTACTGTTTTCTCCACTCATGAATGACCAGGAATCACTATGTGGGGGATCTGAGGGCAGGAGGGGGCAGTCATTTTTATTCATCAGGTTAAGCATGTCTAGGCAAGGGGAAGGTCTAAAAGTGGAATAGTGGAAAGAGAACAGGACATTGGAGACACTTAAATCTAGCTTTAACTCCCAGTTCTACCACTTCCTGACTGTATGACTTTGTATAACTCCTTTAGCCTCTTTGAGCGTCAGCTTCTCCATTTATAAAAAGGGGATGACCATTCTGCTCAGAGGACGTTATAAGTAAATAAAATATATATGCAGCACCTGGTACAGAAAGCATGATATTCACTGGTACAGCAGAATTACAACTGCGTTGACACCAGCCTGGGCAACATAGCGAGACCCTGTCTGTAAAAAAAAAAAAAAAAAAAAAATTAGCCTGGCAACGGTGGCACGCGCCTGTGGTCCCAGCTACTGGATGGAGGCTGAGGGGGAGGATCCCTTGAGCCTGGGAGGTCAAGGCTGTGATAAGCCAAGATCCTGCCACTGCACTCCAGCCTGGGGGACACAGATTCTGTCTTAAAAAAAAATCAGAATCGCAAGTGACCTTTATTTTATTTTATTAGATTTTGAGACAGAGTTTCACTCTGTCACCCAGGCTGGAGTGTAGTGGCACGATTTTAGCTCACTGCAACCTCTGCCTGGTGGGTTCAAGCGATTCTCCTGCCTCAGCCTCCCAAGTAGCTGGGATTACAGGCGCTCGCCACCACGCCTGGCTAATTTTTGTATATTTAGTAGAGACGGGGGTTTCACCATGTTGGTCAGGCTGGTCTTGAACTCCTGGCCTCAAGTGATCTGCCTGCCTGGGCCTCCCAAAGTGCTGGGATTACAGGTGTGAGCCACCGCGCCCGGCCACCTGATGCTATTTTTAAAATAACTGGTCCTTGTAAAAAATCTACACAAGTATATAAAGTGAGTGGCTTAAAGGTGTCCTATTTTGCATGAATTTGCGAGAAATTTTATTGCTGGAGACTCTCGGCTTCTGTCCCAAACTGAGTCACAAGAACTTGATTTATTTTTACTCCGCACCCCTCTGATTGCTTTCTGAGGGTCCTTCCGCTAGAAAGAAATTACATTGTTGGAAAATCAGACAGGAAACTTCGCAGTTCCAGCCTGGAAGCAAAAGCAGGCGTGAAGCTATCTCTTCAGCCCTCCCTCCCCCCAAGGGGAGGGGCACGGGGGCAGCTCGTGCAAGAGTCTGCAGAGGGCGGGGCTAGGGGCGGGGCTCCCACCTCGGTGCGGGGCGGGGGGCGCCGCGCGCTGGTCTGGCGGCCCGCGATTGGGCGAGGCCGCGAGCGGCGTGACAGCTGCCAGCTCACCGGCTCAGACGGTCGCCGCCGCGTTTGCGCAGGGGGAGCTGGTCGCCGCCGCGGCCGCCTGGAATTGTGGGAGTTGTGTCTGCCACTCGGCTGCCGGAGGCCGAAGGTAGGGGCGGTGAGGGCCGCCCGGCCCTGGAGCTGGGCGGGGGGCTCAGGGCGCTTCCTGGGCCTCCTCCTGCCGGCGGCCTCGGCGCCTTCCCAGCAGTGTTCTGGGGACCCACACATCCTCACTAGTGTCTCCAAAGCGGGACGTCCAAGTGGGCCCGGGGCTCCCTGCCGAAGGCCTACCTTTCTTATCTTTCCCACTCAGAATGTCTCCATTCACCTCTTTATTGGCAGGAGATGGGGCCGTGGAAATTTGAGATTGGCTTTGGCTCCGCACCTGTTTTTAGTGCCCTTGCCTGTTTCATTCTCCCAGCCTAAGTTTCCGTATCTGTCCGAAGAAGGGGTGGTTTGGTGTTGATCTCCGAGACCCGTGTGTCTCTTCCCATGTGGAATTATTGTCACTCTCTTATTGCTTGTTTTTCTTTGTCCTGGAAAATTTGCCTTTAGAGGTTACAGACTGGTTAGTGTTATCTCTCGGATCGTCTAGGGGCTTTGTGCATAAGCCTTGGGCTCCATTCCCTGGGATTTCCGATAAGATGGTGCGTGGGCAGCTGTACCCCAGGGGGTTCTCATTCAGGTGGTCCCGGAATCCTGGCTTTGAAAATCCCTGCTTCAGAAGTCAGGAGAGAATGACTTGACATATGAGCCCCTGGAATGGGGCTCTGAGTGGGAAAAGCCAGGAATCAGGAAATGCTAACACGTGTGAGGCTGGGGCTTTCTTTGCACCGGAGGAATTAGAATGCCATTTGATGTCTTTTAAAAATATTTGACTACCTATATATGTAAGATCAGTTTTCTAATATTCTTAAATGCCTGGCTTCGTTTAAAGTTCAGTTGGCTTTCCCACCTCAATAAACCTAAATAAAAACATGATCTGAGAGATGGGGCGGGGGTTAAGTTAACCCAAACTAAGTAGACAGGAGGAGAATGAAACTTACATATTTGCTAAGAGAAGAAAGTGATGTGTTTATAAACAGTTTTTTTTTTTTTTTTTTTTTTTTGAGGCGGAGTTTCGCTCTTGTTTCTCAGGCTGGAGTGCAATGGTGCCATCTCGACTCACAGCAACCTCCGCCTCCCAGGTTCAAGCGATTCTCCTGCCTCACCTTCCCGATTAGCAGGGATTACAGGCATGCGCCATCGTGCCCGGCTAATTTTCTATTTTTAATAGAGACAGGGTTTCTCCATGTTGATCAGGCTGGTCTCGAACTCCTGACCTCAGGTGATCTGTCTACCTCGGCCTCCCAAAGTGCTGGGATTACAGGCATGAGCCACCTCGCCTGGCATATAAACAGGTTTTTTTTTGACATTGTGAAAGATATTTTGTTGTGTGTGTGTGTCTTTTCTGCTCTCACCCCACCCAAGTTTTTTTCTTTTCTGATAAAAGTATAGCCAGATTTGGGGATTGGGTAGGATTTTGATGGGAGCCAGAGTGTAACGATATTGGGATTGATATTTGTATAACATGGGTCAGAACTTGGTCTGTGGTTTTGAGAACATGGCTCTCGGGTTTTTAAGATGGTGTTACCACACCACATTTATTTCCCCTTTCTTTCATTTGTTTAGTGAATTTAATCTGCTCATGAATACATGTGCTGTTTTAATGAAATTGGCAATAGAAGAGACGTTCTGCTCCCATTTTACAGGTGATGGAAATGTTAGTAGGGATGCGGCAGTCCAGGAATGAAAAGTTGCCTAGTACTTTGATTCCCACTTACTTCCCCTTCCCTGCTGTTTTCTGAAGGCCAGCTATTACTTCTCTACTGAGGCCAACTGTGAGCCCTGGTGTGTTTCATTGGCAGGAGAAGAGGCTAATTAAGTGAAACTGAAAGGTAACAAAATGGATTTTAAAATAACTGACATGTGGGAACTTGATCCACCAATGAATGTTCTCCTTTAGAGTGATGTGTGCAGGTGTAGGTGGTGGGAGTTGAGGATGGCGTGCCTAAGTGATTTGGCTGTTGTCCAAGGCAGTTTTGAAAATCCACCTCTGGAATTGTTTTCAGAGACCTTTTTGAACCATGCGAGAGATCAGTTTCTTTAATATATTAAACCATACTGTATTATTATTATTATTATTTTTCAGATGGGGTCTCACACTGTGGTTCAGGCCGGAGTGCAGTGGCATAATCATAGCTCACTGCAACCTTGAACTCCTGGGCTTAAGTAATACTCTCACTAAAGCCTCCTGAGTAGTTGGGACTACAGGGGCGCACCACCAGGCCCAGCTAATTTTGTAATTTTAATTTTTGTAGAGACAGGGTCTCGCTGTGTTGCCCAGGCTGTTTTTGAATTCCTGGCCTCAAGCGATTCTTCTGTCTTGGCCTCCTAAAATGTTGAGATTACAGGCGTGAGCCACTGCACACAGCCTATATATATTTAACCCCGAATGGCATGGGTAAGCAACCTTGTCACCTGCCTTGTCTTCAGATGAGTTAACAGTTCTTTTGAAGTGGAAATAACAGATTTTTGGAGGGTGGTGAACATGAGTTTTAATTCTGAGTCTACCACTTATTAGCCACATAACCTTGGATAAGTTACTTCACCTCTGGGGCTCAATGTACCACTACATAACAGTGGGAATAGGGCCGGGCATGGTGGCTCACGCCTGTAATCCCAGCACTTTGGGAGGCCAAGGTGGGCGGATCACGAGGTCAGGAGATCGAGACCATCCTGGCTAACACGGTGAAACCCCGTCTCTACTAAAAATACAAAAAATTACCCGGGCGAGGTGGTGGGTGCCTGTAGTCCCAGCTACTCAGGAGGCTGAGGCAGGAGAATGGCGTGAACCTGGGAAGCGGAGCTTGCAGTGAGCGGAGATCACGCCATTCACTCCAGCCTGGGCGACAGAGCGAGACTCCGTCTCAAAACAAAACAAAACAAAACAAAAAAAACTGGGAATAATATTTACTTTGAAGGGTGGTTAAATGACGTATTACACATGAAAGCTCTTGGGACATAGGAATGCAATAAATGTTTTCACCCTCAAAGAATGAAGATTTGCCGTTAATGAGAATATTCAAAAGAACATGAGAGTCTCTGGCCGGGTGCGGTGGCTCACACCTGTAATCCCAGCACTTTGGGAGGCTGAGGTGGGTGGATCACCTGAGGTCGGGAGTTCAAGACCAGCCTGACCAACATGGAGAAACCCCGTCTCTACTAAAAATGCAAAATTAGCCGGGCGTGGTGGCGCATGCCTGTAATCCCAGCTACTCGGGAGGCTGAGGCAGGAGAATCACTTGAACTCGGGAGGCGGAGGTTGCAATGAGCCGAGATCATTGTGCCATTGCACTCCAGCCTGGGTGATAGAGCGAGAGATTCTGTCTCAAAAAAAAAAAAAAAGGCTCTGAAAGGAAGTTGTACCTTTTTCGAAATAGGTGGATTCTCTTTTTCACATACTTGTGGATTCATACTCTGACCTGCTCAGCCTCCCCCTGTCTTTCTTCATTCATTTTCTGTCCTTTCCTAAGTGAAGTTTTGCTGCAGAGGCTGTCTGCCAGTCTCTTGTAGTAAGCCTCTTTTCAGGAGAGCTAATCTGAACTCTCTTACAATGCTAGTCCCTTAGTCGCTATTCCTAGGGATTTTTTTCTGGGGGCTCCAGATGGTGCTTGGATCACGCTCTGTAGCACAGCCATCTCTAACTCCTGGATTTGGTGTCAATTTGGAGACCCATCCTGTGGAGCTAATCTTCTCTCTTTCTGAGCAAGGATGAATACTTTATCCTTTTCTGAGTCGGCCTTAAACTGCAAACCTTAGTCTTCTACAGCAGAGAGTCTTGTATTTTAATTATACGTAGACTAAAGACGGAATAGCATGCCCTTTTCTTTTCTTCCTTTACTTTCACCAAGGATTTCACTGCTGAGTAGGGGAGTAGGAGAATAGCCTGTTGCCATTCAGAGTGAGGCCTTGGGTAACCCCTGATTCCTAGCATAAGCAATAACTGAGTTCATCTTTGGGACAAAAACCTTGTAAAAGATTCGGGCTGCTCAGACACATGTGGAGAACCTCAAGCTAGGAATTTTCCTAGCTTGTGAGGAGTTTACACCTGGCATTCTTACTTTTGCAAATTTGTACCCAGAATCCAGTAGCAACAAAACTATATTCAGCCCAGACTTGTAGTTCCTTCAGGTTCCACCAGGCAGCTGTAAGACATGGCTGTGATTATGCTGGCTGGCCATGTTTGCCTTCATCCTCCTAATACTGCCCTTGGCTTTGGTATTGAGAAGGAAGTGGCATAATCAATTCATGAGTAACATTCTCTGCCAAAGTGGAAATCAGGGGCAGAGAGTTGTGAGCATAGGACTAGACAAATGGAAAGAGCCAGCCTTGCCTCAGGAATGCTGCTAAAGTGCTGTGAATCCGTGACAACCACTGTGTTTCTTGGTGTCACCTCATTTGTGAAATGGGAATGCCTTCATTGATCTCTCTCTTGAGAAGAGTGGACCACCATGCCAGTTTTCCCAGGACAGAGGGATATCCGTATGTGGGACTTTTAGTGCCAAAAGCAGGAAAGTCCGGGGCAAACCAGGACAAGTTAGTTACCCTACCCATGACCATTATACAAGTTAATGAACACTGTGCCCTTAGGGTTCATCTAAGACTCAACCCTTTGGGTTCATCTAATTATTTTTCAACCTTTTGTTCATTATCATATTTTGAGACTTTTTTTCCCTTAATTGTCTACTCCCCAGTGGAATGTTTTTTTGAGAGGGAGTCTCACTCTGTCGCCCAGGCTGGAGTGCAGTGGTGTGATCTCTGCTCACTGTGGCCTCTGCCTCCTGGGTTCAAGTGATTCTTGTGCTTCAGCCTCCTGAGTAACTGGGATTATAGGCGCCCACCACCATGCCCAACTAATTTTTGTGTTATTTAGTAGTAGTTTTTGTGTTTTGCCATGTTGGCCAGGCTGGTCTTGAACTCCTGGCCTTAAGTGATCTGCCCACCTCAGTCTCCCAAAGTGCTGGGATTACAGGCATGAGCCATCGTGCCCAGCTACCCCCAATGGAATTTTAATACCACAGATGTACTGTGTATCTGTTTTTGTATTGTGGCCCTTTGGATGGCCACAAACCATTGTAATATCTAACTTTTTTTCCCCCAAGAATCAATTTTCACCCCTTCTGGGCTGTTACTGCACTCACTGAGAATGCATGGTCTTATCTGATATTCTTTCTTTAATGTAGTCATCAAGGCCAGTTTTTTATCCAGAAGAAACAGCTAGTACCACAAGCTTTTTCGTTTCCTTTCCTGTTTTTTTTTTTTTTTTTTTTTTTTTTTTGAGACTGAGTTTCGCTCTTGTTGCCCAGGCTGGAGTGCAATGGCGTGATCTTGGCTCACTGCAACCTCTGCCTCCTGGGTTCAAGTGATTCTCCTGCCTCAGCCTCCTGAGTAGCTGGTACTACAGGCATGTGCCACCACATCTGGCTAATTTTTTTTTTTTTTGGTAGAGACAGTCTCACTGTGTTGCTCAGGCTGGTCTTGAACTTCTGGGCTCAAGCATTTCTCCTGCCTCGGTCTCCCAAAGTACTGGGATTATTAAGTGTGAACCACCACACCCAGCCAAGTTTATTCTTTATTGTTTTAATTTTCTTCCAGTCTTTGGATTTTGAGGTGGTCCATTTATCATCTGCTTCTCTGGTGCCTCTTGGACCTTCCATCTTCACAGCTGGGGCTGCTGTGTTGGCCCAGGTGTCCCCAGACTGGACATCGGAACCTTTGGGAAGAGTCTGATGTTTGGCCCTTGTCACATTTCACATTTCACATCTACAGAGAAATGGGGAAGGGTATGTTTCTGAGGTCTGCTCATAGGCTATGTTGTGACTGAGGAAGTTCTTGATCATCCCTTTTGGTTACCACTTATCATCACTGGCAGAAAAACATCAAAGTGGTCAGTGAACTCATCTCCACATCTGGCTACTTCCATCTCTGCAAGTAGTTTGCTTCTTCAGTCTTGTGATGGGAAAGAGATCTAGAAACTGGAAGAATAATCTGAGATACATCCTAAAGTTCTGGTGAGGAAAGCTAATGCCAATGGACTTTTTTTTTTTTTTTTGAGATGGGGTCTTGCTATGTTGCCCAGGCTAGTCTTGAACTCCTGGGATCAAGCAATCCTTCCACCTCAACCTCCTGAGTAGCTGGGATTACATGCATGTACCACCATGCCTCACTCGCCAGTGGATTTTTTTTTTTTTTTTTTTTTTTGAGACAGCATCTTGCTCTGTTGCCCAGGCTGGAGTGCAGTGGCACAATCTCGGCTCACTGCAACCTCTGCCTCCCAGGTTCAAGTGATTCTTCTGCCTCAGCCTTCCGAGTAGCTGGGACTACAGGCGCCTGCCACCACGCCTGGCTAATTTTTGTATTTTTAGTAGAGATGGGATTTCACCATATTGGCCAGGCTGGTCTCAAACTCCTGGCCTCGAGATCTGCCGGCCTCGGCCTTCCAAAGTGCTGGGATTACAGGCGTGAGCCACTGTGCCTGGCCCTTTTTAAGAGGGTCTCACTCTGTTGCCCACGCTGGAGTATAGTGGTGTGATCATAGCTCATTGCAACCTCCAACTCCTGGGCTCAAGTGATCCTCCCACCTCAGCCTCCCAAGTAGCTAGGACCATGGGTGTGCACCACCATGCCTGGCTAATTTAATTTTTTTTTTTTTTTTTAAAGAGACAGGGTCTTGCTTGCAACATTGCCCAGGCTGATCTTAAATTCCTGGCCTCAAGTGATGCCCTACCTTGGCCTTCTAGAGCACTGGGATTACAAGTGTGAGCCACCATGCCCAGCTATACCAGTGGGCTTTTAAATGGACATTTCTTTACCTCTGGGGATAGTCTCATTTTTGTGAGGCTCCCAAGGGGAAAGCAGCCATCTGACCAAACTAGAAAACTAGCAGGCTTCAGCCCAGTGGAATAACATAAAGTAGGACAATCGATACAGACAACATTGATTGGCCATGCTTTGAGTGCTGTGGATAGTGTGTATTGGAAGCTTAAGGGGCCAGCTCATAAGTAAGTTGTAAGTAAGTATTTAAGGATGCTTTTTTTTTTTTTTTTTTTTTTTTGAGACAGAGTCTCACTGTCACCCAGGTGTGAGTGTGATCTTGGCTCACTGCAACCTCTGCCTCCCAGGTTCAAGTGATTCTTGTGCCTCAGCCTCCTAAGCAGCTGGGATTACAGGTGCTTGCCACCATGGCCGGCTAATTTTTGTATTTGCAGTAGAGATGGGGTTTTACCATGTTGGCCAGGCTGGTCTTGAACTCCTGACATCAGGTAATCTGCTCACCCCGGTCTCCCAAAGTGCTGGGATTACAGGTGTGAGCCACTGTCTCTGGCCTAAGGTTGCTTCTTGTTTTTCCCCACACCCCATCTCATACTCATGGGGAGTTGGGTTTGACTGTATTCTTGAAGTTAAGTCTCCATCCTTGGACCCAGCTGCTAAAGTCTAAAATGATTGTGTTTTGGGCTGGAAGATATTATAGAGATCTTTATTTCCTTGCAAACATCAGGGCTGGCTGTTTGTGGTACTGTGGATGAGTGAAGAGTCAGGAGATACACTTCTAGTTCTGTTACTGCCCAATGCCTCCATTTTGCATTTGATAGGTTTTTATTTTTCTGACGACAAAAACTGAGCCCCAGAGAAGTGAAGTGGGCCACGTAATGGTAGGATCTTTTTTAGGCCACCCACATAATAGTGGGACTCTAGTGTTAGAGCTGGGACACAGGCTAGGGGTCTTACAAAGGGTGGCCATAGAAGTTGTTAGAATTGTTTAAAGCATTGTAAAGATGCAGGATGCTTTTGCAGTTAAAAGTCTCCTGGGAAGGAGGAGGCCCTGTCTCCACTTACTGCCTTGTACATGATCTTATACCCTCATGGTTGAAGATTTTTGCTGTCGTGCTGTTTTTCCTCCTACTCATGTCGAAATGTGTTTCTCTTGCTCTTACCTCAGAGGAAATGAATTTGAAGCCTTCCTCCGTGTTAGAAACAAATAGTGCTCAGGCCAGACTTGTGTGTTTCTGTAAAGAATGAGGCCAGATGTAACAGTGGACCTTATCTGGTGATCCAAGCAAACCTTCAAGACATCTCTAAGAGAAAGAGAGAAGGAATGAGTGTATTTCAGAGTGGTTTAAACACACTTTGGAGTCAGACTCACTTGTATTTACGTTCTGATATCTACTTACTAGTTGTCAGATTGTAAGTTACTTATTTTCTCTAAGCCTTAGTTTTATGATCTGTTGAATGGGAATAGTAATATGTATTTTTATAGCTATCTTAAGAATTCAGAGAATAGATATGGTGCTTCCTCTGGCACAATGTAAAACAGCAGTCCCCAACCTTTTTGGCACTAGGGACTAGTTTCATGGAAGACTATTTTTCCATGGACTGGGGGATGTGGGGGATGGTTTGGGGATGATTCAAGCACATTATATTTATTGTGTACTTTATTTCTGTTATTATTATTTTTGAGACAGAGTCTCACTCCATCACCCAGGCTGGAGTTCAGTGGCACAGTCTTGGCTCACTGCAACCTCTGCTTCCCAGGTTCAAGCAATTCTCCTGCCTCAGCTTCCTGAGTAGCTGAGATTACAGATGTGTACCACCACACCCGCTAATTTTTGTATTTTTAGTAGAGATGAGGTTTCACCATGTTGACCAGGCTGGTCTTGAACTCCTGACCTCAGGTGATCCACCCGCCTGGACCTCCCAAAATGCTGGGATTATGGGCATCATGCCCAACCTATTTCTATTATTATTACATTATAGTATGTAATGAAATATACAACTCACCATAATGTAGACTTAGTGGGAGCCCTGAGCTTGTTTTCCTGCAACTAGACGGTCCCATCTGGGGGTGATGGGAGACAGTGACAGATCATCAGGCATTAGATTCTCATAAGGAGTGTTCAACCTAGATCCCTTGCATGCACAGTTCACAATAGAGTTTGTGCTCCTATGAGAATCTAATGCTGCCACTGATCTGACAGGAGGCGGTGCTCAGGCGTTAATGCAAGCGTTGGGGAGCAGCTGTAAATACAGATGAAGCTTTGCTCACTCACTTGCTGCTCACCTCCTTGGATGGGTTTCTGATAGGCTACAGACCAGTATCGGGGGTTTGGGACCCCTGATGTAAATGCTCTGTGTTGTCATCATTATTGACAACAATAGTTTCCAGTTTCTGAGCCACGTCGTAGTTTCAGGATAGGTTATGCTGACCAAGCAAGTTTTATCTTAACCATCACCTCATTGTTGTCTTAGTTGGTTTGTATTACATATTATTTATACCAATAGTTATAGGTATTTCATGCTGAATAACTAAAAGTTGTGAGTAGCAAGGAACTTTGCTGCTTCTCTGCCATCTCCTTCCTTACTCAGCTTAGTGCTTATCTTTCTCAGGTTCTCTCTTGTCAGGTGCTCAAGCCAGCAGGCCTTGTTTCGGGGGCAGTGTCTGATGAGGGGATTTTATTGGGGTAGGGCTGGCTAGTCCAGAGCCTGCCTGGTCCCTCAGATAGTATGTTCTCCTTATCTCTTGCTTTCTGCTCTTCAGCCAGACATGAAGCAATTAGCTCATCAAGGGAATGTTGACTTTTGTCACTGCTTTCCTCTGATTTGTATGCTCATTTCTGGTCCTTGTGCAAAGTCACGGAGGCACAGTCACATACACTGACCCAGATTTTGTGCTCAAGTTGACTGTCTCTCTCTTTGAGATGTACAACTGGTTCCATGTAGCAAGGGAGTGAGGAAAAAGCCCCTGGAGCCAATCCCATTATTTTGATCTCAAGTTGAGTTTTTAAAAAAATCCAAGCACTATGACTATAGACCATGCCTCACTTCTCTGTATGAAACAAATAAGGTAAAAAAAACTCACTATTTGGAGGGAAGGCCAATCTGAATTGGTAAACAATAGGAATTAGTACATTCAAGAAAATGCCATTGTCTTTTTCTTTTTAGCGAGCCTCTGCAGTATCTTTTTTACCTAGTTTTGTTGCTTCCCCTGTTTCCTGTGACTGTGCTCCAGAATTATTACAGAAGCGCCCTCTTATTTCTTGCTTTTGCTTCCTCCAGGACACTATATACCACTGCCACTTTGGGTCTTCCTATATATTGTGCTTATCAGAGAATACTTATGCTTGGAAGCTGTATTAGTCTGTTCTCATACAGTTATAAACAAATACCTGAGAATGGGTAATTTATAAAGAAAAGAGGTTTAATTAGCTCATGGTTCTGCAGGCTGTACAGACTTCTGCTTCTGGGAAGGCCTCAGGAAACTTACCATCATGGCGGAAGGCGAAGGGGAAGCTGGCACGTCTTACATGTCTGGAGCAGGAGAAAGAGAGCAAGGGGGACATGCTGCACATTTTTAAATGGCCAGATCCTGTGAGAACTCACTTTTGTGAAAACAGCAAGGGGGAAATCCGCCCCTATGACTTAGTCACCTCCCACTAGGCCCCTCCTCCAATATTAGGGATTACAATTTGATATGAGATTTGGGTGGGGACACAAATTCAAACCATATCAGAAGCCTTCAATGGCACCCACTAGCTCCTGAATAAATTCCAAATGTATCAGGTTGTTGGTGTTCCAAGCCTATTGCAGTGTATACCCATCCTACCATTTTAATTAATATGTCCGTACCATCACCCACGTGTACCCCTTGCTCCTGATGAACTGATCCACGTGGTCCTCTGAGTATGCTTCATGTTGGTGTCTCTGCCAGTTCTTTTGCCCAGAGTACTCTCTCCTTAGTTTCCTACTTTTTTTTTTTTTTTTAAGATGGAGTCTTGCTCTGTTGCCCCAGGCTGGAGTGGAGTGGCACAATCTCGGCTCATTGCAACCTCTGCCTCCCGGGTTCCAGTGATACTCCTGCCTCAGCCTCCCAAGTAGCTGGGACCACAGGCATGTGCCACCACACCCGGCTAATTTTTGTAATTTTAGTAGAGACGGGGTTTCACCGTGTTGGCCAGGCTGGCCTCGAGCTCCTGACCTTGTGATCCACCCGCCTCGGCATCCCAAAGTGCTGGGATTACAGACGTGAGCCACTGCACCCAGCCGGTTCCCTACTTTATGCTGCAGAGCTGCCGCCTTCAGTGAGCCTTACCTGATGTGTCCTCATCTGTATCCCCATTGCAACACCTTTATTATAGAATTCAGCACACTTTTATTATGGTATGATGTTTGTCTCTTTTTATATGAGCTTCTCAAGGATATGGGTTGTGATTTAATGTGTCTCTTAGCATAATGCTGAGTGTAATATGGATACCATAAATGGTTGTTGAATGGATGTTTACATGAAAACTTAAGAAATGATAACAATCCTGTTGAAATCCTACTTCCCTGAAGCATTTCTTGATTCCCAGCCACAGTGAGTTCACATGCTCCATTCCCAGAGCCCTTTGTTTTTGAAGCATTGGATTCCTTAGAGTAAGCCTTATACACTCAATTGGATTAGAACTTCCTAGAGGGCAGACACTGCATCTGTCATTCCTCTTCATGCATCCAATCCCCAGCACAGTCCTGGCACATAGAGAGTGTTCAATAAATGTTTATGAATTCAAGAGTCCTGCTATTTGGTCAGCTGATGTACTTGCCAGTTTAGCCTCCTGTGTTACTCACTGGCTAGGAGTCTCCAACTCAGATGTTTTTAGGGCCAAGTTGGGAACAGAGAGGCAACAGAGAATGGTAGGCCTGTGTCAAACCGGAGTGCTTATGTGCTTCATGAGGGGTGGCTGCTACTCAGCCTATCGTCATGGGTGAGTATGGCCTCCTCATGTCATATGGGAGGCCAGATATTCATAATCTCTAGGGACTACCAAAGCATATTTGTGGTCTAGATTTGACCTATAGGCTACCCATCTGTATCCTTTAGGTAGAGGCTGGAGTTTCACACATTTAAATTCCTTGTAAAATAATAAAGGTGGGGGAGGGGAGGACATAGCTTGAAAACTTTTGAGGGCGTTTGGTGAAAGCCTATCTTTAGATAAAAGTGTCCTATGATTTTCTGTGGGTAGTGACTTAATCTCTTGGGTTCGGCCCTGTAGAACATCTATGGTCTGGGCTTTATCCTCCCTTATATTCTGATTTCACTGGGCTATGAAAAGCAACTTTTGTCCCTAGAAAGGTGGTGACTCAAGAACTTTTGCACTTTTTGCCCTTTTGCTCAGCTTCCACTGAGGCAGGTTTGATAGTTGTTCCTGCTTCTGGCTACTTTGAAGGGCCTGGTGGTCAGGCTGGTGCAGCATAAGGTCCCAGAGGCCACTTCTGTTAATGACATCTCTGAGAAAGAGCTCTGGGTGAACAAATACAACTAAAAGGGAAATACATTGTACAGAATCACTGCTTAAATGTGGTCAGCCAAGGGGCAAAACAGTATAATAGCCAGAAGGAAGTCTGCATCTCCATGGAACCTTTTGCAAGGTGATATCTTATCCTCTGGCTGTCTCATTTTTTTCATAGTCCCTAAGTGCCCCAGCAGTGCTTACTTGCCTGGCATCACCTTCTAGGTCTGAGAGTGTTGCCACAAATGATATCCCCATCTCCAGTAGAAATTAGCTGCCTGGGATATCTCGGGCAGACTACATGAGAAACTGAAAGCAGTGCAGTTTGTCTCTAGTGAGAGGCCCTGGGTAACTAGAGAATTGGGAAGGAGGGAGACTTACTTTTCACTATATGTCTTTGTGTGCCTTTTCAAATTTGAAACATATGCATATACAGTAAGTCCTCACTTGACATCGGTCATAAGTTCTTGGAAACTGTGACTTTAAGTGAAATGTATACAAAACCAATTTTACTATGGCTCATTGGTATAAACAAGAGTTAAGTTCCTACAGAATATTTCTTGTTACAGAAACATGACCAAACTTCTAAATAAAGACCAAAACACTTCTAATATTAAAAACTGAGATAAATGTGAGCTATACATTCCTTTAAGAAGGATTAACAAAAACAAGTGAGATAATTACTACCCTATTAGTTCAGGGTCTTGGGTGGCCAGAGCCCATCCCGGCAGCTCAGGGCACCAGGCAGGAACCAGCCTTGGACAGGATGCCATCCCATTTCAAGGTACACTCACACACCCTGACACTCATGCAGACTGGACCCCTTACACGCAACAGTGAACCTAACAGGCACGTCTTCGGGATGTGGAAGGTGACTGAGGACTTGGAGAAAACCCACACAGACATGGGGAGAATAAGCAGACTCCACACAAGCAGTGGCCCTGGCTGGGAAACAATTATTTTTTTCTCGTCGGTGTTATAAGGAAATAATGTTGATCGAAGCAATGTTATTTGGAGACCTGCTGTATTGTTATTTTTTAAATGTAGCTGAGCAGACCCATGTGTGGTCTTCTCTTCAAATTTTACTCTGTCCTCACTTTATTCCTGACATATGGATTTCTCTGTAAACAACTGGACCCAGTCGCTGTAGACTGCCTCTCAGATGTGACAGCTTGGCCTCTCTGCTCCCTAGAAATGTCCTAGGGTTTCTCATGCAGGGGTCTTTGGAATAACAATCAGGTGTAAAGTATGTGCAATATTTTACTGTTTTCAAATTTTACTGTTTTCAGTCTGATTCTTATGACATCCCCATTTATTTATTTTTTAGTTGTAGTTTTTTTAGAGACAACATCTCACTCACACCCAGGCTGGAGTAACAGTGGTGTGATCGTAGCTCACTGCAACCTCAAAATCTTGGGCTCAAGATATCCTCCCACCTCAGCCTCCTGAGCTGGGACTATAGGCATGTGCCACCATGCCTGGCTAATTTTTTAAAATTTTTTTGTAGAGATGGGGTTTTGCTATGTTTCCGAGGCTGGTCTTGAACTCCTGGCCTCAAGCGATCCTTCCACCTTGACCTCCCAAAGTGCTGGGATTATAAGAATGAGCCACTGTGCCTGGCCACACAACACCCCCATTTTATGGTGGTAAAATATTGAGGCTCGGAGAGTCTAAATGACCCATTTAGGGTCATACTGCTAGCCAGAGTAGGGCTGTGACTAATCCAGGTAGCTTTGTCTCCTATTAATGTACCTTGTTCTTAGTTCTTGTAGCAATGAGGCAGTCCTCTTTGGAATTCTTTACCATTTCCAGGACCATTGCAGTTAGGGCAGGAATGGAGTGGTGGTGATTCCTCTTTCCTCTTTTGGTTTGAACCCTCCTTTCAGGATGCTTAGTTACACAGGCCTGTCCTCTCTGGAAAAAGGGGATCAGTAGTAGGTTTCTCCACTTTTTGGAGAAACCTAAACTAAAGCTTCAATGGGGCAATACCTTTTAGGAGAGTTTGAACTGACAGTCTGGCTTCCTATTCTTTGCGGAGAGTTATTGCTGCTATTAGGCAGAGGGCTTTGTTTCCAGGTTACAAATCTTTTTAGCAAAGAAGTGAGTGTGGAATAGAATTGGAAGGACTTGTGTAGTCCTTGGATATAATTTAATGCTCCACATCCCAGAGAGAGTAAACATTGTAAAGTGTGCAAGATGGGTTTGGATTAATATCCTGACAGCATGTGGCTTGGCATGTAGGGCATTCCTTGGAGACCCTTCTTACCATACACAGCCTGCCTTTGCCGGGTGGCCTCTTCCCACAGGTCTTCCCAGCAGCTGTTGTGCACCTGGGTGAATCATCCGCTTCCCTGTGCTTTGAAAAAACCCATTTTAACTGATGAAAGCCCTCATACAGGAGGTGCAATAAACAGACAACCTTGAAAATGTTTTTTAGTACAACCTAAGCTGCCTCTGAGTTTGTCCAGGGTATTCACCTCCATTAGGAGCACTGGCTGATTCTCACCTCTGGTCTCTTCTGAATAGAATATGGAAAATCACCTTGCCCTTTCTACTCTGCTGCACCTGACATCATGGGTGTGGAAGGTCTCTGGAAACTCCGGGGAGGCAGGAGCACCATGGACATGGAGGGAAGGCTCATTTGCTTCTAAGGACCATGCAGAAATCCTTGGCTTTTTACTTCTGTTAGTCCTACTTAAATCAGAATTTAAAGCCTTCAAATAGAATTCTGTGTATGGCTGACATAGCATGGAGTAGGGAAGGCTTCTTTGTAATTTCTGAGGAGAACTTGGGGGCATGTAGAGGTCATGCTTAGGTTCTTTCCTTACCCAGACCTGACCTGTGCCGGGCCAGAGAGGTTTGCCCTAGAAAGCTGATGACTTAGGACCTTACTGGTGTGCAGCTTTGCAGGCCTGTAAACTTAGTTAGTTCATCCAGGTTTCAGTTCCTGGGGGCCTGCCTCAGGCATGTGAAATTCATAAGAGACCATCAAGTCACAGTTCCAGTTAACTAACTCCAATAAACATGACGACTAAGTTGATTTATGTGGACATGTAAGAGCATCTCTCCTCTGTAGGAGAGATTAGCTGGGAAGCCAGCTCCCCTCTGGAGGAAACCAAGGCAAATTATGGTGGCAAGCTTTTGGGTCATAGCATCAGATACACCCAGATTTAAACCATGTAACAGCTGTGAGACTTCAGAGGAGCTACTCAACCCCCCTGCTCCTGTGTCCTCAGCTGTGAAACCCCCTGGGTTTTTCAGATATATACATGGTAAGCACTCAATAAATGTTTTGTCTCACTTGTTTCTCACTCTTCCCTCTTCCCCTTTTCTCCTTCCCACTTTGTCCTTCTAGGGCTATATTGTAATCTGACCAGAATACACTTGTCAGTCTATTAAGGCACCAGGTACTGGAGATAGACTCATTTTTATTCTCTTGGCTCCCTTTATATATTCTTTGCCGTCCACGGCTCTTTTGTTACCACAGGTTACAATAGGAACAGTTAGATTCTAGCTCTTGTCAGTGGCTTCCAACCTAAGGGTTCTTTCTGGTTACCATTCAGTCCACCATTATTTGCTGAGTACCCATTGTGTGCCAGGACCTGCTTAGCCCTGGAAATACAGTGATGAATGAGACAGATGTGGTCCATGCCTTGAGTAACACCTCTTCAAACCCCCTCCTTAGATAGGTGACTTCTGTGGATGACTCGCCCTGCTCATTCCGTGTTGCGTCATATTAATTTCCTTCTGAGAGGGCAATCTTCTCCTTAGACCTAGGGAACAGTGCCTTTTTGTGCTGCGTGGACCTTGCCTGCTGGCTTGCCTGCTCCCAAGCAATGAGAGCAGCGTGTTGAGGCTGAAGGAGAAAGCCCCCCGGGCTACTACTGCCCTGGCCACACATGTCCCAAGAGGCTGCACTTGGCACTTCTGAATGTTCCTTTTCTCCTTGCACACAGATTATAGTGTTTACTGCTCGTTTAAATTCAAATAACCTTCCACCCCCTTCTCTGCCTTAAAAAAAACCAAAAAAACAAAAACTGTGTATTACAGTGTAGAAAACAAAACAGGCCAGCCCTGGTCCCCTGGCGAGGTTTGTTTTAACATCATTTTTTAGTGAAGCCTTGCTATGGGTTGCCTTTACTTTAATAGGGCTAATGTGTAATTCAGGCATATTGATAGTCTGCAGTTAAAGAATCTCACATCTTTTTTCTACCTTGATTGTCATCAACAGTGTGAAAGGTAGATGCAAGGGCTTTGGCTGACAGGAGGTGGGACTTCTCTGCTTTGGCCTCCAGACTCTATCCTGGACTCTGGCGGGTCCTATAAAGAAGGCTGAGCAGCCAGTTTAGTGATTTCTCAACTTCAAAATAGAAGCCTGGAGATAGTCCTACCCCTCCTCTCCCTTCTGCCAATTTTACCAGCAATTGCCAAGAACTGTGTGTGGGGAACCAGGCAGAATGACTCTCTGGAAATCATTTGTTTGAGAACTCCCAGTGGAGGAATGCATTTTCCTGTGCTTCTTCTCTTGTGATGGTGTGTGCTGTTGTGATTTGGTACTGCTTGTCCCTCTGCAGTACTGAGACTTGTATATAACTCCTCCAGCCCTGCGGGGGTTTTCAACAATAAATTGCTTGCTGGGTAGTATTTCCCCCAAATCCCTGGGAGAGCAGGGGAGCATGTTAACAATTAGGGACCTAGTTGAGCCTCTGTTTCTGGCACTGTGACTAGAGGCATGGTGGGTGAACCCAGATGAGCCATGTTTCCCACTGCTGCTCGGGCTGGGCATTTATTGCAGTTGGATGTAACATTAAGAGTCACACTAGAGGCTTGGTTGGAAAGGAGAGAGCACTGCATAATTATTGCTTATGTACTGTTTAAACCTATCAGCCAACAGATGTCAAGTGCAGAAAAAAAGCACAATAATGTTATTATAATGGCATAATAGTTATCATTATAATAATCAGCTGGCATAGGTTTTGATAAGAGGCAGATCCTGAAATGAGTGCAGGGGGAAGGGTTAACCTTGAACTACAGCACAATGAATGGCTGCTTAACCTTGCAGAAGATGCTGTGTAGAGGCAGGTGACTCAGGTATGGAGTTGCTACCCTCTCTGCCTAGCTAGAGGAGCTATGGAGACTTCAGCTGGGATTGTCTACCCTGCAGGTACTGTCTTTCTGATGGTGTGATGGAGCACACCATCCTTTGGTTTAAGGCATGCTACACTGCAGGAATACCATACTAGTGCCCAGAGCTGTGGGTTCTGGGAAATGCAGAGACTTCATCACTGTGGTCTCATTTTGGGTTTTCAGAAAATCCAGCCTCATGCCCATAGTTGCAGATGATGAATTTTGCTCCCTACAACAAACTGTGCTCCAAACCTAGGAAGTGGTGGTGCATCTCAGTTTTGTATGTATCAATTGTGGTGGGTTGTGCTCATGGAAGACAGACTTTTCTTTGCCAGAGAGCTTACCAGGAGCTACATTCCCAATTCTGGTTAGGAAGGTGGTGGTAAAGGGGTGAGGAGCAGAGTGGGGCTAATAGATGACCCACAAAGGCAGCATTGGGGTAGGAGAAAAAAGTCTGATTCAGGCAAAGCTGGGTATGATTTTTTTTTTTTTTTTTTTTTTTTTGAGATGGAGTTTTGCTCTTGTTGCCCAGGCTGGATTGCAATGGCGTGATCTCGGCTCACTGCAATCTTCACCTCCTGGTTTCATGTGATTCTCCTGCTTCAGCGTCCCAAGTAGCTGGGATTACAGGTGCACACCACTATGCCTGGCTAATTTTTTTGTGTTTTTAGTAGAGATGAGGTTTCCCCATGTTGGTCAGGCTGGTCTTGAACTCCTGGGTCTCGAACGCCTGGCCTCAAGTGATCCACCCACCTCGGTCTCCCAAAGTGCTGGGATTACAAGCATGAGCCACCGTGCCTGGCCAACTTTTTTTTTTTTTTTTTTTTAAAGAGACAGGGTCTTGCTCTGTTGCCCTGGCTGGAATGCAGTGGCACAGTCTTGGCTCACTGCAGCCTCGACTTCCTGAGGTCAAGAGATCCTCCCACCTCAGCCTCCCTAGTAGTGGGACTACAGTCATGTGCCACCACACCTGGCTAATCTTTTAATTTTTTGTAGAGATGGGATCTTGCTGTGTTGCTCAGGCTGGTTTTGAACTCCTGGTTTCAAGTGATCCTCCCTCCTCTGCCTTCTGAAGTGTTGGGATTATAGGTATGAGCCACCACATCTGGCTGTGGGTGTGACCCTTGACCTTACCATTCAATAGTTGGACAAGTTGCTTAACCTCGCTGAGCATCAGCTACCTATCTGTGTATGTGCTTATTCATTTCCCATTTGTTTTTTATTAATAGCCCTGTCTATAAAGTACCTGTCACTATGCCTGGCACTAAGTGGTGCTCAAAAAATACTTCTGCCTCCCTTCCTGCCACCCCCTACCTGCCTACCCTACATAAGAGAAGGGTAAGGAGAAGATCCTCCTGCTTCTGTAGAGGGAAAATGGCCTTAATTAGAGCTTTATGTGAACTTCTTTAGTTGCTGATATTGCTTTTCTGAGCCACAATCTGTGGACCTCCTCTGAAGCTGCCTCATCAGGAGCGACTTTGATATTTAGTGTTTGGGCACATCTCTGCTTCATCCAAGGAGTAAAAGAGGGTTTAAAATCTCATCAGGGCACAGAATGCCTGCTTCTGCCCCTGTAGCCTTGCCTCCCCTCCCTTCTTTCTTTGGGTGGGTCACTCGGGGGGCACTGTCTGCCCTGGGGATTACTCATTTCTTTCAGGGGGTCCTGGTTGTTTGGTTCAGTGTCTTTACTGGGGAAAGGCTTTTGTGTTTGTGCCTGCCTGGGCCTGTGCTGGGAACTTTTATTTTGGAAGCCTGGAGCACTCAGACAAGGTGATATCTTTTTAGACTGTTTCTGGCTGTAGGCCAGCTTATCACTATGGCTACCACCAGCTTAAAGAATGTCAGGACAGAAAGTAACTTCTGTAAGAAATTTGGGAGAGAAAGGGGGAAGGGGAGAGAATTGTTTGGCTTAAGGTCATGTAGGGAGGAGAACAGCTCTAAGTAGAACTCTTTGATTTGGATACAGCTTCGTTTTCCTTCTCTCTGAAATTTTATTTTTTCAGTCAACAAATGTATATAAAACATCTGTTACATTCCAGAGACTGTTAGGCCCTGAGATACAGTGTCAGATAGGGTTCCAGCTTAGAGTGTACTGATGAATATGTCAAAGTTAGTAAAATTACACTTGGAATAAGTGTATTGAAAGAAAGAGTTAAGAACATCTGAGAGGGATTTGACTTGGTCCTAGGGCTAAGAGGGTATCATAGAAGGCTTCTTTGAGGAAGTGATGTTCGAGTAAATATTGTGAAGACCAAACAAGTATTTACCAAGCAGAGTGACAGGACGTTGAGGAAAATTTCAGGCTGAGGGCCTGGATTTGCAAAGGCTCTGGAAGCAGGCAGTGGGTGGGGAGTTTTATGAGGAACTGAAAGTATGGTTGGAGCACAGAGAGTGAGAGGAGCCAGCTGAGGTTGGAGGGGTTGGTGAGGGCAGGCCTTGTCAGCTGTGGCATGGCATTTCATATTTACCTGGAGAACAGGGGAAGCCTTTGGAGAGTTGGTGGTGGTTTTGGTGGTTTTGGATTTGCAAATGAGCAGCACCCTTTTGGACACTGGATGGATTTTGTTGAGGGAGTGAAAATGAAGATCAGAAAAGGAACATTACTGTAATAGGTTGTTTTCCTTCAGTCAGCTAAATGGCAATCTTGAGACTAATCTCCTTTAGTGTGGCCTTGTTCCTCCTGATTCATGTGCTCTCTCAGTGCCAGTAGTCAGTGTGTTGTTGGGGCACCTGGCCACTCAGCAGACATGGTGGCCCAGGGTGCCAGCACTTGGCATCTTTCCATCTGCACAGAAAAAGGCCTGGAGGTTTCAGGCTTGTCACATGTTAACGGCTGACAGCTACAGAGTCCTTTGTAACCTGCTGTGTCACCATCCCTCTCTTGGCTGTCACTACTGGGTAAGGGCTACCCCCTTCACCTTAGACCACTTAAGCCACTGACACTGGCAACTCCCAGAGATGTGATGTGCCAAGTTAGCAAAGCCAGCACCTGTGGTTTGTGTAACATTCAGTTCTGGTTGATGTAGATGTGCACATGTTCTCTCTTGGCAGCAACCAATGTCTGGAGGGCCAGAAATGGGCTGGAGTTGTTCCTCCCACTGTGTGTCCAGGAAAACTGAGGTTTAGGAGTTGCCTGTGGTATAAAGAAAACTGGGTCAGAGTTACGTGCTGCCAGACCAAGTGTTAAGTGCATGGTGGGCGGGTATAGACCCTAGACCAGACTCTTTAGTGATACTGTGGCCTTGCCCACTACTCCTTTCACTTATTCATCTGGAAGGCCATGCTGCATAGTGGTTAGGAGCTTGGCCCTTGGACTGGGGCTGACTTTAGTTAGAATCTCAGCTTCTCGGCTGGGCGCGGTGGCTCATGCCTGTAATCCCAGCATTTTGGGAGGCCAAGGCAGGTGGATCACGAGATCAGGAATTCGAAACCAGCCTGACCAACATGATGAAACCTCATCTCTACTAAAAATACAAAAATTAGCCAGGCACGGTGGTGTGTGCCTGTAATCCCAGCTACTCAGGAGGCTGAGATAGCAGAATCGCTTGAAAGCAGGAGGCGGAGGTTGCAGTGAGCCGAGATGGTGCCACTGCACTCCAGCCTGGGTGACAGAGCCAGTCTCAAATAAATAAATAAATAAATAAATAAAATAAAGGCCAGGCGTGGTGGCTCACGCCTATAATCCCAGCACTTTGGGAGGCCAAGGCAGGTGGATCACAAGGTCAGGAGATCGAGACCATCCCGGCTAACATGGTGAAACCCCATCTCTACTAAAAATACAAAAAATTAGCCGGCTGTGGTGGCGGGCGCCTGTAGTTCCAGCTACTCGGGAGGCTGAGGCAGGAGAATGGCATGAACCCAGAAAGCGGAGCTTGCAGTGAGCGAAGCTTGCGTCACTGCACTCCAGCCTGGGCGACAGAGTGAGACTCTGTCTCAAAAAAAAAAAAAAAAAAAAAAAGAATCTCAGCTTCTCCACTTGGAAGCTATGTGACCTTGGACTATTTACTTTGCTTTCCTGCCCATTAATTTTCTCAGCTCTAAATAGGGAATAATGATAGTGCCATGGTCTGAATGTGTGTCCCCTCCAAATTCATATGTTGAAACCTAACCCTCGAGGTGGTTCCTCTGGGAGGTGATTAGGTCATGAGGGCTCCACCCTCATGAATAGGATTAGTGCCCTTATAAAAGAGGCCCGAGGAGCTTCCTTGCCTCTTCTGCATGTGAGGACCCAGTAAGAAGGTGCCATCTATGAAGCAGAGATCCCTCACCTGACGTTGAATCTGTTGGCATCTTGTTCTTGGACTTCCAAGCCTTTAGAATTGTTAGCAATAAATTTCTGTTATATATAAATTATCCAGTCTAAAATATTTTTATTTTATAGCAGCCTGAGTGGACTAAGATAGAAATTGGTTCTGAGAAGTAGGGTGTTGCTATAACAGATACCTAAAATGTGGAAGCAGCTTTGGAACTGGGTAATGGGTAGAAGGCTAGAGGAGTTTTGAGGTGCATTGCCATGAAAGGAGCCTTAAGGGTAATTCCGACGAAGGTTCAGAAGAGAGCTGTAGAGAAAGCCTCCGTTTTCTTAGAGATTATCTAAGTGGTCTTGATCAGAATGTAGATAGAAATCTGGATGGTAAAGGCCCTTCTAATGGTGCCTCAGATGGAAATTAGGAACATGTTATTGGAAACTGAAGGAAAGGCCACCTTCTTATGAAGTGGCAAAGAGTCAGGGTGCAGTGGCTCATGCTTGTAATCCCAGCACTTTGGGAGGCCGATGTGGGAGGATTGCTTGAGACCAGGGTTTTGAGACTGCAGTGAGCTGTGATTGTGGCACTGCACTCTAGCCTGGGCCACAGAGTGAGACACTGTCTCACAAAAAAGGTCATAAGAGAAACAGGTCTGTAGTTTTCTTTTTTTTTTCTTTTTGAGACTGAGTCTCACTCTGTTGCCCAGATCATGCAATGGCAAGATCGTGGCTCACTGCAACCTCCACCTCCCGGGTTCAAATGATTCTCATGCCTCAGCCTCCTGAGTAGCTGGGATCACAGGCATGCGCCACCACGCTCAGTTGATTTTTGTATTTTTAGTAGAGACGGGTTTTCACCATGTTGCCCAGGCTGGTCTTGAAGTCCTGACCTCAGGTGATCTGCCTGCCTCGGCCTCCCGAAGTGCTGGGATTACAGGCGTGAGCCACCGCGCCTGGCCAGTCTGTAGTTTTCTTGTAGTGTTTGTCTGGCTTTGGTATCAGAGTAACGCTGGCCTCAGAGAATAAAGTAGGGAATATTCCTTCCTCTTCAATGTTTTGGAAAAGTTTGAGAAGGATTGATGTTAGTTCTTTAAATGTTTGGTGAAGCCATCAGGTCTAGGGCTTTGCTTTGTTGGGAGATTTTTGATTACTGGTTCAGTTGGCTTGCTAGTTACAGGTCTGTCTGTTCAGAATTTCTATTTGTTTGTGATTCAGTCTTGGTAGATTTTGGTTCTATGAATTTGTCCATATCTAGGTTATCAAGCTTGTTGGTGTACACCTGCTCATAGTACACTCTTTTTTTTTGTTTGTTTGTTTTGAGATGGAGCTTCGCTCTTGTTGCCCAGGCTGGAGTGCAGTGGTGCGATCTTGCTCACTGCAACCTCCGCCTCCCGGCTTCAAGCAATTCTCCTGCCTCAGCCTTCTGAGTAACTGGGACTACAGGCGCGTGCCACCATGCCAGCTAATTTTTGTATTTTTTAGTAGAGACGGGGTTTTGCCATCTTGGCCAGGCTGGTCTCCAACTCCTGACCTCAGGTGATCCACCTGCCTTGGCCTCCCAAAGTTCTGGGATTACAGGTGTGAGCCACTGCGCCTGGCCTAGTACACTCTTATAATCCTTTTCATTTCTGTAGAATCAGTGGTAATATCTCCACTTTCATTATTTTTTTCTTTTATTCTTTTTTTTTTTTTTTTTTTTTTTGAGACACAGTCTTACTCTGTCATCCAGGCTGGAGTGCAGTGACATGATGTCGCTTCACTGCAACCTCTGCTTCCCATGTTCAAGTGATTCTCCTGGCTCAGCCTCCTGAGTAGCTGGGATTACAGGCACATAACATGATGCCCGGCTAATTTTTGTATTTTTAGTAGAGACAGGGTTTTGGCATGTTGGCCAGGCTGGTCTTGAACTCCTGACCTCAGGTGATCTGCCTGCCTTGGCCTCCCAAAGTGCTGGGATTACAGGCTGAGCCACTTCACCCTGCAGTCTTTTTTGTTTTTTTTTGAAATGGGGTCTTGCTGTACTGCCCAGGCTGGTCTCAAACTCCTGGGCTCAAAGGATCCTCCTGAGTACCTGGTACCACAGGCATGTGCCACCATACCTGGCCCAACTTTGATTTCTGATTTTAGTAATTTGAGTCCTCTCTCTCTTTTTCCTTTTTGAGACAGGGTCTCACCCTGTTGCCCAGGCTGGAGTTTGGTGGCGTAGTCATGACCTCCTGGGCTCAAGTGATCCTTCTGCCTCAGCCTCCCAAGTAGTTGGGACCACAGGCACCTGCCACCATGCCTGGCTAATTTTAAAATTTTTTGTAGAGATGGGATCTTGACATATTGCCCAGACGGGTCTTGAACTCTTGTGCTTAAGCAATCCTATCTTGGCCTCCCAAAGTGCTAGGATTATAGGTGTGAACCACTGTGCCTGGCCTGTTTTAAAAAAGTCCATCTAGGTAAAGGTTTGTCAATTTTGGTGATCTTTTTTGCATAACCACCTTTTAGGTTTGTTGATTTTTTTCTATTATTTTTCTATTCTCTATCTCATTGATCTTAGCTCTGATCTTTATTATTATTTTCTTTCTTCTGCTAGCTTTGGGTTTAGTTTGCATTTCTTTTTTCAGTTCCTTAAATTGTAAAGTTAGGTTGTTGTCTGTGATCTTTCCTGTTTTTTTTTTTTTCTTTTATTTTTTGAGACAGAGTCTCACTCTGTCACCCAGGCTGGAGTACAGTGGTGCAATCTCAGCTCACTGCAAGCTCCGCCTCCTGGGTTCACGTCATTCTCCTGCCTCAGCCTCCTGAGTAGCTGGGACTACAGGCACCTGCCACCACGCCCGGCTAATTTTTTTTTTTTTTTTTTTGTATTTTTAGTAGAGACGGGGTTTCACCATGTTAGCCAGGATGGTCTCGATCTCCTGACCTCGTGATCTGCCTGCCTTGGCCTCCCAAGGTGCTGGGATTACAGGCATGAGCCACCGTGCCTGGCTGATCTTTCCTGTTTTTTAATGTACACATTATAGTTATAAATTTCTCCTTTAGTATTGCTTTTGCTGTGTCCCGTGTAAGTTTTAGGTATTTATTTATTTATTTTTGTTTATTTTTAAGACAGCGTCTCACTCTGTTTCCCAGGCTGGAGTGCAGTAGCATGATCTTGGCTCACTGAAATCTCTGCCTCCTGGGTTCAAGCAATTCTCTTGCCTCAGCCTCCTGAGTAGCTGGGATTATAGGCTCCTGTCATCACCCCCAACTAATTTTTGTATTTTTAGTAGAGATGGGGTTTCACCATGTTGGCCAGGCTGGTCTCAAACTCCTGACCTCAAGTGATCTGCCTGCCTTGGTCTCCAAAGTGCTGGTATTACAGGCTTGAGCCACTACACCCGGCCCTCATTTTTTTTGGTGTATATTCTTTAGCTATTTTCTGTGTGGTTGCCATGGGCATTACATTTAACATCCTGAAGTTATAACACTGTAATTTGAATTTATAATAGCTTAACTTCAATAGCATAGAAAACTCGGCTTCTTCAACAGCTCCATTTCTCACCCCTTTCAGTTGTTGATGTCATGATATTGCATCTTACACGTTGTGTGTCTAAAAACATAACCTATATCTATTTTTTTAATGCATTAGTCTCTTAAATTATGTAAAAACAAAATGTGGTGTTGCAACATCCTGGGGGTGAATTCTAGGGTAGGCTGTCTTCTTTGGGATCATGGGGGCATCAGCGGGTTCTGGAGTGGGGGCAGAGATGTGAGGCATTATCTAAAATTGGAAATGTCACAGAGGATAGAGAAAAACTCCCCTCAGCACTTAGCAGTGAATCTGGGACCAGCTGGTGTTTTGCTGCCTGTCTTCACTGTGGCCGCAACAGCTGGCAGCCATTGCGGCTGCCATCTTGGGAGTGGGTCCCTCCAAAGTTTCTGATGAGAGATCTCCTTATCTTATTGAGGATCCTTGTGTGTAATGAGTTGCTTTTCTCCCCTTCAAGATTTTGTCTTTGTCTGTCTTTTTTTTTTTTTTTTGAGACGGAGTCTCACGCTATTCCCCGGCCGGAGTGCAGTGGCGTGATCTTGCCTCACTGCAACCTCCACCTCCCGGGTTCAAGCAGTTCTCCTGCCTCAGCCTCCCAAGTAACTGGGATTACAGGCACCTGCCACCATGCCCAGCTAATTTTTTGTATTTTTAGTAGAGACAGGGTTTTGCCATGTTGGCTAGGCTGGTCTCGAACTCCTGACCTCATGATTTGCCTGCCTCAGCCTCCCAAAGTGCTGGGATTCCAGGCATCAGCCATCATGCCTGGCTCTAAGCCACCATACCTGGCCCTTTGTCTTTCAACAGTTTGATTATAATGTGTCTTGGTGTGAGTCTCTTTGTATTCATCCTGTTTGGAGTTTGTTGAGCTTTTCAGATGTTTATGTTCGTGTCTTTCATCAAATTTGGGAAATTTTGTACCATTATATTTTCAAATGTTCTCTCTGCTACTTATCTTTTCTTTCTGGGACTTTCACAATGTGTATGTTGGTCTGCTTGATTGTGTCCCCTAGGTCCCTTAGTCTCTATTCACTTCTCTTCAGTCTTTGTGCTTCTTTTCCTCAGACTTGATAATTTCCATTGTCCAGTCTCCAAGTGTTCTCAGATTATTTCTTTTGCTTGCTCAAATCTGCCTTTGAATTCCTCTAGTGAATTTTTTATTTCAGTTATTGTACTTTCCAGCTCTAGAATTTTTGGTTTCTTTTTAAGATGTCTGTATCTTTATTGATATTTTAATCTTTTTCCAAACATTGTTTTCTTGATTTTTCTCCATGCCTTCCTTTAGTTCTTTAAGCAACTTTAAGGCTGTTGCTTTAAAGTCTTTGTCTAGTAGATCTGCCATTAGGTCTTTTCGGGGATAGTTTCTTTTGGTTTATTTTTTTTCTTTTTTTTTCTTTTTTATTTTTTTTCTTTTTATTTTTTTTTATTGATCATTCTTGGGTGTTTCTCGCAGAGGGGGAGTTGGCAGGGTCATAGGACAATAGTGGAGGGAAGGTCAGCAGATAAACAAGTGAACAAAGGTCTCTGGTTTTCCTAGGCAGAGGACCCTGTGGCCTTCCGCAGTGTTTGTGTCCCTGGGTACTTGAGATTAGGGAGTGGTGATGATTCTTAACGAGCACGCTGCCTTCAAGCATCTGTTTAACAAAGCACATCTTGCACCACCCTTAATCCATTTAACCCTGAGTGGACACAGCACATGTTTCAGAGAGCACAGGGTTGGGGGTAAGGTCACCCATCAACAGGATCCCAAGGCAGAAGAATTTTTCTTAGTACAGAACAAAATGAAAAGTCTCCCATGTCTACTTCTTTCTACACAGATACGGCAACCATCCGATTTCTCAATCTTTTCCCCACCTTTCCCCCCTTTCTATTCCACAAAACCGCCATTGTCATCCCGGCCCGTTCTCAATGAGCTGTTGGGTACACCTCCCAGATGGGGTGGTGGCCGGGCAGAGGGGCTCCTCACATCCCAGTAGGGGCGGCGGGGCAGAGGCGCCCCTCACCTCCCGGACGGGGCGGCTGGCCGGGCAGGGGGCTGACCCCCCCACCTCCCTCCCGGACGGGGCAGCTGGCCGGGCAGAGGGGCTCCTCACTTCCCAGTAGGGGCGGCTGGGCAGAGGCGCCCCTCACCTCCCGGACGGGGCGGCTGGCCGGGCGGGGGACTGACCCCCCCACCTCCCTCCCGGACGGGGCGGCTGGCTGGGCAGAGGGGCTCCTCACTTCCCAGTAGGGGCGGCTGGGCAGAGGCGCCCCTCACCTCCCGGACGGGGCGGCTGGCCGGGCGGGGGGCTGACCCCCCCACCTCCCTCCCGGACGGGGCGGCTGGCCTGGCCAGGGCTGACCCCCACCTCCCTTCCGGACGGGGTGGCTGCCGGGCGGAGACGCTCCTCACTTCCCAGACGGGGTGGCTGCCGGGCGGAGGGGCTCCTCACTTCTCAGACGGGGTGGCTGCTGGGCGGAGGGGCTCCTCACTTCTCAGATGGGGCGGTTGCCAGGCAGAGGGTCTCCTCACTTCTCAGATGGGGGCGGCCGGGCAGAGACGCTCCTCACCTCCCAGACGGGGTCGCGGCCGGGCAGAGGTGCTTCTCACATCCCAGATGGGGTGGTGGGGCAGAGGCGCTCCCCACATCTCAGACGATGGGCGGCCGGGCAGAGACGCTCCTCACTTCCTAGATGGGATGGCGGCTGGGAAGAGGCACTCCTCACTTCCTAGATGGGATGGCGGCCGGGCAGAGACGCTCCTCACTTTCCAGACTGGGCAGCCAGGCAGAGGGGCTCCTCACGTCCCACACGATGGGCGGCCAAGCAGAGACGCTCCTCACTTCCCAGACGGGGTGGCGGCCGGGCAGAAGCTGCAATCTCGGCACTTTGGGAGGCCAAGGCAGGCTGCTGGGAGGTGGAGGTTGTAGCGAGCCGAGATCACGCCACTGCACTCCAGCCTGGGCACCATTGAGCACTGAGTGAACCAGACTCCGTCTGCAATCCCAGCACCTCGGGAGGCCGAGGCTGGCGGATCACTCGCGGTTAGGAGCTGGAGACCAGCCCGGCCAACACAGCGAAACCCCGTCTCCACCAAAAAAGTACGAAAACCAGTCAGGCGTGGCAGCACGCGCCTGTAATCGCAGGCACTTGGCAGGCTGAGGCAGGAGAATCAGGCAGGGAGGCTGCAGTGAGCCGAGATGGCAGCAGTACAGTCCAGCTTCGGCTCGGCATCAGAGGGAGACTGTGGAGAGAGAGGGAGAGGGAGACCGTGGAAAGAGGGAGAGGGAGACCGTGGGGAGAGGGAGAGGGGAGAGGGGAGAGGGAGTAGAGCTTTTTTTTTTCTTAAATATACCATACTTGGGCCGGGCGTGGTGGCTCACGCCTGTAATCCCAGCACTTTGGGAGGCCAAGGTGGGTGGATCATGAGGTCAGGAGTTTGAGACCAGACTGGCCAATATGGTGAAACCCCATCTCTACTAAAAATTCAAAAAATTAGCCAGGTGTGGTGGTGTGCACCTGTAGTCCCAGCTACTCGGGAGGCTGAGGCAGGAGAATCGCTTAAACCCAGGAGGCGGAGGTTGCAGTGAGTGGAGATTGTGCCATTGCACTCCAGTCCAGCCTGGGCAATAGAGCAAGACTCTGTCTCAAAAAAAAAAAAAAAAAATCTATCTATATACACACACACATACACACACACACACCATACTTTTCTGTTTCATTGTATGCCTTGTGTTTTGGGTTCAAAACTGGACATTTGAATATAATAATGTGGTAACCCTGGAAAGCAGATCTTTTGCCTTTCCCAGTGTTTGTGGTTTTCGTTTTTGTTTTTATTGTCATAGGCTTTGTGTGCTGAGGATCAGCCTCAGGTGTAAACTTAAGGTCTTCTCAGGTCTCTTTTGAGCCTGCACTTTCCCCTGGGCATGTGCAGTGACTTTCTGATTTTCCTTACACATGTAGATGCCTTAAAAACATTTTTGTTTAGAGGCAGGATCTTGCTATGTTGTCCAATCAGGAGTACTGGGACTATTCATAGACATGATTATAATGCACTATACCATCCAACTCCTGGGCTCATGCAATCCTCCCATCCCAGCCTTTTGAGTAGCTGGGACTACAAGCATGCATGACTGGACAGGCTTATGTAGTTGCCTTTAAAAATTCAGTTTTTTTTTTTTTTTTTGAGACAGGGTCTTCATTGCCCAGGCTGGAGTGAAGTGGTGTGATCACAAGTCACTACAGCCTTAACTTCCTGGGCTCAGGTGATTCTCCCACCTCAGCCTCCAGAGTAACTGGGACTACAGACACGTGCCGTCAGGCCCACTTAATTTTTTGTAGAGATGGGGTTTTGCCATGTTGCCCAGGATGGTCTTAAACTCCTGGGTTCAAGCGATCTGCCTGTTTTGGCCTCCTATACTGGGATTACAGGTGTCAGTCACTGCGCCTTGCTTGAATGTTCTTTAATGTCTGACTCCCAAAAGGTGAAAAAGATAAATGATCAGGGGAGGAAAAAAAAAAGCATTGGCCCTTTAAATCTCCAGGAAGTCACTTCAGCCTGAGGGAAAGGGGCTTGCAACCGGGCTGGGAGGAGCAACAACAATCTCTGCTACTACTTTGTCTGCACCTCTGTAATCAGAAGCAGCAATCAGAATCAGCACAGATCCCCAGTATTTGGAAGACAGTGTTCTTTTTGTGCAAGCTGTGTGCAAGCTGCTCCAGGAACACATACACAACTACCTGCCGTGAAGTTGGGGGAAACGTAGCTGCTACTCTGCTAAGAGTTGAAATTGATAGACATTAACTGCAATTTGCCATCAAGGCCTTTCCCTGGAAGTTGCAAGGCTTCAGTTGTTTCCAGAGTTCCAAAATACAGCCATACTTCACTTAACAACAGGGATAGTTCTGAAAAATGTGTTAAGTGATTTTTGTCCTTGTGCAAACCTCATAAAGTGTACTTACATAAACCTAGATGGTATAGCCTACCACACATCTAAGCTTTATTGTATAGCCTCTTGCTCCTAGGCTAAAACCTGTACAGCTTGCTACTGTACTCAATATTATAGACAATTGTAACACAATGGTAAGCATTTATGTACCTAAACATTTCTAAACATAGAAAAGGTACAGTAAAAATGTAGTATAAAAGATAAAAAATGGTAGCTGCACACGGGTGTCACATGCCTGGAGTCCCAGCTACTTGGGAGGCTGAGGTAGGAGGATTGCTTGAGCCCAGGAGTTCAAGATCAGCCTGGGCAACAGAAGGAGACCCCAACCTATTAAAAGAGAAAAAATAAAAAGTAGTACCCCTGTACAGTGCACTTAACATGAATGGAGCTTGCAGGACTGGAAGTTGCTCTAGGTGAGTCAGTGAGTAAGTGGTCAGTGAATATGAAAGCCTAGGATGTTACTGTATACTACTGTAGACTTTATAAACACTGTACACTTAGGCTACGCTACATTTATAAAAAATTTTTTCTTCAATAATAAATGTAGCTGTAGCTTACTGTAATATTTTTACTTTATATACTTTAAAATTTAAAACTGTTGACTCATAATAACAGCTTAAACAAATGCATATTGTACAACGGCACAAAAATATTTATACATTATTCTGTAAGCATTTTTCTATTAGCAGTTTTTAATTTTACTTTTTAAACTTTTTTTGTTAAAAATAAAGACAAAAATACATTAGCCTAGGTCTACACAGGGTCAGGATCATTAACATCACTGTCTTCTATCTTCACATTTAGTCCCACTGGAAGGTCTTCAGGGGCAATCACACACTTGGAACTGTCATTTCCTGTGATAATAGTGCCTTCTGGAAAGACCTGCTTGAGGCTGGTTTACAGTTAACTTTGTTTTTCTTTTAAAGCCACTCCTTGGCTGGGTACTGTGGCTCACGCCTGTAATTTCAGCACTTTGGGAGGCTGAGGCGGGGGGTGGGGGTTACTTGAGCCCAGGAGTTCAGGATCAGCCTGGGCAACATGGCGAAACCGTGTTAGTAGTCTCTACTAAAAATACAAGACAAAGGCTGGGCGCGGTGGCTCACGCCTGTAATCTCAGCACTTTGGGAGGCTGAGGCGGGTGGATCACAAGGTCAGGAGATCGAGACCATCCTGGCTAACACGGTGAAACCCCGTCTCTACTAAAAATACAAAAAAATAATTAGCCGGGCGTGGTGGTGGGTGCCTGTATTCCCAGCTACTTGGGAGGCTGAGGCAGGAGAATGGTATGCACTTGGGAGGCAGAGCTTGCAGTGAGCTGAGATTGTGCCACTGCACTCCAGCCTGGGCGACAGAGTGAGACTCTGTCTCAAAAAAAACAAAAACATTGCCAGGTGTGCTGGTGTGTGCCTGTAGTGCCCGTTACTTAGGAGGATGAGGTGGGAAAATCACCTGAGCCTGGAAAGTTGAGGCTCCAGTGAGCTGCTATCATGCCACCGCACTCCAGCCTGGGCTATGGGAATGAGATCCTGTCTCAGGAAAAAGAAAAAAAGTCACTCCTTGCCCAGGCTGTAATGCAATGGCATGATGATAGCCCACTGCAACCCCAAATTCCTTGGCTCAAGCAGTCCTCCTGCCTCAGCCTTCCAAGTAGCTGGGACTACAGGTACTCATCACCACGCCTATTTTTGTATTTTTTGTAAGGACAGGATCTTGCTATATTGCTCAGGCTGATCTTGAACTTGTGGCCTCAAGGGATCCTCCTGTCTTGACCTTCTAAAGCTCTGGGATTGCAGGCATGAGCCACTATGCCTGGCCCCTCTTAAAAAATAAGTAGAATGAGTACCCTCTAAAATAGCAATAAGAAGTATTTAATGGTAAATACTAGGTGATAGGAATGTTTCAGCTCCATTGTCATCTTATGAGACCACTGTCGTATAAGTGGTCTGTTGTTGACTGAAATGTGCAGCACATGACTCTGATTTATATCAGACAAATTCTGTCAGTGCAGTTGTTGTCTAGTTAGGGAGACAGATTTCTGTGCTGTTGACGAAGAGTTAGACTCTGTAAAATATTTTTTAGAGACTTATTCTGAGCCAAACCTGAGTGACCATGGCCCATGACATAGCCCTCAGGAGGTCCTGAGAACATGTGCCCAAGGTGTTCGGGGTACAGCTTGGTTTTATATATTTCAGGGAGGCACAAGACATCAATCAAATACATTTAAGAAATACAGGCCAGGCGTGGTGGCTCAGGCCTGTAATCCCAGCACTTTGGGAGGCCTAGGTGGGCGGATCTTGAGGTCAGGAGATCGAGACCATCCTGGCTAACACGGTGAAACTCCATCTCTACTAAAAAATAATAAAAAAAAATTAGCCGGGCATGGTGGGCATGTACCTGTAGCCCCAGCTACTCAGGAGTCTGAGGCAGGAGAATCACTTGAACACAGGAAGCGGAGGTTGCAGTAAACCGAGATCGTGTCACTGTATTCCAGCCTGGTGACAGGGTGAGACCCCGTCTCAAAAAATAATAATAATAAAAATAATAAAAAAGACAGACATTGGTTTGGCCTGTAATCCCAGCAATTTGGGAGGCTAAGGTGGGCGGATCACCTGAGGTCAGGAGTTCAAGACCAGCCTGGCTAACATGGTGAAACCCTGTTTCTACTAAAAATACAAAAAATTAGCCAGGTGTGGTGGCATGTGCCTGTAATCCCAGCTAGTCGGGAGGCTGAGGCATGAGAATTGCTTGAACCTGGGAGGTGGAGGTTGCAGTGAGCCGAGATCACACATTTGTGCTCCAGCTTGGGCAACAAGAATGAAACTCCATCTCAAAAAAACAAACAAACAAGAAATACATTGGTTTGGTTCAGAAAGGTGGGACAACTCAAAGTGGGGGCTTCCAGGCTATAGGTAAATTTAAACATTTTCTGGCTGACGGTTGAGTTTATCTGAAGATCTGGGATCAATAGAAAGGAAATGTTTAGGTTAACATAAAGGATTGTGGAGACCAAGTTTTATTGTGCAGAGGAAGCTCTCAGGTAGCACACTTCAGAGAGAGCAGGTTGTAAAATGTTTCTTATCGGACCTAAAAGAATGCGTGACTCTTAGTTGATTATCTCCTGGATCTGGAAAGGAAGGAAGGAAGAAAGGAAAACAAGGGGGTAGGGGATTCTCTATAGAATATGTGGATTTTTCCCACAAGGGATCACTTTGCAGGGCCATTCAAGATATGGCAGAGAAACATGTTTTGGGGTAAAATATTTTTATTTTCTTCCTTGTTATGCCAGAGTCAGATTGGAAAGTAAGTCTCAATATACATGGTTAAATAAAACCCATCTGATGAGAATTTACTGTTTGTAGGACATGACTCCCCAGACCTTTTAGATAGGAATTTGGGCCAGATAAAATCAGAGTTTAGTCCTCATTGCTTTCTACTCTACCATCTTCCCACCTCTTCCTTACTAGCTTTTGGACTTTGTTCTTATTACTTCTGTGACTTAGTTTCTTCATCTGAATAAGTGTGTACTGATACCCACCTCCTAGGGCAGTTAGGATGAAATGAAATAATGGAGGTCATGTGCTTGGCACATGGTAGGTGCTCAATGAATGGTGAAGATTGTAATGCCTTTAAAGAGCTCAAGTTTCATTAGGGACAGAACCCATGGGCCCGACCCTAGGGGCTGAGAGAGGCTGACTAACGACATGGGGACAGTGGGGTTGGGTTTGCCTTGTTAGGGAAGGTTCTTGGAGAAGGTATTTGGAGTCAGGCCTCAATCTGTGTCCCTTACTGGGGAAGGTGAGCGGCTCCTTCAAGTAGAGAGAAGGCAATGGGCAGAAGCTTTGAGTAGTAACCAGAAAGAACTGTTTTTTCTCTTCCCTCTTGTGAGGGAAGGGATGGAGTCATTAGAGAAAGTAGCTGGTGCACTGGCTCTTTTGAGTCAGAGAGACTTGGAGTCCCTTCCTGGCTTTGTGCCATGTACATGTTGCGTGGCCTTTGGCAAGTCATTTCCCCTCCTGTCTGAACTTTGGTTACTTTATCTGTAAAATGGAGATGATAATATCTTTTTTTTTTTTTTTTTGAGACATTCTCTTGTTGTTGCCCAGGCTGGAGTGCAGTGGCACGATCTTGTCTTACTGCAACCTCTGTCTCCTGGGCTCAAGCTATTCTTGTGCCTTAGCCTCCCGAGTAGCTGGGATTACAGGCTTACGCCACCATACCCAGCTAATGTTTGTATTTTTAGTAGAGACGGGGTTTCACCCTGTTGGCCAGGCTAGTCTTGAACTCTTGGCCTCAAGTGATCTGCCCGCCCAGCCTCCCAAAGTGCTGGAATTATAGGCGTGAATTATAGGAATTATAGGTGAGATGATAATATCTACTTACAGTGCTGGATGAGGATGAAATAATTGCAATTTTAAATGGCAAAAACCACAATTACTTTTGCACCAACCCAATATTTAATACATTTAGTACAGTGCCCTTCACTTAGTGCATATTTAATAACTGATAAATTAAAAAATAGTGAAGCAGCTGGGCATGTTGGCTCATGCCTGTAATCCCAGCACTTTGGGAGGCCGAGACGGGCGGATCACTTGAGCCCAGGAGTTCAACACCAGCATGACCAATATGGTGAAACCCCATCTCTACCAAAAACACAAAAAATAGCCAGGCGTGGTGGTGGGCACCTGTAATCCCAGCTACTCAGGAGGCGGAGGCAGGAGAATCGCTTGAACCTGGGAGGTGGAGGTTGCAATGAGACGAGATGGTGCCACTTGACTCCAGCCTGGGTGACAGAGCGATACCTTGTCTCCACAAAAGAAAAAACCGAAAAAAAAACAAAACAGTGAAGCATTTCTTTTGGGGAAATTAAGCTGTTTTAAATTTCTGTGGTTAGATAACTTTTCTGAAAAGTCAGTTTCCATCTTGGAATCAGTTATCAGTTTCCCTCAATTTCTTAAGGAGCACGTCACCTTGCTGCCTGACGCCCTTTGGGCTCACCATCATACTTAGAATCAACTCCAAACTCCTTAGCCTGGTTATAAGGCCTTTCATATTCCGATCCCTGCCTGCCTTCCTTGGCAGCTTTATCTCCTAACCTCCCCTACTCCCTTCTGCTTGCCTTCTGTGTTCTGGACACAGTAACTTACTTTCTGCTTCTTAAACAGAGGGCCTTTGCTCCACCTGTACCCTCTGCCTAGAATATTTTTCTCTCGTCTTCATTGGATGAGCTCTTTGTCATTCTCAGCTCAGTTCTGCTGTTATTTACAAGAAAGGCTCTTCCTTTTATCTGGTATAAAGTGACTACTTAAGTCACCATAACTTAACCACTTGATATTTTTCTTGCTTTTCTGCTTCTTGTTGACTCTGTTTTCCCTCCACTAGAACGTAAGTTTCATGAGAGTAGGGACGAGATCTGTTTGTCACATTCACAGCTGTATTCCCAGTCCTAGGAAAGGTACCTGGCATATAGTAGATGATCAAACAACATTTGTTGAATGAATGAGCTGTGAATGAGAATGTGTTCTTTTATTACGCTGAACCTGGGTACACAGGTGTTCACATTCACATTCCTACTGCTTTGTTCCTTAAATAAATGTAATCAAGATGATTTTCTTTCTTATTCATTAACTATTGTGCTCCTCCACTCCCATTAATTGGAACAGTCTGTGGAGAGGCCATTTTCCCCTTCCTTCGTTTTATGTGGCTCTCTTTCTTCCTAGCATTTTGTTACTGGAAGGGGGAGTTTGTGGTTGCTAGGCTTTGAGCATTGATTTTTAGGATTTCTGTCATAAGGAAGCAAGCTTTAGTGAATTGGTTTGGAATAAAACAAACACAAAAGCTCACCAGGAATAGCAAATTTATCTCACTCTGATTTTTTACTGACATTTTTTGTAGTACTCCCTAAGTTCTTAGATAAGGTCATTAGACAGGAATTGACAATGGCCAGATAGAAACAAATTCACAGAATGTGAGTGGGTGGCAGGGTGAGACATGGAGAGGTCAGAGGGGATAGTGCTTCTCTTTCTGGTAGTGGCCTGGTTTTTCATGGCAAATATTGGCCAGTGTAACTGTTCTCCTTTCGTAGGGCCTGTATGTTTGGGAGCTGTAGAGACTGTAGGGGGACTGCTCAGTGCTGGTGTGCCCACCTGGTAAGGCCTAGGCAATCCTAATTTTTTTTTTTTTTTGAGACAGAGTCTCTCTCTGTTGCCCAGGCTGGAGTGCAGTGGCATGATCTTGGCTCACTGCAACGACCACTTCCCAGCCTCAGATGATCCTCCCACCTCAGCCTCCCAAGTAGTGGGGACTACGGGAGCGTGCTACCATGCCCAGCTAATTTTTGTGTTTTTAGTAGAGATGGGGTTTTGCCATGTTGCCCAGTCTGGTCTCAAACTCCTGGACTCAATCTGCCCACCTCAGCCTCCCAAAGTGGTGGGATTACAGGCATGAGCCACCGCACCTGGCCAGCAATTCTAATTCTTTGCTTTTCTAGGGAAGTGCTCCAAGCTCCTGGGAGTAAGGAAGATGTGGGACTCTGGTCACTTTTGAAAACGTTTGAGTCCTAAATGTTATTGGTGCTCAAAGACCTGGTTCTTAAGATAATAAAATCCCAGGGATGGATATGAGAAAGAGAGAGTGTCTAGAACAGGGTTAGCCGACAGATGTTCATTAGCTTTCCCAAAAACAATTCTTTGTGTGTTGAGAACTGTAGCCCTGCAGATACTGGTCTCTACTCATGTCTAGGGCTCCTTTTTCCCACCTGAAGCTGGCTTCTCCTTTTCCTTTTCTCAAAGCACATGGTTACCTTTAACCTGACTTAGATGTTGTCTACTCTTCACTATACGGCTCTCAAATGAAGGATATTGGACAGCCTGCTTGTTAGCTTTCTCCTTCATTTCCCTTATTTAAAGATTTGGCCTTGTGGCTGACTGAGGGTATTTGGTTATTCTTTTTTTTGAGTCAGAGTTTCACTCTTGTTGCCCAGGCTGGAGTGCAATGGCGCGATCTCAGTTCATCGCAACCTCTGCCTCCCAGGTTCAAGCGATTCTCCTGCCTCAGCCTCCTGAGTAGCTGGAATTACAGGCATGCGCCACCATGCCCAGCTAATTTTGTGTTTTTAGTAGAGACGAGGTTTCACCATGTTGGTCAGGCTGGTCTCAAACTCCTGACCTCAGGTGATCCACCCGCCTCAGCCTCCCAAATTGCTGGGATTACAGGCATGAGCCACCGCGCCCAGCCTGTTATTCTTGTTACTATTAACTTGCTTTAGTTACTGACTATCCCCTATCCTTCTGGAATAGTCTTTATGTTTAAACTTATGTAGAAGTCCCCTTTTAGTGAAACTCTTGCTACCCCCACCCTTTTTTATTTGTGATGGAGTCTTGCTCTGTTTCCCAGGCTGGAGTGCTGTGGCATGATCTTGGCTCACCGCAACCTCCACCTCCCAGGTTCAAGCAATTCTCCTGTCTCAGCCTCCTGAGTAGCTGGGACTACAGGTGTGTGCCACCACACCCAGCTAATTTTTGCATTTTGAGACGGGTTTTCACCATGTTAGGCTGGTCTCCAACTCCTAACCTCAGGTGGTCTGCCTGCCTCGGCCTCCCAAACTGCTGGGATTATAGGCATGAGCCACGACACCTGGCCTCGCTCCCTTTTTTATGCAAGAATTTCAGCTATACACCAGCAAGACAGGGATTTGAAGGTTCTAGTAGTTACCAGAAGGTAGTTTTTTGGTAGAACAGCTTTTTGGTAGAGTGGCTCTCTCAACCAACTTTGGGCTCAAAAATCATTATTAAGGCTCTGCTCACTTCTTTTACTGCCCCTTTTCAGTGCTAAATGATGATCCTCATTCCTTTAATCTTTTTTCACTTGCTCTGTTTCCTGGCCCCTGTGTTGTTTCTGCAGTTCTTCAAAGGAGTGTTTTCTTTCGGAAGTTTTCACAGCTGTCTTCTGGCTAGGGTTGTAGGTAATATGTTAGGCTCCATCTCTTCTACTCCTCCAGGCTATAACTTTTGTGTGTGTGTGTGTGTGTGTGTGTGTGTGTGTGTGTGTGTGTGATTGTGGAAATGTGATTGGGATGGGTAAAATGCACAGTTAGGCTCTCCCACCCCACTGTGACTGTCATTTGTGAATCTGTGTCATGTAATGGTACCTCAGCCAGGGTCCCCAAACTTGAGATGCTCTTGACCTTCAGGGATGGTAATGGCCTGCACTTCTGTGATGCCTAATGAGGCTGCCTTTAAAAGGAAATTTTTTTTTAGGTTGAGGGTTTTTGTTTTGTTTAGAAAGTAAACATACTTGCATCTCTTTTTATTTTGACTTGCATTGATTTCCTCTTCTTTCTTAAATCCTGAGTAAGAACTTCAAAATCAGTTGCCAACCTTTGTGTTCACAAGAATTGAGTGGATCAGCCTCTGTATTCTTCACCTGTGCACCTGATGGACTAATATACTGCTGTGGGGGAAACAGCTTCCAAAGGTCTCTCTTCTCTTACACATGCACACACACACAAGCACAACTGTGTTATAAAGAATAGGCACTTCTCTAAGAGGAACTTGTCCTGCTTCATGCAAATACCCTCCATTGCAGCAAAATTCTGGAAACTTTGAAAGAGGTACAATTAGTGATTTTTTTTTTCCCCAAGAAGCCTCAAAGCTCTTAAAATAAATCTTAAAAAATCTGGTACTCAGAGCTTCAGCTCAGAAAGCAGACAAATTGCAAACCTGGTGCAATAAGACTCTTCTCTCCTCTGATCTTTTTCCGTTTTCTCTCAATTTATTTTAACATCCCCTTTCATGGTCTTACGTTTCAGAAACTTGATTCAGTCCTTCCTTGCCAGCTCCTGGCAGGACAAGCAGCAGGGCTTCCGGCCCTAATTTATGGTTTATATTTCTTCTCCATCCCCTCTTTGCTGCCCCAGTTCTTTACCTCCTCACATCCTGCTGGCCTTTCTTCCATCAGAAAGGACAGTGTCATGTGTGACATGTTGCTTTGGAATTGGATGGCATCAGTGTTAGCCTAGTGATTTGGGTAGAATTTGGGAAACTGTTTTGCGCATGTGCTGCTAAATGAGGAGATGGGGCCTTTTTTTTTTTCCCTCTCTCTCTTTTAGTACCATCTTTCTTTCCCCTTGTCCCCTGTAGCCTCCATTAGCCCTGTTGCCAGGGGGAATGGGAAATTCTTTACCATGATTAGTTCTAGGGTATTATCCTATAAAGTTACAAAATAGCATTTCAGAGCAAGATGTCAGAGAGTCTCCCTGCAGTTCCCATGGAACCAGTTGACCTTTCAGTTACATTTTTTCAACATCTTTAGGGGCCCATTTGAAGAGAGCTAAAGCAATAACTAGGACTAAGCAAAGAAAGCTAATTTGGAGCCAGAATATCTTAAGAAGCTTAAAAAATTAGAACCTGCGGATACATAATAAATAGGAGCTTGAGCTTTGTTCTTTTCTTTTTTTAAAAAATTATTTTACCTTTTTTTCTCATCTGCCATTAACTGAAAGGCTTTGTTCTCTTCTTACTCCTTATCTTTTTACATTACTTTTTGGTTTTCTCCCCCACACTTGGGGACTCTCCATTATTTCCCTCATGGTGCGATGAATGAGGATCTTGCTGGTGACAGCCTGCTGAGATCAGGCAGGTGGAGGGAGCAGGGGTGGGCTCCCTTCAGGTACTGCTAAATCCGAGGGGTTTGGTTCATCTGGGGAAGGGGTAAGCTTGCTGTCATTTCTAGATTCATTTGCCTCCCACAAGGATTCTTAGGGACTAACTGCATTTTCAAGATGATTCTCTCTGAGGATGCAGGAATGGAAGAAATTTTCTAGACAGAATTCTAAGAACATTTTTGTGAGTCTTTCTGAGCACTTCAGAGGCTCACCCAAAGATGTGTAATTTGTCTCTTTTAGTTCTTCTCTAGCTTACACTATTAACTTTCCCCCATTCATTTGGTGTCATTTGGAGGCAGGCAGTTTGATATTGTAGTTAAGATCTTGGGCTTTGGAGTCAGACCTGCTTTCTAATTCTGGCTCTGCCATTGATTAGCTCTCTGACTTTGGGAAGGTGGCCTAACCTCTTTGATCTCAGCTGCCTCATCAGTAATAGGGGAATAATGATGGTTCCTATGACGAAGGATTGTTGTGAACCCAGTTTTGCAACTCTCTAAATGTTAGCTATAATTGTTTTGGGATACTGACGAAAAATCAGATTGAACCTTCTTGACAAAAGAAGGTAGAGAGTTGCTAGAATAACCTTGAAGGATTGAAGGAAGACATGGGGTTGAGGGAGAGGAAAAGCATCTAGCAAAAAGAAAAGTAGAACTCTGGGTACTTTAATGAATTAACTATTATTGTACTACATTAGTAAATTCCAAGTCTTCCCCTTTGCTATTCCACCAAACTGATTTTTCTCCCAGGAACCCCAAACTGGTTCTACTGGCTCCTCTGCAAAGATTTCATAGCCACAGCAGCCACAGTGTCCTCTGTTACCAAGACATCATTATTTTTACAAAACATACTGCTGTGTTTCTCCACCTGCATTTTGAAGTGTCATAAACAGATAAAGCTGAAGCACACTTGTCAGAATAGGTTCAAAAAGTGCATTTTGGGTTGCTTTACCTTTGTCCTGACAATGTGTTTATTAGCTTGCTTGTTAATTCCAGAATTGGTTAACTTGAGGTACCTCTGGGCCAGCCTGCTCACACCAACACTCATCCTGAAAACTTCCAGAGAAGGACTCAGGTGGCTCACTCCTTCTCTTGGTGTTCCTGGGAAGTCAAAGTGGTGAATAGCAGTCCTTCTCAGGGGGCAGAGAGGAAACTGAATTACTCGTGGTCTGATACCTTCCAAACATGTCTCTGTGGGAAAGGAGAAATTGTGGGCAGGATGGAGCAGACCAACAAAGGTTAGGAGCTTCTCAGTGATTGGAAAAACAAGTACAAACAAAAAATTAGATGAAAACCTTTGTTAGACAGTTTGATTTACTTCCTCTTGTGGATGATAGATTCTGGACTATTTCTCTCCACACCTGATAATTAGAACATCAAGAAGATAATTCAGTCTCTGATAAGCTTTTGCAGTGATGTTGGTGGGAGAAAGGAGAGGCTCATGAGAAGGCTTTGCAGCAGAGGAGCTGTCAGTGCTGATTGCTTCAATTCTTGGCAGGGTCACCCATCAGATAGTGGACAAGTCTGGCTTGGGGAGGCTGTGTATAGAAAAGGAGCAAGGCACAGGGCTCAAGAGTGCTGGCCTGGAGTCATAGGACCCAGGTTAGAGTCTGGCTAGCTGGGTGTGTTAGTTTCACGTGGCTGCTGTAACAGATGAACACAAACTTGGTGGCTTAAAACAAGAGATTTATCCTTTCATGGTTTTGGAGGCCAGAAGTCTGAAATCAGTGTCACTGGGCTGAAGTTAAGGTATTGGCAGGGCTGTGCTCCCTCTATACCTTGTAGGGCAAAATCTGTTCTTCCTTGCTGCTTCTAGCTTCTGGTGGCTAACAGCATTCCTTGGCTTGTGGACACATTACTCCTGTCTTCAAGGCCAATGTCTACAAATCTCAATCACCTTCTTTTCTGTGTCTCTGTCAAATCTCCCTCAGCTTCTTGTGATTTAGGGCCTATGCTGATAATCCAGGATAATCATTTTAAGTTCCTTAATGTAAAAACATCTGCAAAGATCCTTTTTTTTTCTTATTCCCTCCCTCAGCCAGACTCAACTCCTGGGCTCAAGGGATCCTTCTGCCCCAGCCTTCCAAGTAGCTGGGATTACAGGTGTGAGTGATCACACCTGGCTTCTTTTTTTTTTAATAAGGTAACATTTATAGGTTCTAGGGATTAGGACCTGATATCTTTGGGATGTTATTTTTCTGCCTACCATACTGGGTTACCTTGGGCAAGTGACTTTCATCAGTGTGAACTTATTTTCTTATCTGTAAAATAAAAATGATTATCAAATATTCTGTACTAAATTGCCATGAGATTTAAATGAAATCTTGCCTGCTAAGCACTTGGAAATGGGCCAGGTATGTAGTTGATGCCTGGTATCCAGAAAGCATTATTATTACGTAAACATATATTTTATATTACTATTATTTAGTCATCTTCTGTGAAAGGGAGAGGATAGTTCCTTAAGAGTTTGACCTGGCAGTAGTTCAAGACCAGCCTGGCCAACATGGAGAAACCCCGTCTCTACTGAAAATACAAAAGTTAGCCGGGCATGGTGGTGTGTTCCTGTAATCCCAGCTATTTGGGAGGCTGAGGTGGGAAAATCGCTTGAACCTGGGAGGCAGAGGTTGCAGTGAGCCCAGATCACGCCACTGCACTCCAGCCTGGGCAACAGAGCAAGACTGTCTTAAAAAAAAAAAGAGTTTATTTGACCTGGGACAGTTCCCCCTCATGCCTGCCTTGGCCTCCTGTGCCCTGGGGTCCTTGGCTGTCACCTGCTATGGTCTGCAGATATCCCCAAGGCCACCCTCTTACCCAGTCTTCTGTTTTCTTTTATCAGTGCTTGGGCTGGTCTTTGGGGGAACAGGTCTCTCCCTTTAGGGGGTATTAATGACTGAATGCTTGTGTCTCCCAAAATTCATATGTTGAAGTCCTAATCCCAAGTGTGGCTGTATTTGGTGTAAAGAAGTACGTGAGGCTAAATGAAGTCATCAGGTTTGGGCCGTGATCCCACAGGATTAGTGTCTCCATAAGAAGAGATTAAAGAGAGCTCGAGAGCTCGTTCTCTCTCTCTCTCTCTCTCTCTCTCTCTCACTCTGTGTACGTGTGTGTGTATACTGAGGAAAGGCCATGTGAAGACATGGCAAGAGGGCAGCCATCTGCAAGCTAAGATGAGAGTCTTCAGCTGGAACCTTGATCTTGGACTTCTGGCCTTCAGAATTGTGAGAAAATTTTCCGTTGTTGAAGCCATCAGTCTGTGGTATTTTGTTAGAGCAGCCTGAGCAGGCTAATACAGTGGGCCTAACCCAGCTCATACCCACTTGTGCCCAGAAATCTCAGAATAAACTTGAACTCTGAAATTATTCCTAATTAGCATTCAAAATAGTTTATGTTCCTGCTTTCCTGTGGATAACTATAACTCCATAATGAAGGATAGAATAATATTATTTTTACAGCGGTATTTAGTATCTGTTAGCTATCAGCCAAAAGGTACGTATCCCCAGTGAGGTACTGTAAATACATTTTATCTGTTCTTTTACCTGCTGTTTCACAAACACATCCCTGAAGCATTTCAATCTTGTTTTTCATACTTGTCTTCAGGTGAAGAATTGTTCTGATTTGCAACTTTGGGGGATAATTACTATGTTCATTAGTTTCTGTTCTTTTCTTCCTCTCCATTTATTTCTGGTTCCTTGAGAAAAATTTCCCCTAAATCTACACTAACAGGAGACAAGTCACTTGATTAAAAAGGTGTTTTACAACACTAGTTTCTCTGGCTCACTTGGCTTGGTGATGTGAGGGCTGTGTCAGCATCTCCTTAGCTGGAGTAAAGGTCTCCCTGGTCTAGGCTTAGATGAATAAGAGGCTTTCGGGGTGGGGGTTCTGACCTCAGCTATATTGCAAAATATTTTTTACACCGGGGTATTCCTGGGCAAGGGGCAGGAGAGGCTCACCTGGTTTCCTTCTTATCAGTGATTCAATCACAGACATTAATCAAGCATGTGTTATGTACAGAGCGTGCACAGCATTGTGGAAGACATGGCTCTTGGCTCACAGGGGTGCTCAGCACATGTTGATTAAATGAGCACATGGCTGGATAGAGTGGCCTTAGCATTCAGAGAGACTGAAAGGGCAGGCCAGAGGGTCACTGCCTGGGCATTAGTGAGTAAAGGGCACTGTAATGTCCCTGGAAATGTAACAGAATTGGGAACATCTTCTGAGGGCCATGATGCCCTAGCACTTGGATCTGTAAGAGGAAGCAGTAGAGGGAGAAAACTTTGTTGATGAAGGTTTATTTTGCCTTTTTTTTTACCTGATATTTTGGCTCAGTCCCTTCTTCATTATAGACAGAGACTGTTATTTACATTTTGTGTAAATGCAGATGTCTTATAAATGCCAAGTTATCATCCAAGACAGTTGAGAGAGGAGATGGAGAAATACTAGTTTGGACAAGTTGGCTCAGGATAAGAAAAGAGGCAGGGATGTATGTGAGATGCCTGAGAAAAGAACTGAAGAAGGCGAGAAAGCAGAAGCCAGAAAGAATTTCAATTAACCTGGAACAGAATGGGAGCCCAGCTTGAAGAAGTTGGGTCTGGGCTGGACACTCGGGGAAAGAGCACTGGAAGGATTTCTGTCTGTAAGAATGAGGAAGGACAGTGTGTAGTTAGCTTGGGGTACTGTGGAAAGAGGAGCACTGGGAAAAATGGTTTAACAACACCTACATTCCGATACCTCACCGTTATGACACTTATCATACTATGTGGTGATTATTTGTTTATATGCCCCTTTTTTTCTCTTAGAAGGCAGGAGGGGGAGCATAGTCACCTTTGTATCTCAGTTACTTAACACTGTGTCCATCAGATAGCAAATGCTGCAACAGATAGCTGATGAACGTGCTTAAGGTCAAGGCCTCAGTGAGCCATCCACTAAGGACAGAAATGTGAGGGGTCTGTGGAGGCAAGTGGGTGTTGTGGTGGCAAGCGTGTAACTGGCTTAGGGGGTGAACCAGGATAGAACTGAGAAGTGAGTCTAACAGAGACTCTAAATCATCTCAGTAATTTATTAAACATCTCTTTTGTCTCAAGTCTTGAGCTAGTTAGGCAGAATGAACATGGTCTCTGTCCTTGCAATGGTTAAGGTCTGGAAGGGGAGAAGGACAACTATATAAGAAAGTATAATAATGCTATGATCAGAGAAGTACAGGTGCTCTGGCAGCACTGAATTTGCTGTAGTGGGGAGGGTTGGGGAAGGCCTCAAAGCGGAAGTGTCTTTTAAGCTGTAGCCTTTAGGATGAGTAGGAATTTGTCAGATAAAGAGGAGGGGAAATGGCATTCCAAGCAGAGGGAATGACATGTGCAAAAGCCTGGAGGTGGGAGACGAGATGTCTTCAGCATTGTAAGAAATGTTGTATAAGACCAACTCTAGGCCAGGTGCGGTGGCTCACGCCTGTAATCCCAGCACTTTGGGAGGCCAAGGGGGGCGGATCACCTAAGGTCAGGAGTTCAAGACCAGCCTGACCAACATGGAGAAACCCCGTCTCTACTAAAAATACAAAATTAGCCGGGCGTGGTGGCATATGCCTGTAATCCCAGCTACTTGGGAAGCCGAGGCAGGAGAATCCCTTGAACCTGGGATGCAGAGGTTGCGGTGAGCTGAGATCGCGCCATTGCACTCACTCTAGCCTGGGCAACAAGAGCAAAACTCCATCTCAATAGGCAGGGAGAGGAAAGAGATGAAGCTGCTGATGTTGATCAGGGCTGGATGGTGGCAGGTTGCGAGTATGGAATTTGGCCTTTATTCTGAGGGTCCTGGAAAACCATTGAATGGTTTCAAGCAGGGAAGGATAGGGTCAGATTCATGGTCTGGCTATAGAGTAATCCCTCTACATTCTTTTTTTTTTTCTTTTCTTTTTTTTTTTCCCAAGATGTTGTCTCACTCTATCACCCAGGCTGGAGTGTAGTGGCATGATCTCGGCTCACTGCAACCTCTGCCTCCTGGGTTCAAGGGATTCTCCTGCCTCAGCCTGCCGAGTAGCTGGGATTACAGGCACCCTCCACCATGCCCGGCTAATTTTTGTATTTTTAGTAGAGGTGGGGTTTCACCATGTTGGCCAGGCTGGTCTCGAACTCCTGACCTCAGGCAGTCCACCTGCCTCGGCCTCCTAAAGTGCTGGGATTACAGGTGTGAGCCACTGTGCCTGGCCAATCCCTCTACATTCTAAATAAACATTTAATCAAGATGTATACTTGTAATTTGCTGATCTTTTACCCCAGGATACTTTGACGTTGCATTAAAGCCTGACCATTTACTCCAAATCACTGTCTGAGCATAGGAACCTGAAGAATTGTGTGGAGAGCGTGGCCTGCCGCAGGCCTGAGTCCCTGGTGTTTGATCTTAGACGCACGGCCCAAGGCACCATTGCCGAGCCTGCGGTGTTCAGGGCTGCTGCTCCCACCTCTGCTGCAGCTCTGCCTGCTCTCACCTCAGAGCCTCTTTGCAGCAGCTTAAAATTCCTCAGCCACTGCACCTTCTTCTGCTCCATGCTCTCTACAAATTGAAATTTTTTATGACAATGTTGTATCAATTGGAAAAGTTTTGGAAAGTAGGATTGAGAAATAAAGACTTCTTTGCCTTTTCTCCCTGCAAGGGAATTTGAAAAATATAGAAATTCTAAGTTACATGTTAAATATCCTTGGGGTTTCCTTTCCTTCTCTTTTGAAAGTTTTTTTTTCCATTAACCAAATATCCGACAGAAATGCTTGTGGGAAGATAATTCCTTTTGGCTAGAGCTTATACTCCACATTGTGAGCTTTTTAATTTTCTTTCCTTGGTGGTGGGTTGGGACCCAACTGTGCAGTTGCGGGAGCTCATCACAGTCCTGTTGCTGGGCAAGTTCTCCCTGTGAATCTGTGTTTTCCCCTTGTACCTACCTAATGAAAGCCAAATTAGATAAATTTTTAATCAAGGAGATGAATGATGAGTTTTTCCTTAGAAAAGAAACCACAAGGCCCCACAGTACTGGATACAATAAAATGTGAAGTTTTTGTTTGCATGTATGCTGTTTGGCATGGCTTTAATGTCAGAAAAACAGGAGGTGTTGTTAAAGTAGCATTTGGAAAGACAGCATTCCAGACAGATAGTGTGTTTTTCTCCCCAGTCGTTCTTCTCTTTCACAGTTGATGCATGCCTGTGTGTTCCCAGCACCTTGCACTAGTACACGGTAGGTGCTTGGAGATATCTGAATGAATGAAAAGGAGAGTTTTGAGCAGGGTCTTCTTTTTCTCCTGTTGCCCCCTTCCTCTGTCCTCAGTCTATTTGTTCATTTCTTCATTCATTCAACATATATTTTTTCTTTCTAGGCTGGTGTGGGGGCCAATGGTTGGGAATGGGGTAAAGGGAAGGTTTCCATTGAGTTGAGGCTGGGAGGCATAGTCAGATCTCTCCTTCTTCTTCAATACCTATTTTGTCCTTTATTTTGGAAAATGTTCAAGGTATTATCAATACCAGCATCCTCCTCCTGAAAATTGCTGCCTTCTACCTGCTTTCACCAAATGGTTTTCCTTATGCCAAGGGAGGGTGGCAGAGGGAGTAGGGATGAAGCCTCTTCAACTCAGGGGCTGTGTAGGTATGTCTCCGTGCACTGTGAGTGGTGGGGCTGTGGGGAGCCAAGCTTGCCTTGCCTGGGATATAATTCCCATAATTGAAGGCTTGGCTTTGGGCTAGGCTCCCAAAGTGTTGACATTTCCGGAGGACTCACGCCAGCACCAGACCTTCCCCGCAGCCCACGTTCTAGCTTGTTACTGCTATTGAATAGGCTCCCTGAGTGCCTCTCTTCAACCGAAGAAGAAAGTGGCTTTTATTGAGAGCCTTTAGGAGGGGTTCAGGAGACTGGATATTGGGTATTCCAGAAACCCTGAGTTGAGCAAATGAGAGATTCGTCAAAGCCATGTGCCTTTGGCTTCCTCATTTTGCTGCTCTGCTTGGGTCTGGCTTGATTGACAGCTTGCGACGGTTGCTCCTACCTGAGAAGTGGGGAGTGGCTATAATAATTTGGGCATGAGAACAGGAGCATAGGGGGAGGGACATATTTAGTAGATAAAATTGACAATAGTTGATGATGGCTGAGTAGGGGATAGAAGACAGGGAAGGGAGAGGAGGGATTGAGAGCTCTTGGGTTTCCAGCGTGTGCAGTAGAACTAGGCAGTCCTGGAGGAGGATGAGACGTGTGGAGGGAAGAGCAGGAGCTGAGCTTTGGACTTCTTAAGTGTGGAACATACAAGAGGAGAGTACAGCAGGCATATCACCCAGAAGAGATGGCAGGAAGACTACCTAAAATCTCAGGCTGCTTTTCTGTTGAAGTTATCCGCTGGGGTTTAGGCCACTATGGGTAGATAATACAGTCCAAATCAAATTCTGTTTACTGGCTCCTTCTATTAAGTGAAGTAGAAGTTGAGAGTTTGCAAGAGCTAACAAACCACTGAGCTGCCAGGAATGAATTCATAATCAGAGGTCACAAACTGTGGTGACTGTGTTATGCAAGTTGCAGGCTTATAGCAGGCTTCCTTCTCCCTTCTCTTATCTCTCATTCACCATGGGGAAGTTCTAAAAAGGAGAGATTTGCTAAGACAGTGCAGTGAGCTATGTGTTTGAACTCTATCTAACCTGTCTGGCAAGGAGGTCTTGTATATCATCATGCTACTCTCCATAAGCCCTTTGCTCCAGCATATATTGTTGAAATTAATGCATGTTCCTAGTTTCATGCCTCCAGGCCTTTAAAAAACCACTCTTGTCCTGCCTAGGATGCCTTTCTTATTGTCTTTGTTTCTGTAATTCCTTTTCCTCTTTTAATCATCAAAGCTCACCTCTTCTAGGAAGTCCTCCCTGACCCCATCTCCTGAATGAGACGTCTGTTGTCTTCTGCCTCAGAGTCATCTCTGTCAGGGCTCTTTTCAACTCAGTGTTTGCTGTAATTGCCGATTTTCCCATCTGGTATCTGTTCTCCTTAAGAGTGTGTATTGCCAATCTATCTCCATTGCCTGTGTGGAAGCTCCTGGAGGACAGGACCCCTATTTGTATCTGCAGCACCTGGCACATGTCTGGATTGCAGCAGGTCTCAAACAAATATGTGTGGAAGGATGAATAATCTTCTGTTTGGATGTGTTTGGGGTGGCAACTTGTTGTATGGTCCCTAGTAGGCAGTATGGGTTTATTCATCTTTTCGTAGAGCACAAATATTTGCTCTTTTGGTAGCTGTCCTGTATGGGAGAATGAAAAATGTTTTTGCAAAAATATATTTTTCCAGATTGGCGTGACTGTTAACTGCTCACCTGGGGTTGAAATGGCTTTGGCGTGGGTGTGTAACCACAGGTAGTAAGTGAACAATGTGCCTGGGCAGCACAGTTTCTTTTTTTTTTTCCTGGGTGCTCTTCACATTTTTGTGAGCTACAACCCAAGCACCTGGCTTCTCCGAAGCCAGGGTTTGTGCCTAGTTGTTAACGGGAGTGGTTGCATTTCAGGGTGAGAGTCTGTGATATTAACCAAGCTTCTTCTACCCAGTGTTTTCCGCTGGCATTACCAGGGGCTGCAGTGGCTGTTTTAAGGAGAGCTGCCATAAGAGGGATCCCTGAGCAGTGAGACTCAGGATGGAATAATTGGAAAGAATTGCCTCCTACTTTGCAGGAGGGCAAGCCCTTTAGGCAAAATAGAAGGTGTAGGAAGGGGCTGAGTGATAGAGACAAAAAAGTAAGACTTACTGAGAGGTGAGTTGGTAGTTCTGTAAGGAAACTAGAAAGAACTGGGGCCCTTGTTGTAAGAGTGAGGCAAAGGACGGCCACTTGGCCTCTCTCACACCCTTGTTGCTCTTAAAATGATGTTTTCTTATTCATGACCCGGTGGGATTGGGTTCAGAGCGTCTGCTGCCCAAAATGTAGACTCCTAATGCTTACTGATCCTTGGCTGAATGTGCTCTGCCTGGAGGCAGTTAGTGAGACAGACTGTTTCCAGGATATGTTTACCTGGGCAGGTAGCTGGCATGTCATCCCCTTACAGCAAATCTGGTTTGGTGAGAAGGCTGGCTGGCAAGCCATCCCCATGGAGCCTACTGTGGCAGGAGAGACTTCCTGGGGTCCCACTGGTATCCCTATCACAAGCTCACCCACTGGAACCCAGAGTCCCTTTGCAAGTTCCAGCCTAGGACACTGCTGTTGGCTGAGCTGTACCCCTGTCAGTTGCAGGCTGATGACTCTTGGCAGGCTGGGATTTGGTTGGTGGCATCTTGCAGGGCCCCCTGACCCTACCTGCTGTCACAAATCCTATTGTGTACCCCCTGTACACATGCCTGAATGTTTTGTGATATACCACTCTTAAAGAGAACAGATACCAGATGGGAAAAGTAACTCTCTTGGGTTTATGTGTGCTTTTTTTTTTTTTAATGCACTTTAAAAAATAAATTGTAGTCTGGTTTGGCACTTCTCCATGCTCAGAATGTATTTATTTGTCATGTTCTTGCTGCCCTGTGGAGACCAGCAGAGCTGTGAAGAGAAGCCACCTCATTAGGAGACTCTAGAAGAAAACCAGGGCTCTCCTGGCACTTCCCCAGGGATATGGGCTCCTCCCCTTCCACATCCTGCCAAAGCCAGGGCCTGGGAACGGCTCCCCAGGGCAGCGTGCTCTGTGCCAGTGTCCAAGGATCTTAAGGAATTTAATTAAGCAACTAATAGACTAGGGGATATTTAAAGTGTGATTTTGTTGACATTAAACACAGTTATTTAAATATCAGCTAATTAGTGCTTTTTAATATTGCTTCTTGAACTTAAGTTTGGTTACTGCAGTTGACATAGATACTTGACAGACCCAAGTTCAGTGTGGAGGTGTGGGGCACAGTTGAACATGGACTTGGAGGAGGGGAAGAGAGAACACATAATTTACAGCTGCTGAAATAATTCAGCTGTTTCTCTTGCTGATTGCTCTCCTCCTCTGGAGTGCTGAGGCAGTGAATTGTTAATGGGATGGGCTCTTGCTATGCCAATCAGGGTTGGGATGAGGCCATTTTGATTGTTGGGAATAAACTCTGAAATTGAGAGGAACACTGAGTTTGAAGCCACATTTCCCCTCAACCCCAGCATAGGATCTAAGCTGTGTGGTGTGCTGTGATACCAGGGCTGTATCCTGTTGGTGAAGGCAGGCACTGATCTGTAGAGTGTTGCTGATGAGGGTAAGTGGTGAGATGAGTGTCTCAGGGTAGGGTTCAGCTTACAGATCTGCAGACAAACTGAGTTGTCCACAGACAGATTAGATACCTCTTTGGAGTGGTTGGAAACCCCTTGGGAAAAGAGCTGAAAAGAGCTGAAAAGGCAAGGGAAACCCCTTGCCTGAAAAGAGCTGCTCTATACTCCTGCCAGGGCAAGTGACACTCTTCTGGATTAAGGTGTTTATTTGCTTATCTGTTCGTCTGTCCACTCACCCATTTATTCACCTATTTGTTCATCAGCTATACCTTTACTGAGTGCTTGCTGTGTGTTAGATCTAACTAGAGATTAAACAGTGGATGAGGAAGGAGTCCCATGTACTCAGGCAATTCATATTTACAGTACAGTTTTGTGGATCTTATGATAGTTGCACAGAGAATTATGGGAGTACATGGAGAATCAACAAAATATGGCAAATAAAATCCAACAGAAAATAAAAGTGATTATCTGACCAAATTGAGCTTACCCAAGAATTCACGGGTGGTTTCATATTAGAAAATCTATACATAAAATTAGCCACATTAATAGGTTAAAGGTAAAACTATATGATCATCTTAGAGGTAGAAAACACACTTGATAAAATTTAACACACATTCATGATAAAACCTCTTAGCAGTTTAGGCAAAGAAGGGGATTTCTTTACCTTGACAAAGAATATCTACCAAAAAACTACAGAAAAGATATTTTTTTCTTTCTTAAGTTTATTTTTATTATTTTTATTTTATTAAACATTTTTTGAAACAGAGTCTCACCCTGTCACCCAGGCTAGAGTACAGTGGTGCCATCATGACTAACTGCAGCCTCCACCTCCAGGGCTCAAATGATTCTCCCACCTCAGCCTCCTGAATACCTGGGACCACAGGCATGTGCTTCCATGCCTGGCTGAGTTTTTAAATTTTTTGTAGAGACAGGGTCTCACTTTGTTGCCCAGGCTGATCTTGAACTCCTGGGCTCAAGTGATTGTCTCACCTTGGCCTCCTAAAGTGTTGGGATTATAGGTGTGAGCCACCATTCCTGGCCTTCTTAAATTTTTAGAAGAGAGCAATATAATGTATTCATGTACCCAATGTCCGGTTTTAACAATTTCTAACTCATGGGCAATCTTACATTGTTTTTTAATTTTTTAGTATGATAAAATATATACAGCAGAAGGCTGGGCACAGCAGCTCATGGCTGTAATCGCAGCACTTTGGGAGGCCAAGGTGGGGCAATCACTTGACCCCAGAAGTTTGAGACTGCCCTGGGCAATATAGTGAGACCCCATCTCTACCAAAACACACAACACAATCTCATATACATATACATACACACACACACTCACATACTTATATATACACACACACAAAGCATAAAATTTGTCATTATGATGCCTCTTTATTTTTTTTTTTATTTATTTTTTAAGAGATAGAGGTCTCTCTGTGTTGCCCAGGCTGGCCTCAAACCCCTGGGCTCAAGCTATCCTCCCACTTTAGTGGGCCACCACACCCAGCAATATTTGTCCTTTATGTGTCTGGCTTATTTCACTTAGAATAGTGTTTTAAGGTTTCATTCATATTGTAGCATGTATCAGAACTTCATTCCTTTTTGAGGCTGAATAATATTCCATTGGAAATACACACACACACACACACACACACACACACACACACACACACACACACACACGCCCCCACACCCACACCCACATTTTATAAAAATCCACTTATCTGTGATGGCTGTTTGAGTCATTTTCATCTTTTGGATATAGTGAATAATGCTGCTGTGAACATTCACATGCAAGCATCTGTTTGAGTCACTGTTTTCACATCTTTTGGGTATCTACTTAAGCAAAGAATTGCTGGGTCATATGGTAATTTTATGTTTAGCTTTTTGAAGAACCACCAAACTTTTCCATAGCAGCTGCAACATTTTATACTCCCACCAGTGATGTATGAGGGTTCCAGTTTCTTCACATCTTCACCAACACTTGTTATTTTCCTTTTCTTCAATAATTATAACCATACCTAGTAGGTGTGAAGTGGCTTTGATTGGCATTTCTCTAATGATGACTAATGATACTGAGCATCTTTTCATGTGCCTCCAGGCCATTTGTACAATGGAGAGATGTCTATTCAAGATTATTGCCCATTTTAAAATTAGGTTGTTTGTCTTTCTGTTGTAGGAGTTGTTTCTGTATTCTGGATATTAAACCCTTATCAGATGTGTGATTTGCAAATATTTTGTTTCATTCCCTTGTCTTTTCATTCTCTTGATCGCGTCCTTTGCACAAAAATTTTAAAAATATTTTAATGAAGTTCAATTTATTTTTCTTTTACCACCTGTGATTTTAGTGTAATATTTAAGAAATCATTGCCGAATCCAAGGTCATGAAGGTTTTGCCCATGTTTTCTTCTAAGAACTGTATAGTTTTAACTTTTTTTTTTTAGATGGGAGGCTTGCTTTGTTGCCCATGCTGGAGTGCAGTGGCTCAGTCTCAGCTCACTGCAACCTCCACCTCCCGGGTTCAAGTGATTCTTGTGCTTCAGCCTCCCGAGTAGCTGGGACTAAAGGTGCCCGCCACCACGCCCGGCTAATTTTTGTATTTTTAGTAGAGACGGGGTTTTGCCATGTTGGCCAGGCTGGTTTCGAACTCCTGACATCAGGTGATCTGCCTGCCTCAGCCTCCCAAAGTGCTGGGATTACAGGTGTGAGCCACCGCACCCTGCCAGTTTTAGCCTTTTAAATTTCGTCCTTTAAAAATCCCTTTTTACTCAATAACACTTTTGTAAAAATCAGTTGACTATAGAGATGTGAGGGTTTAATTCTGGTCTCACAATTCTATTCCATTGGTCTATATGTTTATCCTTACATCATTACCACACTTTTGATTACTCTAGCCTTATGGTAAGTTTTGAAATTGGACTTGTGGAATTCTCCAGCTTTGTTCTTTTTTTCCCCTCAACTTTGCTGTTTTTTGTTTTTGTTTTTTTAAGAGATGGGATCTTGCTCTGTCACTCAGACTAAAGTGCAATGGCACTGTCATAGCCCACTGCAGCCTTGAGTTCCTAGCCTCAAGCAATCCTCCTGCCTCAGCCTCCCAAGTAGCTGGGATTACAGGCATGAATCACTGTGCCCAGCAGTTTTGTTCTCCTGCTTCAAGATTGTTTTGGATATTCAGGGTCCCTTGAAACTCCATGTGAATTTTAGGATGGGTTTTTCCATTTCTGCAAAAAATCCACTGGAATTTTGAAAGGGATTGCGTTGCATCTGCGTATTGCTTTGGGTAATACTATCATTTTAGCAATATCATATCTTTGAATCATGAACCTAAAATGACTTTTTATTTATTTATGTGTTGTACAGAAAAATTGAAATGGAGATCTTCTTTTATTTCTTCAGCAGCGTTTTGTAGTTTTCAGTGTAAAGTCTTTTGCTTCATTGGCAAAATTTATTCCTAAGTGTTCTTTTTGATACTGTTTTAAATGGAATTGCTTTCTTAGTTTCCTTTTTGGATCGTTCATCTCTGGGATATAGAAATACAACTGATTTTTGTGTGTTGGTTTTATGTCCTGCAACTTTACTGAATTTATTAGCTCTAACAGGTTTTATTTGTGAAGGTTTTCTATGCATAAGATCATATCATTGGCTGGGCGTGGTGGCTTATGCCCGTAATCCCAGAGCTTTGGGAGGCTAAGGTGGGCGGATTGCCTGAGGTCAGGAGTTCGAGACCAGCCTGGCCAACAAGGTGAAACCCCATCTCTACTAAAAATACAAAAACTTAGCCATGTGTGGTGGTACATGCCTGTAATCCCAGCTACTTGGGAGGCTGAGGCATGAGAATCGCTTGAACCCAGGAGGCAGAGGTTGCAGTGAGCCTAGATTACGCCCCGCTACTCTAACCTGGGCAACAAGAGCGAAACTCCATCTTAACAAAACAAAACAAAAAACCATATATATATATATATATATATGTGTGTGTGTGTGTGTGTGTGTGTGTGTGTGTGTGTGTATATATGTATATACACATGTGTATATACATATGTGTGTATATATGTGTTTATATATGTATATATACATATATGTATATACATTTATATGTGTATATACACATATATATGTATATATCATCTGCACATAGAATAGTTTTACATCTTCCTTTCCAATATGGATGCCTTTTATTCTTTTCTTGCCTAATTGCTCTGGCTAGAACTTATAGTATTATGTTGAATAGAAGTGGTGAAAGTGGGTGGCCGGGCGCGGTGGCTCACGCTTGTAATCCCAGCACTTTGGAAGGCCAAGGTGGGCGGATCACGAGGTCAGGAGATTGAGACCATCCTGGCTAACACAGTGAAACCCTGTCTACTAAAAATACAAAAAAAATTAGCCAGGCGTGGTGGCGGGCACCTGTAGTCCCAGCTACTCAGGAGGCTGATGCAGGAGAATGGCGTGAACCCGGAAGGCAGAGCTTGCAGTGAACCGAGATCGCGCCACTGCACTCCAGCCTGGGCAACAGAGCGAGACTCTATCTCAAAAAAAAATAAATAAATAAGTAAAAGAGGTGGTGAAAGTGGGTATCTTTGTCGTGTTCTTGGTCTTTGGGGAAAAGCTTTCAGTCTTTCACCATTAAATATGATGCTAGCTGTGGGTTTTTCATATATGCCTTTTATTATGTTGAGGATGTTCTTTTCTATTCCGGGTTTATTGGGTATTTTTTATTATGAAAGGATATTGGATTTTGTCAGTTGCTTTTTCAGTATCCATTGAAATGATCATGTGGTTTTTTTCCTTCATTCTATTAATGTGGTGTATTACATTGATTGCATTTCATATGTTGAGCCACTCTTGTATTCCTGGGATAAAACACCACTTGATCATGTTGTATAATTCTCTTAATATGCTGCTGAATTTTGGCTTGCTAGTATTTTGTTCAGGATTTTTTGCATGTATATTATAAGAGATATTGGTCTGGAGTCTTCTTATAGTGTCTTTGTCTTGCTTTGGTTTCAGGGTAATGCTGACTTCATAGAATGAATTAGGAAGTGTTTCCCTTCTCTTTGGTTTTTGTGAAGAGTTTGAGAAGGATTAGTGTACTGCTACCCTTCTTAACAGGCACCTTGCTGGCCAGTAAGTGCCTGTTAAACTCCTACCTTTTTGGAGCTTTGGCTTTGAAGTTGGGCCAGGTGAACTTTTCCATACTTTTTTGTTTTGACACTTCCATCTTGGCCGCCTGTCTGGGCAGCCAGCCATTCTGATTATGCAGCCTGGAAACTGCCCTTACAGGGTCAAGTTGCTAAGTTGGACTTTAAGACTGCGGCTTTTTCCATGTGTTCTCTGTTTCCTTTGGCTGATGAGTGTATGGTCTGATCTTGGGTTTGCTGAACAAGAACAAGGCCTCTGAGCCATTCAGGAGATCAGAACAAGTCAGCTGATAAGGGAGTAGGTTCTGTGCTGAAAATAATGTATTTTAAAGTGTTTTCTCAGATATTTAACATTTCAGGGTGAAAGATTCCATTGAGCACAGTTTTCCATAATTCTAAGTTCACATGTGATCATAGAGGTGGCCACACACACTTCTTTCCAAAGTAGTAATTTACATATGTATGCCATTAGGTTCTGCTGCTTTCACTTCCACTCAACAATTTTTTATGCATCTGCTTTTAAAGATAGGGGTCTCGCTATTGCCCAACCTGGAGTGCAGTGGTGTGATCATAGCTCACTGCAGCCCTGAACTCCTGGGCTCAAGCCATCCTCCCACCTCAGCCTCCTGAGTAGTTGAGACCATAGTTGCATCACCATGCCCTGCTAATGAAAAAAAAATTTTTTTTTTTTTTTTGTAGAGACAGAGTCTTACTTTGCTGCCCAGGCTGATCTTGAACTCCTAGCTTCAAGTCATCCTCCTACCTAGGCCTCCCAAAGTGCTGGGATTACAGGTGTGAACCATTGTGCCTGGCCAGCACCTGTTTTTATGTATTACCACAGTCCATATTTTTACCTATTTTAATGGCAGTGTTATTTTCCATTGTACTCTTCCAAATGGTTCTTTTTAGATTATTGATTTTATTAAATCAATGGCTATTTTTTGAGTGCCAGGAAAAGTGCTGGGCAATGAGGAGACAGTGGTATGTTACACAGACAATTGTCCCTCCCGCTGTGGAGCTCCCAGTCAGATGGATTCTAGTTATAGGCCTATGAAATAGAGCTTCACTGACACCTAAAACAGCCCTGGAGAGGATGAGGAGTTTGTGCAGTCCCTAGCTCTGGTTCCTATTGCTGCCTTCTAAAATGCGGGGGGACGTCTTGGCAGGACAGTGTCAGTTCTGCTTGTAACTGTGCTCTCAGCAAAGCACAGGATGGAAACCCTGTGACCATGGCAGAGATGGCTCTGAAGTGGAGCTGCCGCAGCAGGGAGAACTGCTGTTTCCTAGGCAATACTCTGCTTAATATTTTTAGCATGTGGTCATGACAGAACTAAATGTGGTTTCTGATCCCAAATTGGTAATAAATGTAGCCATATTTAGAGTCAGAAACAATGCATTTAAAATCCTCTGCTCCTTAATTGTCCTGCCAAGTACTGAGTTTAGGTTTCTTTGTTTCTTGGCTACCTACCCAGCTTCCTACCATCCCTTGTAGAAGGTGCCCGGATTTTCTCTGGGCATTCGGTGGGATTGTGAAAGCCGTGAGTTATGGCTCCCTGAGCTGTGTTGAGAGGCATCTGATTTTTGTGTTTCTGCCCACATATGTAAATGTGTACATTTTAAAATTCATCTCCCTTTCAAGTTTTTAAGGATCTGGTATTATAAATAGTCTTGGGCTCTCAGGCATGTTAAAAATAAAATGTTGCAGTTGCTGACTTACCTGGAAGACATAGTTGATACCAACATGGTAGTAGCAAGTCCTGTGCTTGGTGACCCATCCTCGTATTGTTGCTAAGTGTTTCTGTAAGTAAATGCTATTTTCTTGGGGCTCCCCAATTAGTTTAAGGAGTACCCTAATTATTGCCTAGCTCATTATTACAAAGTTGTAATTAGTGTCTTTTTTTTTTTTTTGAGACAGAGTCTTGCTCTGTCGCCCAGGCTGGAGGGCAGTGGCTCGATCTCGGCTCACTGCAACCTCCGCCTCCCAGGCTCAAGCAATTCTCTTGCCTCAGGCTCCCGAGTAGCTGGGATTACAGGCACCCATCACCACACCTGGCTAATTTTTGTATTTTTAGTAGAGACGGGGTTTCACCGTGTTGGCCAGGCTAGTCTTGAACTTCTGCCTCAAGTGATCCACCTGCCTCGGCCTCCCAAAGTTCTGGGATTACAGGCATGAGCCACTGCACCCAGCCTCAACTAATTTTTGTATTTTTTAGTAGAGATGAGGTTTCACCATGTTGGCCAGGCTGGTCTTGAACTCCTGACCTCGGGTGATCCACCTGCCTCAGCCTCCCAAAGTTTTGGGATTACAGGTGTAAGCCACCATGCCCGGCCCCAACTAGTTTTTGTATTTTTTAGTAGAGATGAGGTTTCACCATGTTGGCCAGGCTGGTCTTGAACTCCTGACCTCATGTGATCCACCTGCCTCAGCCTCCCAAAATGCTAGGATTACAGGTGTGAGCCACTGCGCCTGTCCTTTTCTTTTTAATAATTATGCTGTCTGAGACTAAGATGTGGAAGGCCACATTATCCACTGAATGTGAACAGGACATCATCCACCTGAGGCAAGTGACAATATCTTTTGTATATTCTGTTCCATAGTATGGTGCCCAGTGTGCTCAAGGAACTGACATTAATGCTGAAATTATCTTTGTGTGGTATTTGCTTTTAGAGTGTGAGTGCTGAATGCTTGCAATAGAAATGGCAAACAAATTGTACTTACCAGTTAGCAGATAGTTCCTTTAGAACTATGGACTGGAAATCATACCTTCTTCCCTATTTTAGCCCCTTTAAGAGGCCCTGATGTTTTCTGGAAGCTTAGAGACATCAGGGGAAAGGAAAGATGAATTCTGATCTCTCCTCCCCTCGAACCCTGACCGTGGTATCTGGATGACTGTGGTGTGAAAGTCCCTGGTGTTCTTTGGGAGCAGGCTATAGAGAAAGCCCATCGCACATACTGTCAGGAGATCCAGTTACTATTTTAAAAGGGGAGGGAAGAAAAGCCCTGGGACCCTTAGTCCCTGGATGCTAGCTGCATCTGTCTACAGTGGTCCCAGCAGTCTAGGTCAGCTGCATTTGCCCCGGCTGTTCCTACTCTCCCTGACTCCCCCTTAGAGGTAGGAGAGTGGCAGCAGGAATTTGGAGACAGGCCTGAGTCATCAGGAAGCGGGACTCTGAAGTGTTTGATGTCAGTCAGCTGGCACTGATGCAGAGCCAGCCAGCATCGCTTAAAGGTTTCAATGGAAATGTGTCTGTAACCACCCAGAGTATAGTCCAGGTGTGTGGGCTGACTTGTGGCTCAGGGAAGCTAGTCTCCAAAGAGGGGCTTGGTTGTCAGAACAGAAGACAGTTCTGTATGGGGGTGAAGCCCTCGCTGCTTTTGCTTATCCTATTCTTTGCTCAGAATTTTCTCTAATAATAGTAGTGAGAGCTATAAGCTTTATGAGCCCTCATTTTGTGTCAGGCACTGTGCTATATGCTCTATGTCATCTCATTTAATATAGACAGTCATACTAAATAGTTACTATCAAGTCCTCTTATAGATGAAGGGGTTGAAACTTGTAGAGGTTAAGCATCTGGCCCAAAGTCACACAGCTAGTAGGGGAGACTTGGCTCAAAATCCAGAGCCTGCATTCTTCCTATTACACTGTAGTGGGTTGGAAGGGAATGGAGCTTCTTGTAACCTTGGTTGTTATCAGACATGGGCTGATCACTCCCGGTACCTCAGGCAGGGTCAAGGATCAGGTATAAGGAGTAGGTCCCCTTGTCTGTATCTTGCTAGGAGCTTACAGTCTAGGACCTACTGGAAAGTACAGACTAGGACCTGAGTATTCCTCTGATTCATCTGGTCAACTGCTGGTATGCTTAGGCAAGCCCCATTCACCAAAGAAGACTCCGTCTTTGTCTGCCATGTAGAAATACTTCTGTCTTGTGTATTTTCTGCATGGAGGGGCGAGGTGTCAAGTTCTTGCCAGACAGTTGGGTGTGTGTATATACGTGGTGTGTGTGGTTGTGGTTTGTGTGTGTGTGTGTGTGTATATGTGTGTGTGTGCCTGGCACTGGGCTCCATGAAGGGGAGCAGGGATGCTTTTGCTTCGTGTATAGCTAGGAAGCTTGAGTGATAGGAGTTTAAGGGATCAAGTCACAAAGGAAGCCTGGCTGCAATCTGAGTCAAGGGATTTCTTCTTCCTGAATGCCTGTGCCTATGCCTTGGCTGGTCTGTGCCAAGGGCATTTAGTAATCAAGGTGCCTGTGTGTGGTATGTGTGTGTGTGCGCGTGTGTGTGGTGTGTGTTTGTGTGTGGTGCAGAAACTAGAACATGGTAGAGGTGGGTCTTTCCACAAGAGGGCCCCAGTAGGCTCATTTAAAAATTTCTGTCCTTTCTACATATGGCTAGCCAGTTTTCCCAGCACCCATTCAGAGGTGGGAATTGAACAATGAGAACACATGGACACAGGAAGGGGAACATCACACACCGGGGACTGTTGTGGGGTTGGGGGAGGGGGGAGGGATAGCATTAGGAGATATACCTAATGCTAAATGACGAGTTAATGGGTGCAGCACACCAACATTGCACATGCATACATATGTAACAAACCTGCACATTGTGCACATGTACCCTAAAACTTAAAGTATAATAATAATAAAATTAAAAAAAAAATTTCTGTCCTGACACAAAATGTGCCTTTTTATTTATACTGTTGCAGAACAAATAAAATGATGAGTCCAGTTTCTGTGGCTGATTTCACAGACCCCTCGAGAGACAGCACGGCTATGGAAAGAGCATGGCTTTGGGGCCAAACTGGCTTTGAATTCTGACTCTACTGCTCTGTGGCTGCATGAACTCTGGCACGTTACTTAACCTCTCTGAATTTTGGTCCCCTCATGGGTAAAATGAGCAGCATATTGGAACCACCTCAGAGGGTTGTCGTGAAGAGTAAATGAACTAATACTTTGCTTGCAACATGGAAAGTTCTCTATAAATGTTGACTATAATTATTATTTGACAGAATTAATTTTCCTCTGGGATGCCCAGATAGTATATTTGAATGCTGGGGGAAGGGGTGGCACTAGGGTATTTCTCTGTCTCCGCCATGGCGGAGTTATTATTACATTTCCACAAAGTGGAAGGACTAAAGCCTCCGGGCAGTCTGAGGCATGGCTGAGAGCCCAGAGAAGGTAGAATTGTGTCTGATGGGAGTTTCTTCTTAGAAATTTTACCTCCCTGCCCCCTCCTTCTGCTGGAGTGACTGATGCCCATCATTGTCCTGAGGTCATGTGTGTTGTGGGGTAGCTCTTCATCAATCATAGGAACTTATGTATGGTATTGAAGAATCCCTCTGTTGCACCCATGGAGGAATTTTTTTTTCTCTTTTCTCATTAAGACTTTAGTGAAATGTTGAAAAATCACATTTAGAAATGTGGCCTCAAATCTTCAAAATTTAGTGGACCCATTGAGCCTTTTGGAGTGGCCTACCCTTGTGCCTCTATGTCTTCATCTGTGGACACTCTTTTGAAGGGCCCTCTGACTGCCTCATTGCCAAATCCAGTGACTGATCTCCTGACATTGTTGCCTACAACTGGATTTTCTCAGGATTCTCCACTCTTTTGACCTGTGTAGGTCTGCACTAATCATGTGGCTGCTCCTCTGGTTTCCTTGCTTGCTCCCTTTTCCTAACGTGCAGCCATGAGTTGAAGACTATGCTTGGTCCGCTGTCCTTTTCTCTCTAAGGTTTCTCCCTAGAAAGATAGTCGCTCTGCTCCTGTTGCTTTGATGATCACCTCTGTGTTGATAGCACTGAAACTCTTGCCCTGCCTTAGCCCTGTCTACCTCTTCGTCTTCAACAGGTATGAGGTTGCCACAGCCTTCCTGGATCCATTGATAAGTTCCACGCCTAATGGCATTGAATTCCAATTGTTCTCTATGTAGGTATTGAGTGCCTGCCATGTCTTCTGGGTCTTTAGCAGTCCAAATAAAGATTGAGCCTTAAGCTCACTTCTAGCATTCAGATTCTTTGCAAGCTGTGGCCAAGTAGGAGAGATCTGGAGAGGGCCAGGCTAGGCTTTTTATTCAGTCACTCTGCTTGTCATGTGATTTCTTTTTTTTCTAATTTTGAGACAGAGCCTCACTCTGTCACCCAGGCTAGAGTGCAGAGGCATGATCTCGGCTCACTGCAACCTCTGCTTCCTAGGTTCAAGAGATTCTCCTGTCTCAGCCTCCCGAGTAGCTGGGATTACAGGCGTGCACCATGACACCCGGCTAATTTTTTTGTATTTTTAGTAGAGATGGGGTTTTGCCATGTTGGCCAGGCTGGTCTCGAGCTCCTGACCTCAAGTGATCTGCCTGCCTTGGCCTCCCAAAGTACTGGGATTACAGGTGTGAGCCACCATGCCCGATTGTGTCATGTGATTTCTTTTCATTGGATGCACTAACTTTTGTCGCTGTGATTGCAGTTTTTTTTTTTTTTTTTTGCTAGTTTGTTTAGCTCCCTTCTTGAAGATCTGTATTCTTCTCTACTGGAGTGGGAATGGAGTAGGTCGTGTTCCACCTCTGGGAGTACAGAGAAAGGGCTAGGAATGCTCCTCACTGCCCTTCCCATTTCATCCCATCCCATGTTGTCTTCCTTCCAGGTGCCTATTCCCAGCTGGGCCTGTGGAGCCCTTCTTGGCTCCCTGTGCCCTCTGGCAGGGCTAACATCTGTACTGCCACTGTTCTCCCTTGCAGGCTGCACGGTGGATTTTGTAGCTCTCTGTAGCTCTTTGTAGCTCTCTGGTTAGGCAGAGGCTTGGATCCATTGTGAACCCTCTACCCTCCAACAGCCTCCTCTAATAACCTTTTTTCTTGGGTGCCTTGGGTTTGTTGAGAGCAGTCCCTCTTTGCTTGGCCCTAGGCATGACTTCAAAACATAGGGGAGATATTATCCCCATTGTACAAATGGCCACTGGCTCAGGGATGTTCCAGTCCAGCCACCTTGCCAGCTGGGGGCTGGACTAGTTAGAAGCCACATTTGTTTTGCTGTTCAAAGACTTTCCATTTAATTGCTGTCTGCCTCTTGACTTTCTGTTTAGTATTGTCTCAGGCGGGAAAAGCTTGTTTGCCTGACTATTACAAACTTGTTTTTCTTGTCCTTCAAATTATTCTTTAAAATTCCATTTCTTTTCTTAAGCCTTTGCACGTTGTTCTCCCTTGTCAGGGGCGTCCTTTCAGTGTCCTCTTTGCGTTGTTTCTCCAGCTTCATATTTGTCTGCTTAAATTAGGTAGTGCACTTCTGTTTGTGTAGAGGTGAGTGACTGTATGTGTGCATATGAGTTTGTGCAGCCCATAAATAGTAATGAATGTGTGTCTGTGGAAGAGCTCATCCTCTAACCTTCAGTTTGTAAAGCAGGTGATTGTCTTACAGCTGTTCCTGCAGCTGGCAGTTCTGCATGTTGGTGGCTTGGCTCTCTGGATGCCAATATGCTAGGAAAAGCACTGAGTGGGCTGGGTCTGCCTTGGGGCTCAGCAGAAAACTGCCTCGGGTTTCTCCATTTTCAGCCAGGAGGGTCATCCTTTAACATTTATTTCCTTTACCTCCTGGGAGTAGCTACCCAACAAAAGGCTTTGGTCCTCATTTGAGGCATGGGTCAGCTGGACAGTGTGTGGATCTAACAGGGAGCAGGAGCTTTGGAGAGTAGTTGCCTGGCCTGGCTCTGATGGGCTGCGGGTCCAGGGCAGCAGTCATCATTTCCATTCCAATGATGGAGTGGGCCGGGCACCGAGGCTCAGGACTGTAATCCCAACACTTTGGGAGGCTGACATGGGTGGATCAGTTGAGCCCAGGAGTTCGAGACCAGCCTGGGCAACATGGTGAAACCCCATCTCTACAAAAATAATAAATTTTAAAAAGCCAGGTATGGTGGCACACCATATCTGCTACTCGGTAGTAGTCCCAGCTACTCAGGAGGCTGAGATGGGAGGATTGCTTGAGCTTGGGAAGCAGAGGTTGCAGTGAGCTGAGATTGTGTCATTGCACTCCAGCCTGGGTGACAGAGTGAGGCCCTGTCTCAGAAAACAAACAAAACAACTAATAAAAAAATGGAGTGATGATTAGATGCTAGGTGCTGTACCCAGTACTTCCTATTCATTGCTTTATTTAATCCTCGCTACCAACCTTTGAAGTAGAAATTCTTAATGTACCTATTTTATAGGTGAAGAAACTGAGGCCTAGTGAAGTTGTGTCCAAGATCACATAGCTAGGAAGTGGCAGAGCCAAGAATTGGCCTTAGGTCTGTCTGACTTCAAGTCCATGTGTTATACTACCCAGTGTTTTTGTTTCTTTTGTCTCTTTGCTTCAGTTTCTTCCTTATAAAATGGAAGTAGGAATTCTTGCCCTTTCACTTTTCCCAGGAGATTCAGGAAAACAAATACATGAACATACAGTGTAGGTTAATAACATGAGCATTTTATAAGATGGAATTCCAAGGGCTCCATGGCAGGCTACTGAGTTGGCTTTGCTTGTCCAGGACACTTAGAACCTTTTCCAGTTCTTTCTGTGCTCTGGTCCTGAAACTCAGCTACTGCCCATGGGTCCTGCCAGGTGTGTCAGAAGCTGCCAGAGACCCAGCAATACTGCTCCCTCTCCCTTTATTGGCTTCTTGCCATCCTCATCCCATTCTTTTGTTTTCCATTCTGGAGAAAAGACATTAAGAAGAGACGTCTTGTTTACACAGGGCCCAATCCCCACCCCCAGTCTTGTCTGAATTGTGTGGAAGACATGAGGCACTGAGAGAGGTGGGGGCCGAGTGGCCTCCTCCCACCTGCTCCCCAAACATCTGCTCTGGGCTGCAGTAAGCTGGCAATACAGATTGGTGAGTGCATCCAACCTCTATTTAAGCAGAGGTACAGCCTACAAATGGACACTTTTGATAGAAAAATGGGCATCTCAAGTACCTTATTGTCTCTTCTGTCCCAAAGCCCAAGGATACTTAAGGAAAGAGTTACCGGTGAGACACTGAAATAGTTTCCCCTTTCCTGGACAGAGTGATGGTATTTTATGTCAGAAGAGGGCCATAAATGTAAAGATGTAGGTCTGTCCTCCATTGAAAGCCAAGGATGATGAGAAGGATTTTTTTTTTTTTGCAGGGTATGCAGGGGCCATTGATCAGGTGAACCCAGAGTTTATGGGTGGCAAGTGGTTTGGGAATGGCACTATCATCAGGCCAGGTGTGCCAAACTGTGCCTCAATGGGATGCCATGACTTTGGCTTTACTTATGCCAGGGACCGCAGCTGGCTTTTGCCACTGCTGCTGCCTCTGTCCCTGCTTGTGATGGTGGGCCATCCTGGCAAAGCATAGCTGTGTGCCACTTCCCTTTCCCCCTTTCCCTTCTCCCTCAGCTTTAGCATAAAGCCCAGGGCAAACTATGCCTGCCACTTCTTGAGTAAGGACCAAGACCAGGTGACGTGGCTGCAGGCCAGGCCTTAAAAGGACGGAGAACACTGTTTTCCGTGCCTGCATGCTGTAGTTTGTACTTGCTCTTGCTCTCTGGATGCCCCTGTGAAGCCTGAGAAACTATCTCACACCTTTCTCCCAGCCTCACCTAGGTCTCTCCTCAGTCCTCTCAATCTCCCCATCCCTCTCCCACTGCCCACCTCAGCTCCATGTTCTTGTCCTCTCTTTCTCTCTCTCATTCTCTCTCCCTGTTTTGTGGAAAAATATATAGAGGCAATAACTGGGTCAGCTGTGCAGTCCATGTGGAATTATTGAGGGAAGATGAAGGATCCACTTGTGAATCCACCTCTCATCCTTAGTATTGGCAGAAAATGTTTCTGACAGTGTTAGCGTGTGTGCAGGAGACAGAGATGGCTGGGAGCCCTGTGGGAGCTACCATTTCTCTCACCCTCCACTCCTCTTCCCACTCCAAGGAGTGGGGGAAGCTGCTGTGTGTGCATCAGCTGCCCCTGACCTCTTCTTCCTCAGTCCCTTCTGGGCCTCCCCCTTCTGCTCATTTGTCTTCTTTGCCCTTGACTATTTCCTTCTCATTTAGCTCTTCCTCCTCTTCTTTTTCCCCAGCACCAGTTTCGTTGTTGATCCCTAGCTGTAAGAAGGAAGCTCATAACTGTGTGTCTGTATGTGTGTGTCTGTGTGTGTGTGTGTATACACATGAGTATCTCATGGAAGGGGAGGGATATCTGTGGCTTTGGGTTAATCTTTGTTTTGTTGTATGTTGTCCTGATAATGCTGTGAGTCCCCCACTTCTATTCTTTATTCTTTTTCTCCCCACAGCCAAGGCTGCAGCGTTAACAGAAGTATAGAGCAGTATAGGCAGCTCTAGGGTTGTGCCCTCTCAGGAACCATCTCCCTAGGCCTCCCTAGCCTTCTCCCTCCTGTTGTGGTGACGCCTTGCCCTTGTTCATCCTCACCCAGCCTGGCCCCTCTCCTGCTCACACCCAGGGATGGCCAGTCACCTATCCAGAGCCTGGTGTGGTGCTGTGAACTCAATCCCTGTCTTTCAGTGTGATTGGTGCCCCAGGGAGCCAGGTTGCTGGGGGAAGCTCTCGTGGCACTCAGCCGTTCCATTTTGTCGGCAAAAAAAGAGGGGGGGAGCTGGCAGAAAGCTAAGGCTTTTGCTGCTGGGTGAGTGTAGCAGCTATTTTTAGTACCCGAGCCTTTGCTTTTCCATTTGGCTGTGCTTTTTTGCACAGTGGCGGTCCAGCAGGGCTGTTTTCCTTCATGGCTGCAGATGTCCTTAGGGAAAGTTTCTTCCGACCCCTGAGAAGATGTGGGCAGGGCAGAGGGGTAATGACTTCTGAGAGTGGGTTCAGGCACGCTTTGGGTCCCACTGCAATCATGCCACAGGTCCAATTTGTTAAGGTGAAGCAGGGAGGAATGTGGCAGGAGTGGGATAGAGAAAAAGTAAACACCGCATTCTTCAGAGGTGCTGCCCTGTAATTAACTCACTTAAGCCTCAATTGAGTAAACTGCCTAATGAGGTATACTGGGGCTGAGGGATAAATATTAAAACCTCTTATAAGGGTCTGGGCTAATACTGACACATCCTGAATTTTCATAAGGTTTTCTTGTTTGTTTTGCTTGTTTTATTTTGTTTTTCTTTCCTAGATCATTTGCTAATTTGGATTAAGTTTTCTTGACGTCTATCCTAGTTTACTAGAATATTTTCACTATTCCAAATAGAAACTCTTTACCTATTAAGGAGTAACTCTCCATTTCCCCTTTTCCTTAACCCGGTAACTGCTTTTCTACTTTCTATCTAAATGAATTTGTCTGTTCTAAATATTTCATATAATTAGAATCATACAATATCTGAGCTTTTGTGTCTGACTTATTTCACTTGGGATAATGTTTTCAAGCTTCCATGTTGCAGCATGTATCAGAATTTCATTCCTTTTATGGCTGAATAATATTCCATTGTATGTATATACCACATTTTGAAAATCCATCTTTTGATGGCACTTGGATTGTTTCCACCTTTTGGGTATCGTGAATAATGCTGCAATGAACATTGATGTACATATATCTGTTTGAGTCCCTGTTTTCAATTCTTTGGGGGATATGCCTAGGAGTGGAATTGCCGGGACATATGTTAATTCTATATTTAGCTTTCTGAGGAGCCACCAAGCTATTCCCAAGTGGCTGCACTGTTTTATATCTACACCAGCAATGTACGAGGGTTCCAGTTAATCCACATCTTCACCAACACTTGTTATTTTACTTAAAAAAAAAATTACAGCCATCATTGTGGGTGTGAAGTGGTGTATCATTGTGGTTTTGATTTGCATTTCCCTCATGGTTAATGATGTTGAGAACCTTTTCGTGTCCCTATTGGCCATTTGTATATCTTCTTTGGAGAAATGTTTATTCAAGTCCTTTGCCCATTTTAATTTTTTTTATTTTTTTTAGTGGCAGAATCTCACTCTGTTGCCCAGGCCGGAGCACAGTGGCATTATCATAGCTCACTGAGGTCTCAAACTCCTGGGCTCAAGAGATCTTCTCACCCGAGCCTCCTAAGTAGCTGGGACTGTAGGTGCACACCACCACACCTGGCTAATTTAAAAAATTTTTAATTTGTTTTTTTAGAGAAGAGGTCTAGCCATGTTGCTCAGGCTGTTCTTGAACTCCTGCCTTTGCCCATTTTTAAATTGGGATACTTGTCTTTTTATTGTTGAGATTTAGGAATTCTCAACACATTCTGGACAATATACCCATAACAGAGATGTGATTTACAAATATTTTCTCCCATTCTGTCTTTTCACTATTTGATAATATCCTTTGAGACCCAAAAGCTTTTTAATTTTGATGAAGTCCAATATATCTATTTTTCTTTTGTTGCCTATGCTTTTGGTGTCATATTTAAGAAACCAGTGCTAAATCCAAGGTCGTTAAGATTACATCTATGTTTCCTTCTAAGTTTTATGCTTTTAGCTCTTAAATGTAGGTCTTTGATTCATTTCTAGTTAGTTTTTATAAATGATATAAGGTAAGGGTCCAACTGTACTCTTATTATTATTTTTGAGACGGAGTCTCGCTCTGTTGCCCAGGCTGGAATGCAGTGGCGTGATCTCGGCTCACTGCAAGCTCTGCCTCCTGGGTGCACGCCATACTCCGGCTTCAGTCTCCTGAGTAGCTGGGACTACAGGCACCCGCCACCATGCTCAGCTAATTTTTTGTGTTTTTAGTAGAGATGGGGTTTCACTGTGTTAGCCAGGATGATCTTGATCTCCTGACCTTGTGATCTGCCCGCCTTGGCTGGGATTACAGGCGTGAGCCACCACACCTGGCCCCAACTTCACTCTTACACTTGTGGATATCCAGTTGTCCCAGTACCATTTGTTAAAGAGACTGTCCTTTCTCATTGAATGGTCTTGGTACCATTGTCAAAAATTGGCCATATATGAGATTATTTCTGGACTCTCAATTTTATTCCATTGGTCTGTCTGTCCATCCTTATGCCAGTATCACCCTTTGATTACTGTAGCTTTGTAGTAAGTTTTGAAATCAGGAAGAGTGAGTCCTCTAACTTTCTTCTTTTACTTTCTTAGATGGGTACTCACTCTGTTGCCCAGGTTGTAGTGCAGTGGTGCGATCTCAGCTCACCGCAACCTTTGCCTCCCAGGCTTACGCGATCCTCCCACCTCAGCCTCCTAGGTAGCTGGGACTACAGGCATGTGCCACCACACCCAGCAAATTTTTGTATTTTTGGTAGAGATGGGGTTGTGCCATGTTGACCAGGCTGGTCTTGAACTCCTGAGCTCAGGCACTCCACCCATTGGCCTTGCAAAGTGCTGGAACTATAGGTGTGAGCCACCAGACCCGACCCTTTCTTCATTTTTAAGATTGTTTTGGCTATTCTGGGTCCCCCGAAATGTCATATGAGTTTTAGGGATGAGTTTCTCCATTGGGATTTTAACAGAGATTGCTCTGAATCTGTATGTTGCTTTGGGTAGTACTGTTGTTAACAGTATGAAGTCTCTAATTCATGAACATGGGATGTCCTTCCATCCTTATATTCTTTTAATTTTTTTTTTTTTTTTGGAGGGATGGGGTCTCATTCTGTCACCCAGGCTGGACTGTAGTAGTGCAGTCATGGATCACTACAGCCTCATCCTCTGGGGCTTAAGTGGTCTTCCTGCCTCAGCCTTCCACATAGTTGGGACTACAGGCTCACACCACCATGCCTAGCTAATTTTTTTGTTTTTTTAATTTTTTGTGGAGACAGGGTCTCACTGTGTTGTTCAGGCTGGTCGTGAACTTCTGGCCTCAAGTGATCCTCCCACCTTTGCCTGTCCTTTTAATAGCTACTGGGGCTTGTACTTTTATTTGTTTGACTGTTTGAAAGCTGATGTGAGAGGTTTTGTGACTTGGGAATATCGAACTTTGCTGTCTTAGAGGATATTGATGCCATCTGTCTTCAGGTAGGATAATGGGTGTGTTTTAGAAGTGGGTGGTTATAAAGGCTTATGTGGATTTGTGCCCATGTTTGTTCACATGCAGATCAGTTGGTTAGTTTCCCTCTCTCCTTATAGTCAAGACCACCCGCCACAACCTGATAACAAGTTCTAATGAAGAAGGAAGGGACTAGGGCTGTAATAGCTTATGCAGGAGTCCTGATCGACTGTATGGTTCTACCCAGGGCATATCTCTTGTTGGATGGCTGGACCCACCATGGTAGATGGAGGCTTCAGAATTATCTAGAAGTGGTAGAAGACTCGTTATACCTCTATGCAGGAAATGTCTGACATGTGAGCAAGTGACGACATGGGAATCACAGTGCGGGGGAACCAAGCATTAGCTTTTCATTGACCTTCTGTTGTCTATGCTTGCACCTGCAGGTCCCTGACTATGGCTCCCCAGAGCCTGCCTTCATCTAGGATGGCTCCTCTGGGCATGCTGCTTGGGCTGCTGATGGCCGCCTGCTTCACCTTCTGCCTCAGTCATCAGAACCTGGTAAATATCTTTATTGTAAATGGGAGGGACCCTTGATGAGGTCTTGAGAAGGCCTCCCTGTCACCAGGGCTGTTGTGGGAGTAGGGTGTGGGCTTCTATGTTTCTTTCTTATGTGAGTGTGGCTGGCAGTGGATCATGGAGTAGGTAGACTTCTTCCTCCCCATCCCTGTGTCTTCTGGCCTCTGTTTAAAGCTTATGACACAGTTTCCCTTTGGGGAAAATATGATGATGATGATAAATTCATAATTATAATCTTCCATTTACCAAACCTTGTAGTGAGTGCTTTATATGTATTCTCATTTAATCCTCCCAACAACACTATGAAGTAGGCAGCTACAGTTTTTATTCTCCTTTTGAGGAGAAGACTAAGACTCAGAGACATTAAGTAACTTGGCCAAAATCACACAGCCAGTTTGTGAGAGCTGTGAATGTCAGGATTCTTCCCAAAAGCTGAGTGCCTGTGTGGTGGGCATCAGTTCCAAGTAAGACTCTTTTTCTTCCTCTACTCCTCTCTCCCTTGTACTTTCTCAGTTCATCTCCATCTCTGTATCCTCCTTCCTTTTGTCTGTAGCTCCCTGTTCTTTCTGGGCCACACTTCATTAACCTAGAGCTTACTGCTCAGGGCTTCTGCCATTGCCACTGGCAGGAGGAGAATGCCCAGAAAGGCCCTGAGCTTGGCCTGGCTGCAGCACACTACGGTTCCTGGCCCTGTTTACTTGGCTTGTCCCAGCAACAGCCTGCCCTTGACCAGCTCCTAATGCCCTCCCTCTCCTCTCCCTTGATAAGCTCCCACTGTCAGTTATTTGACAGTTTCACCCTCCCCTGGCCACCTTCCCCAACCCCCAGGGCTCCCACTAAATGTTGGATAAAGCGCTGGAAGCTCTGGAGCGGGAGGTCCTTGAAGTGCAAATGACAATTGTGATGAATTTAATAACAATCCAGCTTAGCTGTGGTTCACCTCTGGCTCATGGCAAGCTTCCACCTTCTCTCTGAAATCATTTGTTTCCTCTCTGCCTTTCCCCCCACTTCGTGGAGCAGGGGAAAACATACAGTTAGGAGTCACGAGTCCTTTTGAGTTTTTAATGCCCTCTGAGATCCTGTTGGTGCTGTTTATTTGCCTCTTCTTCAAGGACAGTAAGAATGGGATCCCAGGGGCCCCTGAGAATGGGACTGGCTACAGCGTGAGGTTGGGGCTGTCTCTGGCATGGGTTGGCGGTGGAATGGCCCAGAAAAGAACCTTCAGGGCCCAGGGCTGTGTCCCCTCCCCAACTTGTACCTCATGAGGATGCCATGCTCCCCATCGTGAGCTTTAGCAGATGCACAATTAACAAAGGCATGCTGATGAATTTACTTAAGGACCGAGTTAGGAAGTCCCTTTTGGATAATAGTCCAACCAAATAGATGAGCTTTCAGAGCATAATTATTCTGGCCCATTTATATTAGCTCTATTGAGTCTAGTCTCAGAAAAATGTTAATACTGACTTTCATCAACAGAAGCTGCTTTTATCCTTATGTCTGTTCCTAAGCTGTATCCATTTGTCATAATCTTTCATCATGTGCTAAGCACAAGTAGGAGTTGAAGCATCTTTTCTCTCATACCATAAAAATTGCTGCCCTGATGTCATTTAAAATCTAAATTATGCAGCCAGCCACCTTCACAACAGTGAAAATGGGGTGGAGGTGGTTATGATCCTTTCTTCAGAGCCTGGAGTCCAGGTAAGTGCTCCTGATGACCTAGAATTGTCCTCCCCAAAGGCATTGGGGCAGGTTAATGCCCACCCAGGAAAGGCCGGCTGTGTGTATCACAGTATGATCTGGAGCCAGCTTTCCTTCCTGGCTCCTGCTGTGGTACTTCCCCGGGATGCCACATCTCAGGAGGCGTGTAGATGCTGAAGGGCTGTGGTTGTGTGTTACTGGCCTTGAAAAAGGTGGTAAACAATGAGGCGGGTACAGTAGTGGAGCCTTGTGGAAGGCGCACAGGCCCTTCGTAAGATCCCTTTTGCCTCCCACTTTGGCAATTTGACCCTTTCTGAGCTTTGTTTCCTAATCTGTAAAACAGGGTTGGTACCTCCCTCTTAAGGTTTTAGTGTAGATTAAATATGATTATATATAAAGCACCTGGCATTGAAACTGGCACAATATGGCCAATAAATGGTTAATGAATGTCAGCTGTTGTTTTTTAGTATGGGGATGCTGCTTCTATGGTTTAATTTGGGCTGTGTCAAGCAGGCTTCTGTCCCAAAACGTTGCCCTGGCAGTCTGTCTCTGTTACAGTGTCTGTCAACCCACCATTAGAGATTCATTTATTCTCTTGGATCTTGAAGGCTTTGGTTTTTAAGAATCTCTTATTCGGATACAAGCGCAAGGAAGTGTGACATGGTAAGCTGTTGTCAGCTAACACCTTAGCTAGGATTTCTTGCCAGTCACTTGAGAGGAAATTGGTATTTGGAATGATGGTGATAGGGAGAAGAGAGCACTGATGATCCAGCGTGGAAGGCAGCCCTGAGAAGCCAGCTGGGAAGGCACCAGAGCACGGGGTTTACTTCACAGCTGACCAAGGGCTGGCCTGCCTCTCTCTCTCTCCTGTTCAGGACACTGCCTAGGCAGAGTGAGGCTAGTTGTGCTTGTTCTTTTACTGGGACTATGGTTTCTTACCTGGCCCATGGAAGTCTTTGCCGAGGAAGGGCATGTGCTGGTAGATATGCTAAGGTGATCTCAGTATCCCGCGTCATTCCCTCAGCTCTCAGGGCACAACTTATTAGGACATCTGACCAAGAAAGAATCATAGCAGTGAGTCAAAACTTGTGTATGGGCTTTGGAGCCAGGCAGGTCTGGACTTCAATCTCTGCTCTGCTTTTCTGAGCAGTGTGATTTTGAAAAGCCCCATATCTGTCCTCCTATGGGACTAATATGATGTGCTTCACAGATGACACTTGGATGAATTGAGGAATGGAAGGCACCTTGCCCCAGTGCCTGACATATGATCAGGGCTTAATAAATGGTAGCTGCTGTTATCATTACAACCTCATCCTCTTGATGCTGCTTTTTCTCAAAACCTTTTCTGGAACTCTGCTTTTGAACTCACTGTCCAGCCTGTGGTTTGTTCATATCATTGAACCTCTCTCAAGGCTTCTGAGCCCTTGGCCTTTGAGGATAGCTAGGTGTGTTTTGGGCAAAGCATCTAAAGACTTTTATAGCCAGGGCTCGTAAACAGGGTAAGCATAGATAGGGGAGAACCAATTTTGTGTCAATCTCCACTAAAAACTGAGGTGTACTTTAAAATATACTTTTAAATGTACAGGTTTTGTGTTTGTGTCTTAAAATCTGATTCAAAGATGATACCAAAAGGAGGTGCAAAAAACATTTTGAACAGTGACAGGATTGTTGCAAAAGAGTCTGGCCTCCTTAGGACTTGAAGCATGTAGCTCGGTGGTTCATCAGTCTCGTTCTAACCCTCCTTCTTGAATCCACTCTATTAATCTTGTTAATGAAATCTAGAAAAAGAGGCTTTCCGAACCCTTAGTAGTTAAAATGAACATCAGCCTACCTGGATTTTGGAGGATTTCCTGTGCTACCTTCTTATCACCATCTCCCTTACCCCTTTCTGCTTCTCTTGATGAGAATTTTGCTGCTTGCTTACAGCCTGCCAGAAATTACCCGGCTAATAGGTAAACTGAAACAAGGATTGAGGCTGGGTGTGGTGGCTCATGCCTGTAATCCCAGCACTTTGGGAGGCAGAGGAGGGAGGATTGCTTAAGTCCAGGAGTTCAAGACCAGCCTGGGAAACACAGGGAGACCTTGTCTCTACTAAAAATTAAAAGAAAAAAAGAAGGTTGCAAATTGATGCTTAGATATTTTAGTTTGGCCTTCTTAGTGTTCTAAAAATAAGAACATTTCACATAAAAATCTGGATTTCTGTTTTCAAGTTGAATGCCTGCGTGACAGTGGTAGACCAGCGGAGTAGCAGCTGCTTCCCTTAGTCAAGGCAAGAGGGCTCCAGTTTCTGCAGTCCCACCACTCCCTATTGTTTACACCTGGTCCACTGATTTCCCTGCATCCCTGCCTGGCCCCTGGGGCATTTCATTGACACACCTCCAAGGTAAATTTTATTAACTTTCTCCTGGTCCTGCAGTCTAATGCTTCTGACCAGGGCTGATCCTAGTGTATGTAGGCTCTGGGTACTTAGCAGACAGGGTGGTCTTTGTTCTGGAATGTGAGGCAAGTACCTGGAGCAGACTCAGGTGCTTTGGGCTTTCCTCAGTCTAAGGCACCCAGAAGACACACCTGCCTATGGGAAGGGGCATTCATTCATCTGTTTTTTCAGCAGCTTCAAACTAAGCCCTGTGCTAGGCATGGGGGTGATGAAGGAGACTGACATGGTGCCTGCCCTCTGGAAACTCAGCTGTTGGAAGTTCTTGATGTCCATGTCCTCAGAATGGAGGATGCCTCCTGCCAGTCAGTCTTCTCTGTAGTCTCATAAGCACACCTATTCTTCTATTCCTAGTTTTCTTTTGAGCTCAGATTTGTGCAAACTTTAAGTTGAAGGGATAGGAGGGGTTTGAGGCACCAGGCTGCGCAGGTGACCTGCTTGAATGATGCCATATTGTATAGTCACTCCTGGATGTCACAACACAGCCTGGAATCTATGACTGCCTTCATAAGTAATAGTAGCAGCCACCATGTACCCAAAGCCAGTGGTTTACAATGTAGTACCTCATCTAACTATGAGCTAGATGTTGTTATTATTTTCATGTTGAAAATGTGGAAACTGAAGCTTAGGAGGTTAAATAACTTTCCCGAGACACAAGAAACTGGGATTTGAGTTATTCCAGCATCTTAAGCACTATGCTGGAGTCAGTGCCTCTCATAACTATGCATATTACATCTCCCAGGTGTGGTTAGATTTGAGAGCTTCTTCTTGCCAAGATATTTTCCTTATTGGTCCTTAGTAAGGCCTGAAATTCTGCCATCTAAATTTCATGCCTTTATTTCTTGTTAAAATGTAAAAATTCTTGGAGGGGCTCTACATTGGCATCACCAGCACCTTAACATTTTAACTTTTCCTCGACAACTAAAGATCAGACATTGAGGGACCCAGGCAGGAGGGAGTCCTTATCTGGAGCCAGGCACTTTTTTTTTTTTTTGAGACAGGGTCTTGCTCTGTCACACAGGCTGAAGTGTGGTGGTGCCATCTCAGGTCACTGCAGCCTCTGCCTCCTGGGCTCTAACGATCCTGTTGCCTCAGCCGCCCAAGTAGCTGGGACTACAGACATACACCACCACACCTGGCTAATTTTTTTGTATTTTTTGTAGAGGTGGGGTTTTGTGGTGTTGCCCAGGCTGGTCTTGAACTCTTGGGTTCAAGCAATCCACCTGCCTTGGCCTCTCAAAGTGCTGGGATTATAGGTGTGAGCCACCATGCCTGGCTGAGAATGAGGTGTTAGTTGAAAGTTAAATAACTTTACAGATGTATGCATATAACATCTCCCAGTTGTGGTTAGAATTGTTGGGAGACCAAAATGAGATCTATGTAAAGTACCCAGCACGGGTCTGGGCTCATAGGAAGATTCCAAGAAATATACTTTTTATTACTAGGGGAGGGATTGGGAAGCAGAGAAAAAGCGATGACAGGGGAGGTGGGCAGGCTGAAATACCTCCCCATGTGCTAATGTGGGTTCCTCCTTGTTTTCCCAAATGTAATTTCCCAGAGCTCCGGAACCCTCTGGTTCGAATTTCCTGAGGCCTTATTACTTTTTTTGCAAGAACGGGTTTAAAAATGGGATAGGAAGGATGAGAGTCCAGGAAAGAGCAAAATGAATAATACTTTGTATTTATCTTGCATCGCTGTCTCCTGAGCTGAGAATGCTCCAGAGACACCATCTCATTAATCCTCTATGTTCTACACAGGGTGGAAGGCAACAGGTTTTAGGAAGTGGTTTCCAACCTGAGCATCTTCCTCCCTCAGCCCAGCTGGATTCTCTCCTTCCCACTTGCACGCTTCCTCCATGGTTTGCAATGGCTCATAGGCACACTGGGGAATTGTGCCCTGCTGGGCTGCTTGGGAATCAGTTGGGCCTTAGCTGCCAGCTTTTGTACATCTGTAGTGGCCATTTGAGGCCTTACTCTCCCATTCATGTATGTGTTTTTTTCTTTTCTAAATATGTTTATTTTTATTGTAAAAATAATATGTGCGAGTTTTAAACATCAAACAGTATAATAGCATGTCAAAAAGTAAAAGGCTCTTATTGTTTCGTTTTGCCAGCCCCTGTCCCTAATGTGTTCCCTTAACCTGCTCAAGATACATGGGATCTTCTAGAGTCATTCCCTGTGCATTTTCAAAAGTACCACATACGCACAGGACAACATGCTGCATTCATTTAGCCATATCACCTCACATGTGCTGGTTCTGAGGCTGACCTTGGGAAAGGAATTGCGAGTGTCCAGACATATCAGGCTGTGGGGGAGAGGGGCATGGAGGAAAAGAACGTGCCACCCTAGGCCATTTTTTTTCTGCTTACCTGGCGCCTAGTTGCAGTGGGTCATGCCCTGTGTTTTCTTTTCTCAGAAGGAGTTTGCCCTGACCAACCCAGAGAAGAGCAGCACCAAAGAAACAGAGAGAAAAGAAACCAAAGCCGAGGAGGAGCTGGATGCCGAAGTCCTGGAGGTGTTCCACCCGACGCATGAGTGGCAGGCCCTTCAGCCAGGTATCAGGCCCAGCCCTGTCCCCACAAAACACACTTTGAATTCAAACTGCATATGTCCTTTGTCCCCAGAGGGCTGCTCCTTCAGGCTGCTCTTCTCTGGCCTGCGGGAGGGAAACAGCATGGTCCGTCAGAGTGGTAGCTGCTGCTGCAGGGCTCAGGGACCTTCGTTTTCCAGCAGAACAGAGATTGCAGCATCTTAGTGCCCTGGAAGGAAGGCAGGTGGTGGGTGGCCGTGGTTTCTGAGCAAGTGATTGAAAACTTTCTTTCCCTGCACTTCTGAAGCACCAGAGAGGCAGTGACATGTGCCTTGCTCTGCAAATGCTATTTTGGGCTCTGCTGCTCGGCTCAGTGCTGCTGAAATATTGTTCTTGGGAGAGTCCTGAGCACTGGTGTGGGGCAGGAGTATTCTGTTGTTAAAGGAACCTGTGCCAAGAAACAGGCTGGTCCTGGCCTGGTTTTTAAATAGTGCATCCTCAGAAGGAACAATTTTCTAACCCTTTCATGAGCCTGGGCCCAAGGCTTAAAATAATGAGAATAGTCAACAATTGCAGAGTCTTCACCATATTCAGGTACTGTACTAGGTGCTTCGTATGCATAATCTTGTTGAATTTTCACAATAATAGGAACTATTATTATCCTTATGTTCAGATGAAAGCACTGAGGCTCAGTGAGGTTAAGCAACTTGTCCTATGTCATCCAGCTAACTTGCCCTATGCCATTGACCCCAGAGCCTGGGCCTACTCTCTTCCCACTTCTTCCCAGTCCTAGCTGTCCTTGGCTGGAGCCTACTACTCTGACACTTGGGACTGTTCTCAGGAGTGGCAAGGTGGATGGCAAGCCCCAGCAGCTGCCACAGTGTAGTTTCACCAGCTTCTTGCTGATATTCATCACCATGTCCTCACTGCCCCCACTGCTGCTGTGCTGGCAGGGCAGCATTTGCTGTGCCAGCCAGCTTTCTGGTAGCAATATTGCTCCTGCTGTGTTTGCACATGGGTAGTTGCTGCCACAGAAGAGTGATGAAGCACCGAGGAAGCCAGGTGGGAGCTAATGGCATTGAGCAGAGGGAACTTTTAGGAATAGAGGTACTGGGTTCAGCAGATCCAACCTCTGCCTGCCACCACCCACCCCTTGCCAACCTGGCTTCACTTGAGAACTTAGTCCCACTGGTCCTTAAGGACTAAAACCAGAGGCTGTCAGGGGTAGGGCGTGGAAGATACGGACTATATCCGCTGATTTTATGTATATAGTGTTGCTTGTATCACTTTCACTTTTTTGAGACAGGGTCTTGCTCTGTCACCCAGGCTGGAGTGCCATGTTGCGATCTTGGCTCACTGCAACCTCTGCCTCCTGGGCTCAAGTAATCCTCCCATCTCAGCCTCCAGAGTAGCTGGGACTATAGGTGCAAGCCACCACACCCAGCTAATTTTTGTATTTTTTGTAGAGACTAGGTTTTGCCCTGTTGCCCAGGCTAATCTCGAACTCCTGGGCTCGAGCAATCCACCTGCCTCAGCCTGCCAAAGTCCTAGGATTACAGACGTGAGCCACCGCACCTGGCTTTCTTGTACCACTTTTAACCAGGCAAGTTCCTGGAGCAGATGGAAGTCAGTGTCCTGTGGCCTCGACTCCTACTCTATCTGTTTCTGTGGTTGAGTCAGTAGCTCCCTTCATCCAGTAGCATCCTGGTTCATGTTGCAGACTGAACGATGTTGATGGTTCTGACCCTGGCCCCTTGCCCAACCCTCTGGGCAGTGGGGCTGCTATTAATGGCTAAAAAGAGCCCCTCTCTGTATCCTTGGGGAGGGACAGCCAGAGCCTGTGTGACAAGAGTGGACTGTGGACTCTGAGAGACTCCTGGAGAATTGGAGTAGAGCACTGATTTTTACAGTTAACTTGATGTTTCATTGGCATCACCCTCTGCCTTGGAGTTTCTCAAGAGTCCCTGGTAAACTCTTCTGCACAAAATTCCCTTGGAGTTGTCCCAAAGGCTGGTGTGTTGCAGTTGCACCCAGACGCAGAGGCCCTGTAGCTCAGAGGGCAAAGCAACTCTGGTTCCGGTCATGCCTGCCCCATCCCAGGAGCATTTTTTGCCTACACTACATCTCAAAAGCAGGACTGGTGAGGGGAGGTTAGGTGGGAGGCTTGTTCTGGCCTCAGTATCTGATGTGGGGTGATTCAGAATCTGGTGTCATGGTGTCAGACCAGTGGAGGCCCCAGTAAAGAATTGACATGTTTTCTATGTATACTGTTAGGAAACTGACCTCTCAAGGGTGTGTGTGGATAGCTGGCACTTGCCTTCAACCAGATTATGGTACTTAATTTACCACATTCTGAATTCTGCCTGGGAGCTTCCCAACACATCTACCTAAAGATTAAAAGGAATGTAGCCAGTCCTGGGAACTGGATGGGTAGGTAAATGGGGAGGTGGTATAATTTAGTGGTAAAGAGGACAGACTAGATTCAGCCAGTTTGGGGTTCAAACCCTAGCCTTGATACTTAGGGGATCTTGGGCAAGTCACAGAATATTTCTGTTCCTTGGTTTTGCATGGGGTGGCATGGGGGAAGTGTCCTGCCCTGCCTGCTGCGGAGGCTGTTGTATGGAGTGAGATGGTAGATGCAAAGCCCTCTGCCTACTTCCTAACATGGAGAAATCACTCAGTACACAGCTGTTCTGATTTTCAGTGGTAAATTCTCCACTTGGCCATCCCTTCAATCCCATTGTGGAATCACTGGATGCCGGTGAGGGTACATGAGCATGTAGGCTTCTGTCCCTATGGCTTTACATGGGAAAGGGAACTTACGATGTGAAGAAGAGACTTGCATGTTCATGAAATGTCCTCTCTCCCTCAACAGAGACTTTGATCAAGGAGCAAGGGTAAGCACGAGCAAAAGGGGTTAGCAGAGTGTTTCCTGTCTGAGAGTCAGTGGCATGGCACAGGAAGACGGTGGACTTTAAGAAAATTGCAAGTTTATATGGACAGTTATTGTCCCCAGTTCAGTACCTTCTGTCCCCTCAGGGCTCTTAAGGGAGGACCACAGCTGTGTTGTCCTTAGGCTCCCAAGAGGGGAACTAGGTTTCGTGGGCTGTTTTGGCTGTGCTCATTTGAAGGCAGATTTCCAGACTGCCTGCTGCCTGGAACACCAGGGGACAAACTCATGACTTCGTGGGCCTTCCCTGCAGTCCAGGTAGGAATTGGGCCCCAGTCACTCAGTCCTGGAACAGCTGCAGGTGAATCTCCTGAAGTCTATCTGCCCCTGTTATTACTGTCAGCATCCTCACTGGGAGCTGCTTGTTCCTAGAAGTGATTTTCCTGTCTCTTTCTTCTGGTTTATTTTGGGATCTGCCTCACCTTACGGAGGCACAGCAAGCATTTGAGGGTGGATACAGCATTAGCTGTTCACAAGCAAGCAGAGGAAAGCTGTTTGCTGGCAGGTCCTGGGGGTTCTGGGCAGGGAACTCAGGAATTTGTCCTGAGGCTGAGGACCTGAGGCTGAACACTAGGACTTTGGACCTGTGCAGTTGGTATTACAGAATGCTGGTCACAGCCACTTCAATGGGCTCCTGCACCCTGGGCATCATCTATAGCCAGAGATATAGGTAACAGCTCACATTTACTGAGCACTGACTCTGCCAGGCATCCTTTGAGGGCAGGTGCTATAACTATCCTCATTTTTACAGATACAACTGAGTCTCAGAAGGAAGGACTCAGCCAAACAACCAAAAAGTGGTAGAGTTGGGACTCAAACCTAGATTTGTCTGGCTCTAAGCCCCAGCTCCTAACCACTGTGCCATACTATCTTCTTGTGTAGCAAAAAGGACGTGACCCCTGCCCTCTATCCAGCTCATAATCTTACAAAGGATACAGAGAACAAAGACAAAAACAGCCACCAAAGTGTTTTGGATGTCTTGGTGGAAGTATTTTGTGCTCAGTGAGGGCATAAAGATGGTATGGCAAGGCCAGGGCCTTTTCTCTTTAACCCTGAGATCTGTGTGGGGCAGTTCATCAAATTTTATGATGCTGAATCTCCAACTCCATCTGCAGCTCTCTCTTTGAGCTGTGTGGCCTTGCTCAGGTTGCTTAGAATCTCAGAACCTTAGTTTCCTCATCTGATGATAGGGATGAAAATATAATACCTACTTCGCAGAGATGATGTAAGAATGAAACAAGGTTAACATATGTAAAATGTTCAACACAGGGCCTGGCACATAGGCCATATTCAATAAGTGGCTATAGTTGTCATTTAAAAATATATACCTTTGTTCTGGGCACAGTGGCGTGCGAATGTAGTCCCAGCTACTCAGGAGGCTGAGGTGGGAGGATTGCTTGAGCCTAGGAGTTTGCATCATTGGTAACTTGGTGTCTGTGAATAGCTACTGCACTCCAGCCTTGGCAACATAGTCTTTTTAAAAATATATATCTATGTATATACACCTTTGCTACCTCCCTTTCCTTGGGGACCTGAAGGGGAAGTGGAGGTAAGGAGGCAGCCCTGGCAGAGGGCCCCTTGTTCTGCTCATTACCCAGTGCTGCATGTTGGCCCCATGTGGGCTCAGGGAAGCGTAGCCAGCCAGGAGCAGACCTGGGGCTCCTTATTGACCTGATCTGACTCCAGGCGGCTGTGAGAGTCTCTGAAATATTGGCATTAGCACAAAGAGCCCACTCAATGTGAGCACGCAGGAAGCCTGTGCAGGAACACGTTCATGTGAGGGGGAAAAAAAAGAAAAAGAAAAAAATTCCAAATCATCAACAACTGATGAGAGCAATCCAAGAATTATAGAGCACCAGCCATCTGGTCAGATCATTTCAGATCTGCACGAGCAATAAGAGGGAATTGAATTTTAAAAACCTCATTTATAGTAGACCAACTACTCTGGTTTCAAGTATTTAAGAGAGGAGTCTGATTTCCTGCAGGCCCTGGACATCTGTCTGAAGGAGCACCTGACTCTGGTCTGGGTGACTCTGTGACACTGTTTCTGTTGGGCCTCTGGCTCTTTGCAGCTTTGGAGGGGCGGCGTGGTTCTCCACTCCTCTGACACCAAGTGGGTGTGCAACAATTCAATTCAAATCTGCCAATGTCTATGTGGAATTAGTCTCAGATCCCTCAAGTTAAAGGGCTAAGTCCATAAGACTGCTTCCATTTCATATGGCAGTTGCAAGTCCTGGGCCACCTGTATTTCTGACTGACCAGGTATAAGTTGGGGATTCTCACAATCTCCTTCTCAGGTTTGACATTAATAATTTGCTAGAATGGCTCTCAGGAAAACACTTTATGTTTATTGGTTTGTTATGAAAATGCAACTCAGTGACAGCCAAACGGAAGAGTTTAGATGCGGCAAGATATTGGAGTGGGGGTAGGGAGTGGTGTGCAGAGCCTTCTAGCACTTCAGTGTGTCCGCCAACCCTCATGCTCAAGTGGAGTTCAGGAAGCTCTCTGAATCCTGTTGTTTCAGGGCTTTTATGGAGGTTTTATTATGTAGGCATAATTGATTAAAGCATTGGCCATTGATAATTTAGCTCAATCTCCAGTCCTCCTTCCCTCCCCTGAGGTCAGAGTGGGGCTGGGGCTGAAAGTTCCAGCCCTCTAATCCTGGGTTGGTCTTTCTGGCAACCAGCCTCCATCCTGAAGCTATTTAGAACCTCCAACCAAGAGTCACCTAATCAGTATAAAAGCCCCATAGTTGAAAGGGGTTTGGTAGGAATAACAAAGTACACTCTTATGGCTCAAAAAATTCCAAGAGTTTTAGAAACAATGAGCCAGGAACCAGGGTCAAAGACTACACATATTTTTTATTATACCACAGTTGCAATAAAAGTGAGACTAAGGGGGGCAAAGCTCCCAGTGTGTTCTGCCCCCTCCCCAGGTCTGTGGTTGGGAGGCAGGTGACCCTCCCTCCCTCCCTGATCCTGGAAGGATCTTCCTTACGGGTCTTCTCATTCCCCATGGTCCCCAAGAGTATAATCTCTTCTGTCCCATCCTTTATACATAGACATGCACACACATGTGAGGCCCAAGAAATTGGGTGGGAGCAAGGTTGTTGGTTCAGGACACTTCATGCCTAAGCCCCTGCGGCTCATCAAAGTGTGACAGTGGGACTTCTTAGCTGCTGTTAAGGAAGTAATGACTTAAGGGAGGGGGATAGCCAGGGGTCTTTGTTGGATGATGTTTCACCCTGGCTCAAGCACAGTGCTGGAAATGTGGGGCAGGGGCTAAATAGAAGAAACAGCCTGATTCTGTTGGGGTGGTCTGTCTTCTTGGACATAAGTTGCTATCTCTGGCAACTTTTCAGGATGAAGTATTCAACAGAGCTTACTTTTGGTGCTACTTCTTTCTGCACAGTGCCACCCTTCTTACTTTGAGGGCTTTCTAGTCTTCTGGGGATTTCCTTAGAACTTCATTTGTTCCTCTTCTACCTATACTTCTGGTCCCTCCCTCTATAACTTCCACCTTCCCAGCCTTTGCTAAGCATTCTCGACTCTGAGCATCTCCTTTGCTCCTTGGTAATACAAGCTTGTTAGGGAGAACCACTTGGGGGATGGAAGGATGCCAGGTCTCTTGAGGCCTATAGGAGCAGTTTCTGAGGCTTCAAATTATCCTGTACTGGGAGAGAAAAAAAGATGGTGGGCTGGAATACAGGAAGGCCCCAGGAGGCTCCATGAGGATCATTTAGATCTCTTCATTGCAGAGAGACCTCATTTCTCATGTAGGGAGGTCTCTTCACTAGCCTCTCAGGATGGCTGATCACTGCCCCTCAGCAGCTAAATCCCACAGCCCCCTGGGAGAGCAGGTGGAGGCCAGGCCAGGAAGGACTGCAACCTCCATGGCAGCCACTGCCAAGACTGAGGCCACTTTGCAGCCGGCTGGCTGAGTTCTGCTCTGACACCAAAGCATGTCTGCCCTGGCTTTGGCCTTCATTACCCGGATGGGACAGGCCAGGGTCCAGTTTGCAATCTGTGCATTTGGGTGGTGATGGAGAGCAGCTGTTGGCCATCCTCTTTCTAACAAGCATTTGTATGCTTAACATGCACCCTGAAGCCCTTATCCTCCCCTTCCTCTGCTTCTATCCACCTGTTCTCTCTGAGGTTTAATCAGGAGTGCTGAGCAGAGTGGCATAGCCTCAACTCTCAAAGGTTGGGACACCCAAATGTCTGAGATGGAAAACTTAGACCAAGTAGGGATGATGGAAAACTAGCTGCCAAAATAGTCCCAGCCCTCATGCCACAGACTTTGTTTTAGTTCAGAGAACCTTTGTAGCTCTGACTTTGCTTCCTTTTCTAATATTGGCCTCACCCCACTGGCCAAGACAGCCCAGGGCATCTCCACGGTTAAGACTAACCAGGGCTAGGAGTAGTTCTCAAGGGCTGGCCTAGAGCTTGAATGAGAGGCCCTTTCCCAGAACCTGTTGCATTCTTAGTTTTGTCAGAGCCTTGGAGGTAGGAATTGATCTATAACTTAGAGACAGTACTTCACTAGATAGAGAAGAGAACAAAGTATGAGTAGTGGTGTTGGTGGGGATAATATGAACAGAGACCTGAAGTGAGAGTATATCTGCTTGTCTGGAGTGGCAGGTGTGTGTAAGGGAAAAATGAGGTGGTGGGGGTGGGCAGCATCCACTCTGTCAGAGGTGGGGGCCAGTGAGGGAGAGGGAGGAGATCAGGAGGAGAACTGACAAGCCAGTAGATTTAAAGGTGTGAAACTTTTTTTTTTAAATTTATTTATTTATTTATTTTTTATTTTATTTTTTATTGATCATTCTTGGGTGTTTCTCGCAGAGGGGGATTTGGCAGGGTCATAGGACAATAGTGGAGGGAAGGTCAGCAGATAAACAAGTGAACAAAGGTTTCTGGTTTTCCTAGGCAGAGGACCCTGCGGCCTTCCGCAGTGTTTGTGTCCCTGGGTACTTGAGATTAGGGAGTGGTGATGACTCTTAACGAGCATGCTGCCTTCAAGCATCTGTTTAACAAAGCACATCTTGCACCACCCTTAATCCATTTAACCCTGAGTGGACACAGCACATGTTTCAGAGAGCACAGGGTTGGGGGCAAGGTCATAGATGAACAGCATCCCAAGGCAGAAGAATCTTTCTTAGTACAGAACAAAATGGAGTCTCCTATGTCTACTTCTTTCTACACAGACACAGCAACAATCTGATTTCTCTATCTTTTCCCCACATTTCCCCCTTTTCTGTTCCACAAAACTGCCATTGTCATCATGGCCCGTTCTCAATGAGCTGTTGGGTGCACCTCCCAGACGGGGTGGTGGCCGGGCAGAGGGGCTCCTCACTTCCCAGAAGGGGCGGCCGGGCAGAGGCGCCCCCCACCTCCCGCACGGGGCGGCGGCCGGGCGGAGGCGCCCGCCACCTCCCTCCCGGATGGGGCGGCTGGCCGGGCGGGGGCTGGCCCCCACCTCCCTCCCGGAGGGGTTGGCTGCCGGGCGGAGACACTCCTCACTTCCCAGACGGGGCGGCTGCCGGGCGGAGGGGCTCCTCACTTCTCAGACGGGGCGGCCGGGCAGAGGCGCTCCTCACCTCCCAGACGGGGTCGCGGCCGGGCAGAGGCGCTCCTCACATCCCAGACTGGGTGGCGGGGCAGAGGCGCTCCCTACATCTCAGACGATGGGCAGCCGGGCAGAGACGCTCCTCACTTCCTAGACGGGATGGCAGCCGGGAAGAGGCGCTCCTCACTTCCCAGACTGGGCAGCCGGGCAGAGGGGCTCCTCACATCCCAGATGATGGGCGGCCAGGCAGAGACGCTCCTCACTTCTCGGACGGGGTGGCGGCCGGGCAGAGGCTGCAATCTCGGCACTTTGGGAGGCCAAGGCAGGCTGCTGGGAGGTGGAGGTTGTAGCTAGCTGAGATCACGCCACTGCACTCCAGCCTGGGCAACATTGAGCACTGAGTGAACTAGACTCCGTCTGCAATCCCGGCACCTCGGGAGGCCGAGGCTGGCGGATCACTCGCGGTTAGGAGCTGGAGACCAGCCCGGCCAACACAGCGAAACCCCGTCTCCAGCAAAAAAATACGAAAACCAGTCAGGCGTGGCGGCGCGCACCTGCAATCGCAGGCGCTCGGCAGGCTGAGGCAGGAGAATCAGGCAGGGAGGTTGCAGTGAGCCGAGATGGCAGCAGTACAGTCCAGCTTTGGCTCGGCATCAGAGGGAGACCGTGGAAAGAGAGGGAGAGGGAGACCGTGGGGAGTGGGGAGAGGGGAGAGGTGTGAAACTTAAGTGTAACAGATTAGTCTGTCATAGAATCCAACCAGGAGCTGTGCTGGGAGATGAGGAGATGAAGAAAGATGATGTAAACTCCTGGGTTTGAGGAGTTTGATAGTAGAAGAGGAGAACTGAAAGGGCAATTTCAGTTAGCGATAGCCATATCAAAAAACTTGTTCATTTCATATTCCATTTGTTGAACTCCTGGAAGTATAGTGCTTGATGCCAGGGATACCATGGTGGGCATGACAGAGGTTGCTCACTTGGGCTTATAGTGATGGAGGACCCCCTACAGGAAGGTGGCTCAGTGAGAATGCAGAGGACACTGAAGGAAAGGCTTCCCTGAGGTGGGGTCATTGGAGCTGGATGGAGAGAGGTTTTCTGTATGTTGGAAGGCAGAGGGGAAAGGAATCAGTGTTGACAGATTTATAATCCCATAGAGGAGATCATTGATGGGGCAAAGTTATTTAGGTAGCAGATGGACAGTCTTGGCTTCATAAATGTGATGAGACTGAGAAATTAGAAGCAGAGGCTAGAAAGGGACACAGAAAGGTGGTAGGGATATAGACAGAAATTGAAGAAGCTCCTATTAGATGTCTTCAGTTTTCTGAGCCAAGCTGAGGGTGGTCTTCTGCTTTGAGCAATGAAAGAGAAGTACCCATTTGGGTGCTTGAGAAATGGAAGGTTGGGAAGAACTACTGTGGGGAAGGTGCTTGGACAACCAAGAGGTCAGAACTGAGCATCACCCAGTATTAGGAAAAGTCCAGTTAACATCTGACAACCTGACACTGTGGTGGGTGAGGTTTGTTGACTTCCTTGAGTAATCTGAGCCCTGGGCAGTGCATACATAGGTGGACAGTGAGATGGCTGGAGTCTGAGGAATGATAGGCAGATCATTCTGGGGACTCTTGGGTTGTCTCTGGGTATGGTAAGGGAGACTTTTGTCCATCTGGCCCATGGGGCTTTGTGAAGCCAGGTTTCTGGCAAGCTCTGGAGAGCTTTTTGGAAGCTCCTCTGAACCTGCTCCAACCTTCCCTCTTCTGAAGACAGGGAACATCAAGGGAACTCTTTGAGGCCCTGGCAGTGCACAGGGCAGGGTGGGGGTGGCACCCCACTAGCCACTGATCTTTTGGCAGCCTGTCAAGAGCCCACATGAAGCACAGCCTTGTGTGCAGGGGCTCTGTGAGCCTTTTGTTGCCTGGGTGCTAATCAAGCTGATTATATTTCTGTTCATGTGGGGGTTTTGTTTTGTTATTATTCATAAACTCATAAGTTGTTGGTTTTTCCTTATTTCCCATAATATGTGGATTTGGGCAAACAAAGATTGAGTTTTAGTTTAATTTATTTAATTCCCAGAACAGTCTGTTTATGGTTTGTGTAATGCAGCTGTTTGGAAGAAGAGAACCATTTCTTTGGATTAAAAGTCTTCAGATTTGATTACCTATGGCCATAATGAGTTTATCTGGGCAGGGGTGAGTTTTTAAGGAATAGTAATATGGTATATTTGTAAAGTTCTTTTTCCTTAGGGGAAAAAAGAAACGACCCCTGCTCCCCACCCCAGTAGCCCTCTAAATGTTATATAAACATCATCTTTTTAATCTCTATTCCATCATCTCCCAGTTTGGTCAAGTCATTCAGGCTCTTCTTTTTTTTTTTTTTCGAGACAGAGTCTTGCTCTGTCACCCAGGCTGGAGTGCAATGGCGTGATCTCGGCTCACTGCAACCTCCATCTGCCGGGTTCAAGCAATTCTCCTGCCTCAGCCTCCTGAGTAGCTAGGACTACAGGCGCGTGCCACCATGCCTGGCTAATTTTTGCATTTTTAGTAGAGACGGGGTTTCACCATGCTGGCCAGGCTAGTCTTGAACTCCTGACCTCGTGATCTGCCAGCCTTGTCCTCCCAAAGTGCTGAGATTATAGACGTGAGCCTCCGTGCCTGGCCAAGTCATTCAGGCTCTTAGAGGATGAGGAGGTTGTCTAGTATCTCATGACCAAGAAATGACTGAGAGGATCCTAGAATGGAAGGGGTTTACCAAAAAAAAAAAAAAAAGACAGAGGGGAAATAGGACCCAGGAATTCCAGTCTAGCAGTTGGATGGGGAAAGGAAGAAAACTGCTTTTTTTTTTTTTTTTTTTAACATCCCCTTGTGCTAGGTGCTTTGTGTATATTAAGTCCTCAAGATACCCCATAAGGGAGTAGTTATGTTTTCTCTTGGTCTCTTTTGGAGCCCATGGTCCATTGGTAAAGGGGCTTCAGATCTCATTGCTTTTCCCAGATTTCCTTTCTTCTGAAGATGGAATCTGCGGGGTCATGATCTGAAAGCAGTTTTATTTGACGTCTACATGGGAACAAAATAATGTGAATTTTGAAGGCCTTTGACACTGAGAGGGGGAAATTATTCAAGCAGACACAGAATTATCAAGCTGCCCTGTTTGGGTTTCTAAGTTGGATCTTAGGGATTAATTCTTATGTCCCTAAACACAGCAGAGTAAGCAGCCCTGTGTGCAGTGTGATTTGAGGGCTGTTAGCTGGCTTTAGATTCCCACTGGGTTAAATTGTAGATGTAGAGGCTGGAGGAATTGTTCCCTAAAGATGGTTAGCATTTTAGCTTCCAGTATTTGATCAAAGTATCTAGCTGAGGATACTTTGGAGTTAGGTATAGAACAGTAGATTTCAAAGGAGAGGGCTCTTTTACAAAGCTGGCAGTAATGGAGGCACCCAGATAAAGTGTTTCATTTACAGGAGTCCATCTTAGTTTTGAAGTTAAGGGATGTACTTTGTGGGGTGAAGAGCAGAAGAAAAGTTCTAAGGAAGGCTGAGCATTTTTCACCTATTTGCTGGCTTCATCTGACACTGCTGATGCATATCAATGAAAGTCTTGGTTCTAAAGTGGCCGTTTGAACACAATACTCTTTTTTTTTTTTCTTTTCCTTGTTTTCATGCTCTCAGTTCTTTTCCCTTTTCCCCTCCTTCACATCCTGCCCTCCCTGCCACCTTACCTTCCTAGCTGCCTCTACCTGCAGCTGACTGGCAGGTGGCAGGGATGAATAGATGGAGAGGTCTGTAGCTGGGGGAATATTTTCTCAATTCTGCTAGCATCAAAGAAATGATTTCCCAGCCTATTCTTCCAGCCACGTATTTCGCTGATCAGTCAGAACTAGAGGAAAAACACATTAGCGTTGCCAGAGAGGGGATTTGGGAAAAATCAAGTCTGTGGAACTGAGTGATCTAAAGTCATAAGCATTAAAAACAAATCCTGGAGTGCAGCTGGAATTCTTCCCAGCCTGCCTCCCACAGCCCTGTCCCTTGACACACACACCATGTGCCACATGAATAGTTTGTACCTCAACTTTCCCAAAGATCCTAATACTAACGACAAGGTGTCCGTTTGTGTTGCCCATCATTGGATATTTCTGGGCATAACATGGGAAAAAAAGCAATCCCAGGAGCTTTTTCCCCTTTTTGTGACCTCCGTGTTTCCATAGGCTTGAAAAGGCTTCGGAATAGAACTCTCTTGAATTGAGCACACCTACATGCTCATCTATTTTTCCCTCCATCTGGCACCAGTCCAGAGTGAGGTCTCAGGAGAACAATGGCCTTTTCTTTACCCTTAATCCAGGAAGGTGCTTCTTGTCAAGAGAAAAAAAATCTTCTGGTTCTATGGGCAGAAATTCAAGTGGAGTATTTCGTCGTCTTTGGAAGAAAGATAAAGCCTATAATGCCCTTTCTTCAATGAGACACATTCTTCGGAGAGGGAATGGCCAAGAGCTGAGCCCAGATTGTATTTTGGCATTTGATTGTTGCTGCCGTGCCTTGAATATAGCATGTAGTATAGTGTTTTAGAGTCAGTCTACCTGGGTTCACACCTCTGCTCTGTCTTTTATAGCTAGTAGCTGGGCAAGTTACTTAATTACAGTAAAGATTAATGAACTATCCCTCTCTGTAAAATAGGGGTAGTAATAATGCCTACTTCAGAGGGTTATTTTAAATAGTAAATAAGGTAAACATGAAATGTTTACTGTGATGCCAGGTGCATAGTAATAGCTCAGTAAATGTTAGCTGTTGTTTTTTCTGTTGTATTAAAAATCAGTGGACATCAGATGAACCCAAATTGAGGTACAGTCTGCAGAATAACTACCAGCACTTTTCAAGTATGTCCAGGTGATGAAAGACAAAGACTGAGGAACTGTCACAGATTGGAGGAGACAAAGGAGACCTGACGACCAAATACAGTGTGATATCCTGGATTAGACTGTGCAAGAGAGAAAAACATTAGTGGAAAAACTGGTGAAATCCAAGTAGAGTCTATAGTTTAGTTACTACTGTTGTATAATTTCTTAGTTTTGATAATTGTCCTATAGTTTTGTAAGACGTTAATAGCAGGAAAATCTGGATGAAGAGTATATGGGAAACTCTGTATTTTTTTTTCTTTTTTTTGCAACTTTTCTGTAAGTCTAAAATTGTTTCAAAATAAAAAGCTAAAATAGAATAATGTCTAAGTGATCTTTTTAAGTAAAGGAGAAACTCACCAGGGTATAGCTGTGCCCCCAGCATAACAGGTAACACCTGAGTCAGTCTTGCCTCCCATGTCAGAAGGAGGGCTCTTACTCAGGGATCCCAACACCTGCCTCTTAAGCACCTGCACACCTGCTGCATCCTCAGGCAAGGTCTGTTCTAGGCAGATAATTGGTCAGATAGCAATGCAGACACACACCCCAGATCAGATCCTGCAGCGGGGCCATACAGCAACTGGGGAGGAGGCCACTCATGTGGCATTAGGACTCTCTGCAGGGCTGAGTGATCAGGGCACTTGTCTCTGTTCTTTGGAATATAAATGAAATTCTGCCTGTTTTATCCTACCTAAGCACCAATCACTATGGCAGTATGTTTGTGGATTGTGATGCCTACCCCTACGCTCATTGTTTGATCATCCAGAGAAAGAAAAATAATTTCAAGCCTTTGCAGTAATTTATTATTTTCTTTCCTGCCAAGTGGCTTGCTTTTGCACAAAGCAGGTATTTTGCTTGCTTTTCTTAAGTGTAAAAGGTACATGTGCTTTTCTTATGACTGATGTGGCCATCCCTGTCATGCTAATAGCAGGGTTTGTAGAAGAAAGCCATTATCATCATTGGAAGAATGTGAGTCTTGGAGTTTTTATTTTTGCTTTGAAGTCAGGTATCGGGGGTTCTGGAAAGTATAGAGTCTTTCATTCTAGCACACAACTCCCTTACAAGCATTTACCCTCAGAAGCCCATATTTTCTAAGTTAAAAAAAATCAATGCTAAAAAACATTCTTTGTATTTTAACTCAATGGCTAAGCTATGCTGCTTTTTGCTGTTGATTTACACATCTTATTGTCAGACCCTTGGGATGTATGTGGATTACTCAATGCTGTGACAAATGGCTAGGCTCCGAATTGTGTATTATATTACAGGATAGTTCATAAACCATATTTTTCTGTAGGTTATTTTAGGCATAAGACTAGTGAACTGCCATTTCTCTTTTAGTCACACGTGACTTTAAAAAGGTGGAGGATGCCAGTGGGAAGGAGAAGTGGCTGGCTCAAGATTGAATAGCCAGTGGCCCCAAAACCTTGTGAATGCAGAGGCTTGAAGTGGACAGACCTTGAGTATGGATTGGGAGGATTGAGAGAGCAGAGAGAATCTGCTGGAAATCAAGCCTTTTGCTATACCTTTGCTCAGGCTAGAGCACTAGCAGAAAAATAACTGGCTTCTCCTCTCCTGGGGCTTCTGAGTCCTGAGAATCCTGCACCATGAGTGGGCCTTCCCCACTCCTGCGTCCCCCTCCCCTACACAGCCACTTATGCTGATGGATGTGCAAATCCTTTACAGACAGTTTGGCACGGCTTCGCTTGCAGAGATCATCTGTCTCTTTTGACTGAGCAACTTTATGTTTGCGGCTCCTTTTCCCTGCACAGAGAGAAATTGCCTTGTGCCGGCTTCTGCCTTCTGATGGAAATGTTTACCTTCCCTAGGGAAAGCCACTATTCTTTGGGGGTAATGTTTGCTGGTGCTCTCCACCCCTTTTGGGAACATAAGCCTGTGCTCAAGGGTGGACTGGAGGAGGCGGCCGTTGGAGCGTGCACGATTGCTACCGGGGCAGCCATCTGCCAGTGTCGCGGCTCACAGCCTGCCTCTGAGCAGGCCGCCGGGAGGGAATGTCTGCACTCCCGGGCCTGCATGCATTATGCACAGCCCATTCCCTAAATGAGCTTTCTAAGGGTATATAACTCCTTTCTACTCTGTTCTTGTATGGCCTGCCTCAGGACACCTTTCAGAATCTCCCCTAATTATGCTTCTAGTGCCAAGCATTTAGAATTTCTGGTAACAGCTGAATTTTTTTTTTGATAGATTTCTGCAATTGCAGTGAGGGATTGATTTATAGTTATGGGAGGATTTGCTTCTTCCAGGGAAATTATCAACACTGCGATGATACAGTTTCATGTCAGTGGTATTTTGACTATCCAAAGCCACAGTCCAGCCTCCTTGGCCTGCCTAGCTTCTTCTGGAATGGACCCCTTGTAATTTGAGGAGGCTGTTCTGGCATTAGAATGAAATCTGGGCTTCCAGTTGCCGACCACCACCTTCCCCACATATCGCCCCCCTCTTCCCCACCTTCTCTTCCTGAGATGGAGGAGTTTTTTCACATGCTGCTTAGAAAAAGGAGATTCATAACATGACTCAATCCTCACCCACGGATCTAGGATTCCTGCCATCCAGTAAATTTTGGCAGGCAGGCTGTGTGTACGGAGAGCGAGTCCTGCCGCCCTATCCCTGCCCTGCTCCCCTCATTGCGTGTGCTTCTTGGGTGGAGTCTGGGTTGCCTAGCCTCTCATTTCTTCCGCTTTTCCTCTAAGCAGCCCTTCCTTCTTCTCTAGGATTGGCCTTCAGTATCTGTCAGGAAAAGAGGACAGTCTCTCACGTTCCTGGGACTTCACAGAGAGACCCTTAGGAAGAGTTCAAGTCCTGAGGTGTTTGGGTACTTGCCATGTGCCTACTGCTGCATTAAATACAGTGAGGTCATAGCAGAGTGCCTGGGCCTTAAGTCTTAATCCTTAACCACAGCCTACCTGGGAATCAATTCAAACAAAAAGATTGGCAGTCTTACTAACCCACTCAAGGATCTGGATATACAGGTGTCCTTGTGTCTGTCATTATGTTGATATGTCAGGGTCGTTGAGGCCTCCAGGCTAGTGCTGGTGATGCTGTGATACTGTTGAAAGTGAGTTACTGGTAACGTTGGGTTTTCCTTTGCCCTCTGCTAGGGGAGAGGAGAGGAAAAGGGGCATTAGGTTCTAGAAAATCCTTGTCTGTGAAGACTTTGGTTAAACTTTGTCTTCCTTTTACCCATCTCTGGACAAGACAAAAGGACCCTGAATAACAGAGTAGGGAGCAGAGTGGGACTTTGGGGAATCAGAGGCAGTGAGAGACCAGCAGGAACAGAGAGAGGACTTCTGGCCTACCAGCCTGTTAGAACAAGAGAAAGGAGTCCCTTCTTCAGCCTGGCTAGCCAGGGACACCCATGCTCGACCCATTGTTGGCGTGGTCTAGGAGGAGCCAGGAGGCCCCTGCCCAGTCTGTTACCTACAATTATTGTTGCTACCTCTGAGCCACGTGCTGCCGTCTTTAAAGGCTCACAGCTACAGCAGAGTGAAAGGTCCTGAGCTGCTTGGCTCCTGCAGCATGGAGGCTGACACACAGGGAGAGACTTAGGACAAATCTGGACCAGACCAGGTGTGGCTTCTTTTTAACCTAGCCAATAGGAAGCACTTGTTGTAGGAACCCTCACCCCAGTCTGTGTAGATGTGTCTAGAGCTGAGCCTCTTTCTTCCAGTTTGGCCTTTGTGGGCTCTCCTTCCCATTTCTGGCCTCAACAAACTGACCTGCCAGCAGGTTCTGGAGCCTTCCCAGGCCTGCAGCAAATAGGGCTTGGCAATGACAAGATCTGTGGTAGGGCAGCATTTATTGGATGTCCTTTGAAATTAACTTTCCCATGGTCCATAAGTGCCTCCTGGGAGTTTCTTCAGGGTCCTGGCTTCCCTTGAACTTCATGCTTATGCTGACTCCCACACACATGTCTGTGTTTTTCATTTTAAAGATGATTGGTAATGAATTGGGGGAGGGGAGTGAGAATTTGCTTTCCTCTGCACCAGAAGTGCAGTGCTGCTAATTTCATTCTCCACACTTTGTCTCTGAGATGAGCAGGGTCCACTGTGCCCATGTTTAGTACTGCTGTGTTGCTGGACTCTCCTGGCAAAAATTAGGCTAATGTCTCCAACAACTGCATTAGCCACTGAAATGAGGTTCTAAATTGAAGGTACTACACCAAGTCTCTCTCCAAGGTATCGCCTTGTTCTGGCTTTTATTATTCAAATTCATTCTCTCTGATTCTCCACAGACTGACTGGCACGCTGGTTCAGTGCAGCACATTGTACTAGCCGAAAGGCAAGATCACCTTTTAAAAAGAGGGAGGAAGGAAAGGGGCAGGGGGAAAGGCAAAAGAGGAATACTTGCTGTGGTGCAAAGAATCAGAACTCTTATTCTAAGAGCTGCTTGACAGGCCTGTGCAATGCTCAGAGATAGGAGAGAAAGGGATCAGACCTAGAATAGGGTGGAGCGGTACCTTGGGTGGGGATGTCATTGCGGTAGTGGTATCTATGCCTTGTAAGTTCACTACATCTTCTTCCTTCCCTTTCTTGTTTACTGAGCGCCTAATGCCTCACAGGGTGCTGAGAATTTTGAGGTGGGAGACCAAAGATCAAAAGGACAGGATCTTTCCCTTAAGAAGCTCTTGATAGGCTGGGCATGGTGGCTCACACCTGTAATCCCAGCACTTTGGGAGGCTGAGGCAGGTGGATCACCTGAGGTTGGGAGTTTGAGACCAGCCTGACCAACATGGAGAAACCCCATCTCTACTAAAAATACAAAATTAGCCAGGCGTGGTGGTGCATGCCTGTAATCCCAGCTACTCAGGAGGCTGAGGCAGGAGAACTGCTTGAACCTGGGAGGCGGAGGTTGCGGTGAGCTGAGATTGCACCATTGCACTCCAGCCTGGGCAACAAGAGCAAAAACTCCGTCTCAAAAAACAAAAAAAAAAAAAAAGAAAAAAGCAGCCCTTGATCTTAGTTTCATCTGTTTTCTGTCTTGGGTGCTATGGGAGGGGAAGGAATGGGAGGAGGGGGCTGGACCTTAGGATTCTTGCATATTATATTGGAAGTAGGATACTTTCAGCAGTCAGATGCCTAGAGAGTTGAGAATTTGGCTCTTATATGTTTGTTTTTAAAATGACTTTCTCTCTCTCTCTCTCTCTTTTTTTTTTTTTTTTTGCCTGCTGACAAAGTAATATGTTTTCAAAGCAGAATACTTGGAAAACATAGAAAAACACAAAGGGAGACAACAACAACAACAACAAAATCACCCAAATCCCACTGTGCAGATGTAAAATTAACATTATGGCTTGTGTTCTTCCAGTTGTTTGCACAAAAGTGCAGTCATACTGTACAGACTATTTTGAGACAGATACTTTCCCTTTAGAAATGGAGACTGAAAGTTAGAGCCTCCAGCATATAGGTATAAAGTGAGCCTTAGGCATAAAGTGAACATTTTCCAGGTGCTGTTCTTTAATATATTCAAGTGTATGAATATACCAAATTATACTTAATTCTTACGGTTGGGCATTTAGATGGTTTCCAGTTTTTCACTGTTGTAAATAATTCATTAGTGAATATACTTGTATTTATTTTGATGTATTCTCTGTGTTCTTAGGATTCACACCCAAGTGCGTGTCTTTTCTGATTCTTTTCACCCAGCATTTCAGCGAGGGCAAACTCTTTTCCAGGCGTTTTAGATAATACCATGATTTTGAGTATCTCTCTGCACTAACATCAGATGCCCTGGAATTTCTTCTCTATGTGGTCCCTGGATTCTTCTTCTTTGTCCAGGAAATAGCTGGGTTCAGGTGAGATGGGTAGCAAGAACAGAATACACATTCTCATTGTTTTGTGCCAAGATCGTAAGGTCCCCAGAGACCTCACATTGTCATCATCCCCTTTGATAGCAAGCAGTTATTGAATGCCTACCTACCTGTGTCTAACCCAGAATCAAATGGAGGAGATACAAAACAGGTCTCTACTCTCAGGGAGCATGGTGACTGATTGAATAACAGAATTAACATGAAAGAATTCACACACAATTTATTGAGCACTTGCTATGTGGTAGGTATTTGTTCTAGGCTATTTTGGGGGGAAGAGAAAAGGTAGATGTGCTTTTCTTCTTAAAGGAAGCTACAGCATTTATACACAGTTTATATACAGTTAGCCACACAGGTCAATAACTGATAAATATCTGATTGTACAGACATTAAGTTCAACGTTGGTAGTCATTGAAGTGTTAGGGTTGCTTTGGTGGAGAAGCTCATTCACTATGAGAGTAATTAGGTAAATTTCAGAGAAAAGATAGGAGATTAATTGGGGCTTGGAAAAGCTGGTATTTGATGAGGTGGAGTATAAAGGGTTTTCCAGGTGGGAGGAGCAGCTTGCAAAGAGGTAGTGGCAGTAATGACTGTCTTATGATGGTGACCAGGTGTACGGCAGCACAGAACAGAGGATGGAGAATTACAGAGAGGTGAGGGAGAGTTAAGGTTATATTCTGAGAGTTAGGGAATCCAGAGCAGTACTAGGTACACAGTGGATGAGAAAAAAAACTTGCTACATTTGTATCTGATTAAAGGGAAGGTAAGAAAGTCTTGATTTTTCTCAGTGCCAGAACGCCCCAGGCTCAGTCCTTGGACCTCTGCTCTTCTCTGTCTACACTTAAGGCGTTGGTGACTCATCTAGTCTGATGGCTTCATGTTTCATCTGTATGCTGATGACTGCTAGGTTTTTTTTTTATCTCCAACCTAGGCTTCTCTGAACTTCAGATCCATCTGCCTACTAGACACCTTTACTTGGATAGGCATCTTAAATTTAACATGTCTAAAACTGAGCTCCTGCAGCTTTCCCCACTTCAGTTAATGGCTATTCTATCCCTTTAATTTTTCAGGTCAAAATCCTCACAGTCATTCTCGACCCCTTTCTTTCTCTAAGACCCCACATTCTGTCTGACAGCCGATCCCAACAGCTCTGTCTTCAAAAAATATATCCAGAATTTGACCACTTCTCATCACCCGTGTGATCACCATGATCTCTCACCTGGATTATTGAATAGACATCTAATTAGCCTCCCTCATTCTGTCCTAATTACCTGCAGTTATTTCTCAACACAGCAGCCAGTGATCCTTCTACCATGCCTTCCTGTGCTTAGAAATATCCTCTGGTGTTCCTTCTCACATAAAGTAAGGGTTAGCTCCTTCTTTGGCCTGCACAGCTCTGTGATGCGGCTCACCATTACCTCTGTCATTTCATTTGCTGCTACTCTCCCTTATATTTCCTCTCCTCTAGTCACTCTGGTCTTGCTCTTGTTCCCTAAACACATCAGGCTGTCACACCTTGGGACCTAGAATGTTCTTCTACTGGATGGCTTTGTGGCTAGCTCCCTCACTTCCCTTAGTCTTTCCTCAGAAGTGACTTTCTTCTTTTCCAGTGTCCAAAGCTGGATTGATATGAAGCAACAAAATAAGTAAGGTAATATTGGATTATAACTCAAATTATAAAATAAATGTACATGAGTCTAAACTCATTTAAATAAATGACTAGGGGAGAAGAAGTTAAATCTTTTTAAAAAAATTTCATGTTACTTTTTGTGCATACATTATAGGTGTATATATTTATGAGGTACATGAGATGTTTTGATACAGGCATGCAATGGGTAATAATCACATTATGGAGAATGGGGTATCCTTCCCCTCAAGCATTTATCCTTTGTGTTATGAACAGTCCAGTTATACTCTTTTAGTTATTTAAATGTACAATTAGATTATTATTGACTACAGTCACCGTGTTGTGCTATCAAAAGTAGGTCTTACTTATTCTTTCTATTTTTTTAATATCCATTAACCATCCCTATCTCCTTGTTCCCCTTCCCCACTCCCTTTCCTAGCCTATGGTAACCATCCTTCTACCTGCTGTATCCATGAGTTCAATTGTTTTGATTTTTAGATCCCACAAATAAGTAAGAACATATGATGTTTGTCTTTCTGTGCCTGGCTTATTTAACATAATGATCTCTAGTTTCATCCATGTTGTTGCAAATGATAGGATCTCATTCTTTTTTTTTAATGACTGAATAGTATTCCATTGTGTATATGTACCACATTTTTAAAAATCCATTCATCTGTTGATGGACACTTAAGTTGCTTCCAATGTTGGCTATTGTGAACAGTGCTGCTACAAACATGGAGTACAGATATCTCTTTGATATACTGATTTCTTTTCTTTTGGGTATATATCCGGCAGTGGAATTGCTGGATCATATGGTAGCTCTATTTTTAGTTTTTTGAGGAACTTCCAATTATTCTCCATAGTGGTGTAGTAATTTACATTCCCACCAACAGTGTATGAGGGTTCCCTTTTTTCCACATCCTCTCCAGCATTTGCTATTGCCTGTTTTTTGGATATAAGCCATTTTAACTGGGGTGAGATGAGATGATATCTCATTGTAGTTTTGATGCACATTTCTCTGACGATCAGTGATGTTAAGTACCTTTTCATATACCCGTTTGCCATTTGTATGTCTTCTTTTAAGAAATGTCTATTCAGGCCAGGTGTGGTGGCTCACACCTGTAATCCCAGCACTTTGGGAGGCTGAGAGGGGGAGATCACTTGAGGTTGGGAGTTTGAGAACAACCTGGCCAACATGGTGAAACCCCATCTCTACAAAAAATACAAAAATTAGCCAGGCCTGGTGGTGGGTGCCTGTAATCCCAGCTACTCAGGAGGCTGAGACAGGAGAATCACTTGAACCTGGGAGGCAGAGGTTGTGGTGAGCTGAGATCACACCACTGCACTCCAGCCTGAGTGACAGAGCGAGACTCCCTCTCAAAAAAAAAAAAAAAAAAAAAAAAAGAGTAAGAAAAGTCTATTCAAATCTTTTGCACATTTTTTTGATGGAATTATTAAGTTTGTTTTTCCTATAGTTGTTTGAGCTTCTTAGATATTCTGGTTATTAGTGTCTTGTCAGATGGGTAGTTTGCAGATATTTTCTCCAATTCTGTGGGTTGTCTCTTCACCTTGTCGATTGTTTCCTTTGCTGTGCAGAAGCTTTTTAATTTGATATGATCCCATTTGTTCATTTTTGCTTTGGTTATTTGTGCTTGTGTGGTACTGCTCAAGAAATCTTTGCCCAGACCAGTGTCCTGGAGATTTTCCCCAATGTTTTCTTGTAGTAGTTTCATAGTTTGGGATCTTAGATTTAAACATTTAATCCATTTTGATTTGATTTTTGTATATGGTGAGAGATAGGGGTCTAATTTTATTCTTCTGCATATGGATATCCAGTTTTCCCAGCACCATTTATTGAAGAGACCATCTATTCCCCAGTGTATGTTCTTGGCACCTTTGTCAAAAATGAGTTTACTGTAGGTATGTGCATTTGTTTCTGGGTTCTCTCTTCTTTCCATTGGCATATGTGTCTGTTTTTATGCCAGTACCATGCTGTTTGGGTTACCATAGCGCTGTAGTATAATTTGAAGTCAGGTAATGTGATTCCTCCAGTTTTGTTCTTTTTGCTAAGAATAGCTTTGGCTATTCTGGTTCTTCTGTGGTTCCATATAAATTTTAGGATTGGTTTTTCTATTTCTATGAAGAATGTCATTGGTATTTTAATAGGGATTGCATGAATCTGTAGATTGCTTTGGGTACTATGGACATTTTAACAACATTGATTCTTCCAATCCATGGACATGGAATCTCTTTCCATTTTTTGGTGTCCTTTTCCATTTCATTCATCAGTGTTTTATAGTTTTCATTGTAGAGATCTTTCACTTCTTTGGTTAAGTTAATTCCTAGATATTTAATTTTAGTGTGTAAATGAGATTACTTTTTAAATTTCTTTTTCAGATTGTTCACTGTTGGCATATAGAAATGCTACTGATTTTTAGGGCTGGGCACGGTGGCTCTCTCCTGTAATCCCAGCACTTTGGGAGGCCGAGGTGGGCAGATCATGAGATCAGGAGTCCAAGACCAGCCTGGCCAATATGGTGAAACCGTGTCTCTACTAAAAATACAAAAATTAGCCAGGCGTAGTGGCGTGTTCCTGTAGTCCCAGCTGCTTGGGAGGCTGAGGCAGGAGAATTGCTTGAACTGGGGAGGTGGAGGTTGCAGTGAGCTGAGATCAAGCCACTGCACTCCAGCCTGGGTGACGGTGAGAAGTCTTAAAAAAAAAAAAAAAGAGAAATGCTACTGATTTTTGTATGTTGATTTTGTATCTTTACTGAATTTGTTTGTTAATTCTAATAGTTTTTTGGGGGAGTCTTTAAGTTATTCCAATGCTGTAACCATTCCCTGGCTATTGCCTATGTTCACTCAAGGCCCTGGGGTTCTACAATGAGCAGGTAGCAAAGCCAGCCAGGCCCATATCCTTCCCTTCAGGGCAGCCAGCTCCCCCAGGTGCTATGTGGGACATCATTCCCAGACGGCACCTCGCTCTAGAGGTGCCGCCTGGGAGTCAGGGACTAGAGTAAAAAACCTTAGACATCTACCTGGTATTCTGTGGTATTGCAGCTGAGGTGGCACTTAAACCACAAGACACAGTCTTCCCTCCCCTTTCCAAAGGCCACCTTTGGAAAGTGTGGCCACCACCACTACAGGCCCATGGGGAGTACTGCCAGACTACCACCGATGTTCCCTTAAGGCCCAAGGGCTCTTAAGTCAGCTTGTGGTAAATGCTGCCTGGCCTGGGACTCACCCTTCAGCGCAGTGGGCTCCCTTCTGGCCCAGGGTAGGTCCAGAAATGTCATCCAAGAGTCAGATCCTGGAATCTGGGACCCCAGGGCCCTGCTTGGTGCTCTACCCACCTGTGGCTGAGCTGTCTCAGAGGCTTACCCAAGGCCCTCAGCATGGTACCTGGGCATCATTGCTGGTTATTCAGGGTCTAAGGGCTTTTCAGTTAGCAGATGACGAATGCTGCCAGGACTGGGTCCTTCCCTTTAAGGCAGCAAGTTCCCTTTTGGCCAGGGTGTGTCTAGAAATGTCATCTGGGAGCTAGGGCCTAGAACAGGTGCCTCACAACTCTGACTGGTGCCCTGTTCTGCTGTGGCTGAGCCGGTATTCAAGATGCAAGATGAAGTCCTCCCCACTCTTTTCTCTCTTCTTCTCAAGCAGAAGGAAGGGGCCTCTTTTGGAGCTGTGAGTTGTGCAGCCTAGGGTTAGAGGAGGGATGATGCCAGGATTCCCTTAGGCGCCTTGGCTAGTGTCTTAGGAGATTGTGTTTCCCACTCTTCTGCCGCCCCACCGTCTACTGTCTCTGGTTCCAGTTCAGCATTTGGACTCACCTGAGAGTTACAGTCCTTGCGGTCTAGACAGGCTTTCAAGTTTACTTAGAGACCCAGAGCACTTTAGCCTGTGGCGGCAAGGTTTGTGGGAACTCAGGTTTAAACTGCCGGGATCGGTGATTCCCTGTTGGTGTGGGCTGGTTTAAATGCTCCCTCCATGGGTGGGCGTCAGCTGAGTTTGGTCCAGTTTTTCTATCTGCTCTAATAGGACAGTGTGGAGTTCAGTGCCTCACAGTTGCTGTGCTCTCCCTCTGCCAGTGCCCAGAGACATTCTTCATACCATACTGCCACTGTTGGGGGGGTGGGCGTTAGCAATCCAAGGCTATCTTTTCTATCTCTTCAGTGCGTCTTTCAGCGACACAGAGTTAAAAGAGGCACTGTGAATGCTCACCTGATTTTTGGTTTTCATGAAGGTGCTTTTCTTGTGCAGATAGTTGTTAAATTGGTGTCCTTGCAGGAGGGACAATTGATGGAGCCTTCTATTCCACCATCTTGTTCTGTGTCTTCTCAAAAGTTAAATCTTTCTTTCTTTAAATTTTTTTTTTTTTTAAATTTTGACACAGGGTCTTGCTCTGTTGCTCCAGCTGGAGTGCAGTGGCACAGTCACGACTCACCGCAGCCTTGACCTCCCTGGCTCCACCAGTCCTCCCACCTCAGCCTCCTGAGTAGCTGGGACTACAGGTGTGTGCCACCACAATGGCTCATTTTTGTATTTTTTGTAATTTTGTATTTTTTGCACTTCTCAAAGTGCTTGGATTACAGGCGTGAGCCACTGCACCCAGCCAAAAGTTAAATCTTTCTTGCAGAAGAATTCCAATAATAGGGCTGGGCATGTGGCTTATGCCTGTAATCCCAGCAGTTTGAGAGGCCAAGGCAAGTGGATCACTTGAGGCCAGGAGTTCAAGACCAGCGTGGCCAACATGGTGAAACCCCATCTCTGCTAAAAATACAAAAATTAGCTGGGTATGGTGGCGCACGCCTGTAATTCAGCTACTCAGGAGGTGAGGCACGAGAATTGTTTGAACCCAGGAGGTGGAGGTTGCATTGAGCTGAGATCGCACCACCGTACTCCAGCCTGGGAGACAGAGTGAGATGCTCTCAAAAAAAAAAAAAAAAAAGAATTCCAATAATATATATATATAGATACTCCCCCCTCTAGAAGGTGGAGCTTACATCTTTCCAGTTGGGCTAGACTTACTGACTCATTTCTAAAGAACACATTTTGGAAAAGGAAAAATAGTCACTTTACAGTGGAGAAATCTGGTAAGTACTACCTGTGATCAAGGGTATCAAGTGAGCCAGGGTAATATCACCAGTGTTGTCATGTGGATATGATGCACCCTATGGTATGATGAGACAAAGGGACACTTTACCTTTGTGGTATTCTTCCTCAAAACCAACGACCCCAGTCTAATGAGAAAAACATCAGACAAACCCAGATGGTGGAACATTCTGTAAAATACCTGACCAGTACTCTGCAAACTATCATGGTTTTGATAAACAAGGAAAGACTGAGAAACTGGCATAGACCAGAGAGGACATGACATGTAAATGCATTGTGGTATTGTGAATTGGATGCTGGAACAGGAAGAGGATATTCATGGAAAAACTAGTGAAACATAAAGAGTCTGGAGTCTAGTTAACACTAATATACCAATGTTGGTTTCTTAGTTTTGACAACTGTACTATGGTAATATAAGATGATAGCATTAGGGGAACTGAAACTGAGTAAATGTTGTACAGAAATTCTAGGAACTCTCTGTATTATCACTGAGTTTTCTGTAAGTCCAAAATAATACCAAAAACAAAACTAACCTTGTCTATGAGGCCATCTCTGTCTACCCTTTCAAAAATGTTTTAGCCTTTCTTAACATTTCATATCCCTTTCCCTGCATTATTTTGCTCCTTAGCACTTATTATTTAATCTATAGATTTTACTTAGTGTTGTTTATTGTCTGTTTCCACTACTAGAATGTAAGCCCTGAGTGGACAGAGATTTTGGTCTGTCTTGCTCACATCTGGATCTTCAGAGCCCAGGGCTGTGCTTGGCTCATAACAGGTATTCAATAAAGATTGGCTAATGAATGATAGAATGAATTCTGTTGTATCACCTGTTTATTCTTAAGGTGTGTGAGGAGTTTGTGTTTAGGCCTTTGTTTCTCTTTTGAGATTTCCAGTGGTTTCCCATTCCAATGGGGACATGATTCCTATTGTTTCTTTTCCACTTTTGCTCAGCATGGAAATGAGAGTCAGGTTGGAGGTGGGTTGTACAGAAACACGATGTGTTCACTCCATCAGCAGGAAGAGCAAATAAATAGCTTCATTTACTACTTTCCTGGCAGAAATTGTTTCCGCTGCAGGTGAGGGCTGGTTTATGATGATACCCTCCCCATTTCATGTTTAAACCTGAAACATGATCCAGGACTGGCTTCCTGAGAGGAGGAACACTTATTTCTGATTCTAGTTCAGCCCATGACAGATGTGGAGTATGTGTGGATTTGAAGACAGTGGGGGAAAGCATGGGACTTTTTGATGTGGAGTAAAGCCAGAGAAGGAAAATTCATCTACTCACAGTATGTATTGAGCTTCTCTTTGCCATGCACTGAAAATTTATAGGGTAAAGATAGTGGGAATGTGGACTGGTTCAACAAATCCTGTTCAGTAGAGCCTGACATCATGTGATCCCAAGGGAATTAAATTTGGGACAAATGAAAGAAAATTTACCTCACACAGTGTGTTGTAGATACAGAGTTGAAAGGATTTAAAAGTACCTTAGAAAAATGTAATGGGTAAGGGATTGAAAGAGTTTTGAAGACCTCCATTAACCATCACGGAGAAGAACCAATCTCTTCTATCCTCAGCGCAATGGCCAGGGTATGGAGATTGTGTCAGGTTATTACCTTTTCACACACACGGACTGGGTTAGTGTGGGAAGAGAGATGGAGCTAACTGCGCTCTGAAGGATTGTGGACGGCACCTGTTCAATAACACCTGTCTCCCTGTGTTAGAACTTGATTTATCTCTGTCTTAGTACATTTTATGCTGCTGTAACAGAATAATTGAGACTGGGTAATTTCTAAAGAGCATAGATTTATTTCTTACAATTCTAGAGACTGGGATATCCAAGTTTGAGGAGCTGCATCTGTTGTGGGCCTAGTTGCTGTGGCATACGTGGCCAAAGGCATCATGTGGTGACAGAGCAGGTGCTGGAGAGAGAGCAGAATGGGGCTGAACTTGCCTTTTGTGGGGGGGAACAAAAGAGACGGAGTGTTGCTATGTTGCCTGGGCTGGACTCCTGGGCTCAAGCAAGTCCTCGCGTTTCAGCCTTCCATGTAGTTGGGAAGCTAGGACTATAGGGGCACACCACTGCACCCAGCTGGACTTGCTTTTTTAATAAACTACTCTTGCGAAAACTTACCCACTCCTGTGATAGTGACATTAATCATTCATGAGGGCAAAGCCCTCATGACCTAATCACCTCTTTCAACATTGTCACATTCAGGATTAAGTTTCCAACACATGAACTTTGGAGGCCACATTTAAACCATAGCAACCTCATAATATATTTTAAAGCTTCCATAGAATATACTTCCCAAAGAATGAAGTCATACTGATTTGAGGCCTGAACAAGGTCATTAGGAGCAACAAAATGTAAGATAAAAGGTATTTCCCTTGTGCCTGGCACTCTCCATCTCCTGTTGTTTTCATGTTCCCGTTGTCTTGAGCCCAAAGATGTAGCGGTTCTGCTTTCTGTTTTTGGTGTGGTGCCCATCATACCTGTGGTGTTCTCTGAACAAAGGCCTGTTCCTGCTGGGCACAAAAATTGGGCTGGGCTTGGGGCTATAGATTTCTTTTGGAGATAAATAAGCAGGGTATCTTGCATCCCCTTCCATTTCGCCTGTCTCAAGGAAGAGGCCAAGGGTCCCCTCTTTTTGCAAGTAAAACAGAATGTACTTTCTTAAAACGATTTAAATATCACAGTTGGGTTCAATTTATCTACAGAAATAGACTTATATAAAAGGAAAACTTACAAAGGAGAAATTTCTACCAAATAATGGGCTCCCTTTTTGTTAAAATTTTTTTCCTACCTTTTTCAAGGTCATCCAGTTTAAAGTCTGAGTGTCCAAGAAAGAAGGGAGGGGAGGCCTAGAGGGAGAAGGGAAAGTAGAAGAAACAGAAGTACTTATAGATTCTTTAGGGTAAATCTGAAGTCTTAGTGATCATATGCTTTTTATCAGTACCAGCGATGCAGCCTGCCAGGGGTTTCCCCTCCTTGACCTTTTTCTTCACCTCCTGCTCCCATACTCCCGTTGGATGGTCAGGCAAGGAGGGCTGGCCTCAAGAACCTCAGCTATTCTAAGTCCTTAGCTCTGCCTGTCTGCTGTTTCAGCCAAACTAGATGGCCTAAGATCTCACACAGTCCACTTACTCCCATTTCCAGCCTTGGTGTGAACCCTTTCCCCCATCTGCAGGGCTGTATTGCAAATTACAGCTGTGAAACAAATTGCCACCAACTTAGTGGCTTCAAACACCGTCTCATTTATTATTTCATAGTTGATGTAGGTCAGAAATCTAGGTCCTGGTTAGCCGAGTCTTCTGTTCAGGGTCTCACAGCCTGAAACCAGGGTGTTGGCCAGCCTGTGTCCCTTTCTGGTGGCTCTGGAAAAGAATCTACTTCCAGGCTCATCCAGGTTATTGCCAACATATCTTTGCAGTCACTTCCTAGAAGTCAGACTTCTGGGTCAGAGGGTAAATGCAGTTATAATTTTATTAGATGTTGTCAAATTCCCCTTTATAGGGGCTGTATATGCAAATTTCATTTCCCTAGTCTCGCCTGCAAAGTACTTACAACCTAATAGGTGGAAAGCAGTTTTCTACTGTAGTTTTATTTTATCTTTGTCATGTGATGAGCAAAGTTGAACATCTTTTCATAGAGTCAAATAGCATTGTATTTCTTTTTCTGTGACCTGCCTGTTTATATCTGTAGTCTTTTTTTTCTATTGTGTTTTTGGTCTTTTTCTCCTTATTTTTTAAAAGTTTTTTATATATTGGGGATATTAACACTCTATGATATTAAATTGCAGATACTTTACCTAGTTTGACATTTGTCTTTTTTGCTTATGATATTTTTCCATGCATTTTTATTTTTTATAAAACTTTTTATTTTTGCATAATCAAATTAATATTTTTGTGATTTCTTTTGGATTTTGAATTATAATTAGGAAAGTTATTTACTTTCAACAAGTTGTTGCCACCAACTTATAATTAGGAAAGTTATTATTTACTACTCCCAGATTATAGAGTAGTTGACCTATGCTTTCTTTTGGTACTTATATGTTTTCATTTTGTATATTTAAAGATTTAATTTGTTTGGAATTTATCTTGACATGTAGGCATAAGACATGGGGTTAATTTTTACCTTTTTCAGTATGTCTGTTGAGTTATCCCAACACTGCTTATTAAAAAGTTTGACTTGGCCAGGTGCAGTGGCTCACTCCTGTTACAATCCCGGCCCTTTGGGAGGCTGAGGTGGGCAGATGGATTGAAGCCAGGTATTTGAGACCAGTCTGGGCAACAGAGAGAGATCCTGTCTCTACAAAAAAGAAAAAAAATTAGCCAGGTGTAGTGGTGCGTGCCTGTAGTCCTAGCTACTCCAGAAGCTGAGGTGGGAGAATCGCTTGGGCCCAAGAGTTTGAGGTTGCAGTGATCATACTACTGCACTCCAGCCTGGCCGACAGAGCGAGACCCTGTCTAAAAAAGAAAGTGCTTTCCCTATAGATTTGAGATGCTGCTCTTACTGTATATTAAATTTCTGTGTGCAGTTGGGTCTGTTTTTGAATGTTCTTTTCTGCTTCATTGGTAATTCTGTCTATTCATGCACCAGTATCAAACCATTTTAATTGTAGAGGTTTTGCAATATGTTTTATTATCCAGTAGGTCATTCTAGTTTTATTTCTGTGCGCTCCTGTTTGTGTGTATGTGTATCTAGATGGCAGTTGGAGACATGAGAACTGATGAGCCCCAGAAGAGAATCAAGAGCATCCTGAGAAGTTTCAACTCTTAACAGTCAGGTAGAAGAGGGTGAGCTGGCAAAGGAGAGGCTGTAGTGGCAGGAACTCATCAGGTATTCAGTCTCAAGGAAGTCAGGGCAGAATACTTACTTTAGGACTGAGGAACTGGCCTCCTGTGTCATGTGCTGCCAAGAAATCTCAGGAGGGGAGGAGTGAGAAGCATCAGTGGTTGTCACTGGGTGAGAGTGGAGTGGTGTGGAGTGGGCTTTGGAGTGAATGGCGGGTAAGGAGGTCTAGACATTCCTTGAGAAGTTATCAGTATAAGAAAAATGAAAGGAGATGAGAAAAGATGCTACCCAGAAGAGGTCTAGGGAAGTTTTTCTTTATTCTTTTTCTTACATTGAGGTTAAATTTATATAATATAAAATTAATCATTTTAAAGTGAGAAGCTCAGTGGTATTTAGTACATTCATTATGTTGTGCAATCACCGCTTCTATTTAATCCGAAAACATTTTCATCACCTCAAAAGGAAATCCCATACCCGCTGAGCAGTTTATCCACATTTCCCTATCCTCTAACATCTGACAACCACAAAGCTCCTTTCTGTCTTTATGGATCTACTCATTTTGGATATTTCATGTAAATGGAGTCATACATACATGAGTTTTTGTGTCTGTCTTCTTTCACTGAGCATAATAATTTTTGAAGTTCACCCATGATGTAGCATGTATCAATACTTCATGCCTTTTTATGGCTGAATAATGTATCATTGTATGGAGATACCATTGTATGGACAAATTTGTTTATTCATCTGCTGATGGACTCTTTATGTCTTTTTTAACAAAAAGAAACTATTTATAAATGCTGATGAGAGACTCTAGTACATAGGGACAGGTGGAAGCTTCAGGAGAGAGGGTGGGTAAGAAGTAAAGTTCTTCAAAAGGTGGACTCCATCTGTTTGCTGGTGGGAAGCTGGGGAGACCCTGTCTGACAGCTTCTGTTTGCTCTGTGATGTAGAAGGCCAGGCCTCCACTGAGAGTGGAGAGTCAGAAGTTCAAGGGAAGGGTAAGAATCTGAACTAGTGATTGAGTAGTGAGTAGTATGTGCTAACTAGAGAATGTGGTTATGATTTATGGGTGGTGCTGGACAGTTGAAATCTTTTCCCACTGTTTCAGTTCAGAAAAGGCCTTCTCAGGAGTCTTTCAAATGTTAAATAGTCACAGAGGGGATATTTACTATTTCTGCCTCCTCCTTTCTAAGACAGTGTTCCAACCGTATATACTAGAGCTTGGAGTTCTGCCACAAACAGAACCCACAAGGTGTAGCAGCTTCTCAAATTTGAAAAACTTTTGGTAAGTGTTGTGGGTTGGGTTCTCCTGAAGCCGATGCTGAGATAGAGGTTTGAATGCAGTATGTTTATTAGAGATCGACCCCTACAAAAGGAAGGGGGAGGAAGTAGGATCGGGCAGAGGAAGCAGTCAAACTTTGATGTAAGCCTGATGAAGTCTTGTGCATCCCAGTGAGGAGTTCTGAAGTGAGTATTGTCCTTCAGATGATCCTGAATTAGGCTAAAATGGTTAGGTTTTTATATCCATGCCTGGCTCAGTCACTAGTTACAGGCTGTCCTAAACAATCATGACTTCATGCAAAGTAGCTCTCTGCAACTGAGGCAGACCCTGCAGGAGCTGAAAAGTGTAGACTGTCTGCTGACCAAAGCCAAGTCTTCCCTTGAAAGGGCCATGGAGGATTCTGGGCTTATCTGCCACAGTATAGGCAGTCTAGTTGGGAGTCCAGCTGGAATAGCTTGGAGTCCAGGCATGTGCGCACTGGACTTCCTTCACAAGGACTCTTCCCATTATTGCCCCAGAAATTGTTCTTAGAAACTGAGCTGATGGACAGGAGCTGGGTGGGGTAGTGGAGGTGGCATCAGAAGTTACACTCTGCTTTTCAGGTAGAATGAGCTCAGCCCTGGCATTTGAGGACAGGGCATGTGTTCCCATGGGGAATGAAATCCCACTTATTAGAAAGGCTTTATTGTCAGCCAGTCAACTGACCAGGAATGATTTGGATTTTGAAAATGTATCATGATATTTTTGACTTCACTGTTATTTGTCAGAGAAATGACAAAAAGGAAAGGGCACTTAGTCAGCAGTCAGCAACTGTTTGCTGAACAAGTGAATGAAAGAATCATTGTGGGCAGAACAGCAGCAGGAAGCAGAGGGTCAGATTCTCTGTCATCTTTTCAGAGGAGTCTGAGCTCCAGTGGCAGCAGCTCCACGGGCCTAATGATTGCTTAGCATGGAAAGAGAGGGCAAAGGATAGAACCTGGAGCAGAGGCAGTGTTCCATGGTGGGCCAGGGAGGTACCTACATTATGGTGGACATGGATGCCAGCTGCCTTGGCTGGTTTGGAGGAGGGAGGGAGTGAGCACCTGGCTGTGGGTGGGTGGCTGGATGCTAGCCACATTAGCCACTTGGGATGTGGAGGGGTGGTCTGGTAACCTCTCCCTGAGGAGGCTTTTTCTTCTTCCCATTGTTTGAGAACTTGGTGTAAGGGAGAAGGTTTTCTCTTAAGCCCAGTTGCTCCTATATCCTGAGAAACTCTAGGGTCCATACCCACTTCTCCTGTGGCCTTCCCCTACTTTTGACATTTTCCTCTCATAACCTGTCAGCCTCACCTCCTCTATTGTCTTCTCTCCCAGAACTTAAAACAGTATGACTGCTCCCTCAAAACAGTATGATTGCTCCCCCAGTTCCCATAAGCCTATTGTTTCACCTCAGGGAGCCAGGACTGTAGCCCATCAGCAGTCATCTTATTTTTATTTTTTGAGATAGGGTCTCGCTCTGTCACCCAAGCTGGGGTGCAGTGGCATCATCATAGCTCACTGCAGCCTGGAAACTCCTGGGCTCAAGCAGTTCTCCCGCCTCCGCCTCCTAAGTAGCTGGGATTATAGGCCTGTCTTGGTTCTTAGAGTCTTTCAATGTCCTTGTGGCCTCACTCTTCCCCACACAGCATGGACCTCATGGCACCTATCATTTCTAAGATACTTACCAACCCCTTTGATTCCCTTACCCTGTTGTCATATGGGAAAGAGATGGGATTGTAGCAGGATGTTGGATTAGGAATGAAGTAATGCCTAGAGGGTGGAAGTTAGGATCCTGGGGTCTGGGCTGGTGTTGATGTCTGATTGTTGGCCTGAAGAGTGGAGTATGAGTTGGGGATGAAGAAAGAAATATATTGGCTAGGTGCAGTGGCTCATACCTGTAATCCTACTATTTGTGGAGGCTGTGGTGGGTGGATTGCTTGAGTCCAGGAGTTCGAGTCCAGCCTGGGCAACATGGCAAGACCCCATTTCTATTTATATAATTTTTTTAAAAAAAGAAATATAATTAATTATTATTATTATCTTTTTCAAATGGAGTCTCACTCTGTTGCCCAGGCTGGAGCTCAATGGCGCGATCCCAACTCACTGCAACCTCCGCCTCCCGAGTTCAAGTTATTCCCCTGCCTCAGCCTCCCAAGTAGCTGGGATTACAGGCATGTGCCACCAGGCCCAGCTAATTTTTGTATTTTTAGTAGAGACAGGTTTTCACCATTTTGGCCAGGCTGGTCTCGAACACCTGACCTCAAGTGATCCACCTCAGCCCCCAAAGAACTGGGATTACAGGCATGAGCCACCATGCCCGGCCAATAATTTATTTTAAAATTCATTTATGGCCAGGCGCGGTGGCTTATGCCTGTAATCCCAGCACTTTGGGAGGCCGAGGCAGGGGGATCACTTGAGGTTAGGATTTCGAGACCAGCCTGGCCAACTGGTGAAACCCCATCTCTACTAAAAACAAAAAAAATTAGCTGGGTGCATGCCTGTAATTTCAGCTACTTGGGAGGCTGAGGCAGGAGAATTGTTTGAACCTGGGAGGTAGAGGTTGCAGTGAGCCGAGATAGTGCCATTGCACTCCAGCCTGGGCAATAAGAGCAAAACTCCGTCTCAAAAACTAATAATAATAAAATAAAATAAAAATAAAAAAATGAAACTCATTTATGTAGAAGTTAAATTTGGCAAATTGCTTCTTCTTCTTCTTCTTTTTTTTTTTTTTTTTTAAGACGGTCTCACTCTGTTGCTCAGGCTGGAGTGCAGTGGTGCAGTCATGGCTCACTGCAGCCTTGACCTCCCAGATTCAAGGGATCCTCCTGCCTCAACCTCCTGAGTAACTGGGGCCACAGGTGTGCACCACCACACCCAGCTAATTTTTTTTTTTTTTTCGGTAGAGTCGGGGTTTCAGTATGTTGCCCAGGAGAGCAGTTGGTCTCAAACTCCTGGGCTCAAGCCATCCTCCTGCCTTGGCCTCCCAAAGTGTTGGGATTACAGATGTGAACCACCAAGCTGGCCGGCAAATTGCTTCTACATCTGTTGTTTCACTGGAGTCCATTGTTAGCTCTTTCCTGACTCCTTTTCTTCTTTCATCTGGAAAGATGTAGCCATTTATCAAGGCTGTCATAAATATTGTTTCTTCTGTCTTCACTTTCTCCCTCAGAGATTTCTGGCTCGAGCCCTCATTGCCATGCAGATGACATCCAAGCCTGTGTTTCCAGCCTCATCCTCACTTGCTGTGCCCCATCCCATGTTTTCAGCCCCTGGTATATATTTGCCTGTCCCATTCATGCTCCACAGTCTTCTAAACCAGCCTTATGATAATTTCCCTCCAAACTTGTTCTTCCTGTTGAATCATGACATCAGCATTCTCCCAGTTACCTCACCTTGAAACTTGGGCATCTCCTTCCTTCCTTTCTCCCAGCCTAGTCACTTGCATTGCTCTGTCCCATCACTTATTTCCATTCCCACTGCTCTCGTTTCCACTCCATGACTTCTTTCAAAGCCATGCCAACAGCTCCCTACCTAGTTTTCCCAACGCCAGGTGTATTTGCCTCTCAGTGCATCATACAATTGCTGGCCACCATATTAGTCTTTCAAAGCCACTGTTCTTATTGTCACAAGATTTTTCCCTGAAGAAACCGAAGTGGTTTCCCACTGTTTAGAGTTAAGATCCAACTTCTCAACCTGAACTGTGAGGCCCCACGACCTCCCCCTTTCTTTCCACTGTGGTCCTGTACACACTCACTTCATTTTCTAGCCATGGGACTGCTTCTGTTTCCCCTGATTGTGCCCTGGACTTTCCTTCCTCCCTGTTTTTGTTCATGCTACTTTTCACCCTGTAGCTTTTTCTCTTCTCTCCTTCTCCACTCCCCCGTCCCTTAGCCTGTATCATTTTTACCTGTTAAAACCATATTCTTTTATATCCATTGCAATGGAATACTGTGGCACTGTTGGGATGTACATTTGTTGCCACAGAATGCTATTCACGGCATGCTGCTAGATGGTGAAGCATGTTGCACAACAGTATGTATGGTATGATTCCATTCTAGAAAAAATTATTAGTGATAAGTGTAAATGTATATAGAGAAAAAAATCAAAACTGTGCCCTTGTTAATTACTATACTTGAGAAATGATGATTATGGGAATTACAGTGTGAGAATATATTCCTGTAACATTTGATTTTTTATTTTTTTTTATTTATTTTTATTTTTATTATACTCTAAGTTTTAGGGTACATGTGCACATTGTGCAGGTTAGTTACATATGTATACATGTGCCATGCTGGTGCGCTGCACCCACTAATGTGTCATCTAGCATTAGGTATATCTCCCAATGCTATCCCTCCCCCCTCCCCCGACCCCACCACAGTTCCCAGAGTGTGATATTCCCCTTCCTGTGTCCATGTGATCTCATTGTTCAATTCCCACCTATGAGTGAGAATATGCGGTGTTTGGTTTTTTGTTCTTGCGATAGTTTACTGAGAATGATGGTTTCCAATTTCATCCATGTCCCTACAAAGGATATGAACTCATCATTTTTTATGGCTGCATAGTATTCCATGGTGTATATGTGCCACATTTTCTTAATCCAGTCTATCATTGTTGGACATTTGGGTTGGTTCCAAGTCTTTGCTATTGTGAATAGTGCCGCAATAAACATACGTGTGCATGTGTCTTTATAGCAGCATGATTTATAGCCCTTTGGGTATATACCCAGTAATGGGATGGCTGGGTCAAATGGTATTTCTAGTTCTAGATCCCTGAGGAATCGCCACACTGACTTCCACAATGGTTGAACTAGTTTACAGTCCCACCAACAGTGTAAAAGTGTTCCCGCATCGCCAAGTCAATCCTAAGCCAAAAGAACAAAGCTGGAGGCATCACACTACCTGACTTCAAACTATACTACAAGGCTACAGTAACCAAAACAGCATGGTACTGGTACCAAAACAGAGATATAGATCAATGGAACAGAACAGAGCCCTCAGAAATAATGCCGCATATCTACAACTATCTGATCTTTGACAAACCTGAGAAAAACAAGCAATGGGGAAAGGATTCCCTATTTAATAAATGGTGCTGGGAAAACTGGCTAGCCATATGTAGAAAGCTGAAACTGGATCCCTTCCTTACACCTTATACAAAAATCAATTCAAGATGGATTAAAGATTTAAACGTTAGACCTAAAACCATAAAAACCCTAGAAGAAAACCTAGGCATTACCATTCAGGACATAGGCGTGGGCAAGGACTTCATGTCCAAAACACCAAAAGCAATGGCAACAAAAGCCAAAATTGACAAATGGGATCTAATTAAACTAAAGAGCTTCTGCACAGCAAAAGAAACTACCATCAGAGTGAACAGGCAACCTACAACATGGGAGAAAATTTTTGCAACCTACTCATCTGACAAAGGGCTAATATCCAGAATCTACAATGAACTCAAACAAATTTACAAGAAAAAAACAAACAACCCCATCAAAAAGTGGGCGAAGGACATGAACAGACACTTCTCAAAAGAAGACATTTATGCAGCCAAAAAACACATGAAGAAATGCTCATCATCACTGGCCATCAGAGAAATGCAAATCAAAACCACTATGAGATATCATCTCACACCAGTTAGAATGGCAATCATTAAAAAGTCAGGAAACAACAGGTGCTGGAGAGGATGTGGAGAAATAGGAACACATTTGATTTTTTAAAAATAATGTTTGTGTATTTTTGTAGTGATGAGAAAACATAAAGCAAGAAAAAAAATTGTCCTCAACCTTCAAGGTACATCTGAATTTTCACCTCCCTAGTTTCTCCCAGTGGCAGGTGCTCTTACTTATATTCCCCTTCCCCTCCACACCCTCTTTCATGAAGCTCACATCAAGCCTCAGGTTACAGTAATTTATGGACTTGCTTTATTCCCTGCTTCTTGCTCCTAAATCAGGAGCAGTTGGTATCATTTGAATCCTTGAGCCCCTGCAGGGCCTGGCCCAGTGCCCATGCTCAAAGACTGCTGCTTCAGTGCTTTTTGAGTTGGCCTGCTCTCTCCTGGGTATCCTGGGGCCTTCCTGTTCGTCTAGTTCGGGAGGGACTGACTTTCCATGGCTGGAGCTATATGACTGATGGGGCTGATCTGATGGGCTTAATCCATGATCAGCTTCCTGACTAGGATCTCACTGATTATGATTGATAAGAACGTGATTGGAAGTTTCACGTGTGTTCCTACTGATCTCTAGAGGAATCCATTCCCACATAGCAACCTTGGCCCTAACCTGGCATTAGATAAATTCAGTTCAGCAGTTCATCAAGACACCAAGTAATTGAAGTGTGGATTGCTGCCTTCCAAGAATGACAGGAAGAATGATAGAAGGGCTTTGGACCAAAGGGGCTGAGCTGTTCAGCCCTTAGGGAATCCATTATTATACCAGTCTCCACCAATTTCTCTTTTGAGCTTTAATAATGTCTGCTTTGCGGGGGCTTCCAGGCCCTATCTTGGAACATAGATTCTGGTCTTTGTATCAAATGACTTGTAGCACATGGGGAGAGACTTTCCTATTTTGTTTCAATCAGCTTTCTTGGGGTGGGCAGGGAAGGTGTTGACAGCTAGTCAGGATTTGGTTGTTCCTGAGGTGCTGTCAGACTCAGCATACCCTCACACTGGCTCAGACACAGAGAAGAGGCAGTGTTGGGCAATGGAAGAGCTGCTTTTGAAGCCATACAAACCTGGTTAGAGACTCAGTTCTATCATCAGCCTGAAGGCTGCTCTAGGCAGGGACCACTGTGAGTTGCAGGATACAAAATGCCTGGTAATTTCTGTTTGGTAAACATTTGTCGAATTGTACTAGTTGTGTAACCAAAGAATTCTCATCTGTAAAATGGGAATACCTGCCCCATATGATTGTTGTGAAAATTAAACAAGATGATGTGTGTATAGCAGCTATTCTGATGCCCAGTACCAAGTGGTAATTTGTAATGCTAGATTTCTTTTAGAATTCTGCCCTCTTCCCCCTTATGCTGTTAAAGATTAGAAGTCTTCTCACTTCCTCTGTACATATTTACTAGGCTGCAATGAGAATGGCTTGGGCTGGTCTCAGTGTGTTTTTGTTTTTTTTGTTTTTTTTTTTTAAGACAGAGTCTTGCTCTGTTGCCCAGGCTGGAGTGCAGTGGCACGATCTCAGCTCACTGCAACCTCTGCCTCCTGGGTTCAAGCGATTCTCCTGCCTCAGCCTCCTGAGTAGCTGGGATTACAGGCTTGTGCCACCGTGCCTGGCCAATTTTTGTATTTTTAGTAGAGATGGGGTTTCACCATGTTGGCCAGGCTGGTCTCAAACTCCTGACCTCAGGTGATCTGCCTGCCTTGGCCTCCCAGAGTGCTGGGATTACAGGTGTGAGCCACCGTGCCTGGTCTTCTGTGGTTCTTGTAGCCATTCACATAGTCTACGGAGGCTCCATTCATGACAGTGGTTCATGGCACAGCAGGGTGGTACACTGTAGAGGGCCAAGAACTAGGGAGGGTTTCTTGAGCTCTTTGTCATGTTTTCTTATTTGTAGAAAATATCTGCCCTGTCTAAAATTTATATTGTTAGCTGGGTATGGAGGCATGTACCTGTAGTCCTAGCTACTTGGGAGGCTAAGGCACGAGGATGGCTTGAGTCCAGAAGGCAGAAGTTGCAGTGAGCCATAATTGTGCCACTGCACTCCAGCCTGGGCTACAGAGTGAGACCCAGTCTCAGAAAAATAAATAAAAAAATTTATATTGCAGGCCACATCTAATTGTTTTTGAAAGGGCATTTTCTCACCTTCATTATTCTTGAGTGACTCTGTGTCCTGTAGCATGCTGCCCTTCCCAGTGCCCTGCCTGCACCCACTTCCCTTCCCTTGAATGTCTGTCGTAGGACAGGAATTTATCACGTGGATCAACATTGACGCCATATTGCGATAACAGTGGTTAATGCTGTGCTTAGTGAGGTAGTCCAACTCTTTTTTAGGGCTGCCTGCTAATAAAAAGGATTTTAATTAGCTTTTAGTGAAATACACATATATGGAAGACTGCTTAAATATAAATTGAAACTAATTTAAATTCTATGGGTATGGGACTGGCGAAAAACAAATATCATAACCAACTTGGCTACTTTGGTTATAGGTTCCAAATATTAAATATAGTTTCTGAACATCCTGGTAGCCAAGACAAAAAGGGAAATATGATGAATCACATAATTGTCACTTAATTAAAAAGCTAATAGTTCTCAGCAGTCAGTTGTCTGCTGAGAAAGCAGCTTTTTCCTGGTGCTGGTAAGAATTGATCTAAAAGCATTTTTATCATAGAGATTAACCATGTACTGGACAATGACAAGCTTGTTTCAGAAAAGACAGGAATGGATTTTGCAGTCTGTTCCTTATGTAATAGACCCTGAACAAAATTTGAGGACATACAAGTGGTGTTGTATGAGTTTGTCTTTTATGGGACAAATCTAATGTGTATGCTTCTGTCTTAAGCTGGTACTAGAGTGCAATATAGAATCCTCTTAGTAGAATACATGAAGAGCCTGTCCTTTAGGCTATCTTTCTCAAATATCTGCTCTGTCAGGTTGGTTTTTGGCAGAGACTGAACAGTAGTCAGATTAAGATTAAAAGCTCTAGCCAGGACTTGGCATAATCTAGCTAGCCAGTGTTCAATCTTTCAGGACAACATTAGCCCACAGCTTTTTCTGTGGAATGATCCATTTGTGTCCACACTGTATGCATTGTGTGAAAATGAATGGACGTATGTTGACTTCTTAATTAAAAAACCTAATGATTTAACTGTTTTCATTAGTGTGTCCAATGGGTGGTAAAATCTGTATCCAGCAAGTTTTATGTTTATATTTAGTTTTATTTGGAGAAAAATACATCATTCACGGTCTATTGCCAAGTACAATAATATGTGCCACCCCCCACCCCCAGTAAAGTTGGTAGCTTTCAGTTATGTAAGAAATTATTTTGTTTAAGATCAGAAGTGTAAATATAGGTTTTGGAGACTTGCTGAGAGATGATAGCTGTGGCTACATGAGAGAAAGTAGGAATCCCAGGTTTTCAAGTACTTGCTTTTGGTTTTCTAAAGTTGGACTTTGTGTGGGGAAGAAAAAAGTCATTGTAAAATGTTGGTGTAGCCAGTGCATATTTGCTAATGGAGATGATTCCTTCAAACCTCAGAAATGGGGAAAACCCCAAGGGCTGTATTTGAATAAAATGGTTGTGAAGTGATTTTCTTACTTTTTTGAACTTTTGGTTTTAGTTAGTCTTATAAGACATTATTCAGTAGAGTTTAACTTTCCATTTTGTTCTATTTGCAGCCACTTGAACTAAAATACAGTGCAGTTCATTGTCCCTTTGCCCTTTGTTAGTAAGTTATTTTCTATCCTGTCTTCCTCCATCTCTGAAAGAGTTCTCTTGAATTGTTTGGGAGGGCAGCACATTCTGTACTTGTTTTTATCCATTATTTATGTTTGCATTCAATTATACTCAGCCTTCCTTTCAATTGTGGAGATGGCCCTTGAGCTTTTTTGTTTCAGGGAGTTGGGTATCTGCTATAACAATTAGCTATGGAGAGAGCGAATTACCCATAATTCTTGTCCTCAGAAGAGATGTAGTGCTAATGGGCCCCTGGTGTCCTAGCTGACTACTCTGGAGAGCCACTGCTCTGGTTTACTCCTTGGCTCAGGGTCTCCTGAATTGGAACTGGCAGGAGGTACTCAGTGTGGTAAACCAGATTTGAGTCCCCCAAAGGGGCCTTTGCTGCAAGGCGCCAGGATTCCACTCATGCTTGTGCTGCCCACCATGCCTCTCAAAGCCCCTTTTCATCTGATGTTTCACTGGGCCCCCACAATATTCCAGGGATGCACTATTTGTGAAATGAAGATCTACTTCTGTGCTATCTGATATGGTAGTCACTAACCATTTGTGATTATTCAAATTAAAATTAACATTTTAAAAATTAAAAATTCAGTTTCTTAGTATCACTAGTCACATTTCAAGTACTCAAAAGCCACATGTGACCAGGGGCTACTGTAAGGGCCAGCATAGATATAGAACATTTCTGTCATTGCAGAAAGTTCTATTGGACAGTGCTGGTCTAGAAAGTGAATGGCCAATACTGGTCTAGCTTCATTGACTGCTGATGTGGAAACACAGTGTCCCCTCTCTCACTGTATCTCTTAAACAGCTGCTTGGTGACTATCATTATTATTTGGCAGTTTTGTTAATTGAAAGTCATCAAGTGAAAAGTGCTAGATTTTTCTAGCTAAAGCCACTGGCAATAATGCCAGGTCTCTGCCTCGTGCCTGGCATTTGATGTGTGCAGTGTGGTAGTGGTTTTTTATCCACTGGGATCGGGAAGAGTTGACATGCAGGTTGTGAGGCCGAGCAGAGAAGCCACAACTGGTAGTGCAGCTGGCCTGTGCAAGTTGCCTTGCCTTCTCCTGCTGTTCTGCGTCTCCCCAGCAGGAAGTGGTGGAGAAAGCAGGTCTGGTGAAACCTAAAGGATCAGCTGAGAAAATGCTTAGCTTTCAAGACCTATATTCTAAAAATCAAGTCTGGAGGGCTTCAGGAGAGATGATTCCAGAAATTAAGGCCTCCCCTTTTTTTTTTAAATTCCTTTGAAACCTGGAATGAGAATTAGGAAGTTTTTTGTCAATTACAATTTTTGCCCATTATAATTCTTTGTAACTTAAAAAATTTTTTTTTGGTAGAGATATGGTCTCACTGTGTTGCTCAGGCTGGTCTCAAACTCTTGGACCCAAGAGATCCTCTCACCTTGGAAACCCGAAGTGCTGGGATTACAGATGTGAGCCACCAGGCTTAGCCCTTTGTAACTATTTTTAGGCAAGGTGAGATTGGTCAAAGAAAAGTGTGCAGTAACCAAATATTGTTTGTGTACCCAGAGATGTGAATGTGAGATTTTGCATGGAAAAATACATCCATATTGCACAAGTGGCTCAGGACCCAAACTAAATATCTCATCTCTCAGTTCCCCTCTGGATGGGTGCCTTCTTGCTCTGTGCTATAGTTTGTCTGGAGTGTGATAGAGAGAATGAGGATGATGAGGAAGCACAATCATGTATACCACTCCCCCGCAACACTATAATCTCCTCCTCCTAGGGTGCACTAAAGCATATGATTTGGCCTAGCATAATCTGAAGATTTGGATCAAAGAGCTGACTCTGTAACAATGAGATTTGATTAGTAGGATTTTGGGTGTGTTGGGGTTATCAAGTGTCTTTTTGATACCTCTCAACTCCCATCACTCCAGTGACTGTTTTGGTGCCTCTGTGTGGAACTGTGCCCTCTACTCTGCCCTTTCAGGTTGAGGTTTTCTCAAAGAGGAGGCTTTTGGGAAAGTTCTTGCTGTATGGTGAGATCTCTGTTTCTGAGCTTAAGAGGTAAGGTAGTAGCTGTTGGGAAAAGCTAAGGGGGTTAAACAGTCAGTTCCTGAGAGAATTAAAAAGGTTGCTAGACTGGAATCACAGTCCGTAAAACAACAGTTTAGGGAGATGGAGTTTTGTTGTAGATTGGGTCACTGTAAAGTGTCTAAAAATGTAAAATAACAAGAAAATCTTGGCTTGGGTTTGGATAGTAGAAATGTAGGGGAAATTGAGATATATATCACGGTTTTATTCTTTTTGTAGTTTGGAAGTGATTTATTTATTTTGTATCCAAAAAAGGAATTGTATTTTGTTCATAAAGGTATTATGTATTAAGCCACATGAAATCCCAGAAAAATTTGGGAAACAACTTGTTTTTAGATTGAATGTGGGGGAGGGAATAGTTAAAGAATAAGAATTAGCCCTGGGGCAGGGTCAGAGGTGGTGGGGAAGAATTGCTTTTTCTTTTTTGAGATGGAGTCTTACTGTGTCGCCAAGGTTGGAGTGCAGTGGTATGGTCTCGGCTCACTGCAACCTCCACATCCTGGGTTCAAGCAATTCTCCTGCCTCAGCCTCCCAAATAGCTGGGTTTACAGGTGTGTGCTGCCATGCGCAGCTAATTTTTTGTATTTTTAGTAGAGACAGGGTTTTACCATGTTGGCCAGGATGGTCTTATCTCCTCTCCTGACCTCGTGATCCGCCTGCCTTGGCCTCCCAAAGTGCTGGGATTATAGGCATGAGCCACTGTGCCCGGCCGAGAATTGCTTTTTTCTTTCTTTCTGGTGACTCTTTTGTTGCTCAGTTTAGGTCACTGCGGTCTTTGAGTAAGAGTGACCATTAGCCATACCAATAGAAGGGGAATTGGTTTCTTAGTCCACTGTACTGGTGAAATAATGAAGTGGCTATAAATTTGAGCTTTTTGACATTGTGTCCTCAGTTTTTTTATGTCTACTCACTTGTTACAGGCCCTAGGAATAATCAGATTTACTCCTCCAAATTGGAAATGGAGGAACTCTGAGGTACTGTAGCCCAGAGATTGATTGCAGGATGGGGCAAAGCGCAAATGACTGTATCAGTATCAGCTTTGCTATTCCCAAGGTCTATATATTTGGCTGTTTTAGTGGCTTTCCATGTAATGCATTTGACTTTTAGCTTCTGTTACTAAAGTGAAATGGTAACATATTCTGTTTTCCATTTGTTTATTTATGGTCTTGTTTTCTACCCTTGCAAAACTTGATATAGGTACAAAGCTTCAGAAATGTACACATACCAGAGTAATAGATAACTCTGATTTTGTTACAAGGCAATAATTTAAGTTGACAGGTTTAGCTGATAACAAAACACAAGAGAGAAATAGGATCAGTTTATAAATGTCAGCAGAACCCCTGAGAGTGAGTTGCTGCCTTGGAACTGATTCCGGTACTGTTGTTTTGTCTAATATATTATAAAGTGAAATAAACTGATGTCTGTGAAAATCTGGCTGACCAAGATTAAAAGAATAGGACTGTAAATTAGCTGCTTCCCTTATGTCACTTTAAGCAACTTTCAGAAGGGACTAAATGACAGGACATTAGGGTCTTGGGAAGGACTTGAAGTCTAGCTTCTCTGGAATTTCAAGATACCAAGAGCATGGATGGGCCTGCTTGGCAGATCGTATTGGGAATGAATCACAACTGGCCAGCTTTCCATGCCCTACTGTGCCTCTTTCCTGGGAAAATGGAACCTTAGAATGGAGGAGATTGTGAAGTCCAGATGCCTGGAAAGTAGACCTTGTGAAAGGTCATTGCAGATTCTGTCATTATGACAGCCACAGCCTCCAAAAGGAGATTGTGAAATATTTTAGTGATTTGGCAAAACTAAAATCAATTCAGTATAATGGGGCATTGACACACAGAATCACCATCTCCCACATAGAAAATAGATATTCCTGCTTTACCTTGACATTTATTCCCCATAAACACACTAGCGTTTATGTAGCATTACCTTATGATTGTGTTTTATTCCCTATGACATGCTCTGTTACTGATGTCTGCAGAGTCAGGGAGGCGGCAGCGACTGTGTAGGGTGTCCAGGAGCAGTTTGTTTTTAAGGAACTAGTTTCAGTTTTGCATAGTTAGTAGGAGTAGACATAAAAACTAGGCACACGTATCATTTTCATGCATCTCAGTGGTTGCTACATACTCAGAAAAGTCCTTGGATTATTGCTTTTCCTCTATAGAGTAGTTTGGACTAATGTCCTTGTTTTGAGATATCTCCTGCTGCAGAGGGAAAATAAAGTTCTAGGGGATGGGAGTTTTTAAAATGTCATGCTTCCATCCATCTGCCTCCAGGCAGAACTGCACTGAACCCTGTCCAGGTTGGTTAGGACACTCTTCTTTCAGAGGTTTCTGTGGATAGTGCTTTCAGACTCTGGTTGGTAATTTCTGCTTCTCAGTCATAATGGGTGTTTAGTATTAAACATAACCTCATAAAAAGAGATTCTGGCCAGGCACGATGGCTCACGCCTATAATCCCAGCACTTTGAGAGGCCAAGGCGGGCAGATCATGAGGTCAGAAGTTCAAGACCAGCCTGGCAAACATGGTGAAACCCCATCTCTACTAAAAATACAAAAATCAGCTAGACATGGTAGCATGTGCCTGTAATCCCAGCTACTCAGGAGGCTGAGGCAGGAGAATCGCTTGAATCCGGGAGGCGGAGGTGCAGTGAGCCAAGATTGTGCCATTGCACTGCAGCCTGGGTGACAGAGCAAGACTGTGCCTCAAAAAAAATAAAAATAAAAAAGACAGAGAGAGAAAGAGATGCTTAGTTCTGAAGGCAAGAGGGGATGAAGGGAAATGATTCCTATTTTAAAAAACTCTTTAATCCCTTCCACTCCCACCTCACAAACTACGGCCAATGTGGGAGCAAATCCTCCTGAAGTACACATTCTCTTTCACTCTGGCTTCACTGTGCGATCCTTGAGGGTCAGATTGGCTGGTCAGGTGAGGGCTCTGTTCAAGGTCATGTGGAATAAAGGCATTGAGGTTGAACTCAGCATCTTGTTCGTTGATTTGCATTTGTGCAAGGCCCCTGTTCCCAGACTTCTGGACCATTTCCTTGTAAAGCCTAACCCTAGCAAAATATCTGTCAGGTATTTCATTGTGAATATATAGTTTATATTTTTATTTATGTATATTATTTGTTAAAAATTGACAGGAAAATTTGTATGTATTTTCCATGTACAACATGATGTTTTAAAGTATAAATAGACCAGCCATGATGGCTCATGCCTATAATCCCAGCACTTTGGGAGGCCAAGGCAGGAGGATTGCTTGAACCCAGGAGTTCAAGACCAGCCTGGGAAACATAGTAAGACCTTGTCTCTACAAAAAATTAAAACATTAGCTGGGTGTGGTGATGCATGCTTGTAGTCCCAGCTACTCCGGAGGCTGGGGTGCGAGGATCTCTTGAGTCCAAGAGTTCAAGGTTGCAGTGAGCTGTGATTGCACTACTGCATTCCAGCCTGGGTGACAGAGTGAGTCCTTGTCTCAAACAACAAAACAAACTAAAGTATAGCTATGTTGTGGAATGACTAAATCTAGCTAATTAACATATGCATTACCTCACATAGTTATCATATTTTTGGTGAGAACACTTTACATTCTTTCTCTTGGCATTTTTCAGGAATACAATGTATTATTATTATTTATGTATTTTTTTTTTTGAGATGGAGTTTTGCTCTTGTTGCCCAGGCTGGAGTGCAATGGTGTGGTCTTGGCTCACTGCAACCTCCGCCCCAGCCTCCCAAGTAGCTGGGATTATAGGTGCCCACCACCAAGCCTGGCGAATTTTTTGTATTTTTACCATGTTGGCCAGGCTGGTCTCAAACTCCTGACCTCAGGTGATCCACCTGCCTCGGTCTCCCAAAGTGCTGGGATTACAGGTGTGAGCAACTGCACCCAGCCACAATATATTATTAACTATAGTTACCATGTTATACAATAGATCTCTTGAATTTATTCCTCCTATCTAACTGAAACTTTGTATCCTTTGACCAACATCTCCCCAGCCTCTACCCCACCTCCTCAACTACCGCAGTCCTGGTTAACTATGATTCTGCTCTCTGCTTCTATGAGATCAACTTTTTTAGATTCCACATGTAAGGGAGATAATGTGTATTTGTCTTTCTGTGCCTGGCTTATTTCACTTCACATAATTCTTCTAGGCTCACCCATATTATTGCAAATGACAGGATTTCCTTATTTTTTATGGTTAAACAGTATTCCATATTTTCTGTATTCTATTCCTGCATTGATGGAGATTGAGGATGATTCCATGTCTTGGCTATTGTGAATAACGTAGTAAACATGGGAGTGCAGACGTCTCTATGACATGCTGATTTTATTTCCTATGGTTATTTACCCAGTAGTGGCATTACTGGATCATATGGTAGTTTTATTTTTAATTTTTAAAGGAACCTCCATACTATTTTTCATAATGACTATTCTAATTCACATTCCCATCAGCAGTGTACAAAGCTTCTCTTTTCTGTACATCCTTGCCAACACTTTTCTTTTGTCTTTTTGGTAGTAGCCATTCTGACAGGTGTCTGGTGATACTTCATTGTGATTTTAATTTGTGTTTCCCTGATGATTAGTGATGTTGATCTTTTTTTTATATACCTGTTGGCCATTTGTATGTCTTCTTTTGGCAACTGCCTATTTAGGTCCTTTGCCCATTTTAAAATCAGGTTATTTGTTTTTTGCTGTTGAGTTGAGTTCCATATTTATTTTGGGTATTTATCACTATCAGATGTACAGTTTGCAAGTATTTTCTCCCATTCTGTAGATTGTCTCTTCACTCTATTGATTGTTTTATTTGCTGTGCAGAAGCTTTTTAGTTTGATGTAATCCTATTTGTCTATTTTTGCTTTTGATGCCTGTGCTTTTAGGGGTCAAATCTAAAAAGTCATTCTCAGACTAATGTCATGGAGCTTTCCCACTGTATTTTCTTCCAGTAGTTTCATGGTTTGGGGTCTTATATTTAAGTCTTCAATCTATTTTGATTTGATTTTGCATATGGTATATGACAAATATACCAAGGGTCTAATTTCATTCTTTTACATGTGGATATTCCATTTTGCCAATACCATTTATTGAAGAGACTGTCCTTTCCCCATTTTATCTTTGTGGCACCTTTGTCAAAAATCAATTGGCTGTAAATGCATGTATGGATTTATTTCTGGTTTTATATTCGCAATATACTTTTGATTCGTTGAATTCATCTCTATTTCGCAGGATGTGTTAGTACGTGTTTGAATAGTGTATGTTATTTATGACTGGTATTCTGAGTTATTTTTCATTTTAGAATGTATTAATATGTTTTAGGTATATAATTTATAATAGACCCCAATTATAACAGCATATTTTAAAGAAGCCCAAATGGACCCTTCCTATAATAAAAGATACCAAATGATTGGTTTGTTTTTTGCAGCTACCTCCCCTTTTTCTTTTTAAAATATATGCCACAGTTTTATACTTTTAATAGTTTTGAAGTAATTTATTTTGTGCCTAGAAAAGGAATTATGTATTTTTTCCATGAATGTGTCATGTTTTTAGCAACTTGTAATCCCAGAAAAATTAAATAAATAAAAATTTGCTTGCCAGGAGCGGTGGCTCATGACTGTAATCCCAGCACTTTGGGAGGCTGAGGCGGGGGGACCATGAGGTCAGGAGTTCAAGACCAGCCTGACCAAGATGGTGAAACCCCGTCTCTACTAAAAATACAAAAATTAGCCAGATTTGATGGTGGGTGCCTGCAATCCCAGCTACTTGAGAGGCTGAGGCAGAGAATCGCTTGAACCGGGAAGGTGGAGGTTGCAGTGAGCTGAGATCGCACCACTGCACTCCAGCCTGGGCGACAGAGTGAGACTCCGTCTCAAAAAAAAAAAAAAAAAAATGCTAATAATAAAAGGTATGAATGCTCACTATAAAAAAATCCTAATTATAGAAATGTATAATTTAGGAAGTACAAGTCCTTCTAAGTCCAGTTTCTTCACCAGAGATAACATATACTCCTTTAAGACTCTTTTTATTATAAAGTTAAACACAGATATAGAAAATTATACAAAATATGTAGCTTAATGAGTTATTACCAGGTGAAGTCACACCCAAGTCAGGAAATAGAACTTTGCCGAGCACTTCAGCAGGTCCCTCCAACTGTAATATTTCCCTCCTACCAAATGTAACCACTCTCCTGATTTTTACAATAATTGCTCCTTTGCATTTTCAAATAGTTTATGACTAAGTTTTGCACCCAAGACTATAGTGTTGCCCATTTAAGAAACGTTGTTATATCCTTTAAGTCTCTTTGAATCTACAGGTTACCTATCTATTCCCCACCCCCACCCCCTGCTTTTTTTTTTCTTCTTCTTCTTATAAATTGTCTGTTGAAGAGCTCAGGCCATTTCCCAGGCTAAATTTTGCTGATTTCATAAATGATGCAGTTCGGCATGTTTCTCCAACCTCTGTATTTCTTGCAAATTGTCAGCTGGATCCAGGGGCTCAATCGGACACAGGTTCCATTCCTTTGGGAAAACTATAGGCAGTTTTGTGCTCTTTCATTAGGAAGTGCTTAATGTCTGATTGATTCTCTTTTTGTGGGATTGCAAGAGGGTGATACTCAAATCTATCATTTCTTTTTTATTTTTAGCTGCACTACTTTTATAAAGAGGTATTTCCCCATATATATTATTTTGTTACTCAGTGGTAAAATTCATACAGGAAAGACAGGATAAATGTTTGGTTCTTTTTTCCTTATTTACCAGTTTTCAAGATAATGAGTTGATCCTCTGAAGATGACCAATTAAGATGTTTTTTTTCCCTTTACAAACTCACAGGTTCAAAGCATATTTTATGGGCTTTAATTCATTGTAATTATTACTTTTATTGAAGTTGAAATTGTTTGATTTTTGGTCAGTTGAAGGTTTTCAAATGAGTTCTTTTCATGTTACTCTAATAGTCTTTGATAGTTTTCTTGCTGTCTGGTTTGACAAGATATTCTAAGCTCGTCTTGTACATTTCCTTCCCAGGACTGGAATTAGCTGTTTCTCTAAGAAGTTTTAAGACTACATTCTGGCCATTAGGTCGCTCATTACTGCTGTGTTGGTCATTGTTTCTAGGCCTTTTCTGTTGACAAGAGATAGGAAATATATGTTATAATCCTCATACATTCAAGTGGGTACTGCCTATTCATATTCCGGCTGGCAGGGTTTTTATTTAATCTCTTCGATATTACATCTGCCTCTTTTTTTCCCACACCGAGAGTCCTGATTCTGGACACAGGGGATTATACAATTAGAATATGTAATAATTTTACTGATTTGATCTGTCTCATTTTGTACATGCAACAGTTTCAGAATGGCAGTAATACTATCCCTGATATGATTACTGAAAATAGTTTAAAACATTTTTTTGTGTGTGCTCTCATTGTTCTTAACCAGCTGTGTTGTATGTATATTCTCAGAGTAGCCATTATATACTTCCTTTTTAGCCCTTATTTAAGGCATTTATACAAATAACTATATATGTAATGTTTACCGCCGGTCTTACTTATTTTCATTGTCTGGGATGTATTTTCTAGTAAATTCTTCAGGAAGAGCCCATCGAAACAGTAATCTCTGTGTTTTTGTATGTTAACTTTGTCAGTGTTCTTTACATCCCAAAGCACTTTGGTAGGATATAAAATCCTTGGCTCACATTTTCTTTCTTTGAGTACTTCATCTTCTGCTGGCAGTAGGCTTTGCTGTTAAAAATGCTGATGACAATCTAATTTTCTTTATAAGTTACTTGCTGATTTTTGCTTATATGCCCAAGTGATCTTTCCTTTGCCTTTAAAATCCAATTATTTTACTAGAATATGCCTTACTGTTGGACATCCCTGGTCAGTATTCTTAGGTATACAGTGTGTTATTTCAATACATAGTTTTAAGTATTTTTTTCATTTCAGGAAAGCTTTCTTGAATTATAATTCTTTTTTGTTGCTCGTTTTTATGTGAAATTAGATTTCTTGAGCTTTTAAAAAGAAACATGGTTTTTGGTATTCTGTTTGCTTGTTTAGGGTTTCTTATATTTATGTTGGGTCTTCTTTTGTCTTTCTTCATTGTTTATTAGTTTGTTACAAACCTTACTTTTTCCATTTCTGTTTGGTTTTTCCAACTTTCCTCCTTTTCATGTTCTATTTATCTTAAGGCATTTTCTGTTGTGATTATTTGTTCTTTTATTTCTGATTCTTCATTGAGTTCTAGCACCTCATTTCTTTTTATTTAATTTTTTTTTAGAGGCAGAATCTCGCTCTGTTACCCAGGCTGGAGTGCAGTGGTGCTATCATAGCTCACTGCAATCTTGAGCTCCTGGGCTCAAGTGATCCTCCCACCTCAGCCTCCCAAGTAGCTGGGACTGCAGGTGCATGCCACCATTCCTGACTGACTTTTTTATTTTTAGTAAAGATGAGGTCTTGCTGTGTTACCTGGGCTGATCCTGAAATCCTGGTTGCCCAGGCTGGTCTCAAACTCCTGGCCTCAAGTGATCCTGCTGCCTCAGCTTCTCAAAGTGCTGGGATTACAGGTGTGAGTCACCATACACAGCCTCTAGCACCTCATTTCTGATTTTTGTTATTGAGTATCTTGTACCATTTAACAAATGTCTTTAGTGCATTTTGAAACAGGAAGTTACAGTTTTTATATGTTTGTGGCCATGTCTTTCTGGCTTACTTTCATTGTATGTAGGGATGTTATTCTTTTCTTTCTTCTTCTTTTTATTATAATTTTATTGTATAGGATTGTACCATAATACTTTCTATTGCTCATTTTTATGTGAAATTAGGTTTCTTGAACTTTTAGAAAAAAGCATGGCTTTAATTACCTTTTCTAAATCCATAGTGCTTTCTCTTCTTTTTTTTTTTTTTTTTTTCCTTTTCATTCTGAGTCAAGCTTGAGAAAGTTTTCTCTTCTCTTGTTTTCAGGTAGTGTTCAAAAACATGGCAGCTTGCTTTATGAGGTTTCCTGGCTCTGTTTTACTCCTCCAGTTTTATCTGGACTCTGTTTCCTTTATTTCTGTCGTCCAAGTCTACTCAGTTTTGATTTCACTTCTAGCCGTATTTTCTCAGTGTGGGGCCCTGTCCTGGTAGGGAGCACTGGTTAATTTTGAGAGTTCAGGGGACTAGACAGCTGTGGCCCCTTGAAGTCCTACCCCAGACTTCTTGTCCTTGTCCACTGTTAGACATAGGTTCACTTGCTGTTACCCATTGGCCCACTATAATTTTTAGTGAATGCCTATCAGCTACTTAGGTGTTTTCTTGTTCTTAGGTCTCTCAGCCAACTTGTTGCTTCCCAATACCTTTGCACTTGGTTTTGATAGAAATGTTGCTCATGGGTTTAGTTTTGCTCTCTAGTCAGTCTGTTTTTATGTGAGGATTTGGTAGATTAGACGACGTTGCTTTTGCCACATTAACATATGTTCTTTAAAAAGAAAGATGAAATCATATATATGCAACTTATTTTTGCTTAGTTTTAGTGATCTTGTTTATGTCAGTACAAAGCTCCCTCTTTTTTGTTGAAGACTAATATATTCCATTGAAGGGATATGCTGTATTGTGTAACAAATCCCCTACTGATGGACATTTGTATTGCTTCTCATTGTTTACAATTATTAGAATGCTATAGTGAACACTCTATCCATATATCATTGTGCACTTCTGTGAACATTTCTATTAGATAAATTCCTAGACATAGCATCTGCTGGGTCAAATGGAATGAACAGTTACAGTTTTGATAGATGTTGCCAGATGCCCAAAAGCCTTGCACTAATTTATCCTTACCTACAGTTATTAGGATGCCGGTTGCTGCAAGGCCTTGCCATTATTGGCCCAGAGGCTCTTCAAGGTATGAGTGTTTATGTATGTGTTTTGAGAGTGATTTACAGTTTTCTCTAAGAAACTCATGAGACCTATGGACCTTTTTAGAAAAATGTAAATGTGTACTTAAAACTTTCACATATAATCTCAGAGGCTTCACCAGCTGGTCTCTAGTAATATTGTTCTTATTCTTGTTTTCCTAACCACCAACCACTTCTGCTTGATGAACTAGGAAATACTTGAATGTTTAAGGATAAAGAGCAGTTGTAGAGCTATGACCAATAGTTCATCAAATCCTGTTATCAGAGGTGATAATACTCTGAAGCCCATGATAAAGTCTGATGTGTGTGGTTTAGTAGTAGTTAAGAACTAAACAACACTTCTATCCCATTCTATTTTGATGCTTGCTTGTTTCTGTCTTTGCAATTCTCAGTCTTTGTATCTTTCTCTTATTTTCCTTGTGGGTTGAGGAGTGATGCTGTGGAATTAAAATACATTTAAAAATAAGAAGTTTATTTTCCCCTTATCCCAAGTTAAAGGCTATCTTTGCAACATCCTTCTGCCCCACATTTCAGAAAGAGGAAATTGTTTTTCTTTCCATAATGCTCACTCATCTTTGTTTTAGAACATATACACAATGGACATTCGCTATGTACCAAGCACTCTGTTCAGCAATGCAGGGAATATAAAGATGTTCTGACTTCAAGAATAATACAATCTATTGGGGAAAACTTGGCAAGTATTATAATTTTTATGGATTTGTTTCCCTCACTAGACCAGTGATCTCTTCAAGAGTAGAGAGGCAACATGGCGAAACCCTGTCTGTACAAAAATACAAAAATTATCTGGGTGTGGTGTGCATGCTTGTAGTCCCAGGTACCAGGGAGGCTGAGGTGGGATGATCACTCGAGCCTGGGAGGTCAAGGCTGCAGTGAGCCGTGATCATACCACTGCACCCCAGCGTGGGCAACAGAGTGAGACCCTGTCTCAAAAAAATAATAAATAAAAGTAAAGTAAAAAGAGTAGAGAGGCCATGTCTCACTTTTAATTTTCCTAAAACCTGGCACATAGTAGATGGTCAGTAAATGTCTGTTTAATGATTAACAAGAAGCCAAATGACTAAGAGAAAATGAATAGAGGAAGTGTCATTAGAAAAGAATAAGCAAGGCACTAGAGATTGAAAGGATGGAAAGATAATGTATAAAACTGCATGGAGTTGTTGCTCAAGCTAGCCTATTAAAAAATGGACTGTCACTTGAGCTTGGGAGGTCAAGGCTGCAGTGAGCTGTGACTGCACCACTGTACTCCAGCCTGGGTGGCAGAGCAAGACTCCATCTCAAAAAAAAAAAGCATTGAAATTTGACAGGCAAAAAGCAAGGAAAGAGATGGCATTAAGGACTAAGAAAAGCATAGGGGGAGTTTAGCCAGAGCGTGGGGTAGCTGTGGATGAGGGGCGATAAGGCAGAGAATATCAGCAAGGATTTCATTAGGTTAGGCAGGCCTTGAACACCATGAGATAGTATTATTGGTACTTCGGAGGGCAGCAGGGAGCCACTGAAGGCTTGTAAGAAGGAGAGTGCCAACAAGCCTGTCCTGGGGGATGCTGTACTTAACTGCAGTGGCACAAGGAGGGAACATTTATCTTTTCAGTGGGGGCTGGGTCTCATGATCTCCTGAAGTTCTTTCTAGCTCAGAATGCTGAGGTCCTGAAGTTATGAGGGATTTGCCTTCTCTTTTATAAATCTGAAATGGAAGTTTGAAAGAGGATATCAGAGAGATGACTTGTTGGGAGACGACTTCTGTCAAAAGTGATCCAGACCACAAGTAGTCAGTAGGGCCTGAATCTGCCTATGAATAGGAGGGAGCACCAAGGCCAGAGGTTCCATATACTTCTGCCTGGGTACTTGGAGAAGACTCAGGAGTGTATAGTGGGTAGAGTGTTTCTCATCAAGTGACAGCACAGAGTTCCCATTAGTTGCCCAGGATTGGGTGTATGGGGGTGCAGTTGGGGGCAGCATCAGCTGTTGTGAAGGTGGGGTGGAGGTGTGAGGCAGGCTGCTTGTTGGAAGTGTGCACAGCAGCAGCTTTGCTGGAGCACCAACCTTGTGTGCATTGGCCTAGAACATCCAGGCCTCCTTGCCCATGCTTGGGTGGGCACCTGTCAGCACAGCCCTCTGAGGAGCAGAAACCCAGAGCAGGGTAGCTGCTTTTATAAGCTCTTTGGTGCATTGTTGCAAAACTGGCTTAAGTTTGTGACTGAGCTAAGTTTATCAGGAAACCTGAAGCCCTTCTTCCTTGTTGCCAGCTGGCAGTTGTGCTCCTTTAAATCCTCCCCACATTTGCTTCAGTTTTGCTGCTGGATATGGCCTCTTTGATTTCTATTCTGATGTCTTGGGGAGTGAGACAGAGACTGACCCATCTTAAGTGGGTTTGGTGGCCTGCAGGTTGGCTGAGCCAAGGAAAGCTGTAGTGGGTGTTTTCGATGTGGTACAGGCTAAGTTTAAACAGCTCATTTGCTGCCCTCTCAGTTTGGATGCCCCGCAGCCCTCATTGTTACTGAATTTTTTGCAGCCTTAACAAGACAGCCTGACATGAATATTCTAAAAAATCATGTACTCTTCTTTCCTCTGCAGAACTCAATCAAGTATGTATTGAGAGCCGATTAACACTCAGTTTGAGCATCTATCATGGCATGGCCCTGGTCTTTTTCTCATAGCTGGGAAAACTGAACAAGTCACAGAGAGGCAAGAGCCAGGCAGAGAACATTATTGAGAACTCTCTGGTGTCAGCTCTGAGCATCTCCTATGCATGATCTCTTATTCCTGGCAGTGAACCCTGTGAGCCCTGTGAAGTGGGTACTCTGATGCCCATTCTGCAGATGAGTCATAGGTGTTATTTGCTCAAGGTCTCAGAGCTATTAAGTGGTGGAACTGGACCTGGAACCAGATCTTCCTGAGTCTGTGCCCTCTGCCACCAGCTGAACAATTGCCTAGGTCATCCGAGTGCTAAAGGCTGCAATTCCTTCTAGTGAAACCAGCAATACAAGTGAAGAAAGCAAAGCACAACACTACTTAGTAGGTCTCTCAATACCAACGATCCAAAACTTTAAACTAAAAGGCAGAAAATTTGGATTGTCATTACACTTTGACAGGTGAAAGGAGGCTCAGGTGAATAACCTCGTTTTGTTAAAGTTGCCTATATTTAAGGAGGGTGGGCTCCCCCAATGGGAGGTGGACAAGGACTTAGGACCAGTTGTTTATATGACTGCCGTCTCTGCACTGTACCTGTTGCTCCATCTGCCTCTTCTCCCACTCTGATTGTCATTTTCACCTCCCTGATCCCTGCACACACCACCCCACAACAATAAATAGAATGATGTGGAGTCCCATCCTTTAGAGCTGGTCTAGAGAGAAATTCTACCCTAAGAATTTTGCTGCAGGCATCCCTATGGATTTTTTTCCCCTTTTCATTGCTGGGAGTATCCAAACTGAGGGGCTTTTGTGGCAGGGCCACTAGGGAAATTGTAGAAGTCAGTAGTAGCTGATACTGGTCTGAAATAATTCATAGAACCATATTTGTCTGTGGAGGTAACAGGTGCTGTAAACGAGAACAATAAGAGCCAATTATGATGACAGGATTCCTGGGGACTGATAGGGTACGGGGAAAAAAGGATTAAAAATTGAAGTACAATATCTTGGCACTTTGCTTTTTTAACCCTTTTATTCAATCATGACTTCTGTTTGAGGAAAATAAATGAGAACAAAGGGTATGTTTAGAATACAATCTCTGTTTTAAATTTGACTAATGAGTGGTTTTAGCACTTTCATTTGGGTCTCAGTCAACCTGTATTCAGAGTGTCAATTAACCAATAAATATTATGAAAAACAAGAGTCAGAAATGGTTGCACCACTCCTGCTAATGAGCTGCTAATGAAATTGTACCTGGGTGGGAAATGCAGGCACTCTGGAATCCTCAAGAGTCTTCTCCAGAAAATGAGCAGTAGTGGTGCTAAGGCCTCTGGGAAACAGACACATTTAACTCCTTCACTTCCAATTTGTTTCCCTCCTTATTATGAAGTAAAGCTCATTATCAGTATCTCAGGGTTAACTTCAATTATAGTGAGAATTTAAAAAAATGTATTTTTGACTCAGTAATTTCCAAGTGGGATTAGAGAGCCGGAAGAGCTATAGCCATGCTGTGGTATACTCCCAACTGCCTGACCTTTGGTTTCTTGGAGGAACATGGGAGACATTGAGGGTAGAGATCAAAGGGGAGTGGAGGCATCAACTAGCTAGGAAACAGGTGTGAGATGCCCAGGATGGGTCTCCACATGAAAGTGGCCCCCTTTAGCCCCAGTTTTCTTTATTCCATCCCTGGATTTATTAAATTTGGGGGCTGTGGTAGGCCCCCTAGGCTGGTGGAAGGAGTGAGTAACTGCACATGCTTAAAGGTCTGATGCTTTTCTCAGTAGGAGGGCTGGCAGGGCCACAACAAGATTCCTAGTTTTTCTGGTCAAAATACTATCATCCTTTACTGCTGTCTCAATCTTCATTTCCTACCCATTCCTCTGGGTCAGGGTTTATTATGTCTGATTAGGACAATGATAACAGCCTGCCAAGTGGCCTCCCTGCTTCTTGTCTGCCTGTTTTATATGCTGAGCTCCAGGTGCTTCATATGGAGTTCCTCATTGCTTGCTTGAAAGCTGTTCTCTGGACTTGGAAATCTAAGTGTTGCTACTTCTCTCCCCATTTATGTCATACTTCTCAATGGCAGGCATTGGTCTTGTTCACTTCCCAGTATACTTCCCAGTGCCCAACACAGCAGTGGCCCTTTGTGGGCACATGGTAAGCTGTGGCAGAAGGAATGCCTGGAAAAGAGCAGACTCTTGCCCAGTCCTCAGGAGATGCTTGTGGACTAGCCACTTATGGAAAGAGGCTCACCATGTCCTAAATGTGGTTACTTTGAGCCTTGTGCTGATGATGGTTCAAGGTACCTCTCTCACTAGAACACAGGAAATCTAAGTAGCATTGATAGTCCTTGTCTGTGGAAAGCGTTACTCTTGTGAATTCTGTGTAGAATGGTTGGTCACCAGCTGTAGTTTGTCCTCCTTGAGGACTGGAAAGGAGACATGGGTTAGGGTGCTGTGGATGAGATTTTGGAGGGTAGTGGGGTAGTGGTGCAAGGGTATGGTGGGAGCTGTCAGGGTAGCTGTTCCCTGGGGGAAACTGGCGTCTTTTTTTCTGAGCGGCTTTCATGCAGCTTGGGGATTTCTACCCTTGCCTGGAAGCCATGCTGGGTAACTCTTCTAAGACCCGGCCCAGATTCTAGATTCTCTGTGATTCAGAGTAAAAATACATTTGGAGAATATTCCTATTTTTCTCAGTTTGTCATTGTTTAGTCCTTCTAAAAAATACATAAATATGACTATGATCCAGAATGGCTCATTATGTATTTTGCTGTTTAAAAAAAAGGTCTCCATTTTTGGTTCCCTTAAAAACACAATAACATTAAGTGTTGTTTCAGGGTTCAGCACCCTAGAGAGGTTTGTGCACGTTATTTGTTACTGGTTCCGTTCAAGTCCTGGAGACAGGATAGATGCTCATTTGTGTAAGGCAGGGATCTTGCCAAGACTTGTTCGGGGGTTTTGAATAAAGAAGCAGGAGGAGAGGGCTTTAGTAGTCATGGCAACTGGGCCTGTAAAGCCTCAGCTCTGACCAGCCCTATTAGGAGCTTGGAGGCCCCAGCGAGGTGAGTGGCATTGCTTCCTGTTCTATATTTTTGTATTCCTTTTGGTCTGGGGAAGAGGGAGCTGGCATTCAAGCTGACCTTTATGGAGGCCTACTGTGTGCCTTGAGCTGAGCTTGAGCTGTGGGCACCAATAATTGGTTCCTGCCCTTCAGAAACTCAGCATAACCGGGAGTTTTTACTCTTAACACCTACCTGTAGGACTTGACAAATAAGCTGTCTTTGCTTCATCCGGGTTGACATTTACCTTTTTGGGTTGTTTTTGGGACTGCTTTTTCTGGTGTACTTTTTATTTCTTCTGAGCACTGACACAGTTCTTTTTTCATTTGTTCTTCACAACAATGTAGCACATTAGGGAAAACAGACACGATAAATTCTTTTCAGTTGACACATAAGGGCATGAAGATTCAGAAACATAAAGGAATTTGGCTAGAGTCACCCAGCCAACAAAGATAGCCAAGTGAGGAGCAGAGTCCCAGGGCTTGCGGCATGGCCAGCCGGGGCAGCCTCTGGCTTTCTGCCATTGTGTCCACGTATGACTGGAAGTCCCTGGAGCAGGAAGTTTCCAGGCAGGAGCCTATGGAGGACATCCTGTCCTTTTCACCCCTCCTGAAGTCCCATAACTACCAAAGCTCTTAATGCCAAGGCAGACCCAAGAGCACCATGCATTCATTCCAGTTGGCCTGTCTTCGTTGAAGCAGGGCAGCCAGGCTCCACAGCAACCTCACTGTGGGCACCACCTGAGCAGGCCCTGTCACTGGGAGTCCAGGAGGGACAAGTTTCTAAGCACTGGACACTGGGATGAGTTGGGGCAAAGACAGAGCCAGGTATAATTTGTTAATAGGTAAAACTATCATTTCAGCAGTTACAAACTGGCCATATGTTTTGTTTGCCTTTTCTGTATTTAAGGTGGAATACTTTTAGAAGGGGCATTTTTCACAGCCCTCACCATTCATGTTTTCTTACAGATGAACCTCCTCACTCTCTTGCCTCCTGCCTCCTGTGGGCATTTGACATGGCTCCTACCTCCTGATCACTATTTCTTACCTGTCCTTCTGCCAGGGTTCCTCTTGTCCTGGTGCTTCATGGCCTCAGGCTTCCTAGGCTAATTTTCCCCTTCCTAACGTTCCAAGAACTTCATTCCTGGGTCTGTGTCTAGGCCCTGAGCCTTAGTTCTCTTTCCTGGCCCCTAGAAATATTTACTGTCACATTGAACTGTGTCTGATAGACTAATTGCTGTTCAAGGATTTAAAAAGAGATGGTGGAGGAATATATTTCTACAACCACTTTATCGAGATATAATTTATATACTATCCAATTCACCTATTTAAAGTGTACAATGGGAATAATTCTCAAATGTCCTAGGGAAGATTGGTAGAATGGAGAGGTGGTTTCTAGGCTATGGTGTTTTATGGACCAGAAAAACTTAAAAAAAAAAAAAAAATTGGAGGACTAAGGCCAACTTTTTATTTTGCTGAGTTAAGGGCCTTAACATGGAAACAACACACTATCTACTATCATTATCTCATCTTTTAAAAGGACATTTTAACACAAAAAAGCAACTATATAATTTCAGAAAAAACTGTTATTTATATTGGGCACTTTTAATTTCTTGTTTCGGGACCATTGGAATGAATGCCACAATAAACACCTCAAATCCTGGTGGCTTAAAAAAACAGTAACTATACAAAAAAAAAGTATGTAAGAGAACAGAACACTGTTCTTTTTTATAGCTCCGACTCTTAGAACCACAGTAATAGTTCACATACTCTTCATAGGCTCACCAAATAAACAGTTAAGCCAATCAGGATATGGAGGGGCAGGAGCCATAAAATGGAATACAAATACTAACAAATGAACCAAGTATTACTAATTAATAACATAACCTTAATGAATTGGACAGGGAAGAACTAACCCAAGTGACTTTGTGAAGCAATATTTTGACCAGGTACTGTAAAGCTAAAAACAGAACTGTACATACATGCTGTAATCTAGTTTGGTAAATGTATTTCTCACAGGGATATGGGTTAACAGTTTTGAAACTAGTTTATTTGTATACTAGAACAAAAATATATTGTAGATAATAAGAGCAGGTTTCTCAGTGTTAGAGAAAGAAGTTATAAATAAGTAAAGTGAGAAGACAAATGAGCCCGTGTATTAGATTGGAATCTGAACTATCAGTATAAACTTGTAGTTTTAAAAATATATACAGATAAATAGATATAGAAATATAGATGTGTGGATATATACACACAACAATAATATAGCAAGAAATATAGGTGTGTGCATGTATATAGATGTCTGTATGTATATATATTGTACATCTGTTGATGTCCTCTTTTGTTACTTTTGGCACAGATTATTAGAGAAAGTGAACTCAGTGTCCCTTAAACATTAATGATTGATGATTACATGGAGGGCCTGAATGTTATTCTAAATCATATATGTATATGTGGTTTAGAATATATGTAATATAATATTCTAAGCTGTATATATTAGTTTCCATGCTGCTAATAAAGACATACCTGAGACTGGGTAATTTATAAAGGAAAGAGGTTTAATGGACTCACAGTTCCACATGGCCGGTGGGGCCTTACAATCATGGTGGAAGGTGAATGAGTAGCAAAGTCATGTCTTTACATGGCAGCAGGAAAGAGAGCGTGTGCAGGGGAACTGCCCTTTATAAAACCATCAGATCTCCTGAGGCTTATTCACCATCACAGGAACAGCACAGGAAAGACCCACCCCCATGATTTAATTACCTCCTACCAGGTGGCTCCCATGACATGTGGGAATTAAGGGAGCTACAATTCAAGATGAGATTTAAGTGGAGACACAGCCAAACCTTATCACCACATATATATATACAAATGTATGTATGTCTATGTGTGTGTGTACATATACATATATATAATTAACATTTGTGTGTGTATATATAATTTGTATTGTTTATAAATTACCCAGTCTAAGGTATTTTGTTACACACACACACACACATACACATTTCTAGCTCCGCCTACTGAGAGGGCTTAGAAATACCAACACCCTAGTATTAATGAACACACCTAGCATCCAGATCTTGGCTTCTAAACACTGTTCTCCAATTGAAAAAAGAAAAAAGAAAGAAAAAGAAAAAAAACTAGGGCTCGTTAGAAGTGGCTGATTCCAGGGCTGGGGAAATGAAAATACAAGATGAACCTGGAACATCTTATGGAACCAGAAAGTAAGGAAATACTTTTAAAAAGAAAATGATGGTGGGGAGGAAGGGTTTTTCAAAGGAATGTAAGAGCCAACCTGAAGGCACTTCTGATTGCTAAGGCTGAAACAATTTGAGTAACAAAATAAATAATAATAGTGTTGGACCCATAGAATAAAATATCCATGAGTTCATACTCATACAAATAATTAGAGGAGTGACAATTTTTTCTTGGAGTGAAATAAATCCCAATTAATAAATGTGTAAAGAAGGAGGGAAGTAGCAAATTCCCATTAGATGATTACCACAGTGGTAAATGTTGCAGATGGATTCCTCTAATGGCATGCAATGGTTTTTAGAGTCAAGGGATGGATTTGTATAATCTGAAAGTATTTCCCCCATGATTTTTTTCTTGGTAATTTGGTGTTTTTTTTTTTAGTTTACCCACAGTGTTGTGCAATTACTGCCACTGTCTAACTCCAGACCACGAGTGGTCAATCCTCATTCCTTCCTTCCCACAGCCCCTGACAGCCATTAATCTACGGTTTCTATGGATTTGCCTATTCTGTACATTTCATGTAAAAGTAATCATATGATACATGCTTTTTTGTATCTGGCTTTCACTTAGCACAATGTTTTCAAGGTTCATCAATGTTGTAGGATGTAGCAGTATTTATTGCTCCTTTTAATGGTGAATAATATTATATGGATATACTACTTTTATTAATTCATTTATCACATGATGGACATTTGGGTTGTCCCCTGATACCCAGTATGATAGTATTAGAAGGTGGGGCCTTTAGGAGGTGATGAGGTCATGAGAGTTCCACGCCTCATGAATAGGATTAGTGAAGAGGCTTGAGGGTGCCTCCTGGCCCCTTCCACCATGTGAAAACACTTAGAAGGCACCTTCTGTGAGGAACAGGCTCTCACCAGACACTGAAACTGCTGGTGTGATCTTGGACTTCCCAGTCTCCAGAATTGTGAGCAATAAATTTGTATTGTTTATAAATTACCCAGTCTAAGTTACTCTGTTATAGGATTCCTAATGGACTAGGACACACTCTAAGACAGCCATTAAAGCAGATGCTTTTGGTTCCCTGCCCATACTTCCTGGGATCTCCTTTTCCTATAGGGGGTGTTTCTTCCCCAGCCTCTGTGGGGGTTCAAGACTCACTCTTGCCACCTGTTCCTGGACCCCTCTGAGGAGCCAAAGCTTCTTTGCCCAGAGCTTCTGCCTCCACCTGCTCTGGTAGCCTGCGGCCTCTGACTGCCAGGAGGGGGCAGGTGGGGGTACAAAGTCCTCCCTGCCTCCTCATTTCCTGTCAACTGGAGAGCACCCCTTAATAAACCATGTGCACATGAAGCCCTGACTTGTTTCTTCTCCGTGGGTGTCTCATCCTTCTTGGACCAGAAGGCTAGCAGTGATGTTCTTTTCTTTTCTTTTTTTTTTTTTTATTGATCATTCTTGGGTGTTTCTCGCAGAGGGGGATTTGGCTGGGTCATAGGACAATAGTGGAGGGAAGGTCAGCAGATAAACAAGTGAACAAAGGTCTCTGGTTTTCCTAGGCAGAGGACTCTGCGGCCTTCCGCAGTGTTTGTGTCCCTGGGTACTTGAGATTAGGGAGTGGTGATGACTCTTAACGAGCATGCTGCCTTCAAGCATCTGTTTAACAAAGCACATCTTGCAGCGCCCTTAATCCATTTAACCCTGAGTGGACACAGCACATGTTTCAGAGAGCACAGGGTTGGGGGTAAGGTCACCCATCAACAGGATCCCAAGGCAGAAGAATTTTTCTTAGTACAGAACAAAATGAAAAGTCTCCCATGTCTACTTCTTTCTACACAGACACGGCAACCATCCGATTTCTCAATCTTTTCCCCACCTTTCCCCCCTTTCTATTCCACAAAACCGCCATTGTCATCATGGCCCGTTCTCAATGAGCTGTTGGGTACACCTCCCAGACGGGGTGGTGGCCGGGCAGAGGGGCTCCTCACTTCCCAGTAGGGGCGGGCAGGCAGAGGCGCCCCTCACCTCCCGGGCGGGGCGGCTGGCCGGGCGGGGGGCTGACGCCCCCACCTCCCTCCCGGACGGGGCGGCTGGCCAGGCGGGGGGCTGACCCCCCCACCTCCCTCCTTGATGGGGCGGCTGGCCGGGCGGGGGGCTGACCCCCCCACCTCCCTCCCGGACGGGGCGGCTGGCCGGTCGGGGGGCTGACCCCCCCACCTCCCTCCCGGACGGGGCGGCTGGCCTGGCGGGGGGCTGACCCCCACCTCCCTCCCGGACGGGGTGGCTGCCGGGCGGAGACGCTCCTCACTTCCCAGACGGGGTGGCTGCCGGGCGGAGGGGCTCCTCACTTCTCAGTCGGGGTGGTTGTGGGGCAGAGGGTCTCCTCACTTCTCAGACGGGTTGGCCGGGCAGAGATGCTCCTCACCTCCCAGACGGGGCGGCAGGGCAGAGGCGCTCCCCACATCTCAGACGATGGGCGGCCGGGCAGAGACGCTCCTCACTTCCTAGATGGGATGGCGGCCGGGAAGAGGCGCTCCTCACTTCCTAGATGGGATGGCGGCCGGGCAGAGACGCTCCTCACTTTCCAGACTGGGCAGCCAGGCAGAGGGGCTCCTCACATCCCAGACGATGGGTGGCCAAGCAGAGACGCTCCTCACTTCCCAGACGGGGTGGCGGCCGGGCAGAGGCTGCAATCTCGGCACTTTGGGAGGCCAAGGCAGGCGGCTGGGAGGTGGAGGTTGTAGCGAGCCGAGATCACGCCACTGCACTCCAGCCTGGGCACCATTGAGCACTGAGTGAAGGAGACTCTGTCTGCAATCCCGGCACTTCGGGAGGTCGAGGCTGGCGGATCACTCGCGGTTAGGAGCTGGAGACTGGCCCGGCCAACACAGTGAAACCCCGTCTCCACCAAAAAAATACGAAAACCAGTCAGGCGTGGCGGCGCGTGCCTGCAATCGCAGGCACTCGGCAGGCTGAGGCAGGAGAATCAGGCAGGGAGGTTGCAGTGAGCCGAGATGGCAGCAGTACAGTCCAGCTTCGGCTAGGCATCAGAGGGAGACCGTGGAAAGAGAGGGAGAGGGAGACCGTGGGGAGAGGGAGAGGGAGACCGTGGGGAGAGGGAGAGGGGGAGAGGGGGAGAGGGGGAGAGGGAGAGGGAGAGGGAGAGGGAGAGTCAGTGATGTTCTTTTCATGACAATAGCAGAACATGATACAACCATGCAAGCACATTTCAAACATCTGTTTGCGGCCCATTTGCTAGCATCCCACTGGCCAATGCATGTGATAAGCAAAATCCAAAGTCAAGGTGTGAGAAGGCACACTCTGCAGTAGGAGGAACTGTAAAGTCACATGGCAGAGAGTGTGACAAGCAGGGAGGAAAAAAATTGGTGACGATGTTGCAGTCTACCATAGATTATCCCCCAACCCAGAAAACAAGAGTTGTTATCTGGGTCCTGGCCTGTGACTGAAGTCAGTGACAGTGTCAGTGGGAGTCAAAATTCAAGCATGAGGTGGCCTTACTCAATATGGACAGGGCTTCTGCTTAATATGGATGGGTTTTCTAGGCTAGGATAGTCAGCCTTGGGATCAGCTCTGAAGGAGCTGGAGGTGGGAAAACAGACACTGTAGGCTTTGCAGGCCTGTTTGCCTTCCTGGATCCAGACATTATTTTCTGCCTGTACCCTTGCTCTCCATCCCCCTAACTTGTTACCTGTATGTATCTTGTTTTCTCTTTGCTCTGATTTGCCCTTCCCCTGTGTTCTGGTACATTTTCATCTGTCACAGGGGCTCTCGAAGGATACAGGTCAGATTATACTATCTTTCTAACTTGGACATTTCCCCAGTGGAGAAGTATTTGAAATACTGCATTTCCTGTTGCTTTTGCCACTGCTGCTGCCATGACGTGTTTAGTATATTTTAAATGAACACAACCTGTATTTTGAGTTAATGCTGTTGTGGTTGCTCTTGCCCCCTGTGGTGGCTTATGTGAAGGGAGTAATTTTGGAATTTTCATCAAAATAACTAGATTCACATAAGAACCTAGTCTCTTCTTTGGCGAGCTTAGCACACTATAACCTATTACTTCTGAAGCTTATACACTTACATGCTTTTTTCTTTTCCATTTCTAACTTTGGTCAAAAGTTTGAAAATTTTAAATACTATTTTTATTATATTACTAGTATTAGTACCATTATTACTAAAAATAACTATTAACATGACTAATTACTATTATAACTCAACCTGCCCTAGTAAAAATCCTTCTTGGCCTTTCCATATAACTCTAGATCAGCTAGGAATTCCCTCTTTCTTTTAAACATTTTCACTTAACAAATAATTATTATTTTTTTAATTTAGAGACAAGTTCTCACTCTGTTGCCCAGGCTAGAGTGCAGTGGCATGATCATAGCCCATTGCTGCCTTGAACTCCTGAGCTCAGGCAATCTTCCCACCTCAGACTTCAAGTGGCTAGGACTATAGGAGCATGCCATTGTGCCTGGCTAATTTTTTTATTTTAATTTTTTTGTACAGACGGGGTCTCACTGTGTTGCCCAACCCATGGCCTCAAGTGATCCACTTGCCTTGGCCTCCCAAAGTGCTGGAATTACAGGTGTGAGCCACCACACTCAGCTAATTTTAAATTATTTTCTAGAGATGGGATCTCATTGTGTTGCTCAGGCTGGTCTCTAACTCCTGGGCTCAGGTGATCCCCTCGTCTCAGCCTCCCAAAGTGCTGGGACTATAGGCAAGGGCCTCCTCACTTGACCAACAAATAATTATTGAGAGTTCACTATATGCCAGCCAGGTCATGTTATAGGCCCTGAGGATAAAATGGTGAGCATTTATATTCACTACATAAATAAAAAAACTAATGTGTAATTACTGATTGTGGTGAGTGCTATAAAGGATTCATGGTGCTGTGAAATCTTTTGGAGGCAGGTAAATCTAGTCTGAGAAAATAGAGGATGCCTTTCAGAAGAAGTGACTTTAGCTGGGATTGGAAGGATGAGGAGATGGAGGCTGAGGGTGGGAAGACTCTTCTGGACAAAGGGAACAGCAGATGGAATGGCCCCCTGGTAGGAGGTAGCATGGTTCTTTCAGAAGGATGGAAAAAGACCAGTGTGCCTAGAGCACAGGAATGAGGAGTGGACAAGGCTGGAGAGGTAGGCTGGGGCCAGATACTGCAGGGCCTCATGGACCAGGGTGAGGATTTTCATTTTTATCCTCAGAATAGTAGGAAGCCATGAAAAGGTTTGAAGCAGGAGAATGACATAGGTTTGGTATTTTGGAAAAGAAAAATCATTCGCTTTAAAGAACAGTTTGATTGGGAGGTGAATCGGGGAGGCCAGTTAGAAAGCTGTGATAGGGCGCAGATCAGAGATGGTGATGGTTCAGACAAAAGCAGTGGGGGAAGATGGAGAGAAGAGTATGCATTCAAGACATACATAGCAGGAAAAATCAACCAGTTTGGGAGGTAGATTGGGTATCAATGTGGTAGAGTAAAGGGGGCTGGCATTTTAGCATTCATCCAGGAAGAGACTATTGTCTTGTTTAGCATTCATCCAGGAAGGGACTATTGTCTTGTTTAGCATTCATCCAGGAAGGGACTATTGTCTTGTCAGTTTGGGATCTCTCCAGGTGAGGCAGCCTCTCCCCTTCACACATTCAGAGATTAGATTAGTACTAAAGAAATTACCTCTTGCCCTGTGATCATAGTAATAGGATAGAAGTTGCCAGTTCTTTGTTATTCTTGCCAGTATTCAGCCTCCTCTCCTCCCAGAACCATCTTCCGCCGCTGTTTGATGAATATTTTCCCATCCTAGGAATATGAACCCAGGCTTCCTGGTGGTACCAAGCCAGCAGCCCCCACAGCCCTTCCAGTTAGTTCTGTGGCCTAGTCTCTCCTCAGCTTCTGTGGCCTATTGGGTTCCGTGTCAGTGCATTTGCACATGGGGCTTCCTTACTCTGGTATTCCCTTTATTCCTAGTCTGGGACTCGCTTTTTTCTTCATTTGACCCCAACTTTATCAGGAGGGCCACCCCAGAGAAGGATTTTTCCACTGCGCTCTGAACTTTTTTTTTTGAGACGGAGTCTTGCACTGTTGCCCAGGCTGGAGTGCAGTGGCGTGATCTTGGCTTACTGCAACCTCCACCATTCAGGTTCAAGCAGTTCTCCTGCCTCAGCCTCCCAAGTAGCTGAGATTACAGGTTCCTGCCACCACACTTGGCTAATTTTTGTATTTTTAGTAGAGATGGGGTTTCACCATTTGCCAAGGCTGGTCTCGAACTCCTGACCTCAGGTGATCCACCTGCCTTGGCCTCCCAAAGTGTGAGCAACCATGCCTGGCCTGAATGTATTTTTTATCCTTGAAAATAATGGTTGGGGTTAGAGGGAGATCATTATGCACATACTTCTATATACTGTATGTAGGTTCCCATTTTTTAAAGTAAAACATACAGAAACTCCCTACTGAAGTGGGACGGCAGGAACAGCAACAGCATGGTGTGCGATATCCCTGGCATCTTGATTGGGGATAGAGTGACTGGTGGAACTCAGAGTTCTCTATGGGCCTCCCAGAATTGCGAGAACTGGTGAATACTTGCCTATATCATTATCCTTCTATACTTGAGTTTACCTGATTATTTGAGAGAACTTGTGCTGTGTGCTTCCTTCGGAGGAATTTTTTCTGAAAGTCATTGATTTGGGTTCTTAAATCAAACTTAACACCAGCAAGGCAATGCTGTCCTCTGGCAGGAGAAAGCAGAGTCAAAGTCCAGGTTGTCAGAAGCACCATCTTTGCTTCAAATCTCCCATCTCCTGAAAAACCTTTTCCCTGAAATTCTCCATCCCTACAGCAGTTTCATGAATGAATGAATGTGTGTAGCATTCCATTTGTAGTATGTGCTACTGCACAGTTGCTTTTTAACTATACTTGAGTAGTTTTGTGCAGTGCATAGGAATAGCCCATCGATTCACAACACTTGTTTTTCCCAGCTGTGGATCAGCTCCATAGATAGGTGGGTGTAGGTTTTCAGTTTCTCTTGGCTCCACTCCCTGCCTCCTTGGCTTGCTCTGTCCTCTTGCCTTCCAGTCTCTTCCTTCTTCCTTTTCATAACGTTAAGTGCCACACTTTTATGTGCCAAGCCCTGGCCTAAGGGCTGGGAAATCAAAAAGGAGGAAATACAGTCCCTGTGCTTAGGAAGGAGAGAGCCTCATAGAAGGAGCCTAATTAAACAGATGCAGGTGGTGAGGTGTAAGCTTGCTGGGATGGCAGGCTGTCTGGGGCCCTGTGGGACTGACTGTCGAGGAGGGGCAGGAAGGGTGTCATGGAAGAGACGGTAAAGTAGCATGTCCTGAGGAATGAGTAGTTATCTACCACTTACCTGCTGCACGTAACACAAAGCTTTTATTAGCTCAAGAAGACATAGAAGAGCTTAAATATGCAGGTTCTAACTGGGGGACATTGGTCTCTAGATTCAAGTGTGAATCCTCTTGCCCATCTTACGTCATTCCCTTACAGATTTCCTTATAGATTAGCAAAGTGAGTTTATGCGAGTGGTGTGTGTGTTCAAGGGAGAGGGATGGGTGGATTGAGGAGGTAACTGAACACAGCTGAGTCGTGTCTTCATGAACTAGTAAGTCCTGTTGGCTTGCTGGCCATCCCGACAGCCTTCCAAAGACCTTGTACCTCATGAGCCTTTTCTCTTCTTGGCTTTTAGGGCAGGCTGTCCCTGCAGGATCCCACGTACGGCTGAATCTTCAGACTGGGGAAAGAGAGGCAAAACTCCAATATGAGGACAAGTTCCGAAATAATTTGAAAGGCAAAAGGTACAGTGTCAACCCTAGGGACTGGGAGGCTAAGTGATAACGTTGATTTTGTATTGTAATACTTAAAATGTTACCCAAATTCATGTGGCTTTTTTTAATTTGAAATTTAATAGCATAGAATTTGTGATAAATCTGTCAGGGTTTTATGAAAGTTTACTTCTACAGTCTTTGGAAAGAGATAGTTTGCAAAGCAAATTGATACTTTAAAAAAGGCTGTAGGGGGAATGCTTAACCTGCTTTAAAAATGAAACTATTTTTCCCAGTACTTTAAGAGCACCCATTTGAATCCCAACAATTAATGCACTGATTACAGATGAGTCATCTATTCATTAAAACAGGCCTGTTAGGCCTTCTGCTTTGCAGTAATACTTCCTTGGTGAACAATAAAATTGCATTTTAAAGTCTTTAATTCAGGCTAACTTTTCCTCTCATTAGTCAGTATTAAAACAGGCCTTCTTATAGTATAAAAGTAGAAGCTACTGCCATTCTCCACTGGCTAGAGGTTGCCTTATTTCTCAATAACCAGGTTATATTATTCAATTTTAGAGAATTCAGTGTCACTATTTTTCTTTTGTTGCCTTGAATTAGCATGCTTTCTTTGCTTGATATTTCCTGAATGAGGGGGAAGGAGGTTGAGGCATGGAGTTGCAGGGGTTGCTGAAATTGTGCATTTTGAAAGCTCAGTAGAAATACCAGCCATGAAATTTCTAACACAGGGACCAGCAAATTATGGCCTGTGGGCCTTATTGGGACTGCTCCCTGCTTTGGTTCAGCCTGCAAGTGAAATTGGTTTTTACATTTCTTAAAGGTTGGAAAAAAATCAAAAGGTAGTATTTCATGACTCATGAAAATGTATGAAATTCAGATTTAAATGTCCATAAATAAAGTTTTAATGGGACACAGCCATGCTCATTTGTTTACATATTGTCTATGGCTGCTTTCTTGCTACAATGACAGAGTTGATTAATTGGGACAGACACCATATGGATCACAGAGCCTAAAATAGTATCCAGTCATTACAGACAGTTTGCTGACCCTGTGCTAACACGTGTAAGCACTGGGAATTATTAGTTATGGATTGAGTGTGGTTAGTGTTACTCAGTCCTTGGATGATGATGATGATGATTTTTTTTTTTTTTTTTTTAGAGATAGGGTCTTGCTCTGTTGCCTAGGCTGGAGTAAAGTGGTGTGATCATAGTTCACTGTAACCTCAAACTCCTGGGCTCAAGCAATCTCATTGTCTCAACCTCCTGAGTAGGCTGGGGCTACAGGTGTGTGCCACTATGCCTGGCTAATTTTTTTAAATTTTTTTGTAGAGACAGGGTCTCACTTTATTGCTCAGGCTGGTCTTAAACTCCTGGACTCAAGTGATCTTCCTGCCCTGGCCTCCCAAAGTGCTGGGATAACAGATGTGGACCACTGTGCCCAGCCTGGATTTTATAATTTAAACAGTATTTTGCAGGTCGGGCGTGGTGGCTCACACCTGTAATCCCAGCACTTTGGGAGGCCGAGGCCGGCGGATCACCTAAGGTCAGCAGTTCGAGACCAGCCTGGCCAACATGATGAAACCCTGTCTCTACTAAAAATACAAACAAAAATTAGCTGGGTGTGGTGGCAGGTGCCTGTAATCCCAGATACTCAGAAGGCTGAGGCAGAAGAATCGCTTGAACCTGGGAGGCAGAAATTGCAATGAGCCAAGATCTTGCCACAGCACTCCAGCCTGGGTGGCAGAGCGAGACTCTGTCTCAGAAAAACTAAAACAAAAACCCAGTATTTTGCAGTTAGATGTAATCAGAAGGAGGTCCTAGAGACTCACTTCTTACCCTAGTCTTTTCCTTGACATGCCTGTCAGAAGGTCACTCAGCTGGTCCATGTGCACTTTTTTCAGGTGGCACTCACCCCACAAAACAGCCTGTTCAGATTTAGACAGTTTTCACTGTTAGAAAATTCTACTTCATATTGAGATAGAGGCATTTGTTCTCCTTACAGTCACTCCAAATTGGGAAGGATCTTTCATCTTCCCTCATTCCTCCAGGTAGGCCTATACTTGGAGTGGCCCAGGTCAGACAATTACTCCTTTCTAACAACCATGTAAGAAATAATCAGCTGTCATTGTCACGGCCCCTGCCAAACTTCTTTCGTCCACAATACACACATATTTCAGTGCCTCAAAGTACTTTTAGGAAGTCTTTTCTCACATGTAATCCAAGTCTTATTTTCTGAAGAAAACAATCTATTCTTTTCTTAGCTTATGAATATTGAGTTAGGGGCCGGGTACAGTGGTTCACACCTGTAATACCAACATTTTGGGAGGCTGAGGCGGGTGGATCGTTTGAGCCTAGGATTTGAAGACACACACCAGCGACAGGGTGTGTGTCTGCAAAACATATAAAAATTAGCTGGAGGTGGTGGCACACGCCTGTAGTCCCAGCTACTCGTGGGGCTGAGTTGGGAGGATCACTTGAGCCTGGGAGGCAGAGGTTGCAGTGAGTCAAGATCGTACCACTGCATTCCAGCCTGGGTGGCAGAGCCAGACCCTGTCTCAAAAAAAAAAAAAAAAAAAAAAAACCAACAACAAAAAAAAGCAAAACAGAAAAAAACACCAAAACCAAAAATTAGCTGGGTGTGTGGTGTGTATTATGCCTGTAGTCCCAGCTACTCAGGAGGCTGAGATGGGAGGATTACCTGAGCCTGGGGAGGTTGAGGCTGCAATAAGCCGTGATTATGCCACTGTACTGCAGCCTGGGTGACACAGTGAGACCCTATCTGAAAAAATAAATAAGCAAAATATATAAATAAAAAATAAAATCCCTTTACAAAAATAATACTGAGGAATTTTATTAATTTGGAGTTTATTTGTTGGTTTTTATACTATGAGAACTCACTTCTCTACCACCTGACTATAGATTATCAGTGTGAACACGTACTGCTTTGTCTGTTACTCATATCTTTTACGAATAGACAGCAGAGCCGTCCATGTGAACTGTAGAGACACACCATAAGGGAGAAATATTTGTCCCTACTCCTGCCTTTTTACTTTCCTCCTTTGGAGAGTCTCTGCCTGAAATGGCCCCTAGCATATGCTGGACCTTTCTTCTTCCTTCTCAGCATTTATAGCTAATGGCAAACCTATCTGAATAGAAGTCCAAAGGCACTGACAAGGTGGTGTGAACATTCAGTGCTGTGAGCTCAGTGAGCCTTTGATGGTGACTTCCTACTTCTGGGATGGAGCTCCTCCAATTCCATTTCATGGTGTCTTCCTGGCCCCTTAGCACTGGAATAGGAACAGAGGCCTAAGGGCAGGGTCAGTTCCCTGAAATTGTTAGAGTATTTTGCTTATATCCTTATTCTGTTTTAGAGGACAAAATCCATAGCTTTCCATGAAATTGTCCAAGAAGTTAGTGATCCCACAGAGTTAAGAACCATTGGCCTAGAGGGAGATGGGGACAGCCCATTAATCCAAAATTCATGGCAGTCTTTCTACTATTTTTACTGGTTGTGTGGCTGGCCACATTGCTACCTAGAGCTGCAATGCTTGTGGGCTCTAAAGCCTGGGACAGAAGACCCTGACTCTGGCTTGTCTCAGAGAGTTCCTTTAGCACTGCCTTATTTCATTGCATGTAGTTGGCCCTTAGCAACAGGTTTCCACTTGCTATTTATGCTTTAGGCTTTGCCATCTCTAGTGGTTTTAGTCCATATCCCTGTCAACGTAGTACATCTCTCTTTTTGCCCTGGAATAACCAGCTTCTTGGACTCTTCCTCCTAGGTTTGGAGGACTGAGGGTAAAACCACGTTCAAGTTGTGCCATCTTGGGTTGAACATTTACCAAGGTCCAATATGGTATAGTGGTTAAAAGGTTGGGCTAAGGACAGGGCCATTTACTTCCTCCATTTATTTATTTCACAAAAACCTATTGAGTGCCCACGTGCCAGGCATTGGGATACAGTAATAAACAAAACAGCCTCCACAAGGCTGGCAGACAGAAAACCAGGTACATAAGCACAGAAGTAAGATATTATCTGGTCATTACTGATAGTTTGCTGACCCTGTTCTAAAACATGAAAGTATTGGGAATTAATCATAGATTAATTAACTGGCCCCAAAGGGAGGAAGGAAAGGAACCAATGTGGCTGATCCCAGGAACCTGTCAAAGACTGGATTGGTATCCTCACTGAGATCCCTGGAGCTGATCCAAACCACAGCCATGTAGCTTGACTAGAGAGAAGACATCCATTGGGGAGCAAGGTTTTACCACTAGTCCTTATTTCAATTCAGGGAACAGAGGTAAGAACAAGGATGATATGGACAAAAAGAATAATTAACTCTTTATGTAAAGGGTTAGGTTTATAGGTTTAGGAGTTAGGGCATTTCAGACAGATGGAACAACAGGAAGTCCCAGGCTTTATCAAGGAAAAGGCTTTGTCAAGTATGAGAAGCAAGAAAATGATCAAGGTGACTATAGGAGAAGAGAGAAGGAAGGAAATCGATAGGAGATGAGATTGGAGAGGTATGTGGGGGCCAGATCATGTGGCTTTTGAGGAAGATTTTGTATGTTCTTCATTCACCTTTAATTGTAATGGAAAGCCATTGGAAGATTTTTTTTTTCCCCATAAGACGGTGTCTTGCTCTGCTACCCAGGCTGGAGTGCAGTGGCACCATCTCAGCTCACTGCAACCTCCGCCTCCTGGCTTCAAGCAATTCTCCTGCCTCAGCCTCCCGAGTAGCTGGGATTACAGGTGCCTGCCACCACACCCAGCCAATTTTTGTATTTTTAGTAGAGACGGAGTTTCACCATGTTGGCCAGGCTGGTCTTGAAATTCTGACCTCGTGATCTGCCCGCCTCGGCCTCCCAAAGTGCCGGAATTGCAGGCATGAGCCACCGCGCCCAGCTGCCATTGGAAGATTTTAGGCAGGAGAGTGATTTAGTTACTATGTGTCTGGAGATGAGATTGAAGGTGGACAAAAGAAGACAGAATTAGGATGTCATTTCAGTAGATCAGGTAGGACATAATGGTGGCTTAGTCTAGGGTATCATAACAGAGACTGAATGAATTTGGAGATTTAATTTGGAGGTAGACTCAAGAGGACTTGCTTATGATTTCAGTGTAGAGGTTGAAGGAAGGTGCAGGGAGGGGCACAGATTCAGGATAAAGCCTCATTTTGGAACTTGAGCAACTGGGTGGTTGTTGGTACTATTTATTGAAATAGAAAAGTTGGGAGGGGGACAGACTTATAAGGAGAAGAATCAAGAGCCATGTTTTAGATTCAATAAGTTTGAAATACTTGTTAAACATTTGAGATACAGATCTATCAGGTAGTTGTACAAGAGTCTGATTGGTGCTCAGGGGAGAGGTTGGGCTGGAGATGTAAATGTGGAGATTACTGGCAGATAGGTTTTTAAAGTAACTAGGGGAGGATGTCGAGGTGGAGAAGATTGACAGGGCTGAACTCCAAGGCATTCTGGGCTATGTGGCTCAGGTAGGAGATGAGGAACCAGCAAGAGTTGGAGAAGGAGTAAGGAAGAGGAAGAGCCATGAGAGTGAGGTAACAAGCCAGGAAAGGAGGTTTTTTTTGTTTGTTTGTTTGTTTTGAGACAGGGTTTTGCTTTGTCGCCCAGACTGGAGTGCAGTGGCCTAATCATGGCTCACTACAGCCTGGGCTCAAGCAATCCTCCCACCTCAGGCTTCTGAGTAGCTGGGGCCACAGGTGCACACCACCTTGCCTGGCTAATTTTCAATTTTTTTGTAGAGACAGAATCTTACTATGTTGCCCTTACTGGTCTTGAACTCCTGGGCTCAAGCAATCCTCCCTCCTCAGCCTCCCAAAGTGCCGGAATTACAGGCATGACCCACCACACCCGACTGAGAGTTTTTCAAGAAGGGAGGGTCAACTGTGCAAATGCTGCTTAGTGGTTGAGGAACATGAAGTGAGTGAAGAAGGGTCCATCGGATTTGGTCATCAATTATTGGTAATTTTGATTAGTAGTGTGAGTACAGTTGTGAGGACAGAATCCAGATTACAGTAAATGGCAATATAAATAGGAATAAAAAAGCTGGGGATAGTGAGTGAAAACAATGTGTTCATAAAGTGTTACTCTGAGTGAGAGCAGGGAAATGGCAGGATAACCAGAAGAGACTGTGGAGTGACAGGAGAATTGGTGTGCTGATGGGAATAATCCAGCTGAAGGGAGAAATTGATGATGCAGGCAGGAGGGAGCGGTGTAATTATGGGAGTTAAAGCTTTTGTAAAGGCAACTGCGATCTGGAACTAAGTTTAATAGGATCAGGGACACTCATCCATTATAATAGGAAGGAAAGTAGAAAACATAGACTTAGGTGCAGGTTGGCTTGTAGAGCTGATCATGGGAAAATGAAGTTTTGGTCTATTTTTCTTAGTGAAGAATGAAGTAAGAACACCAGATGACTGTTTCGTGTGTGTGCGTGAACTTGAGTGCACATGTGCATGCTTGTGTGTATGTAGTTGGGACTGAGAGTGGGTGATGAGAGATGGCTTGGGAGAGTTGAGACTTAAGGCGTAAACAGAGATGCACGGAATAATGGGATTAGTCCTGACCAAGTCTTACAAGAGGGAGGAGATAATGTGTTCAAGCTATGGTTCCTGAATACTTAGCTCCCTCTTGGGTATGTGGGGTGGGGCAGTGGTATCCTCACACATTGGCAGTGGATGATGCTCTGTAGGGAGAGGGATTCAGGATTCTCTCCCTACTTTGTAGCATTGTGATAACTATTTGAATGAAATATTACTTTGAAGGGATTAACACACTGCCTAACACATGGCTAAATGCTCAATAAATGAGTTACTAGCTATTATTAATTAGTTTAGGAGGACTGAGGTTTAGAGAAGACGAGTGTTCTTCTCAGAGCCCTAAAAGGTCTCTAGGAAGAATGAAAGCCCTTGGTACATGAGAGCTGAGGCCTGCTGGAATCTCAGACTATGAGACTGATGTGCTCTTCCTGCCTGGAGTAGAGCAGGCCAGTAGCCCCTTCCTCCTCACCTCTGAAATCTTGTGGGCATTCCAGGATATATGGAATCCTGAACCCAACACCAACCTGACAGTCTTGTTAAGCACATTCCATACTCCACTCTTCCCTTCGTGCACATCATTCTTGTGCTTACCTCTGTTCATTGAACTAAAATGAATGCTAGTGGTAAAACCTTGCTCCCACATGATGGATGTCCTCTCTCTGGTCAAGATGTGTAGCTGTGGCTTGGATCAGCTCCAGGGAATTTTGTGAGGAGACCATTCTGGTCTTTGGCAGGTTCCTGAGATTATAGCCACATTGGTTCCTTTCCCTCCTCCCTTTGGAGGCTGGCTGTGGAAGGGGCTGACCTTGATTCTACTCCTTAGTATCTCAAATCCATTCCTTGGTCAGGTTGAGACATACCTCCTGCCTCTCCTTTGTGCTCATAGGTTGGTCTTATGGTGTGAATCTATCCAACTTGTTTTTGTAAAGACAGGCTGCCTTGTCTAATCAGTTCAGGCACACACTGTGGGGCTCAGGGCCCTGTTGTCCCCTTTCATGGAAAAATATATTAATAGATAAGGGTGCATGCTACTCCTTGTGGCTGGGCCCACTTCCCTCTGAGAGGTCCTGCCCTGGCAGCGTGCTGAGGGAGAGCATTGCACAGTTATGCCAGGCTTATTTCTTCCTGAGAAGCTGGCTGAGAGCCCTCTGTTCGTGGATGGCTTCTGTCTGCCCCATGCCATTGCTTCCTCTTTCATGAAATGATCCCATTTTCAGCTGCGTCTTTCCTCTTCTAGCTTCAAGGTAAGGTCACTCTGTTAGACCCTTGGCTGACTGAAGACAAAGGTATGATAGTACACTCAGCTGGCCTGGCCTCACTTACCTTAGGGTGCCATTCACCCAGGGACATTTTCTTTCTTGGGGAATATGATGCTCCCCTCTTATTTATTTTTAGAGACAGGGTCTGACTCTGTTGCCCAGCTGTGGGAGTATGGTGGCACAATCATAGTTTACCACAGCCTCGAACCCCTGGGCTCAAGTGATCCTCCTGCTTCCCACGTAGCTGGGACCACAGGCACATACCATCACATCCTAACTAATATTTTTAAATTTTTTGTAGAGATGGGATCTTGGTATCCTTCCATCTTGGCCACCCAGAGTACTGGGATTACAACTGTGAGCCACCAAGCCTAGCCATGCCTCCCTCTTTACTCTCAGTTTTCTTTGGACAGGCTGGATATCAACACCAACACCTACACATCTCAGGATCTCAAGAGTGCACTGGCAAAATTCAAGGAGGGGGCAGAGATGGAGAGTTCAAAGGAAGACAAGGTGTGTGATTATTTTTCCTGTGAGTATAAGCCTGCAGCATGGCCTTGTTGTCTTTGCAGAGAATGGAATCATTTTTATGGGAACTCTTGCAATAAACATGGGATAACAATATTGTAAAATAATTTAAAGAACATTAATGACAAATAAGAAACCCTTTTAGACTATTAAAAAAAAAGTGCTGGGAGCATTTCTGTCATGGTTTAGGTTAGAATTCTATTTGCCATCCCATGTCTTCAAACAGCTCCCCATGTTTGGAGAAATTGAGGCACTGAGCAGGGGTAGCCATTCTCTCCATTATCACAGGCCTGAGTGGAGTGAGTAGACTTTATGGCCCAGATCTCTGCCTCACTTACACTTGGATTAGACACAAGCTTGTTCCAAAAGAACAGAGGAGCTGGCCCAGGAAGCAAGAAGCCGGAATCCTTGTCCTTGTCCTTTGAACATGTAGCAAATGTGTTTCTTCTAGGCTTCAGATTCCTTAAATTTAAAACATGGGGCTGGAACAAGAGGATGACTGAGGTTTCCTCCAGCTCTAAATTTCTCTACAAGCTAAGGGAATGAGAGGAGGAAAAGGTGAAGAATTACAGCCCCTTGGCCATGCCCCTAATGTCTGGGAGGGCTCACAGGTGCAGGTCTATACCAGGAAGATCATGAGCTCTTGGAGTCATTTCTCTGTATTTCTGTTTGAGTCCTGTCAGTTTTTGAAAGAACCTTCTCTGATGGCTGCCTTAGAGACCTAAGTTCTCCCTCCCTCTTCTCCTTACAGTCCCCATTTGCTTTTTTTTGTTTTTTTTTTTTTTTGTTTTTGAGTTGGAGTCTTGCTCTGTCGCCCAGATGGCCTTGTTGTTTGTGCGGTGGTACGATCTTGGCTCACTGCAAGGTCCACCTCCTGGGTTCAAGCGATTCTCCTGCCTCAGCCTCCTGAGTAGCTGGGATTACAGGTGCTTGCCACTACACTCAGCTAATTTTTATGTTTTCAGTAGAGATGGGGTTTCACCATGTTGGCCAGGTTGCTCTCGAACTCCTGACCTCAAATGATCTGCCCACCTTGGCCTCCCAAAGTGCTAGGATTACAGGCATGAACCACCGTGCTGGGCACTCATTTGCCTTTATTTACCTCTTCACTCCTTCCCCTGAATCCAGGTAATGTCCTAGAGAGACAGCATTAGCCTCTTGACAGCTTGTGTATTACTGGAAGAAGCCATAGGTTGTTCTGATCCTTTAGAACTAAATATTTCTGGGAAAATGAACCTTTTTGGGGGATAGGAAACTGGTGTTTACCTGTTTAAGAAGTGTGAAATGCAGGCTCAGTCTCCACGTCTTTACTCATCTTACCAAAGTCACTTCTCCTACACGGAGAGTGTATGTGGTGTGGGAGGGCACGTGGCTTGGTGGCAGCAGCAGTGGGTGAAGGAAGGCAATGCTCGCAATTGTGTCCTACCACAGATGTATTAGCCAAGGGGCTGAGGAGAAGCACATCTTCTGCCTGGTACAGGTGAGGCCAGCAGAGGAGTGCCTGGGTGCCTAGGACAGGGACTGGCCAGGGCTTTGGCTCCTTCCCACCCACTGTCGGTTCCATGTGGGACTGATGGGAACATTAAACAGCTCCTATTCAGCGTCTTCTCTGTGGATGGAGGACCCACTTAACCTTGTTCTCTTCTCTTTGCTTTCCCTGGGAGTGTGTTTGGCTTTTCTTTTCTCAGGTGATGGCATTTCCCCCCACCCCAGTAATTCAATTAGTGTAGAAAAGTATGAATATTTATAAAAGTATTTCAAAATGTATAACCAAGAGATTACTTAAAAGTTTTAGTTGCTGGTTTTTGTAATTAAAAATACTCCTCTCGGCTGGGTGCAGCACTTTGGGAGGACAAGGCGGGTGGATCATCTGAGGTCAGGAGTTTGAGACTAGCCTGGCCAACATGGTGAAACCCCGTCTCTACTGAAAATGCAAAAATTAGCCGGGCATGATGGTATGTGTCTGTAGTCCCAGATAGTCCAGAGGCTGAGGTGGGAGAATCACTTGAAACCGGGAGGTGGAGGTTGCAGTGAGCCTAGATTGCACCATTGCACTCCAGCCTGGGTGACAAGAGAGAAACTCTGTCTCAAAAAAAAAAAAAAAAAGAAAAAAGAAAAAAGAAAAAATACTCCTCTCCCCTTGCAAGGGGATCCCAATATCAGCACCCAAATGCAAGACCCAAGCTCCAGCTCATTTGCACCAGCTGCACACCTCTGAGGTCTGGCTATCATACTCTTTCCTTACTTATGTGGAACTTAGGTTGTTAGCACCATCACTGAGGTGCTAAGTCCTGGCATCCTTCTCCTGCTTTTCATTTGGAGCCTATCTGGACTGACTCAGCTCACTGCCAATGTGCTCATCGAGCTGGCACTGGGATTGGCAAATAAATGGATTTGAAATTGGTTGGGGAGTTTCTTACATATATCAAGCTTTTGGCTACAGATATCATCCTATTTTTGTTTATTAATCTTTAAACCTAGCCTATGTGGTGTCTTGTTAGTACAGGATGGTGCTTTTGTGATTTATATAGACAATACTGTCAGATATTCGGCCATATCCTCTTAATTAAATGAGTGGGTTTTTGGGAACTGGATGTTTTTGGGGACGAGAACATCAATTATATTGTATCCATCGGTAGCTTGGTAGGTTTAAGTGAATCAGTCTTTCCCGGAGTTCCTTGGTTCTTGGAAAAGCTGTCTCTCCCAGCAGATTTGGTTGTTATGGTTGAATCTCGTCTACTTATCCCTCTATTTCCATACAAATTGCTTGATGCTTTTATGTTTTATTATGTCTGCTATTGTTCACCTGTATTCTACAAATTATTGTTTTTTAAGATATGGCCTTTTTAAGCTTTTGATTCTTGGCAAGATGTAATAGACTTATTTCTCCCTATTCCCCCAGCTAAGGGTAACTAAAAACCCTGGACATAATACTAAAGGCAAATGTAGGAAGACTCTAAAACACAGTCAGAAGGCAGCAGACTGGCTAGGGACCTTGGAGCTTGGGGAATGACATCAGTGAGTTCCTTGGATTTTCTTTTTGTCCTCTATATATTTTAGACTGAGTGTTGGCAAATCCCACATCCTGAAAATGTCAACTGGTGCAGATTTTAAAAAGTTATAAGAAAAGCCTGCTATTTCTAGACAAAGAATTGAGCAAAGGGCATCCTAACAGGATAGAAACCTTATTTACAATACCTGTCCAACTCCTGCCAAAGATAATGAAAATCTCCCCACCCCACTTAGTGCCAGTGCAGTGGACATTGAGGTGGGGAGTCTGGATTTCTGCCTGCTATTTGGTGGTAGTAGCAAGCTGTACTCTGATTCCTCCACCAGGGTCGCCAGGAGCCAAGTGGACGGCCTGAACTCACGTCTGCTCCTGGCAGCAAAAAGTGGTAGAAGGCAGTAAAAAGTGGTAGAAGGCAGTGTTCTGCTTCCTCCACCAAGATGGTGTCAGTGGGAGCTGAGCAGAGAGCTTGACTTTTCATCCTCTGCCCAATGGATACTCTCTGCTTCCCCTGCTGGTGTATTACCAACAGACCAAGTGTGCACCCTGATTTTCCATCTCCCATCTGACAGTAGCAGGCTGTTTATCCTGCTGGAGTGGTGTCAGCAGAGGCTAAGCAGGGAACTTGAATATCTGTCCTCTGCCTGGTAGCACCAACATGGTTTTTTACTTTTCCCTGATAACATGGTGTCTGTTGGGGTGAATGAAGAGTCTGTACTTCCACCCCCAACTTGGAGGCAGTGAGACAGTGTGAGGCAGCATTCTGCTTCCCTCTCTGGGGCGGGGCCAGTGGAATAAGTGAGAAGTATGAACTTCCACCCTCAGGCCAGCAGCAGTGAAACAGTGCTCGATTCTCCCGCCAAAGTGGTGTCAGTAGAGGCCCAGGGAGGAACCTAGACTTCCACTCCCAGTGGCCAGCATCCAGTGGTGGCAGGTGAAGTTGTTTCCCTTCTCAACTAGAGAGTAGGGGTACGATTTGGGAGAGAGGAGAGCTAGAGAAAGGGATTTTGCATATGAAGTCCTAGACATACCCGTTCAGTGACCCATACAAGAAACTGACCAGAATTAATACAACAAAAAGTTTAGGAACTGAACTATAGTGTGGAATGCTGCCCAGGTTTTTAGATTGGCCTCTGGGTAGCACACAAAGGAAGCAGACCAGAATAGCACTACAATGCTCTGAAAACTAAATTGTTGTTGGAGCCACAACCCACACAAGTAAGCCAGAACCAGTATACTAAGCCTAAATAGGATGTCTACCTACTGAAAAAGATGAAGTAGGATCTGGAATTTCATAACTTAATACCCAAAATGTCTAGGATATAATTAAAAATTACTTTTCATACCAAGAACCAGGACAATCACAACTTGAATTAGACAATCAACAGATGCTGTTATGGATTGAATGTTTGTGTCTCCCCCAAATTTATAAGTTGAAGCCCTAACCCTGCAATGTGATGTTTGGAGGTGGGACCTTTGGAAGGTAATTAGATTTAGGTGAGGTCATGAGGGTTAGGCTCAAGAGGGATTAATGTCCTTAGAAGAATAAGAGAGACCAGTACTCTCTCTCTCTACCGTGTGAAGACACAGCTAGAAGGTGATTATCTGTAAGCCAGAAAGGGGACCCTCACCAGGAACCACGTCGACTCATTCCTTGATCTTGGACTTCCCCAGCATCCAGAATTGTGAGAAATAAATGTATGTTGTTTAAGCTGCCCAGTATATGATATTTTGTTATAGCAGCCTGAGAAGACTGAGACAGATGCTAATACTGAAATGACTCAGAAGTTGAAATCATCTAACAAGAATTTTAAAACAACTATTATAAAATTGCTTCAGCAAGCAATTATGAGCACCCTTGAAGCAAAGTCTCAGCAAGGAAACAGAAGATAAGAAAAAAGAACCAAATGGAATTATAGAACTGAACAATATAATAACTAAAACTTTAAAAGTCACCAGATAGGCTCAGTAGCAGAACAGAGATGACAGAGAAAAGAATCAGTAAACTTAAAGACAGATAAATAAAAATTACACAGTCTGAACAACAAAGAGAAGATAGATTGGAGAAAAAAAATAACAGAGCTTTAGGGACCTGTGGAACTGTAACAAAAGATCTAACATTTGTGTCATTGGAATTCCAGATGGAGAGTAGAAAGAATATGGGGCTAGAAAATAATCAAGAAACAAGGGCTAACAAATTCCCAAATGTGGTGAAAGGCATAAACTCACAGATTCATAAAGTGAATCCAGTGAATCCAGGTGAACTCCAGACAGGATAAACTCAAAGAAATCAACACCAAGATACATCACAGTTAAACTTCTGAAAACTAAAGACAGAAAAATCTTCAAAGCAACTAGAAAAAATAACACAACTATAGGGGAACAATGATTGAGCGATATTGAATTTTTTATCTGAAACCATAGAGGCCAGAAGTATGTGGAATATTTTTCAATTGCTGGGGGAAAAAATGAACTGTCCACACAGAATTTTATAGCCGTGAATATATTTCAGGAGTGAAAGGGAAGTCAAGACACTTTTAGAGAGAGGAAAATTAAGAAAATTTCTCACCAGCAGACCTACTCTGAAAGAATGACTAAAGGATATTCTCCAAATAGAATGAAAAAAGAATAATAGAAAGAAACTTGAAATATCAGGAATAAAGAAAGAACAATGTAATGAATAAAAAATAGGGAAAATGCAGCCTATCCTTTTCTTCTTGAGTTTTTATTATTTATTTTCTAATTTTTAACTTTTAAGTTCAGGGGTACATGTTCAGGTTTGTTATATAGATAAACTTGTGTCATAGGGGTTTGTTGTATAGATTATTTCATCACCCAGGTATTAAGCCCAAGTACCCAACAGTTATTTTTCCTGATCCCCTCCCTATTCCCATCCTCCACCCAATAGGCCCCAGTGTGTGTTGTTCCCCTCTAAGTATCCGTGTGTTATCATCATTTAACTCCCACTTATAAGAGAGAACATGTGGTATTTGGTTTTCTGTTCCTGCATTAGTTTGTTAAGAATAATGGCCTCCAGCTCCATCCATGTTTCTTGAAGGGATAGATCTCATTCTTTTTTATGGCTGCGTAGTATTCCATGGTCTTTGCCCAGTCTATCTTTGATGGGCATTTAGGTTGATTCCATGTGTTTGCTATTTTGACAAATCTGACAAAAACAAGCAATGGGGAAAGGATTCCCTATTCAATAAATGTTGCTGGGATAACTGGCTAGCCATACACGGAATATTGAAACTGGACCCTTTCCTTATACCATATACAAAAATGAACTCAAGATGGATTAAAGACTTAACCTAAAACTATGAAAACCCTGGAAGACAACTTAGGCAATACCATTCAGGACATAGGCATGGGCAAAGATTTCATGACGAAGATGCCAAAACCAATTGCAACAAAAGCAAAAATTAACAAATGGGATCTAATTAAACTAAAGAGCTTTTGCACAGCAAAAGAAACTATCAATAAACAACCTACAGAATGGGAGAAAATTTTTGCAAACTATGCATCCAACAAAGGTCTGATATCCAGCATCTGTAAGAAACTTGAACAAATTTACAAGAAAAAAACAACCCCATTACAAACTGGGCAAACTGCTGAAGTTTGACCCCAGCGACATCAAAGTTGTATGCCTGGCCGGGCGTGGTGGCTCTCGCCTGTAATCCCAGCACTTTGGGAGGCCAAGGCGGGTGGATCACGGGTCAGAAGATAGAGACCATTCTGGCTAACATGGTGAAACCCCGTCTCTACTAAAAATACAAAAAAAATTAGCCGGGCGTGGCGGTTGGCGCCTGTAGTCCCAGCTACTCAGGAGGCTGAGGCAGGAGAATGGCGTGAACCTGGGAGGCGGAGCTTGCAGTGAGCCAAGATCACGCCGCTGCACTCCAGCCTGGCGACTGAGCAGGAGTCCATCTCAAAAAAAAAAAAAAAAAAAAAAAAAGTTGTATACCTGAGATGCACGGAGGGTGAAATGGGCGCCATGTCTGTGCTGGCACAGGTATCATTGCTGGTATCTGGCACTGGCCCCCAAGATTGGCCCCCTGGGTCTGTCTCCGAAAAAGGTTGGTGATGACATTGCCAAGGCAGCCGGTGACTGGAGGGGTCTGAGGATTACAGTGAAACTGGCCATTCAGAACAGACAGGCCCTGATTGAGGCAGTGCCTTCTGCCTCTGCCCTGATCGTCAAAGCCCTCAAGGAACTGCCAAGGGACAGAAAGAAATGGAAAAACATCAAACACAGTGGAAATATCACTTGTGATGAGATTGTCAACATTACTTGACAGATGCGGCACCAATCTTTAGCCAGAGAACTCTCTAGAACCATTAAAGAGATCCTGGGGACTGCTCAGTTTGTGGGCTGCAGTGTTGATGGCCGTCACCTCATGACATCATAGATGACATCAACAGTGGTGCAGTGGAATGCCCAGCTAGTTAAGCACAAAGGAAAATATTTCAATAAAGGTTCATTTGACAACTAAAAGAAAAGTGGGCAAAGGACATAGACACTTTTCAAAAGAAGACATACATGTGGGCAACAATCATATGAAAAAAAGCTCAACATCACTGATCATTAGAGAAAAGCAAATCAAAACCACAGTGAGATACCATCTCACACCAACTATAATGGCTATTGTTAAAAAGTCAAAAAATAATAGATGCTGGCAAGGGTTGTAGAGAAAAAGGAATGCTTATACACTGTTGGTGGGAGTGTAAATTAATTCCACATTGTGGAAAACAGTGTGGCAATTCCTCAAAGACCTAAAGACAGAAATAGCATTTGACCCAGCAATCCCATTACTGGGTATATACCTAAAGGAATAGAAATTGTTCTGTTATAAAGACACACATGCATATGTTTTTGAGTTTTTAAAATTGTTTGATAGTTGAAGCAAAAATTATGACAAGATCTGTTTCTGAATGTATAGTGAGGAATTTTGAAGACAATTAGGAGGAAGAAAGGATTAAACATAATTGGAGGTAAGGTTTCTACATTTCACTCAAAGTGATAAAACATTGATACCAGTAGATTATGATGTTACTTATGTATATTATAATACTTAGAACAATCATTATTAAAAACTATACAAACAGTTACACTCAAAAGCATAGGTAATCCAAAAAGGAATTATATAAAATGTACCTTGGTTTGTCACAGGAAGGTGAGAAATGGGAAACAGGAACAAAAACTGGAGGAAACAAAAAAAATAAATAAAATGGTGTATTTAAGCTCTAACATATAAAAATATTACCTTAAAACATAAATGTATAATAATTGTAAAATGTTTTATAATTGGTCTAAATATACCAATTAAACAGATTTTCATAATGAATTTTAAATGAATTTCAAAAATATGCTTTCTACAAGAAATTCAAATATAATGATAAAGACAGTAGGTTGAAAGTAAAAGAATGGAAAGCATATCATACAGATATTAATTAAAAAGCAGGAGTTACTATATTAATATCAAAGTTGACTTTAGATTAAAGGAAATTATTAGGAACAAGAGCAATTTACATAATGATAAAAGGGCCAGTCCATTAAAATATACAGTAATTCTAAATGTGTATGTACCACTTTTATTTGTATATAAAAATACCTGAAGCAAAAACTAACAGAACTAAAAGAAAGAAACAGACAAATCCGCAATTACAGTTGGGGATTTCAACATCCCTTTCTCAGAATTGCTAGAACTACTAGACAGCGGATCAGTAAGGGTATTAAAGAGCTGAATAACACCTTCAACCAGAAAAATTTAATTGACATTTATGGAACATTCCATTCTACAACAGCAGAATATACATTCTTTTTAAGTGTCCATGAAACACTCCTCAAAATAGAGTATATCCTGAGTAATCAAACAGATCTCAACAGTTTTAAAAGAACTGAAATTAGGCAGAGTATGTTCTCTCATTATAATGGAATCAAACTAGAAACCAGTCATAGATAGGAAGAAAATCTCCAGTCAAGTCAAAGAGGAAATCTCAGGGGAGGTTAAAAAAAAAAGATACATTGAACTGATTAAAAATGAAAATGCACTTTATCAAAATTTGCAGGATCCAACTAAAGCTGGAAGGGAAATTTGCTTATATTAGAGAAGAAGTAAGGTCTCATACCTATAATGGAAGGTCCTACTTCAAGAAACTAGGAAAAGATGATCGAAACAAGCTCAAAGCAAGCAGAAGGAAGGAAATAAAGAGCAGAAATCAATGAAATTGAAAACATGAAAACAGTAGAGAAAAATCAGTGAAACCAAAAGGTGATAAACTTCTATCAAGACTGACAAACATGGCTGGGCACGGTGGCTCACGCCTATAATCCCAGCACTTTGGGAGGCTGAGGTGGGCAGATCACCTGAGGTCAGGAGTTCGAGACCAGTCTGGCTAATATGGTGAAACCCCTTCTCTACTAAAAGTAAAAAAAATGAGCCAGGCATGGTGGCGCACGCTTGTAGTCCGAGCTACTCGGGAGACTGAGGCAGGAGAATCACTTGAGCCCAGGAAACAGAGGCTGCAGTGAGCCAAGATTGCACCACTGCACTCCAGTCTGAGCAACAGAACGAGACTCTGTTTCAAAAACAAAAAACAAAACAAAAACAAAAACAAAAAATCCACAAGACTGACAAACACATAAAGCACTAAGATAAAAATTACCTGTATCAAGAATGAAACCAGGAATATCATTACAGATCCTGCAGAAATTAAAAGGAAAATACAGTAAGAGAATACTATGAACAACTCTATGCATATAAATTTGATAACTTTCATGAAATAGTCCAGCTGTTTTATAAGCACATATTATCCAAATTTACCCAATATGAAATAATACGAGTAGTCCTATAACCATTAAAAAAACTTGAATTTGTAGTGAAAAACCTTCTATAAAGGAAGTCTCCAGGTTCAGATAGTTTCACTGGAGATATTAACCAAACATTTAAAAACCACTGGCGTCAATTCTACACAGTTTGTTCCAGAAAATGTAAGAGGGAGGAACACTTCCCAACTTACTTTATGAGGCCAGTGTCACACTAATACCTGAACCAGACAGAGTACAAAATAAACTACATAGCAACATTCCTCACGAACATGGAAACAAAAATCCTCACCAAAATTTAGCCAATCAAATCCAGCAATATGTAAAAAGAATTATGCATTATATATAATCACATGGAGTTTATTACCAGAATGCAAGGCTGGTTCAGTGTACAAAAAATAATCAGTATAACCCAACATATCAGTAGGCTAAAGAAGAAAAATCACATCATCTTATGTCAGTTAATACACAAAGAGCATTTGACCATATTCAGTACCCATTCATGATAACTCAGAAATCTAGGAATAGAAACCTTACTTGATAACAAGCATTTACAAAAAGTCTGCATGGAATATTATACTTAACAGTGAAAGACTGAATACTTTGCCACTGAGGTCAGAAACAAGCCAAGGATGTTCACTCTTACCACTCATTCAACACAGTCATAGCCAATGCAGTAAGGCAAGGCAAGGAAAAAATAAAACTATCTCATTTTCCAGATGACACAGTTGTCCATGTATAACTCCCAAAGAGCCTCCAAAAAAAAGTCTTCTAGAATTAATAAGTGAGTTCAGCAATGTCACAAGATATACAGACAATGCAAATCAATTGTATTTCTATATACTAACAAAGAATATTTGGAAATTGAAATTAAAAACATATGTACCATTTACAGTTGCTCCCCTAAAAATGAAATATTTAGGAATAAATCTAACAAGACAGATATAAGATCTATATGCTCAAAAGTATAAAAGTTGGGTGAAAGATGATGATGGAGTTAAATCAAAGAAGACTTAATTAAATGGAGTGACACACTGTGTCCATGGATTGAAACATTCAACATAGTAAAAATGTTAACTCTCTCTGAATGTATAAGTTTAGTGCAATTCCTATCAAAATTTCAGCAGGATTTTTTTGTAGATGAGCTTATTCTAAAGTTTGTATGGAAAGTTGAAGGAACTAGAATAGCTAGAATTTTAAAAAGAAGAATAAGTGGAAGAAAACACACCACCTGATTTTAAGGCTTACTCTGTAGCTATAGTAATCAAGACAATGTGGTATTGGTGGAGAGAAAGAATCATAGATCAATGGAACAGAGTAGAGAACCTAGAAATAGACCCACACTAATACAACTGACTGATTTTTGACAGGTGCAAAAGTAGTTCAATGGAAGACAAATAGTCTTTTCAGCAAATAGTGGGCATCCATAAGCAAAAAATGAGCTGTCACTTAAACCTCATACCTTAAAAAAAATTAATTCAAAATAGATCATAGATTTAAATGTAAAATGTGAAACTAAAAAGAAAAAAAAAATCTTCTAGAATGAAACATAGAACATCTTTGGGAACTAGGACCAGGTAAAGAGTTCTTATGACATGGCACCAAATGTAAGATTTATAAAAGAAAAAAATTGATAAATTGGACTTCACCAAAATTAAAAAGTTTTGTTTTGTCAAATACCCTGTTAAGATGATCAGAAGATAAACTACTGGAAGGAAATATTTGCATATCATATACCAGCAGTCCTCATTTTATGTTATGTGGAATTGTGAAAATGTGCACACTGAAACTATGCAAAACAATCTTAACATAATCAAGGGAAAAATTATGATTGTTCCATGATCCTTGAAATGTTTTGCCAGACATTAAAGCAACTACATTGCTATTGGTTATAAGTATATATAGAAATGAAAAAGCAATAGTAATATTTATTTAGCACACTGTAATTTAAAACATTAGAAACATTTAGAATTATGCCGGGCACAATGGCTCACACCTGCAATCCTAGCACTTTGGGAGGATCGCTTGATTCTAGGAGTTTGAGACTAGCCTGGGCAACATAGCCCGGAAATGGTCTATGTTTTCTACAAAAAATAGTTTTTTTCTACCCCCCAAAAAAAAGAATTCTTTTTTTTTTCTTTCTTGCTTTTTTTTTTTTGACAGGGTCTCTGTCACCCAGGCTGGAGTGCAGTGGCAGGATTACAGCTCAAGTGATCCTCCCACCTCAGCCTCCCGGGTAGCTGGGACTACAGGTGTGTGCCACCATGCCACACCAAAAAATACATTTTTTTTTTTGAGACAGAGTCTTGCTCTGTCGCCCACACGGGAGTACAGTGGTATGATCTTGGCTCACTGCAGCCTCCACCTCCCAGGTTCAAGTGATTCTCCTGCCCCAGCCTCCCAAGTTACAGGCATGTGTCACCATGCCTGGTCATTTTTGTATTTTTAGCAGAGAAGGGGTTTCATCTTCTCTCTAATTTCACCTTCTCTAGTTGGCCAGGCTGGTTTTGAACTCCTGGCCTCAGGTGATCCACCTGCCTTGACCTTCCAAAGTGCTGAGATTACAGGCGTGAGCCACTGCGCCTGGCCAAAAAATTCAAATAATTTTTGTGTTTTTTGTAGACACAGGGTTTTGCCATGTTGCCTAGGCTGTTCTCGAACTCCTGGCTCAAGCGATCCACCCACCTCAGCTTCCCAAAGTGCTGAGATTATAATCTAATTATAACCTAATCTCGTTAGAAAGAAGTATGATAATTAGCCAAGAGAGAAAAGATGCTTGCTCTGTGTCACAATTTTTTTGGAGTCAGAGTCTCACTCTATTGCTCAGGTTGAAGTGGTACGATCACAGCTCACTGCAGTCTCACCCTCCTGGACTCAAGTGATCCTCCCACCTCAGCCTGAGTAGTTAGGACTATGGGCACACATCACCATGCCTGGCTAAAATTTTTAGTTTTTACAGAAAACTAAAAACTTGGCTGGGTATGGTGGCCCACATCTGTAATCTCAGCACTTTGGGAGGCTGAGGTGGGTGGATCGCTTGAGCCAGGAGTTCAAGACCAGCCTGGGCAACATGGCGAAACCCCATGTCTACAAAAAACTAAAAATTTTAGCCAGGCGTGGTGACTTGTGCCTGTAGTCCTAACTACTCACGCTGGGGTGGAAGGATCACTTGAGTCCAGGAGGGTGAGACTGCAGCGAGCTGTGATTGTACCACTGCACTTCAACGTGAGCAATAGAGCGAGACCCTGACTCCAAAAAAATTATGACATAGAGCAAGCATCTTTTCTCTCTTGGCTAATTATCATACATCTTTCTAAGTATGGATGAGCCTCCAACATTTCACCCTTCGTACTTTCAATGTTGTGAAATTTCTCAGAGAGTTCCTGTAATGTGAAGTTTTTTGCCAGTGTCATTTCATCCTTTTTATCACTTTCCTAATTTGTGTCTGTAAGTTTGCCTTTGCTGAGTCCCTCTGTCTGCACATCTAGAGCTCATCAACAGTGGCAGTGTTAACATTCCCACAGTCAGCCATTTCTTCTATAACTCCATGTACATTCAATTCAAATTTCATTGCCAAAGTTACCACCTTTCATTTATTTGCTGCGCTTTCATCTTTGCTGGCCAGTTCTCTGTTTAAAAAAATAGAATTTAAAAAATATAAATACAGAGAGTCTCACTATATTGCCCAGACTGGTCTGGAACTCCTGAGCTCAAGTTGTCCACCTGCCTTGGCCTCCCAAACTTCTAGGATTACAGGCATGAACCACTGTGTATATAACATTTTTTAAATGCCAGAATTATAAACATGGAGAATAAATTAGTGACAACCAGGGCACAGGGATGTAAGAGAGTAGCATGGGAGGATAAAGTATAACTGTAAAGGAGTAGTACATAGTAGATTATGTGATCATGGTGGGACAGTTCTCTAGCATGATTGTTCTGGTAGTTACACAAGTCTACATCTCAGGTAAAATTACATAGAATGATACACATACACACATACATGTAAGTGAGTATATGTAAAAACTGGTGAAATCCAAACAAGGTGTTTAGTCTAGTTAACAGTATGGTACCTGTGTCCTTTTCTTGATTTTGACATTGTATCCTTATGTAATATCCTTATGTAAAATGTTAACATTGAGGGAAGCTGGATGAAGGGTACATGACACTCTCTGTACTATTTTTTGTTATTTCTTGGGAATTTATAATTATTTCAAAGTAAAAGTTTTGTTTTGTTTTGTTTTGTTTTGTTTTGTTTTGTTTTGTTTTGTTTTGTGATGGAGTCTCGCTCTGTCGCTTAGGCTGGAGTGCAGTGGCACGATCTCCGCTCACTGCAACCTCTGCCTTCTGGGTTCAAGCGATTCTCCTGCCTCAGCCTCCCGAGTAGCTGGGACTACAGGTGTGAGCCACCATGCCCGGCTAATTTTTGTATTTTTAGTAGAGATGGGGTTTCACCATATTGGTCAGGCTGGTCTTGAACTCCTGACCTCGTGATCTGCCTGCCTCGGCCTACCAAAGTGCTGGGATTACAGGTGTGAGCCACTGTGCCCGGCCAAAACCTTTTTTTTTTTTTGAGGCCTTCTTGAGAGCCAGGCACACATCGTTTTTGTGAGACAGATGTCACTAGTTTCTTATTGTGCTCACTTGCCTATCATCTCACAGTTCTAGAAAGTGACTCAGCCTTCCCAGACCTCTTTGCTTGGCTTTGGCAGCCATCCAGAGACCTCTAGCTGGGTGCAGGGAGAGTATCTCATATTATTTTAGCCCAGAGAATCAGGATGTGGCGCCCCATGGATGTGATTGCTCCGCTAGGAGCTTGGTCTTTTTTAAGAGAGGCTGATTCATTTCTTTGGTTGGTGTTTCTATGGAGTGCTTGTAACTGGGGAGAAAAACCCATAGGTAATAGATGAGCAATTTGGAGCTGACAGCTGTTCATCATCCGGCTTTTTATAAATATCTGTGCCTTTTAGTTTTTCTTGGAAGACAGATACATAAGCCACTGTGACTTTTCAGACTCTCTTTATAGGCACTATCTTCTCAAATTGGGAAGAAAACAGTGTCACATGTATAAAATATTTAATTAAAGTCTTTTATTCACCTCTAATGTAACTTCATTTTTAAAGTTTTTATATGTGAGTGGAGTGGGGAAGGATTCAGAGAAAATTGTTCGAGATTTGAGTATAGTACATATAGTAATTTAGCCATTTCAAACAGTTGAACAAATTGTACACCTGTGGTTAGATTGACAGTAATGACAGTGATTTAATTTTCATCAGCAAATTGCTCCTGCTGTGACAGCTCTTACCCATAGTTTTCTATGTCCAAGTTTCCCTAAAATGTTGTTGGATTGGGTAGGGCAAGGCCAAGATAGTCTATGATTGTGAGAAGTGGAGAAGTAGGGTGTGGGTTATTCTACCTTAGGTCTCAGCTGTTTCATATGTGGTTTGAGGTTGAAGATGAACTTGCATTACTTCCCCTTAACTCAGTGGTTGTGACAAAAAGCCTTTCTATTCTTCCTGAATATTGGAAATCGGACTTGAATAAGCGAATCTTGGAACATCTTGAGTGTGTTTTTAGAGCTGAGGCCTATATAGGCAGACTTTGAGGGCTGTCTTCTCTGGGCATCTTAGAAAGTATTAGTATTTTTGATAGCATAGATGAGAGAAGACTGTGAGTCTTGGAGCAGCAGTTTTTTGAGGATGGGCATCCATGGTAGACCACAGACATCTTGGGCAGATGTCTCCAACCAATTTAATCACCTCTTTGCTGCTCTCCTTAGGCAAGGCAGGCTGAGGTAAAGCGGCTCTTCCGCCCCATTGAGGAACTGAAGAAAGACTTTGATGAGCTGAATGTTGTCATTGAGACTGACATGCAGATCATGGTACGGCTGATCAACAAGTTCAATAGTTCCAGCTCCAGTTTGGAAGAGAAGATTGCTGCGCTCTTTGATCTTGAATATTATGTCCATCAGGTACTGTATTTCTTCGTCCATAAGTCAGACTTTTAACAGCTCCAAAAATAAATCCCCCTTCCCTAAGCCCTAAGAAAATAGCATCAACATCTTTACTTCTCTCCCAGAGCACAGACTATTTTTAATCTAGTCTTGTTATCTTTTGTAGTAAGATACAGTCTTAGAGGCCAGAGCCAACTTCTTTTTCTTTTTTTGTCTGAGTCAGAGTCTCACTCGGTCACCCAGCCTGGAGTGCAGTGGCGCGATCTCGGCTCACTGCAACCTCCACCTCCTGGGTTCAAGCTATTCTCCTGCCTCAGCCTTCCGAGCAACAGGGATTACAGGTGTGCACCACCACGCCCAGCTAATTTTTTGTATTTTTGATAGAGATAGGGTTTCACTATGTTGGCCAGGCTGGTCTTGAACTCCTAACCTCAAGTGATCCACCCACCTTGTCCTCCCAAAGTGCTGGGATTACAGGCTTGAGCCACCATGCCTGGCCAGCCAACCTCTTTTTCATGTGGAGTGGTACCTTCTTTAGTACCTCTGAGGGTACCACAGAGATAAAATAGACATAGTCCTAGTTATGCAGCTTATAGCCTGGAAGAGGAAGTAATTGAATAATGAACAATTGAACAAATTAATTAAATAATGAGATAATTTAAGATTGTAATGAGGGCTCCAGAGGGTGATGTAAGAATATGTAACTGGAGAACTTAGAGCCTAGTCATGGACAATAAGGGAGGCTTCTCAGAGGATGTGACATTTAGGCCAAGCGTTATAGGATGATTGGGGTTGGCTGGGTGAAGAGGGGGGACTAGAGCAGGGGATGGCAAACTACTGCCCATAGGTCAAATCTGGCCCAACACCTCCTTTCCTAAATAAAATTTTATTGGGGCACAGCAACCCCTATTTGTTCATGCATTGTTTATTGCTGTTTTTATGCCACAATGGCAGAATTGAGTAGTTGTGACAGAGACCATATGGCTCACAAAGTCAAAAATATTTACTACCAGGCCCTTTAGAAAAAGTTTGCCAATCCTTAGATTAGAGCATTCCAGCTAGAGGAAACAACATGTGCAGAGATTCTAGGGCAGGGACAAGCTTGGGGAGATTGAGGGCCTGGAAAAGATTGGAGTGACTGGAGCACAGCGGCCTGGAGGGGAGCATAGATGAAGTGGGAAGGTTCGGGGGCTGGAGAGGTGAGGTTGGAGATATCATGCTCTTTATGATTTTAGCCTTGATCCTAAGAACCACTAGAGAGTTTGAAGCAGGGAAGTAACTGATCAGACTTATAATAACTAATATTTGTTGAGTGTTGTCATATACCAGGCACTGCTTCAAGTGCTCTGTATGCATTAATTCATTGACTTCCGTGGCTGCCCTATGAGTAGGTACCACTATTAATCCCATTTTATAACCGAGGAAAATGAGGCACAGAGAGATTATGTAATTGCTCAAGATCATCCAGCCTAGTGAGTGGTAGAGCTGGAATTTGCAGCAAGGTCTGTCTGACCCTAAACTCTGTGCTCTAAAACTTTTGGCCACTCTGTTTCTCAAAGGCAACTGGTACCTTTTGAATTAAGCTCAAAAGGTGGAGCTAACAAGGAGCCAATAAAAGCCATTGATTTATTCAATAAATAAATCAAGTGTCTACTAACTCCCAGGCACTGTTCCAGGCACTTGAGATACGTCTATGAACAAAATTAGGGCTTAACCTTCTAGCAGAAGCAGATAGACAAGCATAAGAAAGAAGTAATTATATGTAATATGTTTGTAGGTAATAAATACTGTAGAAAAATAGAAACTATGGCGAGATAGGAACTGGCAGCATTGAGAAGGGGCATCTCTGGCTGGAGGAAGAGCAAGTGTGGAAGCCCGGTGGTGGGAACATGCCTAGTGTGTTTGAATCAGCTGGAGCTGAGAGCAGGCAGAGAAGAAGTACATACAGCTCAGAGAGATAATGGGAGGAAGAATATAGAGGGCCTGTAGGCCATGGAAAAGAGTGAACTTGCATATTATTGAAGGATATTGAGCAGAAGAATGATGTGATCTGACTTACTTTTAAAAGGATTCCTCCAGCTACTGTGTTGAGAATTAGACTGCAGGTGGGGGGCTTGGTAGAAGCAGAGACCAGATAGGAGGCTATTGCAGTAATCCAGACTAGGGGCAACAGTGGCCCAGGAGGCTGTGTAATCATAATCAAAGGCTTGTTTGAGATCCTTGTCAAGACACAGATCCTCAATGTCCTCCCATGCACCATGCACGACAGTGCCCTTGTTCTCTGTAAACTGGGCTAAAAGACATGCTTTCTTCCTTTAGGATTTTGCCAGCATCTGTGGTGAAAGAGGATGAGTATGCACTGTATCCATAGGAATTATGGGGCAGCCTCTTCATCTTCTTTCTCTGCTCATAACTCTTTCTCAGGCCTCAAATAGCAGGACTCTGATCCTCTTAGAGAAAAAAAATGAACCTCGGTTCTCTTTCCCCTTTCCAGTCTTACTCTCCAGGGTAAAAACCAAGAACTCCAACAGCTTTTCCATTAGAGATATTTAAAGGATTAAGGATATAAGGGGTTATTTGCCAACTCAGTCCTCCTTTGATGTTGACAGCTTCTATTTTTTCTCATCTTAACATATTTGGATGAATCTTTAGGTATCAGGTCACCATGGGCTCTTGCACATGAAACACCAAAATGACTGGAGAGCTTATCATACCTGGAAGGGTGTGAGTCCACAGGAGGCTTGGGCTAGCATTGCCCCAACAAAGTTCTTTGTTTTCCCTTGTAGGCTCTTTGTCACTTGGCAGTGTCTTCCCTAAGGTGACATCCCCATTCTGCTTTCACAGGCCACCTCACCAGACCCATCCTGAGGTCATCCCAAAATCAGTCCCTGGCAGAAGCCAAATTTGTCTGTTGGCAGAGAAATGTTCTGGATCATTGGTGTTTTGACTGGAAGGGCTGGTGCATCAGGCTGCCATGCAGCAATGTTAAGCTGTGATTTCACTGGGGGATTAAGTAAGACACAACTCGGCCCGAGTCCCAGTTGTGATGGGGGCTTGGGGTGATGTAGTACTAGTTTTAAGGAAGATGGCACTTTCCTAGCCAGGAACTTCCCCAGTCCTTTCTCATTCCAGACTCACTGAATGGTGGTTTGAGGAGCTGTAGGCTCCAAGGACCCAAACCAGGTCTGCCAGGCTTCCTCACAGCCATATTTGAATTATTAAACAGGATATGTGAAAAGCAAAACCTTGTGTGTGGAAACAGATGGTGAGTTATTTATGAGGAGCGGCCTCCGTCCGCCCCATCTACCTCGGGCAGTACATTTGCCTTCTCCCACGTGTCTCCTCAGCTGTGTGCCACCATTTTTCCCCTTCGCTGTTTCCCATTCTCTCATTGTCTTATCAGTGCCCTGCTTCTTTCCTTTCCTCCAGGGTGTTGGCATAGTTCCCTCCTGCACTCCCTCCTCCTCTTCCTCTCTGCCTGTCCCACCCCACCCCGAAGGCAGCCTGAGAACAGTTTTGGCCCCAGACCGAGATGGGGAGCTGTGGACCTGGGCTATGGTCATGGTTTCTCCTGTATGTCACCAGGGGGGGGCCCAGCTTTTGATGTGCACTGGGCAGAATGAATCGTTTCTTCCTCACTGTTAGTGAAGTAAACCATGAGAAAACATCCCAAAAAGGCTGAAGTGCTTATATAAATGTCTGCATTTCTATCATGCTGAATTATCATTGTAGTAATAGTAGATAAACTGACTCTAGAACAGAAGGTCCATGATTCTGGGCTGTGTTGCTTTGGAGCTGACCGAGTGGCAGCTGCTCTGCTAGGAACTCATACCAGCTTTATAAGTGGCCATTCCAGGCGTGGTATGACAGGATTCTGAGCCATAGTTTTGTATCCAGAAAACCCAGAGGAAGGACAACCAAAGAATAGGTAGTGAATTCTTACATTGTAAAATTAGAGCATGTAGGGAAGGAAGGAAGGTGCTTATGTCAGCAAAGCACCCAACCCTGAGTCTCCCTAGTTAGCTGGGCTGTGGCTCAACCAGTTATTCCTCTTCATAAGAACAGTTTGGGGCAGAAAAATGTCCATGGCCTGGGGCCACATGGCAGAGCAGACTTCATGCTTACTTCACAACCTGGTTTAGCCATTACTTCATGTCTGCGGTACCAGAGGCCCATTCATTTTGTTGGCACAGATACCCCAGATTGCCTTTTTATTCACACTGGAGCTTTATTTCAGGAACATTCTTTTCTGATCAAATTCATACTCATTAATGCAACAGTTATTCATTGAACACCTAACCATATGCTCAGCACCATCCTAGTCCCTGGAGCTACAAGCGTGGACAGACAGACAAAACCCCTGCTGTCATGGAGATTCCATCCAAATGTGTATGAATATGATTTTTCAAGTGGCAACAACAGGCTAGGCCACCACAAAACACTAGCACAGTCAAATACCAATCCTCACACTTGATTTCTCTGTCAGAGTCCTCTCCTAGTTCAGAGAGGCAAGGATGCAGTTGGGAAGGGGCCCTGTGGAATCTGGAGGAGAAAGATGGGTAGCAGCCACAGTTGTTGGGCTTCAGCTTCCTGAGTTTTCCTCATGATTGATAGCGTGGGATTAGCATATGGGCAAGATGCAGCCTTTGTGGCAACAAAGATATATTCGAGGGAGACTGTAGCGGGTACATGTAGAAAACAGGATCCAGTGACCTTTCTGAGGAAAGCGAGTTGTCTTGTTCCAGGGTACTAATAAACTGTGGGTAATGAGATCCGCTATAGAGTAAAAGAGAGAATCCGGACTTGGGGATTTGGAGCTTAAATGATAGCCTAGACCAATGCTGTTGAATAGAACTTTATGTAATGATAGAAATGTTCTGCACTGTCTGATACATAGCCACTAGCCAGTAGCACAGGCTTAGACAGAAACCTTTGGGAGAGCGATTTTCTTGCATATTTTATCATGAATGTCTTCAGATGCAGTCAACCTGAGATGCAAGAGAAAGGTACTATTGTTATTCCCCCCTCCCCAGCACTCTTACGGCAACCCCCCTCCCAATAACAGGGCTCCTTTTATAGTCCCTAGCTTCTAATTTAAAATCAGCTTTAAAAATCTGCCTCCACTGTCCCCATTGGGATTGGACATCAGCAGGAAGCATGGCACCATTTAGTGGTGCTGATGACGCCAGATTCTTTGTGTTAACAGCTTGTACATTAGGAGCAAGCTTTGTGACTCATTATGATATTAGAATTTTCCAGGACATGTTTGGCATAAGCAATAGCTAGGTGTCATTTCTGCTGATTCCCACGCAGGTGCTCATCAATCGTGTTAGATGAATTAGGAGTTCTCAAATTTAAGAGTATTAAAAAATTGGTTTTTACAAACCTTTTCTTAGTCAAAAAGGCCATTATTGATTTTTCCATGGCTTTTTAATTTGTTTTTGGGTAGTCACCAAAAGAAAGGCTCTAAGAACAGCTTTCCTGTCCCTGATGGCTATGCTGTACTAAGCAGTGGCTCTGTTGCAGATGGACAATGCGCAGGACCTGCTTTCCTTTGGTGGTCTTCAAGTGGTGATCAATGGGCTGAACAGCACAGAGCCCCTCGTGAAGGAGTATGCTGCGTTTGTGCTGGGCGCTGCCTTTTCCAGGTGAGCAGTATAATGGACGTCCCAATGGCCAGAATTGCTTGGCCTGATCTGCTTGGAAGAAGGGTACACTTGAATGTGCCTGTTGCTACTGACATTTCAGTGTCATCTCAATGAAACTAGAGTAAAATTTGATTCTGCCCTTATTCCAAGTAGATAGGAATTTTTACCCATGTTGTCACCATCTGTGACTCTCTGTTCCCCCATCTTATGTGTATGGACATTTAATAACACATCTTAGGTCACATTCTCTGTTTTATTCAAAGCTTGTAAAAAGTTAGACCAACTATAAATAGTAGAGAGGGAGGGGAATAAACAAGAGTAGGTCTTTTGGCAGTAAAGCTACATCTAGTGACGAATAAATGATGAGCCTGACCAAGGGGGTGCTTTCAGGGAGGAATGTGTCTTGCCCTAGTTGTCTGGAACCAATGTACATGCCGTCAGATTATCGCCCTCTCTAGGTTGGAAATTGTTGAGAATTTCAGTTAGTCTGGCTTGTGATGGAAGACTGATAAGGCAAGAGGAGTGGGGAGGTAGCATCTCGAAAGAGTAGATGCCAAAAGATATGTAGGCACCACATCATTCTACACCACCTGCAAAGGTCAAGATATCTGCATGCTGCAATTGGTCCATTGGAGCTATTGTTCCTCCCATTTTTGAAAATCTGCTCTTAGGACCATTTGTGCCTTTAAAACAGGAACAAATATTCTGATTCTTGCTGCAAGGGCATGGGTGGAGGCTATTAGATGCTTAGATGCAGGTCACGATGTTACAGGAGAAAAGCTATTCTGAACATATTTACCATTATAGGCTTTGTTTCGAGAAGATTTCCTTTGTGCTTTATCTGTGCTTGTTTTTTAAATCAGAATCTCAGTCTGATGCTCTCTCACTCTGAAAGGCATTCAGCATATTTTCTTAGTAAGTTGAAGGGCAGAGCTGGGAAAGCTGGAGGAGTTGTTCCATGAGGAGAGGCACTGCCGGCCTTTGTTTCCGTTATCACCACTCTGCCTGGATCTTCAAGCCCTGGCTCCCTGTGTTGGTGGTGTTGACAGTCAAGGCTCTGGCCTCAAGGGCAACTCCACCTCCCTTGGTCTCACCTCCCAGAACCAAAGTCTCCCAGGAAGCCCAGGGAAATCTCCTCCTGTGCAGCCACTGGAAAGATGGAAAATCTGCATGTTTGACGTTAGTATCTGCGGTTTCAGTCATGAGGAAGTCCAGGAAATCCAGGGTCTTAGCCTTATAAGGCTTTAGAGGCTTGAGAACTTACTAAAGCTCACTTTTTACTTCTCAGGCCAGAAAAGAACTAAATCCAACATTATTAACCTCTCTCCAGACCCTTTTTGGAAATCTTTGCCTTACTCCCGAGTACTTTTATTCTACCTTTAATATGAACAAATTATCCTATACGTCCCTTGCCGTTGCTTCTGGAAATACATTACTTGGGGGAAACTGTGTAGCATTTTCATGTCACATCCTAGTTAAAGGGGACTAATTAAGTGACTTGAGAAACATGCGTTGGGCCTGCTTTGCAGACCCGTAACTCACCCAGGGGCTGTGCCAATGTGTGGTGTTATTAAGACTTTTCTGTGATTGTATTAGCTTAAGACCATGTTAACATTTATGCAGCATCAACTAAAATTTAAATAGAGATAAATATAAAATATTGCAATTTAGTGTTTTGGTGGCAAGCAAACTGCTGTATTCAAAATGTTCTAGCTAGGTTTTTGATGGCTCACTGGAGGGCTGTTACCGTGACAGCATGGTATGGCGCCAGAGCTTTTGGAAGCCAACAGCAGGCTCCCAAACACCATGGAAATGTCAATGTTTTCTGCAAAGAGGAACTTGATGCAAGGTAAGGATATTTCTACATGGAGAGGTAGGTTTCAGTACTCTAGTCTGATATTCATCATTTACTCTTCATGTCTTAAGTATTGGCTCTGCACCTCTGTAACCGCTTCTAGTATACAGGTGTGTATACACCTGCCACACATGTGCACAAATACACAACACAGTGATGGGATGAGCTTGCTCTTTATCAAGAGGGTGTTCAGATGATAGTGAGCACTCTGGAATCATGGAGTCCTAGCACTGGGGATAGTATCTAGAAGATATTCTTTCTAGTTTTCTGCTGATGGGCATGAATACTGCTCAGTCAGTCCAGATGTTTGGGTATTTAGGAGGATTAGGCAGACCACTGGACCTACAGTCAATCTAGTTTCAAGTTTAGTTTCTACTATTTCCTATCTGTGTGCCCATGGACAACCTTTCTAAGCCTCACCTTTTTCTTACGTTAACAGGGAACAATAATAGGTGTTCTCTGCATTTCATAAAATTGAGTGAGTATCAAATAATATACAATGACCTGTGAAAACGGTTGTAAAGCACCTGTCAGTGACAAGATGGTATCAATATCATCCCCCTCATCAGGATGTGTCCTTTATACTATGAGTTTCTGCTATAGTAATTCTTATTTCTTTTCTTTCTGCAATAAAAACCTTTATCTTCCTCATTTTCTCTTCTGTTAAGTCGCTTATATTCTACCATGTATCTCTTGGTGCTACCCTTTTTTTTTTTTTTTTTTTTGAGTCAGGGTCTCATTCTTTTCACTCAGGCTGGAGTACAGTGGCCCGATCTTGGCTCACTGCAACCTCTGCCTCCTGGGCTCAGGTGATCCTTCCACCTCAGCCATCTCTGTAGCTGGGACTACAGGTACGCGGCACCACATCTGGCTAATTTTTATAATTTTTGTAGAGGCAAGGTTTCACCATGTTGTCCAGGCCAGTCTCCCGGACTCAAGCAATCTGTCCATGTTGGCTTCCCAAAGTGCTGGGCTTATAGGCATGAGCCACCATGTCCGGTCTCTTGTTGCTAATCCTGCTGCTTCATTGAGGGCATTTATTTGCCTGCTTGGGTTAATTGCTTAATAAGGTTTTGATATACATTTGTGTGGATGAAGAGATCTATTTCCTGGTGTTAAACATGAAGCAATTATTCCAAGATCGAGAAGAGAGAGTACATGTAAATGTAATTGACATGACTACTAAATGTTACATGACCACTGAAATAAAGTTTATTTAAATACTATTCACACTTATATATGGGTCACACACGTTCATTTTCCTGTTTTTGCCCACATATAAGGCAGGTCAAGCTCTTACATAAAAAGATATGCAGGGGTAGGGGTGCTGATGCTTTTAGCAGCTTCGTCTTTTAATGGTTTTTCTTTTATCTCAAACCTGCTTTCTCCTTCTTCAAGTAAATACTTTCATTGGCCTTTCTGTGACCTGATTTAATCTCATAATGGCACTTGTGTGTGTCTGTCTGCAGTCTGACCTACCAGGAGTCTCTGGAGTTCCAGACAAGTCATTTGTGTTTCTGTATAAGGGGAGTCTCGAAAAGGCTTTGTGAATTTCAGAGGCCAGGCAGCCTTCTGTAATCTGGTTTTGGTTCTTAGCAAACTAGCCGCCTGCTTTTGTTTTCCTCTTAGCTCCCTATATATCTCCTTTACCTCGTAACCGTCAGGAGTTAAACTATCAAGTAACTAGTATGCCTGCCCCATGTAACACTGACTTTGCTGTTCTCATGCCCCTGCCTCAGTCACCTTTGGAGTCCTGTATCCTTCTTTAATAACCCATGTTCTCATCTGCACATGTATGAATTACTATGCAATTACATGGGCTTATAAGCATTCATGTTTGCAGTACTTTTGAACTTTCCACAGTTTGCAGGATGTCATGGAACTGAACCTAGTACAAAAAAGGATGTACATGTGCCATTAGTCATGGTGAGATTATGTACTTTTACAATGGATCCCCAGAACAGGTTTCTGTTCTTCCCCCTTTATCCTTGGCATCATCCTTGGAACCTCCTTGGCAGATTTTGGGTTATATATATCCCTTTATAAAATGAACGTATCCCCCTCCCCCAACCTTGTCCCCTCTCACCTCATGCTTTGTTGGCTCTCTTAATTTCCTTAGTTGTGCTCTTCCTGCTGAGGGTTTACCAATTAATTTTAACTCTTTGAACCTGGGTGCAATGGCTTACGCCCATAATTCCAGCACTTTGGGAGGCCACGGCAGGTGGATTGCTTGAGCCAGGGTTCAAGACCAACCTGGGCAACATGGTGAAACCCTGTCTCTACAAAAAATACAAAAATTAGCTGGGCATGGTAGCATGTGCCTGTGGTCCCAGCTATGCTACTCGAGAGGCTGAAGTGGGAGGATTGCTTGAACTTGGAAAGTCAAGGCTGCAGTGAGCCATGATCACACCATTGCACTCCAGCCTAGGTGACAGAGTGAGGCCCTGTCAGGGGGGAAAAAAAAAAGAGTAGACAGAAAGGAATACAAATGAGTGCACATGGGCATTAAATTAATGTACTTGAAACTACTATTCCTACAATCTGGTTTCTGTCCCTGAAATTTTTCAAGAGTACTATCCCTGAAATTTTTCAAGAGTACTTTGTCATCATTGGCATCTTTGTGGCAGTCAAACTGTTGGCTGCCACTTTCCTTAGGGAACTTTACCTCTTGGCTGCCATGTCATTATAGTCCCTTGGTTTGGGGATGATTGTAATTAATCACTCACTCCCCTTTTCCTTTTTTGGCAACATCATCATCTTACTATCTTCTGTTAATAATTGTAGCTATTCACAAAGATTCCTCCAGCCTTGTCCTCCTTCTCTCTTTTCATTTTCTCCCATAATGGTACTATCTATTCCTGTGGTTTCGAATCCAACCTCACTGTGGATGACTCTAGTGTCTACATTTAAGTCCAGCCTTTCTCCTGTGGTCTTCTACGTTTCTACCACACTGTCTCATCGCACCTCAAACTCAAGAAAGTGGAACTCATTATTGTTTCACAAACTAGATTTTTCCTCCCACATTCTCTTTTTATCTGTTCTTGGCATTGTGACTATTGTAGTTCTCCAAGCTTGAAACTTTTGAGTGATATTTGAGTCTACTTCCTTCTTCACTTTCTCATTAACTTAGTGAACAAGTCCTGTGGATTTTAATTTCTACTATTGTTGTCTACTAGACAATCATTCCCCATTTTTCTGGTTTTTAAGGTTTTTTTTTAGAGACAGGGTCTCACTGTGTTGCCCAGGCTGGAGTGCAGGGGCTCTTCACAGGTGTGATCATAGCATACTACAGCTTGAACTCCTGGGCTCAAGCAGTCTTCTTGCCCCAGCTTTCTGAGTGGCTGGGATTACAGGTATGCATCACTGTGCCTGGCCTCCCCCTTTTTCATCTACTAAGGAACCTCGATAATGTGAGGGCAGCAACATGTTTAGGCAGAAGATTCCCTTCCCCAGTTCTAGGAAATGCGCTATGAATGGTCTAAAGCAAACATGGAAATCCCATTCTCTATGGATGTGTATTAGTTTAGAGATGGCCATGTGGCCCAGTTCTGACCAATGAGACATAAAGAGATGTTTGCTTGGAAGCCTCTGGGAAGGATTTTGTTCTTATAATAACATAGTAAGGAGACCCTACCCACTTCTTCCTGCCTTGACTGCAGCTGTCTTGGAGCTGCAGCAGCTATCTTGGACCAGTGAGGTGAGAAGCACAAGAACAAAAAGCCAACATGCTGAGGAGGATAATAGAGGCGAAAGACAGGAGGAGGAAACTGGGTTATTTATGATGTAGTTTAGCCACTTTCGTGATTTTGGAACCATCTACTTCCAGATTTTTCTTATGAGAGGTAATGAAATGTCTTTGTTTTTTAAGATCAATGTTAATCATGATTCCATTACTTGCAACTGAGCATATATTCATATTGATATGAATTCATCTGGATATTTCCAAAATCCCTCTCAGATCTTTTAAATGAAAAAAAAATCCTGTTGATCTTCATAGCATTCATCTCAATTTGCAGTTATATATTTGGTTGGTTACCTGTTTACTGTTAATCTCCCTTATTAGATAGTACTTAGGGGATAAGATCTCTTTTCTATCTTTATTCTGCTGTCTCTCTAATATATAGCATAGGACCTAGTATTGGGTGGGTGCTCAGGAAATAATTATTGAATGAATACATGAAAAACAAAGGAATAAATTGATACCTTGGACATGAATTGTTTTTCAGAGAACGTTGGAGGCTGAGTGGACGGTGCTGTTTTTATTATTAATGATGTAATCATGGATGATTCAGATACCGCACCTTGACCCTTTAAAATCTAAGGCCATGGAAATGAGTGTATAGCCCCACTGGCTGAAGGCCCAGAAAATAGAAGGTTGGAGATTGGGATGAGGTCACACACTGGAGATGCCAGTGTTTGAATAAAAGTTCAAATGTGACCCCTAGGACTTGTCTGACCTCTTGTCTCTAGTAGCTCATTTTTCCACACTCTTATAGTGACAGGAGAGGTGCTCAAGCCTTTTGCATCTGATAAACTGATTAGCATATTAACCGAGATTGGCCTAGGAAATTGGATAGTCATAGCTCTCTTAAGCTACATTCAAAGTCTGATTACTTTTTTCAAATGGCAAATAATGACGAATGGAAAATGACCTCTGACTCTGACCAGCTATCCTGAGTACTGCAGAAACTAAGCCTTCATTCTGGGGAGGGAGGCACCACTTTGCTTAATAAACTTGTCCCTTCAGCATTTCGCTTGAATTTGTCTTTGTGATGTACCTCTGCCTTCTCCACATCCTCTATGTGGCTGTCTTCAGATTTTTTCACTACTATCCCCTTCTTAATTTCTTCCTTACATAACTCTCAGCACACAAAGTTCTTTGTTTTATCATCATCTTTATTAGCATTTGTTGTTGGACTCCTAAACTGACTCTTTTTTTTTTTTTTTTGAGACGAAGTTTCACTCTTGTTGCCCAGGCTGGGGTGCAAAGACGCGATCTTGGCTCACTGTAACTTCTGCTTCCTGGGTTCAAGTAATTTTCCTGCCTCAGCCTCCCGAGTAGCTGGGATTACAGGTGTGTGCCACCATGCCCGGCTAATTTTGTATTTTTAGTAGAGATGGGGTTTCTCCATGTTGGTCAGGCTGGTCTCGAACTCCAGACCTCAGGTGATCCACCTGCCTCAGCCTCCCAGAGTGCTGGGAAAACTGACTCTTTAATACATCTACTTCTCTGTTGTAAGCCAGTTCTTTCATCTATCTCCTCAACAAGATTGAAGGCTTCTTGAGCATGGGAACTGGTATTCAAGTCTGTGGTGCTCACAGCACCTTATAGAGGGTAAGTTTCATGTGGATGCTTTGAACATAAATGGTCTAACACAAAAATTGAAGTCACCAAAAATTGGTGGGAGAAAGAAAGCCACCAAGAGCAAGGAGGCTTTAAAATTTTTCTGTGCTTTGAGTTTGTTTGATTTTTCTTCCAGTGAGTATGTATTATTTTTGTAATTAACATTTAAATAGTGAGTGATGAAACAAAGCAAAACAGCACTGGGAGACTTCTCAATCTATCAAATAGCACATTTCCCAAGAAACTCTCTTAGTTCAAATACCTGAAGATGTTGTATTAAATACTTAAACATTTCTTTAAATGCTTAATTCAGCCAACAAGAAACTGTAGAGCCACTGCTCTGTGTAACTGCAGGGGAATTTAATAATGTCATATTCTTTATGTGGTAGCCCTGTAAGAAAGTGAGAGAAATTCTAAAGCAAATATAATGGAAAGCTCAAATCCTAAGAGATACAAAACACTGAACCTGACAGCTGACCTGGGAACATTTGCTATTCCCTAGTGACTGTGAGCTCTTGGTTTCAACAGGAATCATAATTTAGGGGACAAGAGACAAAGCTTAGGGGCCATGAAATAATTAGAAAAATGAAAATCTTCCACTAAAAAGGAATTATTAAGGCAAATTGGCTTTGAGTGGAAGGGAGAAAAATGCCTGCAGATCTTCAGTCTGTTTCCTAAGGAAACTGAGTCTGACATGCCTTCTGAAAACAGTGTAACACCACATAGGAAGCACTCTTGATAGAAAATCTAATCTGAATTTGAACATACTTCTAGATCTGATGTCCAATTTAAGGGAAATATTGGGGACAGGTGATAGGTTCAATGATATAATAGACTTGCAATCAGCAAAGACCAGACTGTGGAAAACCGTAGAGCAGGCAAATTACTGGCTTTTTCACAAAATAAGATACAAGAGAAAAAAATAAAGAGATGGGATGAAGCCCATAAATTAAAAGATATTTAAGATGAATATCAGCCAATTATAGTTACAATGTATGTACTTTTTGTTTTATTTTTTGAGACAGATCTTGCTGTATCACCCAAGCCTAGAGTGCAGTGGTGCAAACACGGCTTACTGCAGACTCAGTCTCCTGCCTCAGCCTCCTGTCTAGCTGAGACCACAGGCATATGCTCCATGCCTGGCTAGTTTTTACTTTTTATTGTTTTGTAGAGACAGGGTCTTACTTTGTTGCCCAGGTTGATCTTAAACTCCTGGGCTTGAGTGATTCTCCCACCTTGGCCTTCCAAAGTGTTTGTATTACAGGCGTGAGCCCCCATGCTGGAGCTCTACGATATGTTTACATCTTGACCAAATCAGCAATCTGCAAAAAAAGAAAAAAGAAAAAATCATGACATAATTGGGAACATTTAAACAATTACTTGATATTTGATAATATGAAGGATAATATTAAATTTTTGGTGTGAAAATGGTATTGTTTTGTTTTTGTAAAAAAGAGCCTTTTTAGAGAAGAAGTATGCTGAAAAATTTATGGGTAAAAGATAGGATGTCGGGCCAGGCACAGTGGCTCGTGCCTGTAATGCCAGCACTTTGGTCTCCCATCCAAGTACTAACCGGGCCCAACCTTGCTTAGCTTCCAAGATCAGATGAGATCAGGCACATTCAGGGTAGCATGGTCATAGATAATCAAAGCACTTTGGGAGGCCAAAGTGAAAGGATTGCTTGAGCCCAGGAGTTCAAGACCAGCCTGGGCAACATAAGGAGACCCCGTCTCTACAAAGAAATATTTTAATTTAGCTGGGTCTGGTGGTATGTTTCTGTGGTCCCAGCTACTCAGAAGGCTGAGGTGGGAGGATTGCCTGAGAATGGAAGTTGAGGCTGCAGTGAGCCATGATCATGCCACTGCACTGTAGCCTGGGCAACAGAGCGAGACTCCATCTCAGAAAACAACAACAAAAACCAAAGATAGGATGTCTCCATTATGCTTTATTTTGAGATCTGAGGAGGTGGGTAGGTGGCTGAGTCGGGGTATAGATAAAATAGTGCTAGCTATGACTTCATAATTTTGAAAGCTGAGTGAAGAGTCCATGGGGATTATTATACCATTCTCTGTATTTTAGTATATACATGAAAATTTCCATGGGAAAAGGTTTTTTTTAAAACGTAGTTTGAAATTGGCAGAATTTCTGGGTTACTGGTAGATGCAGAAACAAATCCTCTTTGGAGGAACTCACATCCAGGCCTCAGAGCATCCCCACAAACAAAAATCTTCCTATGATCATGAGCTCACAACCAAAACATCACAAAGCACATAAAAAATAAGGCACTATGAGTGAAAGACAGCAGAAACAGATAATCAAACTTTTAAAACTATAGCTAGATGGGGTGCAGTGGCTCACACTTGTAATCACAGCACTTTGGGAGGCTGAGGCAGGAGGATCACTTGAAGCCAGGAGCTTGAGACCAGCCTGGGCAACAAAGCGAGAACCTGTCTCTATTAATAATTTTTTAAAATAAATAAAAATTGGAGGAGCCAAGATGGCCGAATAGGAACAGCTCCGGTCTACAGCTCCCAGCGTGACCGACGCAGAAGATGGGTGATTTCTGCATTTCCATCTGAGGTACCGGGTTCATCTCACTAGGGAGTGCCAGACAGTGGGCGCAGGCCAGTGGGTGCGCGCACGGTGCGGGAGCCGAAGCAGGGCGAGGCATTGCCTCACCTGGGAAGCGCAAGGGGTCAGGGAGTTCCCTTTCCGAGTCAAAGAAAGGGGTGACGGACGCACCTGGAAAATCGGGTCACTCCCACCCGAATATTGCGCTTTTCAGACCGGCTTAAAAAACGGCGCACCACGAGACTATATCCCACACCTGGCTCAGAGGGTCCTACACCCACGGAATCTCGCTGATTGCTAGCACAGCAGTCTGAGATCAAACTGCAAGGCGGCAGCGAGGCTGGGGGAGGGGCGCCCGCCATTGCCCAGGCTTGCTTAGGTAAACAAAGCAGCCGGGAAGCTCGAACTGGGTGGAGCCCACCACAGCTCAAGGAGGCCTGCCTGCCTCTGTAGGCTCCACCTCTGGGGGCAGGGCACAGACAAACAAAAAGACAGCAGTAACCTCTGCAGACTTAAATGTCCCTGTCTGACAGCTTTGAAGGGAGCAGTGGTTCTCCCAGCACGCAGCTGGAGATCTGAGAACCGGCAGACTGCCTCTTCAAGTGGGTCCCTGACCCCTGACCCCCGAGCAGCCTAACTGGGAGGCACCCCCCAGCAGGGGCACACTGACACATCACACGGCAGGGTATTCCAACAGACCTGCAGCTGAGGGTCCTGTCTGTTAGAAGGAAAACTAACAAACAGAAAGGACATCCACACCAAAAACCCATCTGTACATCACCATCATCAAAGACCAAAAGTAGATAAAACCACAAAGATGGGGAAAAAACAGAACAGAAAAACTGGAAGCTCTAAAAATCAGAGCGCCTCTCCTCCTCCAAAGGAATGCAGCTCCTCACCAGCAACGGAACAAAGCTGGATGGAGAATGACTTTGACGAGCTGAGAGAAGAAGGCTTCAGACGATCAAATTACTCTGAGCTATGGGAGGACATTCAAACCAAAGGCAAAGAAGTTGAAAACTTTGAAAAAAAATTAGAAGAATGTATAACTAGAATAACCAATACAGAGAAGTGCTTAAAGGAGCTGATGGAGCTGAAAACCAAGGCTCGAGAACTACGTGAAGAATGCAGAAGCCTCAGGAGCCGATGCGATCAACTGGAAGAAAGGGTATCAGTAATGGAAGATGAAATGAATGAAATGAAGCGAGAAGGGAAGTTTAGAGAAAAAAGAATAAAAAGAAATGAGCAAAGCCTCCAAGAAATATGGGACTATGTGAAAAGACCAAATCTACGTCTGATTGGTGTACCTGAAAGTGATGGGGAGAATGGAACCAAGTTGGAAAACACTCTGCAGGATATTATCCAGGAGAACTTCCCCAATCTAGCAAGGCAGGCCAATATTCAGATTCAGGAAATACAGAGAACGCCACAAAGATGCTCCTCAAGAAGAGCAACTCCAAGACACATAATTGTCAGATTCACCAAAGTTGAAATGAAGGAAAAAATGTTAAGGGCAGCCAGAGAGAAAGGTCGGGTTACCCTCAAAGGGAAGCCCATCAGACTAACAGCGGATCTCTCGGCAGAAACCCTACAAGCCAGAAGAGAGTGGGGGCCAATATTCAACATTCTTAAAGAAAAGAATTTTCAACCCAGAATTTCATATCCAGCCAAGCTAAGCTTCATAAGTGAAGGAGAAATAAAATACTTTACAGACAAGCAAATGCTGAGAGATTTTGTCACCACCAGACCTCCCCTAAAAGAGCTCCTGAAGGAAGCGCTAAACATGGAAAGGAACAACCAGTACCAGCCGCTGCAAAATCATGCCAAAATGTAAAGACCATCGAGACTAGGAAGAAACTGCATCAACTAACGAGCAAAATCACCAGCTAACATCATAATGACAGGATCAAATTCACACATAACAATATTAACTTTAAATGTAAATGGACTAAATTCTCCAATTAAAAGACACAGACTGGCAAATTGGATAAAGAGTCAAGACCCATCAGTGTGCTGTGTTCAGGAAACCCATCTCACGTGCAGAGACACACATAGGCTCAAAATAAAAGGATGGAGGAAGATCTACCAAGCAAATGGAAAACAAAAAAAGGCAGGGGTTGCAATCCTAGTCTCTGATAAAACAGACTTTAAACCAACAAAGATCAAAAGAGACAAAGAAGGCCATTACATAATGGTAAAGGGATCAATTCAACAAGAAGAGCTAACTATCCTAAATATATATGCACCCAATACAGGAGCACCCAGATTCATAACGCAAGTCCTGAGTGACCTACAAAGAGACTTAGACTCCCACACAATAATAATGGGAGACTTTAACACCCCACTGTCAACATTAGACAGATCAACGAGACAGAAAGTCAACAAGGATACCCAGGAATTGAACTCAGCTCTGCACCAAACGGACCTAATAGACATCTACAGAACTCTCCACCCCAAATCAACAGAATATACATTTTTTTCAGCACCACACCACACCTATTCCAAAATTGACCACATACTTGGAAGTAAAGCACTCCTCAGCAAATGTAAAAGAACAGAAGTTATAACAAACTATCTCTCAGACCACAGTGCAATCAAACTAGAACTCAGGATTAAGAATCTCACTCAAAGCCGCTCAACTACATGGAAGCTGAACAACCTGCTCCTGAATGACTACTGGGTACATAACGAAATGAAGGCAGAAATAAAGATGTTCTTTGAAACCAATGAGAACAAAGACACAACATACCAGAATCTCTGGGACGCATTCAAAGCAGTGTGTAGAGGGAAATTTATAGCACTAAATGCCCACAAGAGAAAGCAGGAAAGATCCAAAATTGACACCCTAACACCACAATTAAAAGAACTAGAAAAGCAAGAGCAAACACATTCAAAAGCTAGCAGAAGGCAAGAAATAACTAAATTCAGAGCAGAACTGAAGGAAATAGAGACACAAAAAACCCTTCAAAAAATCAATGAATCCAGGAGCTGGTTTTTTGAAAGGATCAACAAAATTGATAGACCGCTAGCAAGACTAATAAAGAAAAAAAGAGAGAAGAATCAAATAGACACAATAAAAAATGATAAAGGGGATATCACCACCAATCCCACAGAAATACAAACTACCATCAGAGAATACTACAAACACCTCTACGCAAATAAATTAGAAAATCTAGAAGAAATGGATAAATTCCTCGACACATACACTCTCCCAAGACTAAACCAGGAAGAAGTTGAATCTCTTAATAGACCAATAACAGGAGCTGAAATTGTGGCAATAATCAATAGCTTACCAACCAAAAAGAGTCCAGGACCAGATGGATTCACAGCTGAATTCTACCAGAGGTACAGGGAGGAACTGGTACCATTCCTTCTGAAACTATTCCAATCAATAGAAAAAGAGGGAATCCTCCCTAACTCATTTTATGAGGCCAGCATCATCCTGATACCAAAGCCTGGCAGAGACACAACAAAAAAAGAGAATTTTAGACCAATATCCTTGATGAACATTGATGCAAAAATCCTCAATAAAATACTGGCAAACCGAATCCAGCAGCACATCAAAAAGCTTATCCACCATGATCAAGTGGGCTTCATCCCTGGGATGCAAGGCTGGTTCAATATACGCAAACCAATAAATGTAATCCAGCATATAAACAGAGCCAAAGACAAAAACCACATGATTATCTCAATAGATGCAGAAAAAGCCTTTGACAAAATTCAACAACCCTTCATGCTAAAAACTCTCAATAAATTAGGTATTGATGGGACGTATTTCAAAATAATAAGAGCTATCTATGACAAACCCACAGCCAATATCATACTGAATGGGCAAAAACTGGAAGCATTCCCTTTGAAAACTGGCACAAGACAGGGATGCCCTCTCTCACCACTCCTATTCAACATAGTGTTGGAAGTTCTGGCCAGGGCAATTAGGCAGGAAAAGGAAATAAAGGATATTCAATTAGGAAAAGAGGAAGTCAAATTGTCCCTGTTTGCAGACGACATGATTGTATATCTAGAAAACCCCATTGTCTCAGCCCAAAATCTCCTTAAGCTGATCAGCAACTTCAGCAAAGTCTCAGGATACAAAATCAATGTACAAAAATCACAAGCATTCTTATACACCAACAACAGACAAACAGAGAGCCAAATCATGAGTGAACTCCCATTCACAATTGCTTCAAAGAGAATAAAATACCTAGGAATCCAACTTACAAGGGATGTGAAGGACCTCTTCAAGGAGAACTACAAAACACTGCTCAATGAAATAAAAGAGGATACAAACAAATGGAAGAACATTCCATGCTCATGGGTAGGAAGAATCAATATCATGAAAATGGCCATACTGCCCAAGGTAATTTACAGATTCAATGCCATCCCCATCAAGCTACCAATGACTTTCTTCACAGAATTGGAAAAAACTACTTTAAAGTTCATATGGAACCAAAAAAGAGCCTGCATCACCAAGTCAATCCTAAGCCAAAAGAACAAAGCTGGAGGCATCACACTACCTGACTTCAAACTATACTACAAGGCTACAGTAACCAAAACAGCATGGTACTGGTACCAAAACAGAGATATAGATCAATGGAACAGAACAGAGCCCTCAGAAATAACGCCGCATACCTACAACTGTCTGATCTTTGACAAACCTGAGAAAAACAAGCAATGGGGAAAGGATTCCCTATTTAATAAATGGTGCTGGGAAAACTGGCTAGCCATATGTAGAAAGCTGAAACTGGATCCCTTCCTTACACCTTATACAAAAATCAATTCAAGATGGATTAAAAAAAAAGATTTAAACGTTAGACCTAAAACCATAAAAACCCTAGAAGAAAACCTAGGCATTACCATTCAGGACATAGGCGTGGGCAAGGACTTCATGTCCAAAACACCAAAAGCAATGGCAACAAAAGCCAAAATTGACAAATGGGATCTAATTAAACTAAAGAGCTTCTGCACAGCAAAAGAAACTACCATCAGAGTGAACAGGCAACCTACAAAATGGGAGAAAATTTTCGCAACCTACTCATCTGACAAAGGGCTAATATCCAGAATCTACAATGAACTCAAACAAATTTACAAGAAAAAAACAAACAACCCCATCAAAAAGTGGGCGAAGGACATGAACAGACACTTCTCAAAAGAAGACATTTATGCAGCCAAAAAACACATGAAAAAATGCTCATCATCACTGGCCATCAGAGAAATGCAAATCAAAACCACTATGAGATACCATCTCACACCAGTTAGAATGGCAATCATTAAAAAGTCAGGAAACAACAGGTGCTGGAGAGGATGTGGAGAAATAGGAACACTTTTACACTGTTGGTGGGACTGTAAACTAGTTCAACCATTGTGGAAGTCAGTGTGGCGATTCCTCAGGGATCTAGAACTAGAAATACCATTTGACCCAGCCATCCCATTACTGGGTATATACCCAAATGACTATAAATCATGCTGCTATAAAGACACATGCATACGTATGTTTATTGCGGCATTATTCACAATAGCAAAGACTTGGAACCAACCCAAATGTCCAACAATGATAGACTGGATTAAGAAAATGTGGCACATATACACCATGGAATACTATGCAGCCATAAAAAATGATGAGTTCATGTCCTTTGTAGGGACATGGATGAAATTGGAAATCATCATTCTCAGTAAACTATCGCAAGAACAAAAAACCAAACACCGCATATTCTCACTCATAGGTGGGAATTGAACAATGAGATCACATGGACACAGGAAGGGGAATATCACACTCTGGGGACTGTGGTGGGGTGGGGGGAGGGGGGAGGGATAGCATTGGGAGATATACCTAATGCTAGATGATGAGTTAGTGGGCGCAGCGCACCAGCATGGCACATGTATACATATGTAACTAACCTGCACAATGTGCACATGTACCCTAAAACTTAAAGTATAATAAAAAAAAAAGGAAGAAAAAATAAATAAATAAATAAATAAAAATTTAAAAAATTATAGGTAGTAAAATTCACAGAAAACAGAATATAAAATAATACGCTTAAATAAGATTTTATCAAAAGTATGGGCAAAAAAACAATAGGCTATCAAAAGTGACAATGGACAGATTAGAAAATGACACAACTAGAACTTCTTTTAAATTAAAAAAAATTTTTTTTTACTTGGCAGATAAAATTATATGTATTTATTTTGTAAAACATGATATTTCAAAATATATATACATTCTGGAATGACTAATCTTGCTCACATAAGTTATCATTTTTGTGGTGAGAGCACTTAACATCCCTGCCTCAGCATTTTTCAGGAATGCAATGTATTGTTATTAACTACAGTCACCATGCTATATGATAGATATCTTGGACTTAATCCTCCTGTCCATCTGAAATTTCGTATCCTTTGACCAACATCTCAATACTCCCCTGCCCCAGCAACCTGGCCCGACATCCTATCTTTTACCCCAGCCCTTGGTAAGTACCATTCTACTCTACTTTTATGAGATAAATTTTTTTAGATTCCACGTATGCACAAGATGATGCAATACTTGTCTTTCTGTGCCTGGCTTATGTCACTTAACATAATGTCCTCTAGTTTCATTTGTATTGTCACAAATGGCAGTTTTTCTTTATTTTTTTCTGGCTGAATAATACTCCATTGTGTGTGTACATCACATTTTCTTTATCCATTCATTCATTAATGGACAGTTAGGTTGATTCACAAATAGAACTTCTTGAAGTTGAAAATCTAATTGCAGTTAGGAATTCAGTAGACAAGGTAAATAGCTGGTTAGACACAGCTGAAGAGTAATTAAGTAAACTAGAGTATAGAATGGAAGAAATTACCTAAAGTGCAGCATAGACAGAAAAATGAAAAAAGAGGTTAAGAGATGTGAAGATTTGAATATAAAGGTCTCACATGAGTTTCAGAAGAATAAAGAGAATAAACCTCTATTTAAAGAGGTTTGGCTGATACTTTTCCAAACCTCTTTAAATTGATAAAATACATGAATTCTGATTCAGGAAATCCACTGAATCCCATGCACAGTGATTCAGGAGAAATCCATTTCTGGTAACAGTGAAACCACAGAAAGACTGGGTTATAAAAACAGAGGCCAGGTACAGTGGCTCACACCTGTAATCTCAGCACTTTGGGAGGCTGAGGTGGAAGGATCACTTGAGGCCAGGAATTCAAGACCAGCCTGGGAAACATAACAAGACCCTATCTCAAAAACTAATAATTAAAAATTAAAGCAGGCGAATAATAATGAAGACAGATTAGCTGCAAAGTACCAGGAGTGGGGAAAGAGGGAAGACAGTGCTTTTGGTATTCTTAGCCTAGTTGCTTGGCCTGACACTAGGCTCTGTTTGATATAATTTTCATCAGTTCTCCACAGCTGTTTCCACTGTGGTTCCATTGCCTACAACATTCCTCTCTTGGTGTTCCACTCACCTCCCGTTAGACATCTGGATTCAAGGAAAAATCCACTGTGCTTCCCAAAGTTGGAGTTATTTCAGGTGTGCCTGTTTTCTCATTAAGGTCCTGTTCACGGGCTGAGGTTATTAGAAAGAGTATAATTCATTTATTGAAGCAAAGAGAAGAATGGAACTACAGAGACTGGCAAGGAGGCCACCAGCCAGCATGGGCTTCTCTTACTGTTCTGGAAGTTCTTACTTTCTTACCTCCTACCAGCTTTCAGTTTCTCTCTCTTTCTCTGTTTTTATTTTTAATGTCCTCCTTGGTTTTGCAGATAATATATATGCTCATCATAAAATATTTAAATGATACAGGAGACATCATCTTCTGTCTTGACAGTGTGAGGAGCTTTGTTGACCCACTCCTAGTAAAACTTGTGTACGTTATTTAAAAATTAGTCTTTGGGAATAGTCCCAAGGGCAAAGAGTAAATAAAGAAACATCTGCTCAAGGAAATCTGTGAAATTTGGTGTGAAAGGTGGGAGTCTGTGTTATCTCACATAAGACGTCTCCCTCACTGCCTGCTTCCAGCTTGGTGAAGTGGAGACGCCATTCCAAACTGCTGCAGCCAAGCACCCAGAGCTCCCTTTCCCCCAAGTCCAAGGGCTTGCTTCCCAGAAGGAGCAGACTGTTAACACTTCTCTCCTGCCCCTTGCTACCTGTTGCTAAGGCCAAGTCCCAGGCAACTGCATTTGAGAGTTTGGGAGTTGGGGGGTGGGAGAGTCCCTTCTTCAGCTCATCTCCTGCTTGTAGAATGGAAGCTCTATCTTGGATCTTGGCTGTGGCACACAGAGAATACTAGAGTCCTAATTGCCTTTCCCCAGCTCCTGAGATGGTGGTTCCATGTGACGAAGGGCCTTGGGCTGCTGTCCCCCAACTCACTGAGCACTCAGAACCTTGTTATTGTTTCCACCTCTAGCTCCAGGGTCCTAACTCAGAGGTTTGGCCTGAGTTAGGCCATAAAACAGATAGCTCTTAATCTCTTCCCGAAGGAACTGACTGCATTTGCAACAGAGCATGCAGAAGTTCAAACCTAAGGACACTTTGAAGAACTGTGGAGGTTGTGGTGAAATGAAACTGGGAGAGATTCATGGATATAGCATCAGAATCAAACTATACGTGGGCTAGTTCTCAGGAGGGAACCGGGGAGTAAGCCAGTTGGAAGGAGCCCTCCTAGGATCAGAAGAAATATCAAACAGTAACCTCAGCAACTATTCCTTCAAAGGGGGCAAAGTTGATTTGATTCATTTGTGGAGCAATTTGTGCCCTAGGACATTGTTGAAAACAATACAGCTCTTTATGTTTCAGGGATTAATCTTCTGTTTTGCAAATATTTCCCCAAATTTGTATTTCTCTTTCATCCTTATTTATGATACATTTCTATATGGAAGTTTAAAATGTTTATTTAGAGAAAATGGATGCTTATTTCATGGTTTCTATTTTTTTATGAGATACTTAGTAAAGCCTTTTCTGCAATGAGTATTTATTTATTTTTGTATTATTTCAAAAATATGAAATATTTCAAAGAGGAGTTCAGAAAATCTTACGCTCACTACCCAGATTTAATAAACTAAAATTTGCTATATTTGCTTCAGATTTTTTAAAGAAATAAGATATTAGATATAGTTGATGACCCTTTCATAATCCTTTGTATTTCCCTTTGTTCACCCCCGGAGGTAACCACTGTTCTGAATTTGGTGTGTATCATATCTATTTTTTTTTTTTTTGAGACAGGTTCTCACTTTTGTTACCCAGGCTGGAATGCAGTGGCATGATCTTGGTTCACTGCAGCCCGACCTCCTGGGTTCAAGCAATCCTCTTGCCCCAGTCCCCCAGGTAGCTGGGACTACAGGTGAGTGCCACCACACCTGGGTAATTTTTATATTTTTTGTAGAGACAGGGTTTCACCATGTTGCCCAGGCTGGTCTCGAACTCCTGAGCTCAAGTGATAGGCCTGCCTTAGCCTATTAAAGTCCTAGGATTACAGCCGTGAGCCATCACTCCTGGCCTATTGTATCTATTCTTTTTTTTTTTTAGACGGAGTCTCACTTTGTCACCCAGGCTGGAGTGCAGTGGCGCGACTTGGCTCACGGCAACCTCTGCCTCCCGGGTTCACACCATTCTCCTGCCTCAGCCTCCTGAGTAGCTGGGACTATAGGCGCCCGCCACCACGCCCAGCTAATTTTTGTATTTTTAGTAGAGACGGGGTTTCACTATGTTGGTCAGGCTGGTCTCAAACTCCTGACCTCTTGCTCCACCCGCCTTGGCCTCCCACAGTGCTGGGATTACAGGCATGAGCCACTGTGCCCGCCTGGCAGTATCTGTTCTTTATAGTTTGTCATATATATCTGTCTTCATTGTATCCCCCCTACCACATACACACACAGATAGTGTTTTAGTAGTTTTCTATGTTGTTACATGTAGCTCCGTGTACAGCTTAGTTTAGCATCCCACTATTTGAAAACCTTTGTTAAGGAACATTTAGATTGATGCCAGTTATTTTGCTGTTATACACAATGTTGCAATGAGTATCCTTGTGCATGACTCCTTGGGTACATATGCAAGTATGTCCCTAGGATATATGCCTTAAAGTAGAATTGCTAGGTTATATGCACATTTTCAGTACCACTAGATAATGCCAAATTGTTTTCCAAAGTGGTTGCTAGTGGAAATAAACCACTATGTTTCAAAAAACTCATACTGTGTTTGATGGTTCCTATTTCTCCATATCCTTGTCAATGTTTTGTATTAGAGTTTCTATTTTTTGCCAATTTGATGGGTATGGTATAGTATCTCATTCTTCTTTTGAATTTACTCTTTCCTGACTACTATATAAATTGAGTAGTTTCCCCCCCCACACACACAGACAATTGGAATTATACTATACAGATTGCTCTGAGATTTTTTGGTTTGGATTATGTAGGTTTTTGTGTGTTTTCAATACAGCCATCTTTTTTAATTGCCTCTTAATATCTTTTCCCTATTTTTTCCCATAGAGTCTTTTGTTTATGTTTTAGTTGGCATTTATATATTATATATATAATCTGGGTAATTATATATTTCATATGTATTTTCATGAATTATATATAGTCTGGATACTGTCTTTTGTCAATTATATGCATAGCAAATATATTCTTGTGTGTAGCGGGTCATTTCACATTGCTTATGTTGCTTTTGTTACAGACATTTTAAAGTATTTTTAGAAAGTCAGAATTATCCATCTTTTTCTTGAAGTTTATTCTCTGTGTGTTTTAAGAAATCTTTCCTTGAGGTATAGAGATATTTGCCTATATTATCTTCTGAGAGTATAAAGTTTTGACGGGTTTTTATTTTAATATTTATTTTTATGTATGCTGTGAGATATAGATTTAATTTTAGTTTTTATCATGTGGCCAACTAGTTGTTCTGGCATTATGTACTAAAGAGTCTATCTTTTCCCCAGTGAAGTATAATTGTTCCTCTACTATATACTGAATTCTCTTATTTGTATTGGTTTGTATTCTGATCCATTGGTCTCTTTTTCTATCCTTGCACCAATCTCATATTATTTTAATTACTGTAGCTTTATATAAGTTTTGACATCAAGTAGAACAAAACCTTCATCCTTATTCATGTTTAAAATTGCCTTGGGTCAGGGATACAAGGATGGTTCAACATATGCAAATCAATAAATGTGATATGTCACATTACCAGAATCAAGAACAAAAACCATGTAATCATTTCAATGGATGCTGAAAAAACAGTCAATGAAATTTAACATCCCTTTATGATAAACACCCTCAACAAACTGGATATAGAAGGAACATACCTCATAATAATAAAGGCCATATATGACAGACCCATAGCTAACATTGTACTGAACAGGGAAAAATGGAAAACTTTTCCTGCAAGATCAGGAAGAAGACAAAGATGCCTATTTACATCACTTTTATTCAACAGAATACTGGAAGTTCTGGCCAGAGCAATTAGGCAAGAGAGAAACATAAAGGCCATCCAAATTGGAAAGGAAGAAACAGTTTAGACAAAGTGAACTTTTTTCTTTTTCTGAGACTTACTCTGTCACCCAGGCTGGAGTGCTGTGGTGCAATCATGGTGCACTGCAGCCTTGACCTGCTGGGCTCAAGCAATCTTCCCACCTTAGCCTTCCAAACAACAGATCTTCTACTTAGAAAAACCTAAAGACTCCACAAAAAAAACTGTTAGAACTGATAAACGATTTCAGTAAAATGGCAGTATATAAAATCAACATACAAAAACCAGTAGCATTTATTCTTTATTATTATTTTTAGAGACAGGGTCTCTGTTGCCCATACTGGAGTATAATGGCGCAGTCATAGCTCCCTATATAACCTCAGGGCTGAAACAATCCTCCTGCCTCCACCTCAGTAGCTAGGACTGCAGGTGTACTCTACCATGCCTGGCTAATATTTTCATTTTTTTTACACAGATAGGGTCTCACTATGTTGCCCAGGATGGTCTTGAACTCCTTGAGGATTGCTTGAGGCCAAGAGTTTACCTTGGCCTCCCAAAGCTTTGAGATTACAGGCTTGGCCATCGTTTCCAGCCAATAGCATTTCTATATGCCAACAGTGAACAATCTGGAAAAGAAGAAAGCACTTCCATTTACAGCAGCTATGAAGAATACCTAGGAATCAATTTAACAAAAGAAATGAAAGATCTATAAAAGGAAAACTATAAAACACTGATGGAAAAAATTGAATTGGACATGATATAGTGTGGATATTTGTCCCCTCCAAATCTCATGTTGAAAGATAATCCTCGGCCGGGCATGGTGGCTCACACCTGTATTCCCAGCACTTTGGGAGGCCAAGGTGGGCATTTCACCTGAGGCCAGGAGTTTGAGACCAGCCTGGCCAACATAGTGAAACCCCATTTCCACTAAAAATACAAAAATTAGCTGGGCGTGGTGGCGGGCACCTGTAATCCCAGCTACTCCGAAGGCTGAGGCAGGAGAATCACTTGAACCTGGGAGGCAGAGGTTGCAGTGAGCTGAGATTGTGCCATTGCACTCCAGCCTGGATGACAAGAACAAAACTGTCTCAAAAAAAAAAAAAAAAAAAAAAAGGAAAGATAATCCTCTGCATCCTACTTTATTCATGAGGGAAAAACAAAAAGAAAGATAATTCCCAGTGTTAGAGGTAGGGCCTGGTGGGAGAGTAATTGGATCACAGGGGGCAAATCCCTTGTGAATGGTTTAGCACCACTTCCTTGGTGATAAGTGAGTTCTTCCTCAGTTAGTTCACATGAGATCTGGTTGGTTAAAAGTCTGGGACTGCTCCCTTCTCCCACTGTCACCATGTGAGACACTTGTTCCTGCTTTGCCTTATATCATGATTATAAACTTCCTGAGGCCCTTACCAGAATCAGATGCCGACACCATGCTTTCTGTATATCTTGGAGTACCATGAGCCAAAATAAAACCTCTTTTCTTTATGAATTACCCAGCCTCAGCTGAGCACAGTGGCTCACGCTTATTATCCCAGCACTTTGGGAGGCTGATGCAGGCAGATGACTTGAACCTGAGAGTTCGAGACCAGTGTGGGCAACATGGCAAAACCCCATCTCTACAAAAAATATAAAAATTTGCCAAGTGTGGTGGTGCGCGCCTGTGGTCGCAGCTACTCAGGAGGATCACTGGAGCCTGGGGAGGTTGAAGCCTCAGTGAGCTGTGATCACACCACCACACTCCAGCCTGAGTAACAGAGTGAGACCCTGCCTCAAAATAAATAGATAGATAAATAAGTAAAAATTACCCAGTCTCAGATGTTTCTTTATAGCAGCATAAAGAGTTTAATACAGGACACACAAAAATGGAAAGTTTCCGTGCTCATGGATAGGACTAATTAATATTGTTAAAATGATAATACTACCCAAAGCAATTTACAGATTCAATGCAATCCCTATCAAAATACCAGTGCAATTCTTCAGAGAAATAAAAGAGACGATTCTAAAATTTACATGGAACTACAAAAGACCCCAGATAGCCAAAGCAATCCTCAGCAGAAAGAACAAAGCTGGAAGCATCACACTACCTCACCTCAAAATATAGTACAAAGTTGGCTGGGCACAGTGGCTTATGCCTGTAATCCCAGCAGTTTGGGAGGCCAAGGCAGGTGGATCACTTGAGGTCAGGAGTTCAAGACCAGTCTGACCAACGTGGTGAAACCCCATCTCTGCTAAAAATACAAAAATTAGCCAGGCATAGTGGCACACGCCTGTAGTCCCAGCTATTCGGGAGGCTGAGGTGGAAGAATTGCTTGAACCTGGAGGTGGAGGTTGCAGTTTGCCAAGATTGCGCCACTGCACTCCAGCCTAGGCTACAGAGCACTCTGTCTCAAAACAAACACCTGCAAAGCTGTAGTGACCAAATCAGCATGGCATTGGTAAAAAACAAAACAAACAAACCAACAAAACAACCCAGACACAAAGACCAATGGAACAGAACCCAGAACCCAGGTGTAAATCCACACATTTACGGCCAACCCATTTTTAACAAAGGCACCAAGAACATCCAATGGGCAAAGGACAGTCTCTTCAATAAATGGTGCTGGGAAAACCGGATAACCATACGCAGAAGAATGAAACTGGACCTCTATCTCTCACTATATACAAAAAAATCAAATCAAAATGGATTACAGACTTAAGTCTAAGACCTGAAATTATGAAACTACTAGAATAAACATTGGAAACCAGGTGTGGTGGCTCATACCTGTAATTCCAGCATTTGGGGAGCCCAAGACAGGAGGATCGCTTGAGGCCAGGGGTTTGAGACCAGCCTGGGCAACACAGTGAGACCCCTTCTCTATAAAAAATAAAACTAGCTGGGCACAGTGTTGCATTCCTGTAGTCTCAGCCACTCAGGAAGGTGAGGCAGGAGGATTGCTTGAGCCCTGGAATTCAAGGTTATAGTGAGCTGTGATCGTGCTGCTGCACTCCAGCTGTGGTGACAGAGCAAGATACTGTCTCAAAAGAAAAGATTGGAGAAAGGCTCCAGGACATTGTTCTGGGCAAAGATTTTTTTGTGTGTAAGACCTCAAAAGCACAGGCAACCAAAGCAAAAATAGACAAAAGAGATTACATCAAGCTAAAAATCTGCACAGGCTGGGCATGGTGGCTCACACCTGTAATCCCAGCACTTTGGGAGGTCGAGGCAGGCGGATCACAAGGTCAAGAGACCGAGACCATCCTGGCCAACATGGTGAAACCCCATCTCTACTAAAAACATAAAAATTAGCTGGGCGTGGTGGCTCGCACCTGTAGTCCCAGCTACTCAGGAGGCTGAGACAGAAGAATTGCTTGAACCCAGGAGGTGGAGATTGCAGTAAGCCGAGATTGCACCACTGCACTCCAGCCTGGCGACAGAGTGAGACTCTGTCTCAAAAAAAAAAAAAAAAAAAAAAAAATCTGCACAGCAAAGAAAACAACCAACAAAGTGGAGAGACAACCCACAGAATGGAATAAAATAATTTGCAAACTATCCATCTGACAAAGGATTAATAAACAGAAAATATAAGGGGCTCAAACAACTCAATAGCAAAAAAAAATCTGATTAAAAATGGGCGAAAGATCTGAACAGACATTTTTCAAAAGAAGACATACACATGGCCAACAGGTATATGAAAAGATGCTCAGCTTCACTAGTCATCAGATAAATGCAAATTAAAATCACAATGGGATATCATCTCACTCCAGTTTAAATGGCTTTTATCAAAGAGACAGGGAATAATGGATGCTGGTGAGGATGTGGTGAAAGGGGTACATTGTTGGTAGGAATGCAAATTAGTACAGCCACTTTGGAAAACTGTATGAAGTTTCCTCAAAAAACTAAAATTAGCACTACCATATAATCCAGCAATTCTGCTGGGTGTATGTCCAAAAGAAAGGAAATCAATATATCAAAGAAATCACCACATATTCATGTTTATTGCAGCACTATTCACAATATCTGAAATATGGAATCAACCAAAATGCCCATCAGTGGATTAATGGATAAAGAAAATGTGGCACATATACACAATAAAAGAAATCCTTTAATATGCAGCAACATGGAGGGAATTGGAGGTCATTATGTTAAGTGAAATAAGCCAAGTACAGAAAGACAAATATCACATGTTCTCACTTATATATAGTAGATAAAAATGTGGATCTCATAAAGATAAAGAGTAGATTGGTGGTAACCAGAGACTAGGAAAAGTAGGGGAAAGAGGAGATGAAGAGAGGTTGGTTAATAGTTACAAATATACAGTTTGATAGAAGCAGTAGCACCATTGTTTGCTAGATCAGTAGGGTGACTATAGTTTACAATAATCTGTTGTATAATATATTTCAAAATAACTGGAATGTAATTTGAATATTTCTAGCATAAAGAAAAGACAAGGTGGGGCGTGGTGGCTCATGCCTGTAATCCCAGCACTTTGGGAGGCCAAGGTGGGCGGATCACCTGAGGTCGGGAGTTTGAGACCAGCCTGACCAACATGGAGAAACCCTGTCTCTACTAAAACAAAATTAGCCAGGCGTGGTGGTGCATGCCTGTAATCCCAGCTACTTGGGAGGCTGAGGCAGAATTTGTTGAACCTGGGAGGCAGAGGTTGTGGTGAGCCGAGATCACGCCATTACACTCCAGCCTGGGCAACAAGAGTGAAACTCTGTCTCAAAAAAAAAAAAAAGATGAATATTTAAGGTGATAGATATCCCAATTATACTGATTTGATATTTACAAATTATATGAATGTAATAAATAGCACATGTATCCCATGCATGCCTATGTTCATTACAGCACTATTCACAATAGCAAAGACATGGAATCAACCCAAATGCCCATCAGTGATAGACTGGATAAAGAAAATGTGGTACATATGCAGCTGTAAAAAGGAACAAGATCATGTCCTTTGCAGGACATGAATGGAGCTCGAAGCCATTATCCTCAGCAAACTAATGCAAAAACAGAAAACCAAACACCACATATTATCACTTATAAGTGGGAGCTGAACAATGAGAACACATGGACACAGGAAGAGGAACAACATACACTGGAACCTGTTGGGGTGGTTGGCTGGGGGGCAAGAGGTGGGAGAGCATCAGGATAAATAGTTAATGCATGCAGGGCTTAATACCTAGGTGATGGGCTGATAGGTGCAGCAAACCACCATGGCACATGTTTACATGTAACAAACTTGCATGTCCTGTACGTGTGTCCCGGAAATTAAATTTATTAAAAATTTATTACACGTATCCCCAAAATATGTACATCTATTATTTATTAATTTAAAAATTGCCTTGGATATTTTTGGCGCTTTACTCTTCCATATGGATTTTAGGCATACTCTGTGAGGCTCAACAAAACACTGGATATTTAAGCTAGAATGCAGTAAATGTATAGATTAATTTATGAGAATTAACATATTTATAAAATGTGTTTCTGTTCATGAACATGATATGTCTTTCCAGTTAGATGGTCTCACATCTTTTAATAAAACATCATAATTTTTTCCATATAGGTAGTGAATCAATCTCTTTTGTTATGCCTAATTACCTCATAGTATTTGTTATTGTAAAGAGGTTAATTTTCAAGTTTTTATTTTATAATTGTTTGTTGCTGGTATATGACTTTATAGCCAACAAACTTGCTGATGTCTTATTAGTTCTAATAGTTTACATTTTTTCTTGGATGTTATTTGTAGATAATCGTATCATTTAATATAAAAATAATTTTGTTTCTTTTCAATCTTTATCCTCCATTTCTCTTTCTTATTGCAATGTCTAGCACCTTTAATACAGTGTTTATTGAAATACTAGTAGACATCCTTATCCTTTTCCTGTCTTTAAAGGGAATGATTCTAATATTTTACCACTAAATATGATATCTTCCATAGGTTGATGAATTTATTTATATATTATCTAGTAGTGAATCATCCTTACATTTCTGAAATAAATGTTTTTGGTCATTGTATTAGTTATCTATTGCTATGTAACAAATTCTCACAAACTTAGTGGCTTAAAACAATGCACACTTATTATATTACACTTTCTGTAGGTCAGGAGTCCAAGTGTGACTTTGTCGGGTCCTCTGCATTGCCGTAGTCCAAGGTGTCAGCTGGAGCTAGGGTCTAATATGGCACTTGACTGGGAAGCATTTCCTTTTAAACTGATGTGGTTGTTGGCAGAGTTCAGTTCTTTGCAGGCTGTCAGATTAAAGACCTTAGTTTGTTGCTGGTGGGAGGCTGCCCTCAGTTCCTTGCCACATGGCTATCTCCATAAGCAGCTCACAACATGGCAGCCTGCTTCTTCAGAGCCAGCAAGGGAGAGTGTTTCTCAGCAAAACAGATGTTACCGTCTTACGTAGTGTAATCACATACACATAGTCGTATATATCTTGTCACCTTTGCCGTATTCCATTGGTTGGAAGCATGTCATATTCCCACACCCAATGGGAGGTAATTACACAAGGATGCGTCTGGCTGTGGCCTAGACATCATATTTCTGGAAGTGACAGAAAATGACATAATGGGATAGATATTTATTTTTTCCATGTAAACAGCATCTTCAGGTCAGCAGCTTTGGGTTGGTGTGGCAACTGTATTGTGGGTAGACTCTTGGGTCTTGAGTTCCTTCGAGTCACACTAGGATGCCATCCCTAAGGAATAGCCCTTCCTCATCATCCCAGATGGCAAGATCTGCATTCCAGGGAGCAGGGTGGAAGGAGCGACATAGAAGAGGAGGTAAAGGGCACTTAAAAATCTCTTAAGGGGATCCCAGAAGCTGTCAAATGATGCTTCTGCTTATAATCTGTTGGCCAAAACGTAGTGCCTTGGCCATACCTCCCTGCAAAGGAGGCCGAGAAATATAGTCTTTATACTTTATTTGCCCAGCAAAAATTCTGCTACTGTGGAAGAATGGGAGAACAGATTGTGGGGGACCACTAGCAGCTTCCATCTCAGCTAGCTTTCAGTTACAAAAGAAAAAGTTTCTCTTTTCTCTTGGCTCTGGAATAGTTTAGCATAAGATTATTTATTTATATTTTTTTAATTATTATTTTCTAAATTTTACTTTTTTCAATAGTTTTTTGGGAACAGGTGGTGTTTAGTTGCCTGGATAAGTTCTTTAGTGGTGATTTCTGAGATTTTGGTGCACCTGTCACCAGAACAGTGTACACTATACCCAATGTGTGTAGTCTTTTATCCCTCACCCCCTCCCACCCTTCCCCGAGTCCCCAAAGTCCATTATATAATTCTTAGGCCTTTGTGTCCTTGTAGTTTAGCGCCCAAGGATTATTTATTTTTTTGATGTTTGAAAAGATAACCTGAAAAATTACCAATTACTCTATTTCTTATGTGTAGAAGAGCATAGCATACCAAGAGAGTACTGGACTCACCTGGACCAGGTATGCTGTGGATATGAGAAAGGCTGGCTGTGGAAAAGGAGCCTGCTAGGGGCAGGGGCTTTACATATACTGTCTCATTTAATCCTCACAACAACTGCCAGAGTGAGGGGTAGGATTTTGGCTTCACAGAGGAGGGTCCTCACCCAAGAGCATGCAGTTAACTTATGGGATGGTTACACTTCAAACCTAAAGCATTGATGTCAAAGCCCATGTTCTTTCTATAGTTTGAAGAGCTAGCAGACTCTCTCAGAAAGGGCCATCTCTCTGAAGGTCTTGAGTGGGGTTCCTAGTCTCTTTCTTCATCACTCACACAAGCTTTTGACTTGGATATCTGGAGGATATAGGTAATGATAGGGAGGGAGCAGGTGGGATTTGTGGCAAGGTCTCCTCATTCAGCCTAGCACCCATAGTCGTGTAGTGATTGCCATGGGACTCAGTACATCCGTTCTGCACCTTGCTTTCCTTCCATGGTCTGCGTATGCATTAGAAGGTGTACAGTGGGCACTGACTGGAGTGAGCCTCATCAGGAGTCCAGTACCTACAGGCTTCTGCCCTTTGGCAGCAAACCTGAAAGAGAGCTCTGACCAGCCTTTTTAGAAATAGCCCTGATTTAACTAGAGTAAGCATGCTTCTAAACTCTGCTGCTATGGTCCATTTTTTGGATCAAGCCCCTTCTGGATGGGTTCTCTGTGATATTTAAGTCACAAGGACATAGATGGGGAACCTTCTCCGTTGTATTTCTTCTCTTCTCTCCTTCTGCCAAATACTTTTGAGTGTTTGTTTGTTAAATTCTGATCAGTTAGATGTATTCTCTCCCAGCAGCTCTTCTTCTGTAACCATAGTTCAATACTTAAAAGTGGAGAATCTGTCAAGGATAGAGGGAGGGCAACTATTGAAGGATGGCAGGAAATATCGACCCTGTACCCTGATGATGACCAGCCCTGCTTTGCAGCCTGTGCTGCCTGGATAGAAGGCCTGCTGGGGGAGTCTTGGGGCTTTTTTAGGGAGTTAGTGTATCCCATTATCTCAGAATGTGTGCAAAATGTGGAATGAACAGCCCTGAGTAAAAGAGGCTGTCATGTGGCTGTGGAACAGAAGGATTTCCTTGTATTGGACAATCCATAATCCCTTTGTTTCAGGGAAATCTCTAAGACTGACTTCCCATGCTGCCTCCCAGCCCCTACTGCATTTCACTTGCATACACAGCCTTGAGGTCTAAAGCTAATTTATTTCTATCCCATTTTCTCTCAGCTTTTATTCTGCATTTAATCAGTTGCCTTGGTCCCACAGCTACTTCAGCCAGGCTGCTGGGAAAAGATTATAGCTGGCCCTGGTGCCCCAGCCTCCATCCAGAGCATCTGGCCAACACGCCAGAAAACAGAATGTCTCAGGCCTTCCTACTCTTTCTGACTGGCAATTGCAGGATGGTGTAGGCTATAGAGACTCCTGTCATGAAGCCTTCATTTTTCAGATCACCCGGAAAAAGGAAAGGATAAAGACTGTTTTAAAAAGCCGGCTGGGGGTGGGGCATGGTGGCTAACGCCTGTAATCCCAACACTTTAGGAAGCTGAGGCAGGCGGATCACCTGAGGCTGGGAGTTTGAGACGAGCCTGGCCAACATGGCAAAACCCCGTCTCTACTAAAAATACAAAAATTAGACAGATGTGATGATGGGTGCCTGTAATCCCAGCTACTTGGGAGGCTAAGGCAGGAGAATCGCTTGAACCCAGGAGGTAGAGGTTGCGGTGAGCCGAGATCGCGCCACTGGACTTCAGCAAGACTCTGTCACGAAGAAAAGAAAAGCCAGCTGGGGCCTGTTTGGGGCTCATGCCTCTAATCCTAGCACTTTGTGAGACTGAGGTGAGAGGATCACTTGAGCCCTGGAATTTGGGACCAGCCTGGACAAAATAGTGAGATCCCATCTCTAACAAAAACAACAAAATTATCCAGGCATGGTTGGAGACTGAAGTGGGAGGATCCCTTGAACCTGGGAGGTCGAGGCTGCAGTGAGCCATGATAACGCCACTGGACTCCAGCCTGGGCAGCAGAATGAAACCCTGTCTCAAAATAAATAAAAAGCCAGCTGGAAAGCATCTAGAAAATAGAATGAAAGTCATCTGCCCAATTCCCAGCAGTCCTCCCCAGGTTACCTTCTACGGTTATCTGGTCATTTAGATTCTCATGGCAAGGAGTTGAGACTAAAGGCTGCCCTGGTTAGAGTTGCTGTTTGGCATTAGACTGGGATCTCTGTGGGCATCCTAGGACAACCTTCCCTCATAGTGGTCACACTGGTGCCTTTGCTCTGAGCAAGTGTCTTTCCACAGTCCTCATTGTCTAGATGGAAAACTCTTGGGTAAGTGTACGCTCACATTGGGTTGGATACAAAGATTCAAAGAGAAGCAAAGGCCAAAGCAAAAAAATGGGACCAGGAGTAAACTTGCTGGGCGGTCCAGGAAGAGAGGGCAGGAAGACGCAAGCCCTGGTGCCTACCTGTGACCCTTAACGTGAAATTCCTGTCGCACGCATGCCTTTCCCAAAGAGCCATGGACAGTGATCAGTGGCTGAATGGAGGAGCCTCTGTTCCCACTCAGTACCTCTGCTGCAGTGATTTGTTCAAGACCACAGAGCCAGCTGGCAGTCAGAATGAGAAGATGAGTCAGAAACTCTGAGTTTTCAGGATAAGACATGGCCTTCAGATGGCATTTCCCGTGCAGTTAGAGAAGTCCTAGGATCAGAAGTGATGTGTTCCTGCAAAGTTCATGTAAAGCCACCCTCTCCACCCCTGTAACTCACTATGAACTGTGACTTAAATGAGCTGCAGTTTCCCCTTTTGCAAAGGAGAGAAACTGTTGGGGGCTTATCAAGCTAGATGATGCCTTAGAGGGCAAAAGGTGTCCTACATAAAGGAGTGCGGCCCTTGTTTCCAGCCTTCTTCCCCTCCCTCCTTCCGTATCTCTCTCCTTTCCTTCCTGTCTTCCTTCCTCTCTTTCTTCCCTCCCTCCTGTGCTGCTGCCATCTGCCCTCAGATATGTGTAGTGACCACTGGGGGCCCCATTTTTCTCTTGCCATGGCTAATCTTGATGGTGTTCGTGAAGTCTGTACACAGAGGTTCATTCAAACCATATGACTAAGATAATTTCTGTAATTTTTGGTAGAGATGGGGTTTCACTGTGTTGGCCAGGCTGGTCTAGAACTCCTGGCCTCAAGTGATCTGCCCGCCTTGGCCTCCCAAAGTGCTGGGATTACAGGTGTGAGCCACCATGCCTGGCTGGGATATATAAGATTCTTGTTTTCCCTGTGGAACATGGTCTGACTTCTCTGTAGTATTTTGGTAAGTGTCCAGATTACTGTCTATGAGATGACTTACTTAAACTTCATGTTTTCAACTCTGATTTGGTAATACAGTCACATGGCTCAAAATTCAAACGGCACCAGAGGATATGAAAAGTATCCTCCACTGTGTCCTTCCACCGTGTCCCTTTGCTACCCTGCTTCCCTGCCTCAAGGCAACCAGTGTTGTCAGTTTCTTCTAGAGATATTTTTCCATGTTAAAGTAAATATTTCCATATATTGTTTTTACATGAAAGGCAGTTTACTGTAGATTCATCATTCTGTAATTTACTTTTTCTGTTTAACTATATAAGTATTTTGTTTGCTTATTTGGTAGAGATACGGTCTCGCTCTCACCCAAGCTAGAGTGCAGGGGTGCAATCATAGCTTAGTGCAGCTTCAACCTCCTGGGCTCAAGCGATCCTCCTGCCTCAGCCTCCCAAGTAGCTGGGACCACAGGTACGTACCACCATGCCTGGCCAATTTAAAAATTTTTTGTAGAGATGGGGTTTCACTGGGTTGGTCAGGCTGGTAGCACTGTATCTTGAATATCATTCTTTATCAGTCCATAAAGAGCTTCTTAGGAGATAGTTTCTTTGCTTTCAATAGTTGTAGAATGACTCAGGTGGAAACTTTTGGGAAAATGCTTACATTGACCTACGTTTAAAAATGACAGTGCTTCAATTAATTAGACTTATTAGTAGGCAAAATTTATTGTTTAAACGAAGGAGGTATTTGATTGTTGTGTCTAAGAAGTGATTACTGATGGTTTTTTAGAGCCAATATGACTCACAAAACATCTTTGATGTTAAGTTTGGAATGCCTATGTCATTAGTTCTGATTGGGAATCTGTGTAATTCAAAATTTTAGTTTAAAATCTGTTAAGGCAATAAAGAAGCCACATGCTGTGTCTCCTTGGCTGCAGCATGTTCCCTCCATTGTGCTGGGACTGTTCTGTAAGAACCAGGTGTACGGGTCTGTGCTAGGCGTACAATGGCCACCAGGAGCTTTGGACTCTGGAGAGGCCCAAATGCTTTGTCTTTACAATTGTAAAAAGTAAAAAGTAAAAAACTTGGCCAGGCGCAGTGTCTCACATCTATAATCCCAACACTTTGGGAGGCTGAGGTGGGCAGATCACCTGAGGTCAGGAGTTTGAGACCAGGCTGGCCAACATGGTGAAACCCTGTCTCTACTAAAAATACAAAATTAGCTGGGCATGGTGGCGCATGCCTGTAATCCCAGCTACTTGGGAGGCAGAGGCAGAATTGCTTGAACCCGGGAGATGGATGTTGCATTGAGCCGAGATCACGCCATTGCACTCTAGCCTGGGTGACAAGAGCAAAACTCTTGTCTCAAAAAATAAAAAGCTCAACTATTTTCATTTTCTCTGTTGAAACCTGCTGACAAGTTAGGCTTGCTTCTAGATCCAGGTGGCCAGCTGGTTGGGCCGTGGCCCTTTCCATGGTCATGCTCCTGGTAAAGAGATTATCCTCAGGGTAGGGGATGAGATGGGTGTAGTAAGAGGGCTCCATTTAGAGTGTTTGCCAGGGCAGTCACTTTAATGCTTCTATGAGAGCCAGGCTATGCAGGAATACAAAAGCCATATATCATGCCCTTTAGAGGAGTGTGAGGGTTTAGACTCCTCAGGGCCAGCTGAAAACTTCTAGAGGTCCTACACATTGAAAAGAATATGGTGCCCTATCTTCCCTGACCTCCCTGCCTTCATGAATAGGTAATGCAAAATAAAAATAATTCTAAATTTTAGGTTAAGTCCTCTGGTCCCAGAATGGATGACTAGTTAGATTTTTTTTTTAATAATGCAATCCCAGCACTGTGGGAGGCCGAGTGGGTAGATCAATTGAGGCCAGGAGTTTGAGACCAGCCTGGCCAACATGGTGAAACCCCATCTGTACCAAAAAAGATACAAAAAGCAACCAAGAGTGGTGGTGTGTGCCTGTAGTCCCAGCTACTTGGGAGGCTGAGGTGGGAGGATCACTTAAGGAGATTACAGTGAGCTGTGATCATGCCACTGCACTCCAGCCTGGGTGACAGAGCCAGGCCCTGTCTCAAAATAAATAAAATAAAATAAAATAAAATAAAATAAAATAAAATAAAATAAAATAATCTATCATAAATAAAACAAAATAGTGCATCAAATATCAAATTGACCCAATTTTTTTTCCCCTCCCATGTTTTAGGTACCTATGTTGTGCCCAAGGACAAATTGAGTCTTTCTGTTGTCTGATCCAATCTCAGGAGTTTCTGATTCTCCTGAGAAGCTGCCCTTTTCCAAGGATTTGGGGGCAGGAATTATTTTACAATGTCAAGAAGTTTGAAGTTAAAATTGTTTTTGTTTATATTTACAAATATCTTTATCTGAACAGAACTTTAAAGTAGCTCTGAAATTTTTCTTCAAGAAATGTATTTTCTTTTTGAGTGTTCCATGATGAAATCAGTCTTAATTTCAGTTCAACTAGTGTGTAAAAACACACAGTGAGTGATTATTAGTCCCCGAAGGAGGCAAGACAGATGGAGCCTAGAATGGAATTGGCTTTATGATTAATTGAATCCTTGAAGAGTTGAATAGAGTTAGAGCTGATTCTGCCCAATCAGTGCCTTGAGAGGGCTGGTGTTGTCCTGCGCCTGGGAGAGGAAAGGGTCACAATAACCCAGATTTATCCTCTATTAAAATGGATTGGATGTATGCACCAGACGGTTCCCATTTTTAAACCATTGATGCAGGATAATTGGAATGGAAACAAACAAGATTAGAACTAGATTACAGGTATTTGTGCAAGTTGCGTCCTAAATCAATCAGAGTCCGTGATTTGTTCAGAGGGTGCATTATCATTAGAGTGAATCATTGAAACTCAGAGACACATCTGGAGCTGTCCAGCCAGGAGGGGAAGCAGGGGAAGGGCAGCAGAGAGCTGCTTGGAGTTGGGAACTAGGTACAACTCCAGAGTGCTTTTCTGTCTTTCTGGGCAGAAATCTTCCAGAGAGAATTTTAATTTAATTTTGCTCTTTTTTCTTTCCAGCAGGGATGCATAATGTATAGGTTTGAAATAACTGCCTCTTTGCTATAGTGAATGGACGCTTTTTTAATGTTTGGATCAAACAGACACCTGGGGTAGCTGCTGCCTGTGGGGACCCTGCAATCCAGAGGGAGGGAAGGGAGAGGGCCTGGCGCTGTAGGTGGACTAGCCATGTTAATCACAAAGTCCATTAGGATGATGGGTGCCCTGCTGCCTTGCCAGGGAGCCTGTTAGTACAGAACATCATCTGTGGAGCTGGAGATTGCAGGGTTTGCCTTCATCAGCGGGCTCTACTTCACTGGCCAGTCGCTGAGGGAGGAAGTCCACGTTCCCGCCCACAGCTCTGCCACCACTTATCTCTAGCCATGGCCATGGGGTGGGAGGTGATGCAAATATGTACAGGGGCCCCTGACTCAGTGTGACTCTGACCTAGTCCTGAACTCAGGAGTCTGGACACATGGGATACAGTCTTGGGTCGACAGTCAGAGAACTGACTTTTAAGCCATCATTTTACTTCTGTGAGACTTTAAGTCTCTGTGAAAACAAGAGCACTAGATATGAGGTTCTTTCTGGCTTGAGAAGTGTGCCCTGAGTTCCTTCCTTCCTGAATTGTATACCCATGCCAAGTCCCTGGCAGCGTGCTGGGTTAGGCCCATAGAAGCTTCACGTGATAGGCAAGTCTCACCCTTACCTTTGAACTACACTGGTTTGTTTCTCTTCATTTTTCCATTTTGAGCTGCCGTGAGTCAGGCTGCAGGCAGCTCATTTACACAGGAGTCAGCCTGAAGGAAGGTGGCTTGAAGTCTACTTTCATTTTGTCATGGGAGGTGTTTTCCTGTGGAATCGCTAATCAGGCAGGTCAAAGGGAACCATAAGGGATCTCACTCATCCCTAGATGGAAACAAGTACAGCAAAGCCATCTCAGAAGGAGACCAAAAACACACAAAAACAACTCCCCTGACAGCATTTCTTAACTCTGGCACTCTCAAAATTGAACATACTTAAAATATCCCCAAGGGATGGAGGTGAGGTTTCTTGGTCCCACATCAGAGCTGGTGAACCAGGGCCCATGCCACACCCTTAGGATGCTATAGAGATAAGAGCTGAGCCCTGCTTCTCTTCTCCCCATGTGCCCACTGCCATGTCCTGCCATTACCTCGGCCCCTCTAGCTGCTCTGGCTGTAGCTTCCACTGCTGCCGTTGTGCCAGGCACAAATGAGTTTAATTTGCCTATTTTGCTGGTGTCCCCTTTGTGAAGAATAGCGCCTGAGAAGCATCTCATCCCCTGTGTCTGATACAGCCTTTGTTCTTATCAGAGGCATCGCCCTGCTTTCCAGCTTAGACTCAGCTGGACCCTTTGCCCACACCCTAGCTTGGGCCCTCAAGAGCAAGAAGTGGTCAGATTTTCCTTCCTGCTTTTGTCTGGGTATAAGGGGATGGTAGGGGTTGGTAATCCCACTTGGGAGGCTATGCCTGATTCTCTAGAGCTCACAGGCCTCAAGAATGCATAAGAGGCTGGGTGCAGTGGCTCATGCCTGTAATCCTAGCACTTTGGGAGGCTAAGGTGGGTGGATCACCTGAGGTCAGGAGTTTGAGACCAGCCTGGCCAACAGGGCAAAACCCAATCTCTACTAAAAATACAAAAATTAGCCAGGCATGGTGGCACATGCCTGTAGTCCCAGCTGTTTGGGAGGCTGAGGCAGGAGAATCGCTTGAACCTAGGAGGCACAGGTTGCAGTGAGCCAAGATCACCCCACTGCACTCCAGCCTGGGTGACAGAGTCTCCAGAGTGAGACTCTGTCTCAAAAAAAAAAAAACAAAAGCAAACAAAAAAAAAAACACCGTAAGAGAGGGAGGGTTGGTGGGATAGTATCAGTCCTGCCTGAGACTAAGTAATCCTTGGCATCCAGGTTCTAAGGAGTTCATTCCTCTTTTGTACTTGAGCCTGGATATTATCTCTCATCTGCCTTGAGTGCTGTTTCTCCTGAAGTCCTGCAAGCACAGCTGCTCTATTCAGTGACAAGAGGACAGACCAGACACTTGAGCCTGCTGGTTATATAAGGTGCAGGAGATCTTATTCAGTGCCTTCCTCAGCCTTTGATTTTTCAGATCTTGATTGGAACCTATCCTCTGCACCAGGATTAGCTACCTTTGCTAATCCCCCGACATAGCCCAGTGTGACAGGAAGCTTTGATTTTAGCCTTCAGGATGACACACACTACTTGTGGCCTCCTGTCCCACCTATCTGCCTGATGCCCAGAGCTGTGGGCAGGGTATGTATCATGGAGATGGCTGGATGAGCTGTTTCCAGCAGAGGAAGCTCTTGTCTAGTGGTGGTTAGGGTCCATCTCTGGGAGGAGGGATGCTCACTTGGCATGTGTCTCACAGAGACTGTGTCTGTCTGCTTGGGCATCACTGTCATTCATGTTCATAGTTTCTGCCAGACGTCACTCTTGGGAGTAGAGTTCTGTGTTGGGGAGGGGTGGAGCGTGGGAGTCCGGGCAGGGTAGAGTGGGTGGTTGGACGGGAATCTCCTTGGACACACATCTGTGTGTCGCATGGGTAAGATTGGACCTGTCCTTTCTCTGCCTCCCTTTGTGTGGCACTCCAGCCTCTGGACTACTAGGTGGGTGTGATTGATTTCTTTTTTCTTTTTTTTTTTTCGAGACAAAATCTCGCTCTGTCGCCCAGGCTGGAGTGCAGTGGCGCGATCTCGGCTCACTGCAAGCTCCTCCGCCCGGGTTCACGCCATTCTCCTGCCTCAGCCTCCCGAGTACCTGGGACTACAGGCATCTGCCACCACGCCTGGCTAATTTTTTGTACTTATAGTAGAGAAAGGCTTTCACCATGTTAGCCAGGATGGTCTCAATCTCCTGACCTCGTGATCCGCCCTCCTCGGCCTCCCAAAGTGCTGGGATGACAGGTGTGAGCCACCGCGCCCGGCCTTTTTTTTTTTTTTTTTTTTTTTTTTTTGAGACAGTGTCTCACTCTGTCACCCAGAATGGAGTGCAGTGGCATGATCTTGGCTCACTGCACCCTCTGCCTTCTGGGTTCAAGTGATTCTCGTGCCTCAGCCCCCCTGAGTTGCTGGGACTAATAGGTGCAAGCCGCCATGCCTGGCTAATTTTTGTATTTTTAGCAGAGATGGTGTTTCACCATGTTGCCCAGGCTGGCCTCGAACTCCTAACCTTAGGTGATCTGCCTGCCTCAGCCTCCCAAAGTGCTGGGATTACAGGCATGAGCCACCACGCCCAACTGGTAGGTGTGATTCTTGATGGCACACAGGAAGAGGAAGACTAAGCCAAGGAGTGGTCATGTCTAAGGGCTTCCCGCCAAGAGGATGCTTTTTGGAATAGTGCTTGATGCCACCCTCCACCCATGGGTGTTTTGTTAAAAGGTTAACTTTGCTAAACATCTGAAAAGAACTATGCTAGGGAAGTTCTGTCCTAGGGAGATGCCATCCAGGGATGCAGAGGGCCGCAGAGACCAGGAGCACCGGCATCCCACTGACTTGTACAGTGACCTTGGCCAAACCCCTTGGCCTCTCCTGCCCTTTACTTGAAGTGGGGAATATTCTCCTGCTCCTGCTGGAGCCATGGAGAGATAGATGAAATTGTCTCTATAAAATGCTCTGATTGTTTTGGAAGAAAAATGTTGTATCACTGCCAGTTGTTGTTGTTATTAACAGTGACACTTAAAAATCGATAGGGCATCGCTCTGAGGAGCTGCAAATACTGCCTGTGGCTGTTTGTTTTCCAATTTATTCTCACCTTTTCCTAATGGAGGGAGGGGCAGATGCTGCCCACCCTGCACACCTTGCTGGTGGTTGGGAGGATTTATCTTGAGGTGATGAGAACAAATGGGGCCGGTGAACTGGACAAATGCATTTGCCAGCTGGGTTTGTTGCCCATGGCAAACATGCTCAGGGAAGCCAGCTCATTTGACAAAAGTTTACTGAATTTCAACTCTGTTACACTCTTAGAGGATAGGAAGATGCATTTGGCATGGTTACTGTCCTCAAAATGTTTAGAGTCTAGACCAAGACATGAAGAATATTTAGAAAAAAGTACCTACAACATGTCAGGCACCGAGCTGAGAGTCACTGCATGCTCTCATTGAATCTGGCCAAGTAAGTACTGTTATGGAGTAAAGACAATTACTATTTCCATTTTATGCATGGAGAAACTGAGGCTTGGGGAGGTTAAGTACTTGCCTAGTGTCGCCCAGCTAGACTGTGTCAGAGCCAAGACATGAACCCAGGCAGCGTGACTTCAAAGCCAGACTTCTAACCACAGTGTGGTGCCAAGTGGTGATAAATGCTGAGAGAGAGAAAAAAAAAAGAGAGAGAGATTGAGAGCACGCGAGAGCAGGCGTGAGCGTGGGAGAGCAAGTGCTTTTCCTACAGGACTGACTTGGGTGAGATTTGCGCATCTGGGACAGAACAGAAACTCCAGTCCCTGCCCATCACTGGCCCACATACAATTTGGGTTCCTGTTGTTTTCTCTGTCCATGAATCATACTGAGCTTCACTCCTTGCCTTTATTTTCATGTGCCATCAGTCAGATCTAATCCCAGGGGGGAATATCCTGGTGCATGTGTATCAGGAGTGGGCAGTGGATAAGAAACTTGATTTCAGTGCCCCACTAGTCCCATGAAATGACTCTCATGAAATACTCCCATATGATCTGGACTCTGGGGAGGATAATTTGGGGACTCTCCCCTCCTTTTTTGTTACATTGGTTCTGATGCCTCCATAGTTGGATTCTCCAGTGGAGTCCTGCATTCACTTGCTCCCTCTTGCCAAGGGATCTTTTGGAGACTGTTGAGAACCTGAGTCACCTCTGAGGCATGAGTGCCATTATCAGCTTGTGGTCCGAGACCCAGAATGCTTCTCACAAGAAATCTCCTTCTTACTGGAGACAGGCACCCAGGGTAAACTTTTTTTTTTTTTTTTTTTTGGAGACAGAGTCTCACTCTGTTGCCCAGGCTAGAGGGCAGTGACGTGATCTTGGCTTGCTGCAACCTCCGCCACCTGGGTTCAAGCGATTCTCCTGCCTCAGCCTCTCAGCCTCTCAAGTAGCTGGGATTACAAGTATGCGCCACCAGAGCCAGCAAATTTTTGTATCTTTTATAGAAATGGGGTTTCTCCATGTTGGCCAGGCTAGTCTCAAACCCCTGACCTCAAGTGATCCGCCTGCCTCGGCCTCCCTAAGTGCTGGGATTACAGGCGAGAGCCACCATACCTGGCCCAGGGTGAACCTCTCATAAGAACATGAGGCTGCCATGGCAGCATTAGACCTGCCACACTGGGAGGAGAGTTTGCCTGTTGTTACCAAGCACAGGAGAGGGACTCTGCCACTGGGGAGGGGGTCAAGCACAGTATTTTTAGCAAGCAATCCTTTACTGTTTATTCAGCCACTTTAAAAATAGATACCACCCTTTCTTTCTAATTGGCACCATTTTTCATCCTCTGTCCTTGCTTTTCATACACTGAGCTGTTCATGAATATTTATTTACATTCCCAGAGGCAACTCCATATATGTGTGTGTGCATGCATGTGCCTCTAAAACTCACTGTGCCCTCCTTCCTTTCCCTCATGAAAAGTGACACAGTGGAAGTCTGGGATGGAAGGGCAAGGGCCCTTGCCTTTGAATACCTTTCTTGATGCTGCAACTGATGAGTTTCCAGACCTCTCTTTTGGACCCCTGCTTGTCTCTTAGGTTACCTCCTTCCCTGCCATGGGACTCATAGACTGGTTGTCCAAACTGTCCACCTTTTTTAGCACTTAGCCAACTTTAAGCACCCATACCACACCTCCAACCTCTTTGCCTGACTAAAATGCCTCCTCTCGGCAGTCAAGTCTAGGATCCCTGAGGTGCTTTGATGAAGCACCCTGGCATGGACATTCAGCTCTTCAGACTTCTTATTTCATTGTTCTTGGCAAAGGCTAGAAGAGGCAAGTTCATAGGCAAAATGTGGAAACAACCCTAATATCTGTCAACTTTATCTTTTGACTTCATCTCTTTTTCCTCAGTATAACCGCTTCCTGTCAGCCATGCTGACACACAGGCCCCTAGCGGTTTTTGTAAAGCAAGAGCCTAGAGCCCCCTTTGGGGGTGTTGCTGTGTGCTGAGGATTCTGGAAAGAACCTCACCCCTGTGACTAGGCCCTTTTGCCTGAGTTGTCCCCATTCCTGAGCCATTGTTCTGTCTTTTGCTCACCCGGGTGGCTGAAAAGACAGGATGACTACCTGAGCATTTCAGTCAGGGAGTTTGTTATTGATGATGCCGTTCACTTCTCAGGAGTGTTGCATCTAACACTGCCCCCATGCTCTTGTGGAAGACCGCATTCTCTCACTCTTTACAGCTCCTCTAGACAGAAATGATTCCAGATATCACTGTGTTCACCCCTGCCTCCTGGCAAGGAGCCCTCTCTCATAGCCCATCCCAACACTCATCTCCTCTGGCCCTAAAAATTCATACATTCATTAAAAAATATGAATTAGCCGGGTATGGTGACTTGTGCTGGTAGTCCCAGCTACTTAGGAGGCTGAGGTGGGAGGATCACTTGAGCCTGGGAGGCAGAGGCTGCAGTAAGTCGAGATCACGCCACTGCACTCCAGCCTGTGTGACAGAGTGAGACCCTGTCTCGAAAAAAAATTATTTAAAAAAGTCATGACTACCTATTATGTGCCAGGCATTTTGCTAGACTGAGGATGTGGTGGTGAACAAGACAGATAGGTGTTTCTTTTTACATGTCAGAAGTTGATTTTTTAGTCAGTCAGTATGTCATCAAAATTAAATACTCTTGGCTGGGTGCTGTGGCTCACGCCTGTAATCCCAGCACTTTGGGAGGCCAAGGCGGGCAGATCATGAGGTCAGGAGATCGAGACCAGCCTGGCCAACATGGTGAAACCCCGTCTCTACTAAAAATACAGAAATTAGCTGGGCGTGGTGGTGCACTCCTGTTATCCCAGCTACTTGAGAGGCTGAGGCAGGAGAATCGCTTGAACCCGGGAGGCAGAGGTTTCAGTGAGCCGAGATCATGCACTGCACTCCAGCCTGGCGACAGAGCGAGACTCCTTCTCAAAAAAAAAATAAAATAAAATTAAATTAAATTAAATACTCTTGTGCTTCAAAGGATACCATCAAGAAAGTGAAAAGGAAAACCACCGAATGGGAGAAAATTTTTACAAGTCATATATCTGGTAAGGGACTTTTTATCTAGAATACCTAAAGAATGTTTGCAACTCAGCAACAGAAAACAACGTAATTAAAAACTCCTACAATTCAACAATAAAAAGACAACCCAATTAAAAAATAGGCAAAGGATCTGAATGGACAGCTGTCCAGACAAGATAATGCAAATGTGCAGTAAGTACAGGAAATGATGCTCAACATCATTAACTCCCAGGAAAATGCAAACCCAACCACAATGAGAGAACACTGTATACTCAAAAAGATAGATAATAACAAGTGTTGACAAGGATGTGGAGAAATTGGGACCCTCATATACTGCTAGTGGAAATGTAAATTGATCCAACCATTTTGAAAAACACTACTAGTTCTTCAAATAGTTAAACATAGAGTTATCATGTGATCCAGCAATTCCAATGCTAGGTGTGTACCCAAGAGAAGTGAAACCATATTCCACACAAAAACTTGTACATGAATGTGCATAGCCTCAATATTCATAACAGCCAAAAAGTGGAAACAACCCAAGTATCTGTTGACTGAGAAATGGGTAAATATAATGTAGTATATCCATACAATGGAATATTTAGCAATAAAAAGAAATGAAGTACTGATACATGTTATGAATGGATGAAACTTTTAAAAAGTCAGAGTGAAAAAAGCTAGTCACAAAGCACCACATACTGGATGATTCCATCTCTGTGGAATGTCTGGAATATTCAAATCTGTAGGGCCTAGTGCTGAGGGAGTGGGGGTTGGGGAGAGTTGCGGGGGGCACTAGTAATAGGTATGGGGGGGCAATGAAAATGCCTTAAAATTGTGATATGTTGCACAACTCTGTGAATACACAAAAAGCTATTGAGTTGTACACTTTAAATGGGTGAATTGTGTGGTATGTGAATTTTACCTCAATAAAGCATTTTTAAGTCAGTAACGTGTTATGAAGAAAATAAAATAGGATGATATAAGGTTCTTTAGATGAGTTAGTTACAGAGACTTTTCCAAAGAGATGTCATTCTGGCCTCAACTCAAATATAGATTGAGTCAGCCATATGTACATTAGGCCAAGGGTTTTCCAGGCAGCAGGAATAGCCGTTGCAAGGGTCCTGAGGTAGGGACAAGCTTGGCCAGTTGAGGAAGCAGCCAGAAGGTGAGTGTGGCTGGAATGGAGTGAGCTAAAGAAAGACTAAGAAGAGGTGAGGTTGGCGAAGTTGGCAGTGCACCTAGAGACCTAGGTGAACTAAATTTGGATTTTATTCTAAGGGTAGCAGGAAGCCACTGGTGCCATTTAATTAAGGGAGTAACAAGATCTGATTTACATTTTAAAAATGATCCCCTGGCTTGGCTCAGTGGCTCACACCTGTAATCCCAGCACTTTGGGAGGCCGAGGGAGGTAGATTGCTTGAGTCCAAGAGTTTGAGGCTGCAGTGAGCTATGATTGCACCACTGTGCTCCAGCCTGGGTGACAGAGCAAGACCTAGTGTCAAAAAGAAAAAAAGGAGGAAAAAAAAAAGATTCCTCTGATTGCTTTGCGGGAGAGAAGGAACTCTTCATGGTTTCAGACTACAGCACTGCCTACCTTGTTATCTTAAATCTCTGATAGTAGGAAGCTCTTCCTGGTATCTAGTTCAAGTCACCTCCTCTCATCAGGATTTTGGGTGGTAGATCTGATGGCCATGATAGTGCTTCATAACTGGGAAGATTATTGTTCCCCAGATTAGGATATAGAGTCAGAAAGCTTCATGTCTCTCCATGTTTGTGGCTACTCTCATCATAAGATTGTGGCTGTCCAGACTCAGGACCGTGATGTCTGCCTGATTTTCAATTGCTGGGGCTGTCTTTGGCCATGGCACCTGGTCCTGAGACGAGTAGAGCAATCCTGCCACTTCCACCAGCTAGCAGCATACCTACTTCCTTCCTCTGAGTTGGAGGACAATCTGGAGGGTCAAGCAACACAGGGTGCTGTGTGAATGGGCTTTCTAGTGGATCCAGGTAGCTCTTGAGAAGCTGTGTGAGAAGCTCAGGATGTGTGAGAAGCTCTCAGAGAGTCAGCTCAGGATGGAGGTGCACTTCTCTGGGAAACGTGATGGATGGCACATAATGATTAGAGCTTTGCTTGCCCTACAAATTTTTTTTTTAATTTCATATATATTGTTTCCTCTATTTAAGTAATACATTCTCAGTGTAAGCTTTTCAAACGTTAAAGTAATACGTAATATAGAAAGTTGAAATTATACCAAAAGGACATAGATCAGTTATAGAGACGAACTCCTAATGGTGGTTTATTTACTCATTTAGCAAATATTTATTGAGTCCCTACTATGTGCTTCCTCTGAGGATTGCAATGAAGAATAAGGGAGGTAATGGCCTGCGTGGTGGCTCAAGTCTGTTAATCCTAGCACTTTGGGAGGCTGAGGCGGGTGGATCTCCTGAGCTCAGGGGTTTGAGACCAGCCTGGCCAACATGGCAAAACCCCGTCTCTACTAAAAATACAAAAAATTAGCCAGGTATGGTGGCGCGTGCCTGTAATCCCAGCTACTTGGGAGGCTGAAGCAGGAGAATCACTTGAACCCAGGAGGCAGAGGTTGCAGTAAGCTGAGATCGTGCCACTGCATTCCAGTCTGGGTGACAGAGTGAGACTCCGCCTCAAAAAAAAAAAAAAAAAAAAGAGAGGTAATATAAGAATACTGAGCATGCACCGGGCACATAGTAAGCATTCAGTAATGGTAGCTTCTAATATTGTTGTTATTGTCATCCTGACTGGAGGCAGAGGTATGGGCATCGTGAATATTTTCTGCAAGCTTTTCCTTGACTGGAGGGCTGGAATATCTGGGCCGTGAAGGTCATTGTTTTTTCTCATATAGTGTTCTAAGACCTTAGGGGCTTAGTCAGGGCCTTTGGTGGCCTCTGGCCCTGACACCAGGTTTGGTTCTTCTATGGATACGTCACACTTCTGGAAACAATGCTGTGAAGCAGCTCTTTTCCCTCTTGTCCAGTTTATTAGCTATGTGTTGTTGTATAACAAATTATTCTCAGATGTAGTGGGTTAAAACAACAGTAATAGTTTATTATTTTTCTGTTTCTTTGGGTCAGGAATTTGGAAATGTAGGCAGGGTGTTGACTGGGTATGAGAATCTGCTTCCAGTTTACACGCCTGGCTGGTTGGTGCCAGTTGTTGGTGAGAGGCCTCGGTTTCTCTCTCTGTGAGTTTCTCCACAGGGCTGTGCAGGTCTCCCCATGGCTTCCCCCAGAGTGAACAACATAGGACAGCAAGATGGAAACTTCAGTTCTTTTTGTGGCCTAGCCTTAGAATTCGACATCATCACTTCCTCTTTATTCTTTTGGTCACATAGATCATCTATAGTTAATGTGGGAGGCACCAACACAAAGGCTGGGATCGCTGGTGGGGATCGCCGGTGACCGTGCTGGAGACTGGCACCACACCTAGTATCTGGGGACTCTGTCCTAGGCACTGTGGAAGGAGACCCCACACATGCAGGGACAGTCAGTCACCTCATGGACCCTTGTCTGAGGCAGGTGTTCCTTGCAGCTCACTGAGCCTATGCCCTTCCCCCATGCTCTGGCCTCACGGTGCTGAGCTGCCCAGCTCAGTAGCTGCCTCTTGGCTGAAGTGGTGGCGTGTCAGGGGGAGGACAGTGGTTTCATTTTTGAGTCTTTGATCATGAGAGAAGGCTGAGCTCTTCTGGAAGTCTGCCAGTGGCTTGTGCTTCCAGACACTGGATTTCTCGAAATGGATTGACCAGCTGACCAGCCCCTTCCTATAGGCTTCTTGCCAACCTTCAGAGGAGGGAGCCATTTTTCTTACCTTGAAATCCAGTAATTTCAAGATGAGAGTAGACAGTATTATACTAAAAATGGGGTGTTTTTATCCTTTACAGTTTTATGTCTTGTGTAAGGAAGACTCTTAAAAGTGGGAGAGGTAAGAGGTGTGTGGCAAAAGAACTTCTTGAGTAAGATCCTGGTCTATGGATGGACATACAGCTTGTTGCTGTATATCTCTGGGCAAGTTACTTAACCTAAGCCTCAGCTTCCTCAGCTCAGAGATGAAGAAGACAGTGGTGCTTCACAGACTCATGTGAGGATTAAATGAGATAATGTAGGATGATACACATGAAGCTCATAGCACAGAACACAGCACATTGTAAGGAAATACAGCAAGAGCTGTCACTAAAATATTGTTAATGTTAATATCATCATCATCATTGTGCTCACCGACTCTGAGTGAGACCGAGAGAGGAGCATTGACTTCCCAAGCAACATAAAGGAAACCCAGGCCCGGAAACAGGGGCTCCTTCCCTCTCCAGCTTTCATACTTTCCATACCGAATGTTCTTCCACGTGATGCCTGAACTACAAATAGAAGTTTGGGCAACTCCCAATTATCCCTAGTGTGAATAATTCACTCTGAGATAATCTGTGTGCCTGGCTGGCTTCCCAAATCAGCTGAGTGGATTATTCTCCTCTTTCAATTATTCAACAGTACAAGTAATTGGGAGCTGGCATTAGAATGTAAAGGCCGTGAGGTCATCTCCTGTTGTTCTCAGTTGCACAGTCCTGCCAGTGGTGATGTTTCAGAGCAGTGCGGAGGCTGTAGAGCAGGCCCAAAGGGGGAGGACAGAGGTGGTGACAGGCATGACAGTGAAGAATGAAGGCCCTCAGATGGCAAGTTGGGGGAGGTGAAGCTAACAGCCACAGGCAGGAGAGCCCAAGAGGAACGGTTTATAAAGGCTGCCTTCCCTCTCCCTGGCCTGTAGAGAGAGACCCCGTTGCAGCCGAGTTCACGCTTTCCTGAGGAGCTCTTTGGATTTAGCTTTTGGTTCTGGAATGTTAGTGTATCCTGGAGTCTTTTAAAATATGACCAGCCACCCCTGTTCTCTTCTGTTTGCTGCTCAATTTGATATCAAGGGGTGCACGGAGAGACCTGAGGAGCCTCTTCTTTCTGGAGAGTAGGGTCTCTACATTGAAAATAGCATGTGTAGAAGCGTGATCCATTCATATAAAAAGTAAATGGGTAAAGATTTATATATAAATTTATATTGCACATATATTTTTAAATATGTGATATAAAAATCTGGGCCGGGCGTGATGGCTCATGCCTGTAGTCCTAGAACTTTGGGAGGCTGAGGCAGGAGGATCACTTGAGCCTGGAGTTTGAGACCAGCCTGGGCAACATAGTGGGACTTAGTCTCTACAATCACAACAACAAATTAGTCAAGGCTGGACACGGTGGCTCACACTTGTAGTCCCAGCATTCTGGGAGGCGGGAAGATCACTTGAGCCCAGAAGTTTGAGGGTAACATAGTGAGACCTCAGCTCTATATTAAAAAAAAATTTAGTCAGGTGCAGTGGCATATGTCTAGTCCCAGCTACATAGGAAGCTGCAACAGGAGGATCAGTTGAGCCTGGGAGCTCAGGGATGTAGTGAGCTGTGATCACACCACTGTACTCCAGCTTGGGTGACAGGGCGAGACCCTGTCTCAAAAGAAAAAAGAAAAAACTCTGCTCTTACCTCTGATGGTCTGAGAAACAGGGACTTTTCCTTTCTATTTTGCACTCTTCTATACTGCTTGATTTTTTTTTTCTTTACCATGAACTTACATGATTTATAATTATTTAAATTACTTATTATAAAATAAGACACAGAAGTTGCTGTTGGGTTTTCTGGCATGAGCCCTTTGGATTCTGTGTTTTAGCATTCATGATCATTCTCTGGGCCACTTTATTCTTACACAACCTTTTTTTTTTTTTTTTTTTTTTAAATACTTCAAGTTCTAGGGTACCTGTGCACAACGCGCAGGTTTGTTACATATGTTACACAACCTTTAATTGTATAAGGATAACCTTTAATTGGCTTGGGCTTGGGGGTGGACTCATCAGTTTGCCCAGATCCCTTCAGCCAGGTGGCAGGCAGGTGTCGCTCCTGCTGTACTGTAGGAATACTGTGGCCAGCCTCAGCTCCATGCTGGGACTGAACAAGGGCTTCTCTACCCCCATCACTGGGGCCTCAGCCCTGGGTTGTCCTCCCTTCTGCTCTTATTGCCCCTCTGTCCCCCTTGCCTGAGGACCCAGGACCCGTTTGTCCTGGACTTGGTGGACCCAGGGTTTTACCCTCATGTTACCCACATAGTCCTCTCTTTGCCTCTGGGGAGAAGGATTAAACTCTTGGTTCATGTACTATTTTGAGGTATTTGTCCAAGTTTAATAGTTGTGAAGGAAGAAAAAGGTTAGTTGCTGTTTGAACTGTTTCTCTGGGATTAACAAAAATTAGTTTGTGGCTCAAGAAAAATTGTGTGAGCTCAGTTTGTGGGGTGGGGTCATAGTTTCTGAGGTTCTCTCCAGGTTTGGCTGGTGCTTGGTTCCAGCCTGTGCTGAAGAAGGGCAGGGAACAAGTGGGAAGGAGGAGCTTTCTTGTCTCTGGGGCTCTTAACAGCTGTAGTAAATTGTGGCATGTGTGGAGCAGCAGCAGAGCCAGCCTGAGGAGCTCTGAGCCAGAGGGTTCACCCATGGGAAAGCTGCTTTTTAGCCCAGCTTGAGGTTCTTACATCTGGACCCAGCATGGCTGCGTTGAACCAGACCTTCAAATGTGGCTGTGAGTACCAGGCATGGCTAGAGCATTTAAGTACTCCACATGGGAGCTGAGCTTTGTCTTTCTGCATTTCTAGGGACAGGCTCAGTGGACAAGTAATGGTGGCAGAAAGAACTTGGTGACCAGATGTTGGCTAGCACCACTGCTTTCGGCGGGCCCCAGGTTGTTGGTGAAGTCAACGGAATCACTTAAGAATGTGCAGAGCTCAGGAACTGAAGCCTCATGATTCTCCTGCTGGATCTGGCTTCCAAAGGTCCCCATAACCCTTATCCCCAGCTGGCCTTGGAACAACGAGGCCTCCTATGTCTCAGCTCTCCCCAGGGACCCTACAGAGCTCATTCTGGGCTTTTGGAGGGTGTCATCTGTGTGGCCTGAAGGAGACCTGAGTTTTGGACACGCTTGAGAAGGGAAGCTGCTTTGATATTTAGCCAGAGAGATGACTGAGCCTGTTGGTTGGAGCCCAGTGAGGATGTTAGAAGAGTGTGCCGTGGGCCCTGGAGGTGAGGAAAGGCCAAGGACCTCTCTTCCTTCAAGCCAGGTTGTGGGGAGAGCCCCACTGTGAGCCCTTTGTGCTAGGCATTGAGCAAAGTGGCAGCTTTTGTGGTGCTGGGGATGTGGGAAGTTTTCTACTTTTGCAGCTATTATGCTGAGTTTCCCTCCCTCTCCAGGATGTAGGGGTATATTGGAATAGAGAGCTATCCTGTGAAACCATTGGTGTGAATGGGGAGCAACTCTGGGCTGAGCCTCATCCCCGCTCTTGACCCCCGTCAAAGGTGCTGAGGTTTCCAGGTTCAGGGGAGTTAATCTTTATGGTCTGTGCTCTGAGAAGAAGATTCAAGTTAGTTGGTGAGAAAACCCTGCAAAGAGTTGGCTGCTGGGGGAACTCCTCACTATGCTTTTAGTGCTGTGTAGATTTCCTAAGTGGAGCTGTTTGAAGTAGAAAAAGTCCTGTGCATGGTCTCAGGGGCAGGTCTACAAGGATGGGCTGCTTTTAGAAGTACAAGCAGCAGGGCCTTTGGAGCATTTCAAGCCGGTAGGTCACATGGGATCTCTGCAAACAAATCTCCAACCAGACTGTTAATAGACTTGGCCACCTCCCATTCCAGCCCCAGATAGTCAATTATCATCTAGTATCTTGGCCTGGGGTGGTATAAAACAATGTGGTGGGCTATGAAGGCTCTTGATTTATGTTGTTTTTGGTCTCTCAACACATTCTGTTCTCCTCTTTGGAAAATAATACTTCCTTTCCTTTGGGAATCTCTTCACCAGTGCCACATGGTGTGGTGAGGCTGTTAATCTTTATGCCCCACCTGTTCCCTTCCCAGTTAGGGCTGGTCATGTGATCTAGACTTGCCACTCACAGTATCACTTCCATCTGGACAGTAATTGGTCCAGGGGTGTGTGTGTCACACAAGCAGGACCAATCAAAGTTCTTCTCTGGAATTCTTTTTTTTTTTTTGAGTTTTGCTCTTTGTTGCCCAGGCTGGAGTGCAGTGGCGCAATCTTGGCTCACCACAATTTTGGCCCACTGCAACCTCCCCCTCCCAGGTTCAAGCTATTCTCCTGCCTCAGCCTCCCTAGTAGCTGGGACTACAGGTGCGCATCGCCACACCCAGCTAATTTTTGTATTTTTATAGAGACGGTTTCCCCATGTTGGCCAGGATCTTCCCTGGAATTCTATACCACTTGGGAGGATGTAGTTACCTTTATGCTGGGATTGGCTGTTTACAGGGAGAAAACTGGAGAGAAGCAAAGCCTAGAGGTGCAGGCTGAGAGAGGGCCTTGGCACATTACTTAAGCCTCTGGACCCAGCTGTGCTTTTTACCTTTGTCATGCCTCTTCATAATGGGACCCAGTACACTCTCTTTTCCATAGATGAGGAAGGAATTCAAAGGAATTCAAATTCCTCTGAATTTCATTTTGGTCCCTTAAAAACAGAGTCCTAACTAATACAAAACAACTTCCAACTGATCTGTTTGCTTCCAAATAGCTAATGTCATGTCCAGGGAAGCTGCTTCCCTGGTGAAATCCTGTACCTAACACTTTGCTTTGCACACATTGGGTGCTTGCCTTGTGTTTCTTATGTGGTAACTGTACCCTCACCATCTGCCACCATCCTTTGGGAGGAGAGTGGAGACCTGAACCTGGGTCTCCCAGCCTGCCTTTGTTGGTGGCAGTGAATCCTGTCATCTGTGCATACATTTTCATCTCCCTTCCTCTCTGCCTCTGCTTCTGCAAAGATAAATACAATCTGCCAGTCTTGCTTTGCAGGGGCCTTTCCAAACATGCCAGTGGTGGGGCATTTATCGGAATACCTCAGGCTGCTGTCTTCCAGATGCAGACAAGAGGCCATACTCCCAGGGCACAGTACTGTTGCAGCCATGGGTGTGATTATCCCCCTCTGAGATCAAGCTGTCCCCTTGTGCCCAGTGTGAGCTGGTGCTAAATTTATTGTGCCTAAAACATCAGGGCAGTGTTAGAGGTTCCTTGCCCACTGCTTCCTTCCCAGGCTGCTCGTGCCAGCTGCAAGGCCCTTGTGAGGCTGTTAGATGTCTCTCTGTGGCAGATTCATTGTTCCATATTTTTATTTAATTACTTACTTTTACAGCTCTTAGAATAAATCTAATTATCCATCTGTTATGCTACATTATGCCACTGCGGTTCATGCAATTCTTTCTGATCGTATATGGTATTTGTCAACTTGACCTTGCCCTCTTCCAATGTTGTTGCTCCCCTGTGTGGCTCTGTGCCATCTCCTCAATGGATCCTTGGCACCAGCCAATCTATCAGGGACCTCGGGCAGAGCTGACTGTGAGTGGCTCTCAGATGGAACAGGGGTTGGTGGAGCGTGGAGTATTATTGCAGGAGGAGAGTGGCCAAACAGCCATCTCTGATACCATGCTGACCTGACAGAGGCATGGAAAGTTGGGCTGGTACTGTGTTAGAGTCCCAGAAAGGAAAGCAGGAGCTCTAGCCTACAGTTTCCAGTCTTCAGCCAGAGAGGACTGTTGTCAAGGAGGACAGCCAGCTGAGGTCAGGCTGAAAGGAGGTGACAGTGGCCACCTGGGGACATATCTGTGGACTGTCCTGCCATGGCTGGCAGGCGGTGCCTAATCCTAAGATTGAGTCAGGGCTGATCTTAGACACAGCAGAGGTGGGCATTACCTACTAGAGGTGATTTCAGGAATCAAGTGAAACTCCCTGCTTCCCAAATCTTTTTTTCTTTCTGCTACTGCCTAAAATTCAATTAATACCATTAGAAATTTGTTTCTTGGTTTTATATATATAAACTTCTCTTTGTGAGCAAATACAGACATTCCTAGGAGGAGGACCTCAGGGGGTTATTGACCATCTGGGCTGCATCCCTTTTCTCAAGCAGGCAGGGGATATGCAGTGAGGAGGACCCATGGTCAAGAGAATCAAAGTGCAGGGAGATGGGGAGAGAAGTCAGAACTCAGGGCAGTCGCGGAGTCTGATTCCGTGAGCTCTTGGAATGGGCAAGGTGCTCAGAAAGGGAGGGAGGTCATGTGCCCAACCCATCCACGTGCCTAGTGCTGGGGCTCAGTGTCTCAGCTGGGAGGGGACACAGAGCCAGCCTTGTGTCTGCAGGCAGCTCCTGTTAATTGCATGCTGGGCATTGGGCTCTACCATCTAGAGTGAGGTCACAGTTGAACAGACAACAAGGCACAGTCCAGGTCCTTGAGAGAGTTCATGGTTTAGGAGGGGAAGCTGATCTTGTCAGGTCTGTTAAGAGGATGGAAAGAAGGAGGGCCCCAGGAATGCATAGCAGGGGCCCTGTGAGGGTCAGGAGGTCAGCGAGTGTTTCTCTGAGGAGATCGTGTCTGAAGGGTTCTTGCAGTAGGAACTGGCCAGATGAAGATGGGGACGGGCAGGGGCAGGGCGCTCAGGCAGAGGCGGTGGGGAACACAGCACACTGAGATTCCTCTGTCGATGGAGATGAGTTGAGAAATTCATCGGGGCAAGAGAGGTCCTCCCTCCTCATCACTTTGGTCCTGAAACAGGGTCATTTTCAGCAGACCTCTTGAATGGAAACGCTGAGCCTGCTGCTGTCACTGCTTCTGAAGCATATTCCCCAGGGGCCAGGGGAGGACCTGTGTGGCACAGGCTTTCTGTGGTGGAGGCACTGTGGTCAGAAGCTGTGCTCTACCGCCTCATCCCCCCAAGGTACCTGCAACCCAGGGCAGGGCCTGCTATGCTGACTCTTCCTCCTCATTCACCTGCCCCACCTCCAGCCCAAGCACACATTAAAGGACTTCCGACTTGGATGTGGGCCCAGTTTGGAGCTCGTTATAGCCCAGTGGCCAGGCCCTTCATTTTCCCTTCCAGGTTAAGACTTGGAAGGCATCAAAGGTTGCAGGAACACCCCACAGGCCTTCTCCCTTAGTCGTCTTGCTCTTGCCCTGTCTGCGTGGCCTCCTTAGCTGAGCTTTTCCCACCAGAGCCTCTGGTGACTTTCCACAAGTTTCTCCTCATTCCAGCAAGCAGATTCATGACTAATTGCTGGTAATTTTTTCCTCAAGACTCTATTTATATAGGCTGTCGTGTTGGGGGCGGGGGAAAGCAGGCTCTAGTCCTGGGGGGGCTGCTGTTCCCTGCAACTGCCATCATTAGACTGAGGCCCATGTGGCATTGATATCCACACTTTGTCTTTATTCTTGTATTTTTTGTCGTTGTGACATTTGGTTCTTTGAACATCTAACGTCCCTTTTATGCTTCTCATCTCCCACAGAAGATTGTTGTATTTTGACCCCCACTGAAGCTGCGTTTTCTTTTTGTCAGATTTCTCACTTTCTTCTTTATTGTATTTTGATCAGTGCAGCCATGTAGGTCTGGGTTTTATTGGGAGCTTTTCATCTTTGGGGCAGTGGCCCTCACGGCCTGGGTCTTCTGGCCAATGCTGGGTCCTGCCTCAGGCCCACCAGGGTGAGAGAGGCCCAGGTTGTTATCTGTCCAGGGATACTCTAGCCTAGCGGTTCTGAAAATTAAGCATGCCTCAGAAGCACCTGGAAGCCTTGTTAAAATGCAGATGGCCAGGCCCCTCCCCTAATGGTTCTGATTTCGTGAGTCTGGGGTGACGCTTGAGAATTTGCATTTCTAACTAGCTCCCAGATACTGCTGGTGCTGCTGGCCCAGAGATCAGACTTGGAAAACCACTGCTTTAGAGTAATTCCTCCTTTACCTTGAGCCAGAGTGTGCAGGGCCCAAGGGAGGAAAGAACAGCAGGGTACCAGGATTCTCCTCCTCCATACTGGGTCCAGCTCTCAGAAACACAACGATGGAGGATGTTGCCAGGGCATCATAATAGTAAACACCTGTACAGTGATTTCACCTGCCCTATCTCACTCGATACTCACAGCAGGTCCATTGGTGAAGTAGCACAGCTTCTTGACAAATAATAGAAGTCAAATTGAGATAAGTTAAGGCCTCCTTCCTGGCCATTAGGCTAGTAATTTGCGGCGTGTCCCCAGTGGAATCCAGTTTTCTTAGCTCCTATTCTAGAGCTTTCATGACTCTGCTACTTATTAGCTATGTGACCTTGGGAAAATTACTTAGCTTTCTATGACTCAGTTTGTTGATGAGCAAAATGGGAGTAATGGTGTCTGCCTCATTGAGTTGTCATGAGGATGGCATGATTTAATGCTTGAAAAGCACTTGAGAGCTATTAAATGGTGGCCTCCAGAATCCCCTCCTCTCATGGCGATGAGGGGCTGCGGGTTTTTTGTTTTGTTTGTTTTTGGCATTTCTGTCACAAGAGGCACAGGAAGATGTACTAGTGCCCACCAGACAGCATTACCCGGCCATCAGGACAGGGCTCAGTCACTTTGGAAAGTCACCACCCCCCTACACCCGCCCGCCGAGGGAAATGGCCTGAGGAAGCCTGGTGGGTGGTGTCTGCCTCCAGGAGTTGAGGATGGAGCAGTAGCTGAGGGGCTGGGTCAGTGTGTGAAGCCTAAGACCAGGAGGAAGGGGCACCAGGAGAGCAAGGCGGCCGGGTGGTCCACTCCTCAGGAGCTACTGTGATCCTGGTCCTTTCACTGCCCAGCCCTGGGTGGTGGCCCTTGGAGGATTAGTTTGGAGGGAAGCTAAACTAAGTCTGCCATTTTAGTGGTTTTCTCTTCCTGCCTTGCCCCCACCTTCTGACTTGGGACATTTCCAGCAGTAACGGGGGTTTGAGTGGAAGGCTGGTCTTGATTATGCTAGCAATATTGAACTTGTTGAAAATTACATGCCAGGTACTGTTACATTTGGTATCTCATTTAATCCTCGGTAGCCTCATGAAGTAACCCTCATTTGACAGATGAGGAAGCTGGGTCCTCATCTGTATAAGTAGGGTGACCACATAATTTATTGTCCAAAATGGGATACTTTTAAGAGTGAAAGGGGCACAGTTAATTACTGCACTGGGACAAGAGGCATAAACAGAACATATGGTCACTCTCTGTATAAGGCTTTGTGTTAAGTTCTATGGAAGATATAAAGGTCAATAAAGCACTCTCATGGTCCCGGAACCTGGACCTTGAGCTGAGAGGCAGGTTAATTGACCTGTCTTAAGGTTGTACAGAAAGAAGTCCAGGATTCAAAGTCAAATCTGTGTGGCTCCAGAGCCCTTGGTCTTTGCTAAGCTGCCATGACACTTCCCTCTGGAGTGCTGTTATCCCCCTCCGTGGGTGCCTAGAGTTAGCCTATTCCCAGGATCTCCTGCCCCTCAGCTCAAGGTCCAGGTTCCAGGACCATGAAAGTGCTTTATTCACCTTTGTGTCTTCCATAGAACTTAACACAAAGCTTTATACAGAGAGTGACCATATGTTCTGTTTATGCCTCTTGTCCCAGTGCAGTAATTAATTGTGCCCCTTTCACTCTCAAAAGTGTCCCGGTTTGGACAATAAATTATGTGGTCACCCTACTTATACAGGGTCCTCCCAACCCAGGGACAATGGCATTTTAATAGAGGACCCTGAAAGACAGAATTGTCTTTAAGACTCAAAGAAGTAAATCCCAGATGGTGAAATTTTAAGCGTTTATATCCCAGTAGGCAAGAGAATGTAGACAAAGATTCTGCTCAGCACCCCACAAACCTACCACAAAGGACTATTTCTAACACCCGATTTGAGGGTTGTGGGGGTCACCAGGCCTGTGATGAGATTTGAAAGGGCAGGAGTCCCACTGTGGCTCATGGAAGTGTCTGACAAGCAAGGCCAGAAAAGGGGAGGGACAGCAAAAAGCTGTTGCTTCCCCACCTCCCCAGGCAAGAGGGAAGCCCCTGCCTAGCATTTGATTGTTCTCAAGCCCCCAGCCTCCCTGCAGGAAAGAGCTAATGGGGATTGGCCCTCTTCCCAGCGTCACCCTCAGCCCCTGGTGGGCCCCTGGGCTCAGCTTCCCCACGCTTTCTTGTCGGGTTCCCTCAGGCCCTGCCCTTGTACCCTGGACATTGGTCCATACTCAGCCATGGCGTGTGCAAGTCACATTCCAGGCTGTGTCCTTGCCCCATTTGCAGGCAGCTGAAAACTGCTGTGCATATGTCAGTTCACACTTGAACTGGTTTAATGTTTTTTTCTTTTAAGTTGCAATCTAAAATTCAGCCAGACAGGCTTTAACGAGCACTAAATCGTCAAGCCTTTTGTTTCCCTTGCTATTCAAGCCATAGAGATTTTGTGTTTGATTCAGCAACAATTGCTGAATCTTAAACAAACCATTTACGTTTTGACATTAACTATTTTACGAGTGTAACTTTTTCTTTGGTATTTGAGTGATTCCAGCAGAAGGCCTTTTAATGATTTATCAGAAATAGAGTTAAAAGAGTCTGTGGAAGGTGATTCTTAACATTTTCTTTTGGGGAAAAAAGGAGGTTTTCATCTGCCTTCAGTTGGGCAGTACATACAGAAGTTTAGCTTTCCTCCTCCTATTTTAATAACTTTTGATCTTGTCAAGGTCATTCCTCCAGCATGCCCTCCTGCTCAGCTCCTCCATTTTTCAGACAACCCTTGCACCCAGTGGCTTCTCTCAGAGTGGCTCTCTGCGCGTCTCTGTCGGCTGTTAATTTTGTCTGATAGAGACAGGAACTATGTTCGTTCTTTGCTCTAGCCCTGGTATTCTTAACTGAGGTCCCTGTGCACACTGGGCGTGATCAGTATTTGTCAACCAGCTGACTGGACAAAGAGCCTCAGACAAATAGCATGTTTGCAAACAAAGCCATCCATCATTCTGTCCCTTGAAGCTGTAAGTAATTGGAACTTTTCTCCAGTTCTTAAAGATTTCCACAGAATGGGAAGTCTCCACTTTCCTTTAGGTTCCCATTCCGGTCTGGTGAGTCAGGTCAAAGGGCCTTGAGCAAGGTCAGGCCTCCCAGTGTTGTTCCTGCTTCCGGGAAGCTCTGTATTTTTCTCAGCCTCCAGTGAGACCTGGTGAACCCCGCGCCTAGCTGAGGAGTCAGCGGATCTGCCCAGTTTTCTTCTCTGTTACAATGTGAGCCAAGTGGCCAGGCCTAGGAAACCCATGCTAGGGGGGCCTGAGACTCCCTGTGAAATGCAGCTAGCTGAGGAGGCCATGTTGATCCGCCCCCACGGAAAACCGGGAGCCTGGGTGCTGCACTTGCCTCTCTGAACTAGAACTAATTGTTCTTAAAGATCTTTCCAAATACCAATGATGCAAAATATTTGGATGGTTCACCATATTGTTCACCATATTTAAACTGTCAGAACCTTAAATATCTGAGCAAAACCTCAGCAAACAAAGGATATTTTGGGGACTTGTTATGTGTGTTGCACAGCAGAGAGATTTGTAGTCTATACGACTTCCAAATCCTGTAAACGAAGTATTTCAGTGTTGTCATTTTCAGCTATAGACCGTCCTACGATCATTGCCTTTTCTTTTGCTATTAAGAGATGGCTCATTCATAAACATTCCTACAGTTGTGTGGCAAACGCAAAATAGGCCCTGCGTGATTCCACTGGCTCTGATTGAGGAGATGATTTTTCACACAGTGAGATTTATCATGTTTATCAAGTTTATGACAGAACACAAGGAGGGTGAGGGGATGTGGAGGTTGGAGGGAGTGCAGATCTGAGTGAGGAAGGAAGCTCTTTCCTGAGCCTCAAAGGGCGGGTTGACAAGGTGTGTTGCCTATAAGCTTGGAGCAAGGATTGTGTGGGCCATTTCCTTGGATCCCCTCTTGCCCTGCAGGGTCTGGCCTCCTCCGCTCTCCCCCAGCCACCAGACATGGGGATAGTTATACCACCAACTGAGTATAGAAGACCTAAAATAACATCCTCTGTGTTCTCTAATAAAGTTGATAAATCTCAGTGTGTGAAAAATCTCCCGTATGTTTTAGCTTAAATTTTCTTCTGCTTAACCTTGTTACTCCTGCCTTGCCTCCCTCAGACTGCCTGAGACAATTACTCAGGGACATTCTTTGAATAATTAGAGGCTGCAGATAATTCTCTTTAGCCCGCTTTCTTCCATGTTCCCTACCCTGTGGTCTCCCTTTAGCCAGTTCTAATTAGCTGCTTTGATCCTTCCTCCCAATCTCTCCCTCTAGCTTGTTAATTACATTTCTCCCCCATGAATTCCTTCTGTACTGGCTTTGTCTATCCAGTCAGAGGAGCTGAGAATGGGAATCTAAGGCCACTCAGTGGGAGGTCTTCTTTGTCCCCCAACACAGATAGCTCCTCTCCCTTCTGAGAAGCCTGAAAACCCTGGCATTCTGTCTTAGCAGAAAAGTAAAAATAATAATTTTTGTTAAATGGTATATTATGATAAAACAGCTGTTATCCTAATGCTTGGCATTTGCCAGGAACTCTGGGTATGTTTATGTATATAAAATCACATTTCATCCCCGCAACAATCCCATGAGATAAATATTATTGTTATTAATCCCTGTTTTACAAATGCAGAAACTGAGGTACAGAGAGGCTTAGTAACTTACCTCAGTCACACAGCTGAAAACACTAGAATCTCGGACTTTCACCTAGGTCTCTCTGACTCCAGAGCAGCACTCAGTGTTTTGCTTCCTGGGTTTGGGCTTTTTGGTGAAGAGGAAAAAAAAAAAAATGGAAAAAGTCCAGGTCATTGGCTTTTAGCCCACCAAAAAACTAACCAACCAATCAACTCTGAGGTAATTGTCAACTCTTTACCCTCCGTGTAGAAGAGGCTTTCTCAATTGAAATTATAAAACTGGCACAGAAGCAAACTGGCGTGGTGCACGGGGTATCTGGGCAGTTGGAAATCTTCTAGAAAAAAAAAAGAAACCAATAAATTCTTCACTTGCTTTAATTCTTAATTCTCTTTTCTGACAGTTTTCTCTCTCAGGAGGTTAAGGAAGCAATAAGGAGAAGGGCCTCACTGAAATTATATTCTGAGCAACAAGAAGGATCTGTCTGGTAAAAAAAAAAAAAAAAAAAAAGTCTAGAGAACATCAGCAGAAAGTGACTGTGTTTGGAGAAGCTAAAAGGGGAAGGTAAAACTCTCTGCCTCTGAGTTTTAGGGAAAGTAAATTTCAGAGGGTCCAGGAAAAAGTAGATATGATGTCTGAACAGGAGCTTCAAAAGGAAAGATGACTTAGAGTTTGAAAAATGAAGTGTACTTAATAGAGTCACGAGTGATTACTGCAGGGAACAGGGAGCCACCTAAAGAGACCCACATGGCTTCAGGGGGCACAGTTCGAGCTGAGATTTTGTCTAGAGATGAAAAAGGGACCTGTAACCAAGAGCAAATAGAGAAGTGGATGCAACCTCCGAGAACAGTGTCAGGAGCACCAGATGGGTGAGACCTGGGAAACACTAAGAACAACAAAGGCGCCTGTGCAGCTACTGTTGAGAGTGAGAGGGATGGCAAGGAAGGCTTTAGGCCACCTGGTTCAATCAGGTGATTTAGCAGATGCCATAGAGGGCATCTCTGTCCTTACTGCTTATTCTGTTTGCCTCTGCCTTCTCTCTCAAGGAGAATGGCCTTCCTGCAGAAAGTAAAACAAACATAGAGTTAAGTGGAACTTGAGACCAGGAGTGTACAAAAAGTGTAAATGAACCACTGGCTTCTCCAAATTAGACAGGGTCTGAAAAATTAAATGCCAGACAGAAACTTAGGGACATCATCATCAAACTGTGTGCAGAAATCTTTATGGCATTATGGGGATTGGGAGAGGGGCAAGGAGACACAATGGGCAACTGTTCTGGTTTTCAAAATAACAGAGCAAGTTTTTGAGATGTGACTTAAGAGTATTTTTAAAGAAAAGAGGTCATTTCTTAGAGTTAGTGTGGGTTCCATAAAACCAGGTCTTGCTGGACTAGTTTAATGCTTAAGTCCTCCCTCCCCCATCCCTCCATATAGAAAAGTTTAACACATTCTACTTGATGAATTATTGAAAGTGGAGACACCCATGTAACCACCACCCAGATCCAGAAATGTAACATTATCAGTACCCCAGAAGACTGTCTCAAGTTCCTCCCAACTCTAATTTTCTTTTTCATAAGATTTGCCAGGCTGGCAGATTAGGCCGGTATAATAGACACAGAGGAAGTCTGCGTTTCAGGAAATCATTTGACAGAATCTCATAATAATCTAATAGATCAGATAGAGAAATGATAATAAAGACGTAGATTTGAGGCCGAGTGCCGTGGCTCACGCCTGTAATCCCAGCACTTGGGAGGTCAAGGCTGGCAGATCACTTGAGGCCAGGAGTTCGAGACCAGCCTGGCCAACATGGCAAAACCTTCTCTCCACTAAAAATACAAAAACAAAAACAAAAACAAAACAAAACTGGGCATGGTGGTTAGTGTTGTGGTGTGTGTCTGTAGTCCCAGCTACGTGGTAGGCTGAGGCATGAGAATTAAGCTTGAGTTCTGGGAGGTGGAGGTTGCAGTGAGCTTAGATTGCGCCACTGCACTCCAGCCTGGGTGACAGAGTGAGGTGAGACTCTGAATCAAAAAAAAAAAAAAAAAAAAAAGACGTAGATTTGTAGCAGCTTGAACAATCAGACTTAATCAATGTTTATTTAGAAATGGTTCAAGTGGTTCAATGTCAACAGAGCCTTCACTGTAGTGATGTGCCAAAGAGCTTGTGGCAGACTCTGTCTGTCTAACCTGCATTCTGGTTCTCATGTGAAGATGTGGGAACAGATGGCACGGATCAGGAAGAGATAACCATGTAAGATACATGACAGTGAGAATCCAAAAGAATAGTGACAGGCTAGGAGGAAGGGTCTAGGTAGCCAAGTGGCATGTTAAATTTTATTGTTATTAAACTTCTAATTTATAAGTAATTCAGATTCCTTGTTTAAAACAAAAATTCACCACCCAGAAATAAATATATGGTGTCATATCACCCATACCATTTGTAATTTGCTTTTTGCCTCCTGACAATATTTATTCTTTAGTAAGAATAAAATCGAAGCCCTGTGCTTGGCTTCAGAGCCATGTTGGGGACCCCCTGGCTCATCAGAAGATCATGTGAGCAGCCTTTAGGGATTTGACCTAGGCAGGCCACTGTAAGCTCTGTGAGGCTACTAACAAAAATCTAGAGATTGAGGCATTAGGGGCAGAGTGGCCCTGGGGCAGAGGCAGCCAGGCCCATTGGACTGTGGGTGGGGGGTTGTCCAGCCTGGATCCCTGAGGGTAGGTTTGGGCACCACCACTGTAGGGATTCATCAGTAAGTGGAACAGGGTCCCATAGAGCATTGTCAGGAAAGTGGAGAGTTTCAAGAGTCACCCTGAGAATGACTGCAGAATCCCGTGAGGCCACGTTGTGAGAGGGGAGCTTTCTCTGGATGGTTGGCTGCTCCCAACTTTCAGAAGGGCTGACCTGTCAGGACAAGATCAGGCAACCCTTTCTTTCTTCAAGGGTAGACTTAGGACCAGAGGGTATAGGACCAGAGGGTATAAGCTTCATGAGAGCAGATTTCAGCTCAGTATCAGAATATGTTTTTCTGGCAATTGGAGGAGTTTTAAACTAGCGTAAAGCTGCCTTGTTTGATGATGTAGTCTTCAAGTACTGGGCTGCCAATTACCAGAGATGCTATACTGGATAAAAGGTTGAGCATTGACTCTAGTTATCCCAAATGCTTGTCCTCAGAACGTAGGAATCACATGTGGCATTTATGAAAAATCAGGTCTTCGGAGCCACGTTCTCTGAGATTATGATTTAGTATATGCAGGGTAGGGCTTGGAGTCTGTATTTTCAAAAAGGGCTCCAATTGTTCCTTGGAGAAATGGCTGATTCCATGGCTGGCACGGGAAAAGAGCAATATCTTGTACAAGAACATCCTGTGCCAGAAGGTAAGAAAATATTAAAGGGTGATGGAAACATGTTAAAAAGACACAGAAGCCAGCATGAAAATGCCTGGTGATTAAGGATAATTTGAGCATTGAAGTAAATGATAGAAATGGATGCCATTCCATAGATTAAATAAGAATCTATTAATCCATACTGATACCAGTAAATGAATGAATGAAGAAATAGGAAAGAAGGAAAACCTCTTCTTTTAGGTAGAATGCCAGCAAATAAAGATAGAAACAAGAAAAATAAAGACAGGAGTTTGAATATCATCATTTGACAAACATCATGGTACAGGTTGAACATCCCTTATCTGAGATGCTTGAGACTAGAAATGTTTTGGATTTTCTTTTTTTTTTTTGGCTTTTGGAATATTTGCATTATATACTTACCACTTGAGCATCCCTGATCCAAAAATCCAAAATCCAAAGTGCTCCAATGAACATTTCCTTTGAGCATCATGTTGATGCCCAAAAAGTTTCAGATTTTAGAGCATTTTGGATTTTAGATTTTTGGACTTAAGATGCTTAACCTGGGATAATTAAGCAAGAATTGTCAATGATTGCCAAAACGACTACATGAAAGTTTGATGAGGAATAGGCTGTCTTCATATCTCAAAGTGTCTCCCCACAAAATATTAATTTCAGAGGAACAAATAGTATTTTTATAGTGGAGAAATCTGGCAGATACCACCATAACCAAGTATGCAAAGAAAACATCCAATTGTGAGACTTATGGACATCACTTGCCCTCCTATGTGATACACTGAGAAAGATACGGCATTGTGTTTGTGTATTCCTGCCAAAGCCACAGCCTCAGTCTAATCATTAGAACACATTGGACAAATCCAAACTGAGAAACATTCTACCACTGGCCTGCACTTTTCATAAATGTCAGTGTCATGAAAGACAAGACTAAGGGACAGTTCCAGATGAAAGGAGACCAAGGAGACAGGCTGCTGTGTACATCGTATGGGCATAAATCGGACGTGGGGTCAAAATTATTTTTCTAAAAACAATATTATTGAGAGGGCTCTGTGCAGTGGCTCATGCCGGTAATCCCAACGTTTTAGGAGGCCAGGGCGGGAGGATTGCTTGAAGCTAGGAGGAGTTCAAGACCAGCCTGGGCAATATCGTGAGAACCCCCATCTACAAAAAAAAAAAAAAAAGTGTTTCTTAAAAAGAGGAAAGAGTGGGGGGTAAGGACTATTATTGGGACAGCTGGCAAAAGCTGAATAAATATCTGTAGATTACTGTGTCAGTGTTAGTTTCCTGATTTTGATCACTGTACTTTGGTTATGTTCTTGGGACATACACACTGATATGTTTAGGGGTAAAGGGTCTTCATATCTTCAATTACTCTCAAATATTTTAAAAAAGAAAATCTGTGTAAATATTAAGAGAGACAGAAAATTGTGGTAAATGTCCACAATTGGTGAATCTGGATGGGAGTTTATTTACTATTCTTGCAGCTTTCCAGTAAGTCATTTTTTTGTGTAATTACTTTTCTATAATTTTTTTTTCTTTAGAGAGACAGAATCTCACTCTGTTGCCCATAGCTCACTGCAGCCTCAGCCTCCTGGGCTCAAGTGATCCTCCTACCTCAGCCTCCCGAGTAGCTGGGACCATAGGTGCATACCACCATGCCCGGCAATTTTTTTTTTTTTTTTTTTTTACTTTTGCAGAGACGGGGATTTTACCACCTTGTCCAGGCTAGTTTCAAACTCCTGGACTCAAGCAGTCCTCCCACCTTAGCCTGTCAAAGTGCTGGGATTACAGGCATGAGCCACCACACCTGGCCTATTTTCTGTAATTTTTTAAAGCACTAGTCTGAAATGGTTTCAGGAAATAAACTGCCCAGGTGATTGTGACACAGGGCTGTGTTGGAGAGCTACCAGATGACCCTCAGGAAGGTGATTTGCTGCCCCTCCCTCTGAGGTTCCCTTTATCTCCTCAGAGGTGGGCAGATGATTGTGTCTGTGTGTGTGTATTGTGTGTGTGTCTGTCAGTAGGGTCTAGAGACCCTCTTGTGAGTTGCTGTTACTGTGGTGAGGAGTGGGTGTCTCATAGTTGCTTACGTGGGTGGCTTCCAGTTGGGGGCTGTACATGAAGGGGTCAGATGATAGCCCTGCCTTTCCCCAGTGTCCAGATGGAACTCCTGAGGCCATACAGGTCCCAACACAAAGTGATGTGCAGCTCATGTGTTTTGTTATTCCTGGAAGCTTGACTTTGTAGTGGAAGATTTGTACAGTGTTTTTTTTGTTTTGTTTTTTGTTTTTTGTTGTTGTTGTTGTTAAACCTATTCCATTTTTATTCAATTCGGTAATTGTATCTTTTTTTTTTTTTTAAGATAGAGTCTTGCTCTGTTGCCCAGGCTGGAGTGCAGTGGCGTGATCTCAGCTCACTGAAACCTCTACCTCCTGGGTTCAAGCGATTCTCCTGCCTTAGCCTCCCGAGTAGCTGAGATTACAGGTGCCTGACACCACACCAGCTAACTCTTGTATTTTTAGTAGAGACGGGGTTTCACCATGTTGGCCAGACTAGTCTTGGACTCCTGATTTCAAGTGATCTGCCCGCCTCAGCCTCCCAAAGTGCTGGGATTACAGGCGTGAGCCACTGCGCCCAGCCAATTGTTTGTATCTTAACTGATTGATTACCTAGCCCCACTCATCCCTGGATGGCAGGCAAATATAGATGTCTCTTGAACCCATCTATTTCAGGATTACACATCCTGCAAATTCTTGCTTTCCCAGATGATGGAGGCCACACATTAAGGCATAAGCAAGGTGGGGCCACCAGAGGAAATCTTTCTTTCTGGGCAAGAAGGTGAGCTGCACTTCATCAGGTGAATGATTGAGCCTGGCCCCATATACCCCTGAGATGTGCCCTCTGCCCTCAGTGCATGGCATCATCTCAGAGGCATTTCAGAAGAAAAATAATAGTTTTTTCCTGTTCTAAGGGAATGAAAAGAGTATTTGTTGCACTTAGAAATGTCACGAGGACGCGTGAGTGAGCACATCCCTCTGCTGTGCCTCTGGTGTCCTGGTCTGGCCTGGCAGTCTCAATCACAGAAGCTCTCTTCAGTTACACCTTAGCATTTCCTTGGCCCCCATCTAACTAGTCACCCTCATCCTTATTCCCATCCTAGAGCTCTGCCTTTTCCAGTTGTTTTCCTTTTCAGAAATTCAAGCTTACTTTTCAGCCCTTGTTGTTCCGGTTGGTTGACCCTGGAGCAGGATTTCCGTGCACATACCTTGTTGGCCCTGCCACCCGTGCAGCGGCACAGGACCCCACACTCAAAAGGGCCCGTGCTTGGCTTCATGCTCTGTTCTCACTGTCTTGAAATTTCTGATAATTCTTGAACAAAAGGCCCTACGTTTTCATGTTGCACTTGGGCCTGAAAATTATGTAGCCAGCCCTGAGCCCAAGGGTGAAGTCAGCCCCGGGGTGTGTGCTGGGCAGCAATCTCCTGGGCCCCCTGGCCGAGCTGGGCTGCCTTCCCTGTGGTCAGCTCCTTCAGTCCCCTTCCACCCAGACACTTGCTTAGCTTCAGTTAGCTAAAATATGACCTCTGACTCTTGGCTGATTGCCCAAATTGCTGTCACCCTGACCCAAACTCTTTGGTTTTTGCAAATGCAATCACTTCCATTTTTGCAGCCTGCCCCACCCCCAGCCCATCTCCCTGCAAGATTTACAGAGTAGCAGCTGCTGTCGTCCCTCTGCACACAGACAGCTGACTTGCCTGCTGATTGTGAACATCCCAGTAATCCAAGTGCTAATGGTATTTATTTAGTCCAGCCGGCTTAGCCCTGAACAAGGTTTATTCTCATTTATCGCATCGGAGATGAGCTACGTCCTTAATATCCTTCTGTTGACTTTGAGCACACCAGCGCCACTGATGTCACTTTGAGGCGTGCCAGGCCCCCGCCCCCTTAACTCAGATCCCCAACTGTCAGGACACCTACCTTCCAGCCAGCAGGACTGGTCCCTCCAGGGGTGGGCCGCAGCTCTGGTCCAGAGTCCATAGGCTGGAGGAGGATGGGGCTGCCATACATGATATGTGCTCGAGGCATCCAGGCCAAATAAAGCTGTGCTCTCAAAGATGTGGTCTGGCCTCTTTGTGTAGTGAGCCTACTGTAATTATCTTTTGGCCACAGTGCATTGGCTAGCAGTGTGGCATTTTGGCATTCATTAACTGTTCTGTCTTTTACATGGGTAGTCCTAGCTCTGCCTCACAGGTGAAAACTTGCCCAAGGCCATGAGCCATTCATTGCTTATGAGATTCCCAGCAAGGGTCCTGCAGGCCCTGGTCCTTGCACATCCAGAGGCCTCACTCTGAGCTGTTTTGGTAGTTGCCTCCCCCAGCCCCAGGCTGTGAGCATTTAAAGCCCAAGGCAGAGCTGACTGGCGAGAGGGTCTGTTTCTAGGAGCAGATTCTACCCTTGGTGGGTGATTGCTCAGGAAACCTTCAGCTCTACTGGCCCTGCCTGGATGGACTGAGGAGCAGCTGGAAGCGCAAGCCTCATCTTCCCCCTCTTCCTCTGCTGTGTTTCTTCAACCCCTTGCCTGGGCAGCCCTAAAAGGCCACTTCACAGGGTGGCCTTTTAGGAAACTCCTGAAGCTGTGGGAACCCTGGGGTAAGGCCTGGAGTTCCCAGGGTTCCATGGGTACCTCGTTTAAGCTGATCATGTGAAGAGGCCAGGCAGGGCATGGGCCCAGGGCTGCCAAGGCTGTGCACTGTCACAGCCCATGTTTGGCCCATGGTCCTGCCGTACCCACAGACTTGGCTGTGGGTGAAAACATGAATTTATTGCCTTATGAACCTGATTTCAGCAATTTACAAAAGGTCAGACTTTCTCTTTTCTCTCCGATTTACTTATCTGATGTTGGAGCTCTCTTCTCTCCTACTCTAAATGGGGTGGGAAGAGCCTGCCTGAGGGGGACAGAGTGGGTGGGACTGGGCTGCTGCTGGCTTGGCTGTGGGTGGCTCCCGACCCACATCAGCCCACCTTCTGAAGAGAAGGGACTTCTCTTTGCCCTGGTCACAGTGCAGAAAGTGGAAGGGCTTTGGTTGCCCAGCCCTGGGTGATTAACTGAGGCTGCGATGATGGGGTGCTGTGATGAGCTTTGTGCTGTCTTTGGAGGGCCTTGTCTCTGCTGCTCTGAGGGCCCATGAGGGATGGGACTCCTTGGCAGTGCTCCCAAAGGCTGATGCGATGTCAGATCTCTCAGCCCCCTTGGGGAAGCAGCATTTGATGTTTGTGTGAATCTCTCAGCGTGGTCGTCTTCTCTTCCTGGACCCTCCTGTCATGGGTGAGCGTTCCTTAGGCACATGATGGCAGAGACAGCCCTAATTAGCTCATGCTTTGATGAAACAGCTGCCTGTCTCAAGTCGTGGGGGGCAGGGGAGCAGCTCAGCTCCCAGGCCCCCCTGCGCCAGCGCCTGCCTGCCTATCTGGAGAGGAGCTGTCAGCCTCCCTTCCCCAGGGACTCTGGCCCATCTCCAGGCTGCTCTGCAGACACAGGGGTGGAGTTGCTGTGGGACGGGCTGGCACCCACCCTGTACTTCCTTTCTGGCTGAGAGGCTACAGAGTGACACGTGGTACAAAGGAGCTTTTCTCTTTAGAAAGCTGGCTCAGCGTGCTCGGTCTGCTCTGGACCTTGAAGCTTGTTCCTGGTCAGAATAGAAGTGGGGAGCTATCTTCATTCCATTCAGCCAGCTTTGGGGGCACGCCTGCTGTGTGTCGGGCCCTCTCCTGTACGGTGGCACAGTGTGTCTTTTCTGGGTTTAGGACCAGGAGCCAGCTCCTTCTGATTTGTCTTTGTTTCCTTATACCCTGGCTCACTCTCAAGGACACCGTGAGGGCCCCCTGGCCAGGAGGGTTGGGAGTTAGGAGGAACAGGTGCTTTTTGGGTCTCTGGGAGCTTGTGGTCATGCCAAGGGCAGGCAGCCAGAGGCATGCGGTGGCTTTGGTAGACTGCGGTGTCCTTTGTGGGCTAGTTGGATGGGTGTGACAGCCACCATCTGACTGCTGGCTTGGCCCCTTCACTTGTTGTTGGCCTCAGGCTTTTGTGTGCCTGTCCCCTCTTTTCTCTGGGGCCTCACATGTGGGCTGCTGAGAGGGGAGCCCTGACCTGCCCAAGGGCCTGACTATCTGGTCCCTGTGCTTGACACTTGCTCCTTAATTGATCCCTAATGCAATCTTGAAAAGCAAGGAGCCTGCAAAAGGGCATCCTGTGAGGGATCCCGGCCTTGTCCCCTGCATGGCACCCTGCCCTGATGGGGGTCCCCGCCAGGCCCCTCATCCCTTCATCTGGGAGGTCTGGGCCTGAAATGTTTTAATCACATCACTATTTCTCTAGCCCAGAATGGGGAGAGGAGTTCCAGAGGCAGCTCAGGGTTTTGAGTACTTTAGTGCAGTATGTTTATCTATTGATATGTTCATGGTTGTGTACACGTGTTGTTCATTCGTTCGTTCGTTCAGTCGTTCATTCATTCCCTACTGTCCAGGGACCTGTGACGTGGCAGGCTCTGTGCTGAGTGCTGAGAATACAGGGCAGAGAAGCTGACAGTAGCTGCTGTTATAGAGTGGGAGCCCAGTGGGAGGCATTGGGTTGTCCTGTTTTAGGATCTGCCTGGGTATTCAGAGGCTCCTGTCTCTTGCACTTTCTTCCTGCCTTCTCCCGCAAGCATTTTCTATGTGCAGTCTGAGTGCCGACCCAGGAGAGGAGAGGGATGGGGCCCTGGCCTTGGGGCACCAGACCCAGAGGGGAACAGACCCATTAGTAATTGCCCCAGTGTGTGATGTGCTTGGGTCATGGAGGAAGGAACATCCGGCACTGGCTTGGGAAGCGCCAAGAAAGGCTTCCTACGGGAGGGACGCTGAAGGAGCACCTTCGGCATCGAAATGTCTTTACAGTAGTAGAGGTTGTTCACCTTCCCAGCCCACTCCAGCCCCTTGGCTGCTGGGGAGTGGGGGCTGGCATGGGAGCACTCAGCCCTGTCACCTGTGCTGTGGGCCGCTGTTCCCACGTGGGTCTGTGCCAGATGGTCTTTGTTTCCCCAGCTGAGTTTGACTTGCCCCGTGTGGGAACCTCTGTTGTTCTTGTTTCTCCCCAGGGATGGCTGACATGGGCTCAGTTCCCTGACCATCCGATCCCTGGGCTGGGCAGGGTAGTCATGCTGTCCTGTGCTTCTTCCCCAGCAACCCCAAGGTCCAGGTGGAGGCCATCGAAGGGGGAGCCCTGCAGAAGCTGCTGGTCATCCTGGCCACGGAGCAGCCGCTCACTGCAAAGAAGAAGGTGTGTTTCCATGCCCTTCCTCCTGCCCAGCCTCCAGGACACGTGTGGGGCCTGAAAGGAAAGGGTTCCTGTCCAGGCTGTGCATGTTACCATGGGGGCCTGAGCATCATCTGCTGGGTGGCACAGGGGGAGAAGTTACACTCAACTAAAGCAGATGGCAGTGTGCCGAGGTGACTAGAGGCCTGGGGGCAGCTCCTGTGCTGTGGCCTTGGGCCCTACTCCTGGCCTCCCACCCTTGGCCTCTGTTTACCTCCCATTTACTCACTTGGTAATGTTGAAGGTGTCTGAGTCCCTCCTGGCCTCACAGTCCTGGGTTCTGGGGTATAGCTGTAACTGAGGTGGGGCCGGGAGGAATGGGGACTAATTTGGGGCACCTCTGCCTGCCTTCCCTGGGCCTCAGGGCAGGTCCAGCTCGCTTGGCCCCTCACCTACCCCTGGGTCTGTGCCCCCAGGTCCTGTTTGCACTGTGCTCCCTGCTGCGCCACTTCCCCTATGCCCAGCGGCAGTTCCTGAAGCTCGGGGGGCTGCAGGTCCTGAGGACCCTGGTGCAGGAGAAGGGCACGGAGGTGCTCGCCGTGCGCGTGGTCACACTGCTCTACGACCTGGTCACGGAGAAGGTGAGTGCCCAGGCCCACCCAGTCTCCTCTTGTTTGCTTTGTGTGTGCTTCTGGGTGGATGGACAGACAGATGGAAGAGACTGCGGACGTCACTTGTTTGCTTTGTGTGTGCTTCTGGATGGATGGACAGACAGACAGTTGGAAGAGATTGGGGACGTCAGGGAGTATGTCATGTGAGATGTGGTGGCTAAGCTGAAACCTGAGGGCTGATGAGGAGTGGGAGGTGGCCCTGCCAGCCATGGTCACGGCCAAGTGTGCAGGCAGAGGGCTCAGTATGAGGCAAGCCTTGGAGCAGCCGAGACCAGGCCCCGAGGGGACAAAAGGCTGAGGGGGTAGAACAGCCCAGAGCTCCTTCGAATGGCACTCACTCTTCGGATTCTAGAAACGTGGAGGTGCCTCCTCTGTGAGCTTTGGCTCTGGGCAGGGCCTCAGAGTGGCTGCCCTTGAGAGTCTCAGGGACCCAATTGCTTGCCACTTGGGAGGAGACTTGGTGCCCAGCCCTGTTTGCAAGCTTGAAGAAGCATCTTAATTAAGGAGGAGAGAGGAAAACCAGCCAGGCCTGGATTCTTAATTCAGCTACTGCAGAGAGCATTGGCAGGGCTTCCTCAGTTGCCTCTCTCGGGCCACACGCTCCCCAGAAGAGCCGCATGCCGACTAGTGGAGCAGGGCTGGGCAGCCGCTGGAACTGCTGCCGAATGGTGGAGGCTGGGCCCCTCACTCCCTCTGCACACGCCTCCCCCAGGCCTTCTCTCCCAGGCAGTGTCGGGATGGCTGTGGCCACCTCTGTCCATCACTGTCTCTCCCCAACTCTCTGTCTTTGCCTGTTTCTCTCTCTTCTCTTGTTAAAGCTGCAGAAATCCAGTTTCTTAGAACAGCAGGCAGCCATGTGGTGCTCAGATCCAATTGATAAGGCCTGGGCACAGTTCAGGTTCTGGGACTGGGCCAGTGAGCCTGGAGAAGGACATGTCAGCTGGCTGGGCATTTCCCAGGGAAACTGGGCTCTGTTCTCTGGTGTCTTGGGTGTGTGTCCCTGCTGCCCCCAGCCCTGGCATCCTGGGCACTATGGCACTGACACATTGCTAGCACACTACCACCAGGCAGGCTCACCAAGGCTGCCCCGAGGCTGCCGGCCCCGGGAGCCTGCCTCTGGAAGCTTTGGGGTGCTGACATGATTGGGGAGGGGAGGACTGGCATCTCTCTACAAACAGTACAGAAATGGCCCTCTTCTTTCAGGGAGGACAGCAGATAAATTTCAGCCAGAGAGATTTAGGACACACTGTACTTGGGCTGAGGCAGTCAGGGCTTCTCTGTTCTTGTGATTTCTTTTTTCTTTTTTCTTTTCTTTTCTTTTTTCTTTTTTTTTTTTTTTTTTGAGACAGGGTCTCTCTCTGTCACCCAGTGGCACGATCTTGGCTCACTGTAAACTCTGCCTCCCAGACTCAAGTGATCCTCCCACCTCAGCCCCCTGAGTAGCTGGGACTACAGGTCCATGCCACCATGCCTGGTTAATTTTGTTCGTTTTTTGTAGACAGGGTCTCACTATGTTGCTCAGGCTGGTCTTGAACTCCTGGGCTCAAGCAGTCCTGCCTCAGCTTCCCAAAGTATTGGAATTATAGGCGTGAGTCACTAAGTCCAGCCTCTTGCAGCGCTTAAGAATGAAGACCTAGCCAAGCTAGGGGTGGGTCCAGAGCTGCCTGAAGGTGGAGGGACATGAGCTGTCCACCACGATGGAGGGGTGCCATGCAGCTCGGGGATCACTGCAGCATGTTGTCATGACAGCCAAGGACTGTGGAATTCCCATGGGCAATGTGACACCCCCATCAGGGTGCTGGGGTCTGCCAGGCCCCAGGCAGTCCTCATATGTACCTTGGCCTGTGAGAGGACCTCTACTGAGAGACCATGCCCTGACATCTGGGCTTCTGCAGTGGTGAGATGCCTGCCTGGGGTTTGGATTCCATGGCCTCTGGTGCATCTGAGGAGCTGAAGGGCCGCAGGGGGACCCTGCCTGCCTGTGCTGCCTGCTGTGCCGGGTGCTGGGAAAATAATCCGCAGTCCCTGTCGTCCCTGAGCTTTCAGGCAGATGTTTATCAGAGAATTCCCCTGAGCTTGTGTTGTAGTCTGTCTGCTGCTGCTTTAACAGAATACCCGGGACTGGATAATATAAAGAAAAGGCAGTTTTTGGCTCATGATTCGGGAGGCTGGGAAATCCACGATTGGGTGGGTGCATCTGGCGGGAGCCTTTGTGTTGCATGACAACATTGTGGAAGGTGAGAGGGCAAGAGCACTTGCGGAAAAAAGCATGCTGGGCCGGGCTTGCTCTCTAGAATAACAACCGCTCTCCCGTAAGGAACCCGCTGCCCTCCTGACCTAGGCAGCTCCTCTCAATACTGCTGCCTTGGGAATTAAGCTTCCAACACTTGAACTTTTAGGGAACACACTCAAACCACAGCAGCATATAAGCAGAGAAGGCCAGTCAGGGGAGGCCGGTCAGTGGCGGTGAGGTGTGCAGGGAGCCGTGGAGTGAATGGGGCCAATGCGGGGGTGCACCTGGAAGTCGGAGCTGCGCCTCCAGAGGCCCCAGGGGAGAGTTAGAGTGACAGGAGTGGGTGTGAGTGGGTCCAGGCCGCGCACAGTGGGGGCAGAGCCTGCAGAGCCTCGCAGTCCCAGGGAAGGGATTGATTTTGTCTTTATCACCCGCAATGCCAGGCTGTGAGGGTTTGGGGGCTGGAGGAGAGGGTGAGAGCAGGAGGCACTGGATCGCAGGACACAAGGGACAAAGGTGGAGCTGACAGAATTGGGGTGTGTTTTGGAAGCGAAGCTGGCAGGACTGAGGGGTGAAGTAGGAAAGGACTAGGGGATACCTCTCAGCCTCTCCTGTCCCAGGATGCAGGATTGCACCCCTCCTCAGTTTCCTCTGCCAGCCCCAATCAGCCCCACGACTTCCTGCTGCCGCAGGAAGCACAGGTGGTCCACTGTGGCCTCCTCTTCTCCTGGGCTTCCCTCTTGCCTTGTGCATCTTCCCTGTGCTTCATTCTCCCCTGGAGTTAGGGCAGGCATTCCTTCTTTCTCCATACAGGCACACTTCCTACAGCTGCACGGGAGATCTCTGCCCCCTCCCAACCCTCTACCTCTGACCTTCAGGTAACCTGCCTGCTTGTCATGGTTCAGGTGTTGGCTTTCCCGCTGCTGGTAGCCCGGCAGGATTGGCTCCCACCATGTTCTGCTGATAGAGCTGGGCTTCTGCGCTTTACAGACAGGCTGAGTTTCTCCACTTAGGAGGTGATGACGATGAGTCTCAGGGAGGCTAAGTGCCAGCCATGGTCATTCAGCAAGTCAGTGGTGGAGCAGGAATTTGAAGCCAGCCTGTCTGCCTCCATGCTGCACTGTTAGATTACATTTATGCTATTTGGGAATTAGTTAATTTTTATTCTCCTGCTAGACCTTAAGCTCCTTGAGGGTAAGACTATGTCTCCATCGTGGTTTCTTCAGCACCTGGCACCACACAAGTGTTTCTGTTGGTGGATGAATGAATGAATAGACAGACAGACTTGGGGATAGAGGAAGAGGTGGGCCCTCAGGGGTCAGCCTCGTGCCTTCCTGTCTGAAGGGCAGAGCTAGCCAGGTGTGAGCTAACTGCTCCCTGTGTGTTCTCTCCCCACCCCCACCCTACCTGGCCTGCGGCTGTGGCGGATGGCAGATGTTCGCCGAGGAGGAGGCTGAGCTGACCCAGGAGATGTCCCCAGAGAAGCTGCAGCAGTATCGCCAGGTACACCTCCTGCCAGGCCTGTGGGAACAGGGCTGGTGCGAGATCACGGCCCACCTCCTGGCGCTGCCCGAGCATGATGCCCGTGAGAAGGTGCTGCAGACACTGGGCGTCCTCCTGACCACCTGCCGGGACCGCTACCGTCAGGACCCCCAGCTCGGCAGGACACTGGCCAGCCTGCAGGCTGAGTACCAGGTGCTGGCCAGCCTGGAGCTGCAGGATGGTGAGGACGAGGGCTACTTCCAGGAGCTGCTGGGCTCTGTCAACAGCTTGCTGAAGGAGCTGAGATGAGGCCCCACACCAGGACTGGACTGGGATGCCGCTAGTGAGGCTGAGGGGTGCCAGCGTGGGTGGGCTTCTCAGGCAGGAGGACATCTTGGCAGTGCTGGCTTGGCCATTAAATGGAAACCTGAAGGCCATCCTCTTTCTGCTGTGTGTCTGTGTAGACTGGGCACAGCCCTGTGGCCGGGGGGTCAGGTGAGTGGTTGGGTGATGGGCTCTGCTGACGTGCAGGGCTCAGCCCAGGGCATCCAGGAACAGGCTCCAGGGCAGGAACCTGGGCCCAGGAGTTGCAAGTCTCTGCTTCTTACCAAGCAGCAGCTCTGTACCTTGGGAAGTCGCTTAATTGCTCTGAGCTTGTTTCCTCATCTGTCAGGAGTGCCATTAAAGGAGAAAAATCACGTAGAAAGCTTCACACTAGTGCTGGCACCCCCCAGCTGTGAGGTAAGGCAGGGAATCATCTCACTGCCCCTCTATCGGTGCCCACATAACAGCCTCAAGGCCGCTGACCTGGCCGGCGCCTGAGGCCTGTCCATACACTGGTGCTGTGGTGACCCAGGCAGCTGATGGGCTTGACAGCTGCTGGAGTGATGGGTGCTGGAGCAATGGGTGCCGGGGTGGGGTGCTGAGAGGTGCTGGACTCTGGAGGCCCAGGGGCCAGGCCTTACTCTGGGAGAAAGCTGGCAGTGGGAGCCCAGGGGAGCCCAGGCCTGCCTGGCCCACCTGACAGGGGAGAAGTGCCTCTCTGTGGCCTTGCACCACTTCTGTGTCCAAGCAGAAACAGGGCCAAGCCCAAGGAGGAGGCCTCAGAGCTGGGAGCAGCCGTGCCTGGCGAGTCCCGGCCCCTACCCAGGCTGGCGGAGTCCCGGGCTGGAGCTGGCTGCAGGTTGCCATGGCAACCCGGGCTCTGGGCTTTTCAGACTCGGATTCTGGTGTGTTTGTTTCTCAGCTTTCCCAGTGCACCAGAGGCTTGCTCTTGCGGGCCCAGGCAGCCCCTCCGGCCCCCAGGTGGTAAAGTCGGGAGGGCCAGTCTGGGGCAGGACTCTCCTCTCCCTGGCTCTAGGCCTCACTTGTAGAAATCTCAGTTTTACTGAGCTGAGGGCAAATTGAGGCCCAGAAAAACATGGGGTCAGTAGTTGGCCTTCCCTGCAGTCCCTTTGCTTGGCCACCTGGCTCTTCTCCTCAGCCCCTCTCCTGCTCGCCTCTTGCCGCAACACGACACGCAGGAAGCTCGGAGCAGAGCCACGGCCTGCACGGAGCCCCTCCCAGCAGGGCAGGCTGGAGGCAGGAGTCCAGGCTGATGCTGGAGTAACAGCTTCCCCAGGGCGGGAGGCCTCAGGGCTAGGGCAGAGTGGGGAACAGACTCGCAGTCTGCCAGCCATTGGGTACCTGCTGCCTTTACAGCCTCGCAGGAGTCTTCGAAGTAGATTTTACAGATGAGGAAATCATGGCTCAGAGAGGCCAAGTGATCTGCCTGTGGGGGCAGCAGTGGGCCTGCGGTGCTGATGGTGCTGTGGGAGGCTTGAATGGGAGGCCAAGAAGGGGACGATGTTGAACTGACAGGCAGCGGAGGGAGGACCACGAGAAATGGCCGGGCATGTGTGGCCACAACAGGGCAGGCAGGTTTCAGACAGGAGGTGCCAGCGCCTGGATGAGGCCAAGGTCAAGGGGTGCTTTAGAGGTAGTGTTGGAAGATCTAGCGTAGACTTGAGAAAGGGGCAAGGTGAGGTTTGATGGGGAGAGGGGCTGCCTCAGCAGAGGCTTGGAAGACAGGAGGACTTGGGGCTGGGCTGGGGATGAATCTATTCTAGGCTTTCAGCATTCAGAGGTGAGCACCAAGGCTGGACAGTGGGAACAGTGGACAGGCGAGAGTGTGGGGCCTTGTGGGGAGGCCAGGCCGGGCGCTCGGCTGTGTCAGGACCAGGCTGGCCCTGGAGGCCTCTGTGACCACCAGGGTCTGGCCCGGGGTGTGGAAAGCGTCCCTATGGGAGGAGTGCCACTAGTAGGGGCCTAACTGCAGTCCCCAGTGTCCCCTCTGCCCCCAGGTGTGCTGCCCTCAGCAGCGATTCTGTAAAGCAGAGGGAGGCTTTGGGCCAGGTGCTCTTGAGAGGATTTCTGGGAGCGAGGATGGAGGAACGGGCACCTGGGGGCTGTAGGGAGGGGGCTGGACCAGCGCCAGGCTGCTGAGCCCGAGGCCTGGGAGGTGGGACTGCGTGCACTCTGCCCTCACACACTCAGAGCATCGGAATGGGAGTTGGGCTGCAGTCTCTCTCCTCATTGGCCGCATCCAGGTTCGTTCTGGACTGTTAAGCAGACCCTCCAGGGAGAGGGTGGCGAGGCGCCCCAGGGTCTGGGCTTGGGCTGCTTGGGGGTGGGTTCTGGCTCCGCCTCCTGATTCATCGCGGCTTGTTGTCTGCAGGTCAGGAAGGAACCCCTTCTCTGCCTTCCCTTTGGCTGCCATCCTGGGAACTGTGGTCAAGGAGTGTGACCGGGGCTCGAAGTGAGGCAGGGAGTGGTGACGGGGGAGGTGGGACTTCCTCCTGTGGGGCTGGAGCCTGCTTTCCTGTCCTCACTGTCTTGGGATGGGCTGAGAGGTGTGCTGGGCTGACACCCACAGGCCCTCAGTGATTATTGGGTCCCTGCTCCTGGGCTGGGCTGACCCGGGCCCTAGTGTGGGAGGATGGCAGGGAGGGTGGTGGGCCTAGGTCCTCACCCCATCCCTCAGCAGCTGTGGTTTTATGAGTTCACTTGTTCATTCATTATTTCATTCACACTGTGGCTGTTGAGCAGTCGTGTGTGTCAGGCAGTTGGAGCTGAGAAGTCTGCTGAGCTGGGTGAAGCCAAGGAAAGGCCTCCCAGAGCTGGTGATGGCCAGGCTAAGCCCTGCAGGCTGCAGGAGTAGCAGTCAGGGATGGGCAGTTGGAAGGGCCAGTCTGGGGCAGGCAGGGCAAGGGCTCTGGCCCTGGGAAGATACAGGAAGGCCAGAGAGTGGCCATTTGCAGAATCCACAATTTCGGGTCCTCCGGCAGCTTGTCAGCCCTGCCAAGGGCTGTGCCCTCATCCTAGCAGGTGTTCTCTGGGCTGCTGCTTATTCATTCATTTGTTCAACAAATCTGGTTGGGTACTACGAGCCAGGCACTGTTCTAGGGCAGGAAGTGGTAGGACAGGAGGGGAGAGGGCTGGACCATGATAAATACACATGCTTCAGGGGAGGGCCAGGCAAGGAAGACAGAGCCCAGTGGGAAGGGAAGAGGGGTAGGCACTGCTGTTTCCCCTCAGTGGTGGGGAAGGCCTCTGAGGAGGGGCCAGGCACAGGAGCGCAGCAGTGAGCCATGGGGGTGCTTTGTAGACAAGGGGATAGCAGAGGCAAAGGTCCTGCAGGAACAGGCCAAAGCACTTCAGGAAAAGCCATGAGAACCAGGCCTGGAGCAGGCAGAGACCGAGGGAGGAGTTGCAAGGGAGGGCCGCCTGGGGAGGCTGTGGAAGGGACCTGGGATTTTCTTTGAGGTGGGGCTGTTGAGAGTTGGGTGCAGAGGAGAGACCTGATGTAACCCACCTTTTTCTTTTTGAGACAGGGTCTTGTTCTGTCACTCAGGCTAGAATGCAGTGGTGTGACCATGGCTCACTGCAGCCTTGACCTGCTAGGCTCAAGTGGTCCTCCCACCTCAGCCTCCAAAGTAGCTGGGACCACAGGTGCAAGCTGTCACGCCCAGCTAATTTTTTTCATTTTTTTGTAGAGGTCTCCCTATGTTTTCCAGGCTTGTCTTGAGCTCCTGGGCTCAAGCGATCCTGCTGCCTCAACCTCCCAAAGTGCTGGGATTACAGGTGTGAGCCCCTGTGCCCGGCCTCACCTTTTCTTACTGTTGTGGTGAGAATAGATGACACAGGGGCCAGGAGGGGCAGGGAGCCCAGGGCAGCATCCAGGGGGCAGCTGGACAAGGATGTGGGGCAGGGTGAAGACATAGGACTGTGAGAAGTGTGCAGACTCCAGATGGGGCTGAGGCAGAGCTCAGGGCTCTGCTGGCGGGATGCAGGGTGTGGGGAGAGGAGTCGAGGGGATGGAGCAGATGGGCGTGGGGAGGAGCTGGTACCAGAGTGGGAGCTTGGAGAACAGGGGAGTGACTGGGGCTCTGAGGTGGACCCTGTTGATGTTTATATGGAGATGTCAGCAGGACATCCAGGTGGGGGTGCTGACAGGCAGCAGCAGACAGCCTGGAGCTGAGAGAGAGGCTGGGTGGGGGATACTGACCAGGCCTGGGAACCTCACACAAGGGAGCCGCAGGGTTCAGAATGTGGCCAGCTGGTTGTTAAACACAGCCATTATTAAAACTAAATGATGCAAGTGTACAATTAAGTAACACCAAGAAAGCAAAGGTAATTTTTAAAAACTAGTAAAAGAAGAGCAAATTAAAACCAAAGGAAGCAGAAGAAAAGGAAATAATAAAGAGTGGAAACCAATAAAATTGAAGACAGTAAAACTAAAGAAAATCAATGAAATTAAAAGATGGTCCTTTGAAAAAGAGAGAAGACATAAATCAGCAGCCTCACGGATGAAAACGGGGTGTCACTATAGGCTCTACGAGCATTAAAGGATAGTGAGTAGTGAGTATTATGAACAACTCTAAATAAATACATTGTAAAATCAATTTGACAACTTAGAAGAAATCATGGACCAATTCCTTGAGAAACACGGCCTCTCACTGTATTAGCTTTCTATTGCTGCTATGCTAACAAATTACCATGAGCTTTATGCCTTAAAACATTCCCAGTCAATTTTCTTACAGTGCTGTAGGTTAGAAGTCTGGCCCAGTTCTCATGGGGCAAAAATCCAAGTGTCGCAGGGCTGTACTCCTTTCTGGGTGGGGTCCATCCCTTGCCTTTCCCAGCTGCTAGGGGCTGTCTGTATTCCTTGGCTCCTAGACCTTCCTCTGTCTTCAAAGCCAAAAAAGGAAGTCAAGGTCTTCTCATATTGCACCATTCTGACCTCCTCTTCTGCCTCCATCTTCCATTTTTAAGGACCCTGTGATTACAGTGGGCCCACCTGGATGATCCAGGATAATCTTCCTATCTGAAAATCAGCCAATTAGCAACCTCAGTTCCATCTGCAACCTGGATTCGCTTTCTGCCATGTAACATAACATGCGCAGGCCCAGGGATTAGGATGTGGGCATCTCTGGAAGCCATTATTCTGCCTAACACAAGCTGCTGAAACCCACTCAACAATAGATAACCTGTGTAGCCCTACAGGTACTAAAGAAATGGAATTTACTGTTTAAAACCCTTCCACAGAGAAAACTCCAGACCTATGTGGTTTCACTAGCAAATTCTACCAACTAATACCAATTTTATACAGTCTCCTCCAGAAAATAGAAGAAAACATTTCCAAACTCATTTCATGAGGCCAGCATTGCCCTGACACCAATACTAGACAATGATATATCTTTTCTTTTCTTTTCTTTTCTTTTCTTTCTTTTCGACAGAGTCTCACTCTGTTGCTCAGGCAGGAGTGCAGTGGCACGGTCTCGGCTCACTGCAACTTCCACCTCCCAGGTTCAAGTGATTCTCCTGCCTCAGCCTCCCGAGTAGCTGGGATTACAGGCACCTGCCACCATGCCTGGCTAATTTTTTGTATTTTTAGTAGAGATGGGGTTTCACCATGTTGGCCAGGCTGTCTCGAACTCCTGACCTTGTGATCTGCCTGCCTCGGCCTCCCAAAGTGCTGGGATTATAGGCGTGAGCCATCGTGCCCGGCCTGACAATGATATTTCAAGAAAAATATCCTACAGGCTAATATCCCGTCATCAACAAGATTAGGGAGGTAATGGCGACAGGAGATCCTGTAGGCTATGGCAAAGACTTTAGATTTTTCTGAAGTCTCTACAAAAATCCTCAACAAAATATTGGCAAATTGAATGCAACAATATGTAAAAGGATAATATAACCAAATGGAGTGTACCCTGGGAATGCAAGGCTAGTTCAATTAGTTCACCATATTAACAGACTAAAGAAGAAAAGGCCACACCATCATCTCAACAGATATAGACAAATATTAAGCAGCCATAATAAAAACTCTCAGCAAATTGGAACAGAAGGGAATTTCCTTAACCTCATGAACAGAAACCACATAAAAACCTACATCTAACATCAAACTTAAGGGTGAAAGGCTGAATTCCTTCCCCCTCAGATTGTAAAACAGGCAAGAATGCCCACTCTCCTGACTCCTTTTCAACATTGTACTAAAAGTTCTGGGCACTGCCTTAAGGCAAGAAAATGAAATAGCATACAGATTGAAAAAGAAGAAATAAAATTGTCCCTATTCACAGATGACATGAGTGTCAATGTAGAAAATCCCATGGCATCTGTAAAAACAATTTCACAGAACTAGCTAATGACTTTAGCAAGGTCATAGGATACAAAGTCAGTGTATAAAAATCAACTGAAAAGTGAAATATGTGCAGGATTTTATGCTGAAAATTATGAAATACTGATGAAGTAAATCACAGAAGATCTAAGCACATGGACAGACCTACTGAGTTCATTCATGGGTTGGAAGACTCAACATTGTTAAATGATGTCAGTCCCCACAAAATTGATCTCTAGATTCAATGCAGTCCCCGTAGGAATTCTTTAGGTATCAGGAGTCTTATTTGAAAACTTACATGGAAATGCAAAGAACAAGAATAAGAATAGCTAAAACAATTTTGAAAAAGAAGAACCAAGTTGGAGGGCTAACACTTGCTGATTTTAAGATATAAACCTGTAATACCACAGTGTGGCATTGGCCAGACCCACACAGATATAGTTAATTGATTTTTGACAAACATGCAAAGGCAGTTCAGTGGAGAAAAGACTGTCTTTTCAATAAATGGTACTGCAGTCATTAGACAGTTTTTTTTTTTTTTTTTAGAGTCTTGCTGTGCCACCCAGGCTAGAGTGCAGTGGTGCAATCTTGGCTCACTGCAACCTCTGCCTCCCAGGCTCAAGTAATCCTCCTGCCTCAGCCTCCCAAGTAGCTGGGACTACAGGCATCGAATCTTTTTGCCTAATTTTTCGTTTGGTTGACTGTTTTCTTAATGAATTTTGAGGGTTCTGTTCATTTTCTGGATACAAGTCCTTTGTCAGATATGTGATTTACAAATATGTTCTGTTTGTAAGTTTTTATTCTTTTAACAATTTCACAGAGGTTTTTATTTTAATGAAGTCTAATTTATCCATTTTTAAATTTTATGAATGGTGACTTTGATGTTGTCTCTAAGAACTCTGCCTAACTCTAAAGTCACAAAGATTTCTCTTCTGTCTTCTTCTAAGAGTTTTATAATTTTACATTTAGGTCTCTGATTTTGAGTTAAATTTTGTATAAGATGTGAGGTACTGTAAATAGGTCAAGGCTCATTTTAAAAAATATGTTGAGGTCGGGTGTGGTGGCTCATGCCTGTAATCCCAACACTTTGGGAGGCTGAGGTGGGTGGGTCACCTGAGGTCAGGAGTTCCAGAGGAGCCTGGCTAACATGGCAACAGAATGAGACTGTCTCAAAAAACAAAAAAATCAGTGTTCATGTGAAAACCTGTGCGTCAATGCTTATATCAACTTTATTTGTAAAAAATAAAAATAAAAAACTGGAAACAACTCAAATGTCTCTTATCTGGGGGATGTATAAACAAACTGTGATGCACCCTTACAACGGAATACAACTCTGCAGTAAGGAACGAGCCACCGATGCACACAGCAATCTGCGTGCATTTTGAAGCCGCACTGATTGAAATGCACTGCGCCATATGCAGCCAGACCCAAAAGGCCACGTACTGTATTACTGCACTTATGTACGTTCTGGAAAAGGCAAAATGATAGGGAAGGTGTTGCCAGGACTTAGGATTGGGGACTGTTTTGATGATACTGGGATAGCACAGGGGAATCCTGGGGGAAGGGTGACTGTTCCATCTTCCTTGTGGTGGTGGTTACAGGACTGCGTTTGTCAAAACTCATGGAATTACACACCAGAAAGAGCAGATTTCACTGTGTGTAAATTTTCACCTAAGTTATAATAGCAACTCATCCTTTCCTAATGACATTTTACCACAATCGGTCCAATTGTCTGGGTGATAGAAGGATGCATCACGGCGCGCTCCTGGGCTTCTCTAACCAACTCCACGTTTTCGCACTGCCAGCCCGTGGCTCGAAATCTGATGTGGTGGGAGCATTTACCCATGGAAATTGGGAAACGCTACAGATCAAAGGTGAATTTGTTATGTTAATAATGCCAATTAAATGTAAATGTGTGTTATCTATAGCAGTTACATCGTCAGTAGCACAAAAAAAAATGGAAGAAATTGTCAAAGTAGTTAACAACTATTATCTGACTCAGCAAGGAAGTCACTCACTGACAAAGTGAAAGTCCAACATAGGTTTTTGTTGTTTCACTTTCATTTATTCCTTAAGGTAAACACAAATATCAAGCAGCATTCCTGTTGGAACTAGTCTCGTTTGTCAGTTACAACCATAGGTTGGCCGTGGATGCAAGAGTCTGGCAAAAATCAATGAAAGCCTTCTGTGGGAATCAGCTGGCTGGCTGGGATTCCCAGTTAGAGTCCTGTACGTCTCCTTTTGTGAATGGTGTGCTGCAATTCCTTTATAGCGGTCCCGTGTTTTCTAAATGCACAGATGTGCATCTGTTCGCATCCTCCCTGGCCTGGCCCTAGAGAGCCGGTGGCTCAACATTGACCAGCAAGCCCCTGCTGGGTGTCACTGAACATGGAGAGGAGGCTCCAGATGGGAGCCCTGGAGCACCTCAATGTCAGGGGCCACGAGGAGAAGGAGCTGGTAAGGGAGACGAGGGACACGCATTGGTGACGGGCAGGGAACCGTGGGAATCGACAAGGTGTGAGAGGGAGGGAGTGGCCACTGGCATCACCATTACTCAGAGGGTCCAGGAGGGATGGCCCAAAGCTGGGGGCCCTGGAGGAAGTGCCTCTCAAAGCCGGGTGGCGGGGCCAGCCACTTGCCGCAGTGTGACTTCACCTCCCCTAGTCACTTCTTCAGCTGTGCAGCTGGAGATGCAGCAATGGCACTGACATCTCGGGTCGCACAGATGAAATGGGGTGACGAGAGTAAAGGCTGGACACAGGCTCTGAGGTGCCCAGCACGTGGCAGCTCCTTCTCTCTTGCTTCCGTGGGGAGGGGAGGAGGCCTTGTCCTGGGAGGAGGGTGGAAGAGGTTGGGGCTGGAAGCTGTGAGGATGAAGGCTGCAGAGTGAACTGTGGCCTTTGAAGGTGTTGCACAGGAGACACGGGAACCCCTGCAGGGCACTAAGCAGGCAGGGACCAGGACAGAGCCATCCTGGGAGAGGCATGGGTGCTGCTAGCCACAGGAGAGCAGGGGCTGTGTGCTGAGTGCAGGGAGTAGGGAGCAGGTCTGAGGGGTCACCAACGCAGGGTGACAGGCTGGGGAGGCACAGTGGGGTGGAGGGATCTGGGACTCGGCTTTGGTCCTTGGCTCTGTTCCCCCAACCCTCCTCTGATGAGGCATCAACAAGACTGCTGAGAGCAGGGGCCCGTCCTGGATGCGAAATCTCGGGATGCAGAGGGGAGGCAGTCCCCTTTGCAGATGGCACAGGGGCAGGAGCGAGCATAAAGGAGGCTGCAGGAAGGCCCCAAAGGCCCCGCACGCACAGGCAGTTCCCCTCCTGCTTGGCCCAGCTCTGTCGTGGTCTGTGAGGTGAGAGGAGGGGTCAGGACTTCGGGGCAGGGCCTCTGAGCCTCAGCCTCGGCTCTCCAGGCCCCTGGTGCCTTCTCATTTGCCAGCTTTTTGCCCTCTAACACCTTCTGATGGGTTGGTTTAAATCAATAATGGTCCACATTGTTCAACTACTATCTATCGAGCACATGCCAACAAGCCCTTTGCCTCTGATGAGGATGAGCAGAGCCAACACTGGCTATTCCCCATAGGTCAGTCCAGTGAGGGCTGGTGCCTGCGGTGCTGTGAGCCTTGGCAGAGGATGGAGGAGCCCAGGGAGCAAGGGATGGTGTGGGCTGCTTTCCCACTGAGGCACAAGGGAAGATGTTAAGAGATACATAAATGGACATTGGACTTTTTTTTTTTTTTTTTTTTTTTTTTAAGAGAGACAAAGTTTTGCCATGTTGCCCAGGCAGGTCCTGAACTCCTGGGCTCAAGCGATCCTCCCACCTCGGCCTTCCCGAGTGCTGGGACTACAGGCATGAGCCACCACACTTAGCCTGTCGGAGTCCTTTTGATAATAAGGTGACTTGAGGAGACAGGAAGGAAACACTAAAGCCAGCACAGGGTGTCCCGGGGCAAGTGCATTCCAGGCCAGGAAGCATACGAGGCAGGATGTGCTCGGCATGTTCAAGACTTCAGGGACACCAGGGGCAGATGGAGGATGGCAGAGAATGGTGAGAGGAGGCCAGAGCAGGCAAGAGGCCTTTAGGACTCTGGCTTTTACTGAGGGACATGGACGCCGTTGGAAGGTCTGAGCTCGGAATGACCTGAGCTGACCTGTCTTACAGGGACAACTTGTCTGTGGGGGACACTGGCAGGGAGGCTGGCTGTGGCCACCCACCGCCGGGCACTGGCAACCTCGTCCTTGCCTTCCACAGTGGACCGGCCTTGGTCTGTGTGACCCACAGAATACAGACATGATGGGGAATCACCCTCCATATCAGGTTTTAAGGGAACACCATGGCTTCCATCTGGACGCTGCTCGCAGATACCGCTCTGGGGAAGCCAGCTACTACCAAGCTGTGAGCTGCTCTGTGGAACGGGCCATGTGGCATGGAACTGAGGCCTTCTGTCAATAGCCACGCGAGTGAGTCTGGAAGCAAATCCTCGCCAGGTCAAGCCTTCAGAGACGGCAGCCTTAGCTGGCATCTTGGCCACTTCATGAGACCCCGAGTCACAGCCATCCAGCTGAGCTGCTCCCAGATTCTTGACCTTCAGGAGCCGTGTGAGGTCGCTTTGGCTGCAACTTGCTACACAGCAGTAACAGCAGGATGGCTTAGGCCAGGCGGTAACAGGTAAATTGTGCATACATTTTAAAGATCAGAATTTTGATTTGTCACTAGAAGCCCATTGTGCTACAGATCCACCTCAGAATTTTTATTTTTAGGCATTTGGCAAGAGGAAGGGGGGGAGGGGCAGTGACGTGGGGAAAACGGTATGGAGGGTGTGGGGGTGGGCGGTGGCGAGTAGAGGTGGCAAGCAGTTTGGACAGGTCAAGTCTGAGAGATTCATTAGACATCCGAATGGAGCGTGAGGCGGCAGTCAGTTATAAAAGCCAGGCTCTGGGGAGAAGAAGTCGGCATTTGGATGTCTTTACATGCGAGATTCTGGCTGAGCTCAGGAGAGTGGGCACAGACACAACCTCTCAGCCCCAGGAAAGGAGAAGGAGCCCCCAGTAAGGCAGGCAGAACCTGAGCGGGGTGTCCTGGAAGCCGAGTGAGCAGCGTTCAGGAGTCCTTGTCCTCCTCCTCCTCCCCGCCACGCCCCCAGGCCGCTTGCACAGTGAGGTCTCAAGACAATTGCCAGTGTGGCTGGCAGTGGAAGGCAGTCACCTTGACGAGGGGAGGTGGAGGGAGCAAGGTGACAGCTGACTGTAAGTGAGGAAGGGGAGAAAATGTCAACAAGCTTCTCTTTAGGGAACCTTGCTTAGGGTGGGGATGCCAGCTGGGAAGGATCATGGGGTTAAGGATGGTTTTCATCTCGAAGGCCACTATCAATCAATCATCATAGCTTGGTATGTATGTGTGACGGGAAGGATGCAGAAGGGATATGCTGACAGAAGGACGCAGGAGAGGGGTCAGCTATAATGAAGACAGGGATGCCTCCGAGGTTGACATGAACCTCAAGGAATGGACATGTGAATTCCCAAGGTGGGGGTGCAGGGTGGGGCACTCAATAGGACAACGGGCATGGCCCTCCCTGATGGGTTGGCACGAGCCGTGCAGCCTAGAGCCACAGACAGTTTCCCTCCCGGGCATCCCCATCCTGGAAGAGACGGACACCGGGAGGGCCCAGAGCACCACAGATACTGCGGGCAAATCTATGACTTGAAGGCAGAGAAGACGACTTTGGGCTCTTGGATGTCGTGGTTTCATAGTGGACTTTATTGGGAAAAGTTAGTTAGTGTAAAAAACATTCAAATTAATTCATAAAATTTAAATAAGGTGATAGTAAATTATACCTTGTAGTTAATAGTAATCAATCAATCAATCACTACAGTAATCACAAATAAGGTAAAGTCTAAATTACTGCCTTAGCAAACACTATGTTGTCAGGTTTTTCTGCTGCAAGCCCAAGGCGGGAAACACTGCAGTTATTAGAAGTGAGCCCAATGATGAATTTGCATTTGAAGCTGGGAGAAAGAGGAAAAAAAGTGTGTTCTGATTATGGCATCGAGACACTGTAGCCTAAAAAAGCAACTTTATTAATGTCCTGCAGCAGCGTACATTAGTAATTATAACAATGCATTAAAATTTTCATTTCATGTCATAGAGAATCAGTTTTCTTCATGATACATTATGTTTTACTGAGTGAGTTTGTCCCTCCAGAGACCTTTCTGGGAACATGCCTTCTCCAGGGACTGCTTCCTAAGATGCCCAGGTTGCTTACCACAGGTCATCTTTGGTCATTTAAAAGCAGTCAAGCTGTCTGGACTGCACCCTCTCAACTGAAGTTGAGCCAAATTCCCTTCTCTCAAACCCTAACGCCGCCATCACTAAGAGAATGGGCATCTCGGCTTGGTCAGAGCATTACTAACAAGCTAATGTGGGATTCTCTTTGGTTATGAATTTTTATTTTTATTTAAGCATACAAAAAATACAGCTAGAAGTAGGCTCCTGCATTCTAAAAGCATTTTTAATCAACTTAAACTATGTTCTTGGAAAATTCACCACCTGGACTGGTTCAGTCTGCCCATTTCCCTGTGGAATCTAGTATCAGTGTTGTATTTAGCAAATTCATTTGAGTGACGAACAGTGACTGATATTCAGGAGCCCCGAGGGGTGGGGGCGGCCGGCCTGGGCAGACTTAGATGCTGTCCATAGCTTTGAACTCGCTGAGGGCCTGCACCGGGTTCACGTGCTTCTTCTGAGATGCCCGTTTAATCTTGGTCTGTGTCTCATCCTGTTTCTCTCTCTTCACCAATGGCTTTTTCTCTGGTGCCTTCATCTTCCATGACACAGCAGGAAGGTTGAGGGAAGCCATACCCTGTGACTTTTGGTATTTGGTAGAGGCGACGTAGGATGCCTTCACTGTCTGCACCACAGCATTCATCAAGTTCTTGGCTGCCTGGATCAGGGACATGGCGCTGTCCACCTACGAGGCAGACAGGGGTGGTAAGAAGCACCGGCCTGACCTCCAGCCTCGTGGACACAGGTGGGCTGTGCTTGAAGGGGAGCCCCCTACTCCTCTGCAAGACCAGGGCCTGGGCAGGTCGCAGAGGATTGGGCAGCAGCCTGTTCCTGAAGAACACCCTCAACGGCTGCTCTTATCTAAATAGCCTGGAAGCGCCTGCCCTCAGACCCTTTGGAGAAGACATGAGGCAACCTCGCCTTGCTCACCCCCACCCCTCAGCAAGTGTTTATTCACTCAAACCAACTGGAAGTCACTGTAAGTGATCCCAGAGCTGTAAGCACGTGGGGGAGGAGAAGCAGGAATCGAGACAGGGATGTTTATGGCAAAGCAGATGAGCAAATGGTCTCAATATGTTCAATATAAGAAGTGTTTCTTTTAAAGGAAATTCAGTGGGATTAAGAGAAGCCATGGAGGCTCGGTGGACCCCAATCCACTCAGCAAACCTCTTCTTTCCCCTGCCCTAGGTGAGAAAGGCCTCAGAACTGTGATGTGGTAAAAAGAAAGAGACGCTACCCAAGCACTCTGAGGAGTGAAGGGCTTTTGAGAAAACACCCTATCTATGTCTACTCTTAATTCCTCTCTGGGGGAAGAAAAGGAAGTTTTGTTTTGTTTTGTTGTTTCGTTTTGTTTTGAGACAGTCTTGTTCTGTTGCCCAGACGGGAGTGCAGTGGTGCCATCTCGGCTCACTGCAACCTCCATCTCCCAGGCTCAAGTAATTATTGTGTCTCAGCCTCCCAAGTAGCTGGGACTTACAGGTACCTGCCACCACGCCCGGTCCCAAGGAAGATTTTTAAAAATTCCTACCCAGTGAGTGGCCAGCAAAGGGGAGGAGGCCAGCCTTTCAGCCCTTGCAGTGCCCCGCAGGTGTCACAGTTCTACAGGGAACAGATGATGGACAGACCTTGGTCTCCAGAGACTGGGACAGGACTTGGAGTTTCTGCACAGCACACTTTCCCAGGGCAGGTGTTTATGCGGATAGGAGGTGACTTTCATTTCTGACAAGGGTCAGCACGTTCCCACTGGCCCTCTTTTTGTTCAGCTAATGCTTACCCCAGAGACAACAAGCTCCCCGCCGAGATTCTGCACCTCGGCCTTGACCTTGCTGCAGATGTTCAGCTGGTGGCAGTAGAGGGCGATGCGTTGCAGGTAGGCCAGCAGGTCCTGCTTGCAAGCCGAGTCGGGGCACTGAAGAGAGAGCAGGCTTAACACCAAGTATCCTGGCCTGGCCCAAGCACCCCCGACCCCACGGCTGTTTCTGAAAGGTTCAGTGTGGCACTCACATGCTTCCTCTCCTCTTGCTGGAGCAAAATCACCCAATTACCTGAGGCAGTCACAGCCCTTGCCTACACTCTGCTTGGGGATGGAGGCGGGTGAGCTGATGGAAGTCGTCCATGGGACCCTGACTGCGCCGCATGGCACTGGTTGTATAGCCAAGGCCTTCTGAGCCTCCCACTGACTTCCCTCCTATGACGGCGGGGAAACCACCCTGGCCAAGGATCCCCTCACCCCAAACGGCAGGGTGGAGGCCCATGCCCCTCGAGGTGAGAACAAGCCGGCTCAGCAAGCAGGAGCCTGGCTATGGAGAAAAGTCCAGATGTTTTTAGCTAAGTAAACAAATAGTTAACTCTTCTGCTCTGAGGCACTTTGCGTTATTAATGCCTGATGACAAAAGCCACTCACTGCAGGCTGAGGTGGAAGACAAGTGAGTAAAGTAAAGCAAGAAAAAAAGCAGTTGGGGATGGTCAAAGAGAAAAGGGTGGCCCCTGCCCAGTTCCTGTCTCGCTCCACATCTCAGAGTTTTAGAGGCTCCCAGATTAGGACCAGCCTAGAAAGCTTTACCCAAAGGGAGAAACACAGAGCACCTCTCAAGTGTTTATAGCAAGCAAACATTTTCTTCCAGTGAGGCTGGAGCAAAGTACACCACAGAGAGTGGTATGAACTGAGACCCCGCAGACCATACTGGAGATGAGCTGTATTCTAAGTAGTCATGGAAGCAGGGCAGAGCCATGTGATCTGCATTTTCAGATGACAGTATTGACAGCTGGATGCAGAAGGAAGTGGAGAGAGGAAAGAACAGGAAATCGGGAGCGGCCACAGTAGTCCAAGTGGCTATGGAGATCTGCAGAAAGGACAAGACTGGTTTGTGTCAAGATACATTTGGCCAATGGAAGCAATAGGCCCTATTACCGATTGTGTGGGAGTCAAGGATGCCTTTACAATCTTTGGCTTGTGTAAGGAGGCTTGTGTCTCACACATCCTGTGGCCTAGATGAGGCTGAGAGTTTGGCTATTTCAGGGAAAATGGTGGGGAGGCTTGTTAACTACAGAGAAAAACTGTAACTGAGAAAGAGCTTCTCTTGATCAGGCTTAAAACACCAAATGAAATGTATTGTACAATTTCCAGGCGGTAGGAACCGTATTTTTGTACCTATCAGTGTGAGGGAATAGGGGGATGAAGACGGGGTGGCTGAGAAACACAGTGCTGAGGATGAAGAAACCTGGGCCCATCTAGGCACACCAGCCTTCCACAGCACTGGCCACATGGCTTCTGGCTGCTCTCGGCCCCTGCCCAGAGGGGGAGAGAGGGAACTGAGACATAAGAGACAATAGCAGAGGTTAATTTTGGCTACCAAGCGATGGAAGATTCCAGGACATACACATCCGCTCTAGAGAATCCTTACAAATCTATGCTGGGATTAATAAGAACCATTTTTAGAGATGAGTGGCAAAAGTGCTGTGGCCCATGAAACTTACCCTGAATGGACCAGGCTGGGCTGCCTGAGCCCCAGGAGGAGCTTGGAGACCCACCTGGCAAGTCTGTCACTTACATGGTCTGCAATGGTGCGGCCAAGCTTGTCCATCCTGGATCCTGCCTCAGCAATTTTCTTGGCAGCACTGATGACATCCGATGTATTTTTGAGTGGTCCTTTACCTCTGAGAAGAGGGAAGAGAACAAGGATTATTGTATGTGAAGCCCCTCACAGTTGGAGTAGAAAAAGAAGATTGTCCACAAAGCCCCATGGCCTGGGCTGTCTGAGCCGCTGCGCAGGTGACCTGTGGGGAAGAAAGTAGCCCCTGTGCAGCCTGGTGGGGCCGGGGTGCTGCTCACCGGGTAAAGTCTGTCATCTCCATCATAATCATGCACATCTGCTTGGCCAGCACAATGATGTCATTGCCACTGTCGTCCCATTTGGACACTTCAGCATCCAGCTTGCTCTTTTCTTCCTGGAAGCTGGCCACCTGTTCCGCAATCTTCGCTTTTTGCTCCTGGGGAAGCTGAGCCATGATCGCCTGTGATCAGAAGCACAAAGAGCTCTTACATAAAAAGAATATGAAGTTCTCAGAGTGCATTAGCCAAGAATATTTCCAACAGGCAATCTGTGGCATAGGTAGGATAATGCTTTAATAGGTTTCATTTCGCCTGAAGGGCTATTTCTCTCATTTTTTGCAGAAACTTATGGCAGCCTGAATTTCCGACCCACTTTTGAGCACAAGTTTTAGTGTGGAAGGAAACAGCGAGGGGTGGAAGGCTAATGTGGAAGCTTTGGAATCACACCTGTGCAGGGACAGAACCTGCTTAATTCTTATTAATATAAGACAAGAAATGAGAGAAGGGGTTGATGAAAGTGTGGAGCCCTTTCCCTGGTGGGCCCTGATGGACATTTCCAACTATTCAAGATGAACTGAAAGTGGCTTTAGAATGTACACCTGAAGAAAGAGGGCTGAGAGATACCGCTGGCACTCAGGCCATACTTGAGCAACACCTGGAGGCCTGCTGCCCACCTCCAGCCCACAGACCTACGGCTGGGGAGCTCCTCCCTCTCAGCTTCCCTAAGTGCTCATGACTGAGCAGGACATAAGGCAGGGATGTGCTCGCTGTTCACGACAGATTTCCAAGGAGTGAAATCAAAGACTCCTTAGAAATATTTCTTGGCATCCTCCCCAAAACATAAATGCTATTGATTGAAGATTTAATGACTCAAATGAATGCAATGGCTCTGACTGGCTTTCTTGAATGTACCACTGTTATTTTTTAAACCCATGAATAATTAAATAGTTCATACCCATAGTATCGAGATGGACAAAGGCAGCAATCTTTTTCAAATTTCACGATCCTTTCAACAAACACTGCATTGACTAAATCTTAGCCCTTCCCTGACCCAGGGCTCTATCATAAACTAAAGCTCAGGGCACTGCAGAGGAGGCCCAGGACCTGGTCTGCCTCTAGCTGAGGAGGCTACATTTGACTAGCAGGTGCCACAACTTAGTTTAACTTCAGTCTACTGCCAGAGAGACAGAGAGAGAGAAACGGTGTTCTGAATACTGAGGGTGTTTTCCTGGAAACAAGAAAGGGGACAGGGAAAGTCGGCAGCACAAGCTGAACTGCCCCACGGAGCGCTTCCTTACCCGGGCACTCTGGCCAGCTATCAGCTGATCGTCTTCTGTCTGGACGCTCGTCCTGCTTCTGACATCAAAATCTTCTGTCTCAAAGTCAGAGTCATCCAACTCCTCAGGGGTCTGCCACCCAGACAAAGATCACAGGTCAGACACATCTCTGGGCCACCAGCCCCCAGCCACCCTGAGCCTCTTGGCCAGGTGCACGGAGGCCCAGAATTCTGGATTTTAATGTGCAGTGTTCTGAACAGTATGGTGAATAAAGTCAAAATCACTCAGCATTTGTCTCGAGCCTCTGCTTCACTGGTGCACACGCTGGGCTGCCTGGCCCACAGCAGGCCTGGGCTGGTTTCACTGTGTGTGGGGCTCAATTGCTATCACTGAGTCAATTCACTATTTCTTTGTAAGACATGATTGTTTTTTTTTTTCCTTTGAGACAGAGTCTCGCTCTGTCACCCAGGCTGGAGTGCAGTGGCGTGATCTTGGAATCAATGCAACCTCCGCCTCCCGGGTTCAAGAGATTCACCTGCCTCAGCCTCCCAAGTGGCTGGGATTAGAGGCAACATGCCACCATGCCCGGCTAATTTTTGTATTTTTAGTAGAGACGGGGTTTCACCATGTTGGTCAGGCTGGTCTTGAACTCCTGACCTCAGGTGATCTGCCTGCCCTGGCCTCCCAAAGTGCTGAGATTACAGGCGTGAGCCACTTGTGCCCAGTGACATAAGGTTTTTACTTCCTAATTTACTTCCCCAACACCGGCATTTTAAGACAAAGATGAGAACTGTCCTGGGTAGAAAAGGTACTGACTTAAAAATAGAGGTGTTTTGTATAGTATTAAGCGGATTTGTATAACTTTCCTACTTTATGACAAAAAGAAAATTAAATAACTGGGCCTTCTGTTAGGGTACCAAGGCTGCTTGGAGGAGTAAAAATAGGCAATGTATTTTAAAGTATTCTTTTGACTTTCATCAAAAGAAAAGAGGGGAGAATATGGCAGGTGAGGGCTGAGTAAATACCCAAGGGACTGATTACTGGTCCTAGCTCTTTGCTTTAATTATGAAATAAAATTCTTATTTTGTACCAACTACCAGCCTCTCATGATTAGCTACTGACTTGAAACATAATGTTGTCCTCTGGCAGTTATCAGTAAGGGGGCAGCAGGCAGAACAGCTGGGGTTGGCGCTCAGCCCAGCCGGCTGGCCTGTGACAGGAGGGCAGTGAGGCGAGTCTCTCGTCTGTGTACCAGGACATAGTCCAAGCCCAGCCCAAGGACTTGCAGTGAGGTTCAAACAAGAAGATATGCAAGAAACATTCTGGAACCACCAAGAACGTGCTGTGCAAAGGCTGGGCCTGTCCCTTGATGAGGTGAGAACAGTGGACGCTCACGCAGGGGACCAGACAGCATGTCGGTGTGAGGTCCTGGAGGCCGATGGACTCGGTGGCACAAAACACAATGCCAGCACTGACAGTTTTAACGCTGCAGTCACACATGCCTTCGGGACTGGCATGCAATCAATCAGTTAAGGGGCTTTTCAAAGGACCACCTCCTAACATCATCTCTACCTCCCCAGCACCCCATCGCAGACCCAAGAACCGTTCTTGCCAAGAAAACCGAGTACTCTCATTCATTCATTCATTCATTCATTCATTCATTCATTATCTCTCTGCCAAGCACTGTTCTGGGCCCTAAAGATACAAAGTGACAAACAGACAAAAATTCCTCTCGCATATTCTAATGGAAGAAATGACAACAAAGTAAGCAAATGAATTATATGACACATCAAAAGTGACCAGTGCTATGAAGAAAGCAGTGATGAATAAAGGGAGATTTTAATTCTATATGGGTGTTTGGAAAAGTCTCACGAGAAGGTGCTCTCAAGGAGGGGGAAGGGGGGGCGGGTGGCAGCATAGAGGCCGTGGGGAAGGGGCATTGGCCCAGGGAACTGCGTGAATAGCAAGGAGGCCACAGAAGGGGGGCTTAGCTCACTGCCCCCATGTCACCGGCTTGCCTGGAACCCCATGAGTACAAGAGGAGATCAGCAGGAAATAAGGTTGGAGAAGTGACAGGTTCCAGTCCCAGAAGGCCTCGTAGGCCAGCATAAAGAATGAGTGACGTGGCGGCCTGTGGAGACGCTGGCACAGAGGATAACATGATCTGATTGAAGCTTACAGAAATCGCTCTGGCTGCCCTGTGGCTCATGAGACTGTAGGCACCCAGGATGGGAACAGGGAACCAGCTGAGTGGCACCTGCATGAACCCGGGTGAGAGGTGCTGGTGGCTTAGACGAGGGTGAGAACATGTTCAGGTTCTCTACTGTGAACGGAGAGCCAAAAGAATTCACAGATAAAGCAGATGTGAGGTATGGGACAAAAGGGAAATAAAAGATTCGAGGTCTGGGCCCGAGCAAGGGAAGACGGAGTCACTATCAACTAACATGTGCTGCCTGGGTGGAGCAAGTGAGAGGGAGGAGGCAAGGTGCGCAGACAGGTGTGGAACTTAGGAGAGTCGGCCTCTAGACAGGACTCTGAAGAGGTCAAGGACTTCCCAGCAGGCCACACCCGTGTTTCACAGGCTGAGGAGATGGGGAGAAACCAGCCAAGGAGACTGAGAAGGGGTGTGGGTCAAGAGACTTTTTTTTTCCCCCTAAAAATGGGAGAAATCATCATAGGCTTGGGGAAAGGTACAGGAGGCAGGGGGTGAAGAAGCTGGGATCCTAGTACAAAGACGTGCAAGGGATGGCCTTGGCCAGAAGCACCGAGAGCAATGCCCATGGTGCTAGGAGGAAGGTAGAGCACACAGACATGGGATGCAGAGGGGTGGACGCACTAACTGCCTCAGTATCCTCAACGAAATCGGCAAGTGGGCCAAACAGGACAGGGGCACAGGTGTGGGTGGGTGGGTGGACGCCTGTTGCAGGGCAGCAAGGGCGCACAAATGGCCGCGGCTTCTGCGGCTCCATCAGCGTGGCTGTGGCCATCTGCACTGTGCTCAGGAGAGCAGGATCTTGCCAGGACTGCACCTTGCAAGGCAGGTGTGAGGAAACAGCAGGGCAGAGGAGTGAGTATATTCAACTATGGACTCAAAGCTAACAAAGGACTGAACCAAGGACACAAGGGGCTGAGTGACACATGGGGAGGACCAACTGACTGAAGACCCCACAGTAGACTCAAAGGCTCGCTGGGAGTTGCAGGACTCGAGGGCGCAACCTGAACAATAGATCTAGGCTGCTGGGGATGACAAAGACAATGGCAGGCAGTGACAAAAGCTGAGGTACAGCTATGGCCGTGAGGTTGAGGTGGAGGAGGACAAGACATCAAGAAACTGAGAGGCCCAGGGGCTGGATGATTCTTGAATGAAGACAGGAATAGTTGTCAGAGAGCAGGACGGTATGCCGGGAGCTCAATCACAGATGCCATAGAGGCCCCTTTCTCCTCTGCCCCTGCGACAGAGGCCCTCCAGGCACTCTGGCTATGGGGAAAGGGGCTCGGCACTTGGCCATGAGCCTAGGAGCATCACCTGGGGCCGCTCCTCCCCCCAACACCCTGGGGTTCCATCATCCCGTCTGCCTGCAGCCCCTCCGAAGAGAGGGGCACTTCATGTGAACAATAACTTGAATCCGCATTATGAAAATACTTCCTTCTCTGATACTAGCTTGAGAACCATTATTTTCTATAATTTCCTGCCTAACTCAAACTGAAGCCTCATGTTGTAGAGACTGTTTATCCTAAATTAAATCGTCAACTCAGGCTAGCTCCCCTTCTTGGCCCAAGTTTGGGCTCTAACTTGCAACTAACAGTCATTTTAGACAACGTAATTAAATATATCTCATTCTAACAGCTTTTAGATTCATGGTTTTAATATACTGCCACCGCATCTGCCGAGTTCTAGAATGACGCATTGCTCAAGTTTAGCAAATGATAAGAAAGAAGCTGTTAAGACGTCTGAAATGCAGTTACTCACCCTTATCATCAGCACTGCTTTCCTGATGTCCCGGATGCCATCATATACCAGGCGGGAAGCATCGATAAACTCATTCTCATCCATGGGCTGGGCAGGGTCCGAGCTGAGGGCTTCCACGGCTGCTTCTACTTGCTCAGTAAAACGTGGCATGACTGTGGAGAAAGAGGCACAGTAGATACCCTGGTCAGCAGGCAGCATCATTCCCCTGGCCCTCCCTGAATCACTCAGCTAGACAGAAAGAGGTGAGGCTTATGATGAGCCTCTGCTTCTACCTGTGTGAAGGGTATTTACAGTTGAAATAAATTAAATGCAGTATTTTACGACTCAAATCATCTTTTTCTCTGCAACAGAGATTGGATGGTTGAGAACTTGAAGTGAGACTAACTTGAAGCCTTGCTTAAGAATGGGACCTACCTTAATTTAGTCTTTACTCACTAATAGGAGATTTAACTCAGAAATTCATCTTAAATCGTGTGTTTAGAATTAGTCCCGTGATTACTCATGAGATACAGATGAAGAAAATATGCTTGTGAGGCCTGAATTTGGCTATGACCAGCTTCTCAGGAGCCCGATGTGCCATGAGACCAAATCTGAGTTCCCAACTCCTCCTTCCTCACCACAGGGCTGGGCTAATGGGGTGGCCTGCCTCACTGAGGCTGCGGTGTGTGCGAGCACTGGAAAGGGAGAGTTCCCGTACCTGTGTTGGAGAGCAGCTTAGTGGCTTCCAGAACCTTCTCTGTGTAGACTCCTGGCTCATAGTTGTCCATCTCTGAGGTGACTACGTGAATGACCCGGGCTGCCCGGCCTCGAATTGCACCAGCTGTGCGGTCCAGGCCATCCACATCCTTCTCTTGGAGAGCAATGACACATTTGTTCACATCTTCCAAAATGTGATTCTCTGGAGAACAAGCAAAAAGTTGAATGAGGAAGGAGGCTTTCTATGAAAAGGTGGCAACTGTAAGCTGGCATCTATCATTTATTGTTTGCTTGGTGCCAGCCACAGTGCTGAAAGTTTTACATATACTTCATTGGAGAGACCAGTGACTAGTGACAGAGACAGAAACTAAACCTGTTATCACCCCCAAGAATAACAATCTTCATTCCAGGTTTTTAAAAAAAAAAAAACAAAAAATAAAAAACACACACAAAAAAAACAGGAGACATGCCCATCTTTGAGACACAGCTGTTCTGTAATTTTCTGGCAGAAAATTATCATAGAAGCATCAATAACTTATCTTCCTCTAGCTTCACTGACTCTATGTCCCAAATAAAGGAAAGGCTAAATTAGAACAAAAGTCCACTGTCCCCTCTCCCTCTCCTTCCAGGAGATGCTGATGATATTCAGACAATCTACCAAGAAGCCAGTACAGCCCTGGGATAGGAGAAGGTGCTGGAAAGCAGGTTGAAGCCTCCTCTAGAGGACCCTGAGGTGTGAGATGAACTATTTAATAACCCTCTTCATGGTACACAGATGGGCTTATTGTGATATTTGAAGGGTCCCTAGAGGTGAAAACCCCTGACTCCTATGAAGCTGATGGGTGGCTCCTAACAGTCATACAGCTGAATTTGGGCAACACACCAAAACTATTTTTCCTCAAAGCAAAAAGCCTGACACTATAAATTTTTAGGAACCCCACCACAAAGGGTTTGCTCGAACTCATCTGTAGTAACAACGTGAAAGCAACCAAAATCTCCAAGAGAAGGGTGGATAAATGAATTATGGGAACTATGCAGCCATTAAAGTGGATGATACAGATCTAGAGGCTGAGGCGGGAGGATGGCTTGAACCCAGGAGGCAGAGGTTGCAGTGAGCCAAGATCGCGCCACTGCATTCCAGCCTGGGCAACAGAGTGAGACTCTGTCTCAAAAACAAAAGCCAAAACAAACAAAAAACACCTTTCCAGGGAAGGCCAGGAAACAGTAAGAATTCTTATTAGAGAAGGGAAAACTAGATTACTGCAATATAGTTAAGACCATATTTTGGTCTCTATTAATTACAAATTATGAGACTTGCCAGGGTTTATACCACTGAACTAATGAAAAGAGTAAACATATTAAACTTCTAACATAAACACATTTTAAGAGGGATATTTAAACCAATTACAAGAATAAATGGATTTGGAGCCCATCACAAGCATTTTTAAAATATATAAACTCTAATAATTCAAGCTAAACAAATGTACTGAGCAGGACTACCATACGAGGTCTTGGGTTAAAAACTGCTGCTTTACTGGATCTAACACAATACCGTTAAGATGAAACTTGCATTGCTAAGGAAAGGAAAGGAATACAATTGAAAGAAATCATGTTGATAGCAAAACTAAGAACCAGTGTTTTCTCATATCATTGATTTTAAGACTCATCCCTATTTCAGAATCAATGAAGTATGGCATTCCTTTCCGTTCAAAAGTGACCCAAACTTCCACCAAGGATTTTTTAACCTTTGTCTAGATACTTCTACGGTTTTTTTTTTTTTTAATCCATTTAGACTTTCTTGAATTCATCCTGGCCGCCTTCTAGATGAACCTAAACCAGGAAAGAGTGTGCCATTTTTTAGAGTAATATTCCCCACTTCAGGAAGCTGACCAAAGTAATATTCTCTACCCTCATGAAACACTTGTCTCTAGGAAAGCCCCAGCCTCGCTGAGGCTACCACACACCCAGGACAGAGCACCCAGCCTGCTCTCCACAACTGAACCTGATGGGGGGAGGTGCGAGTCCACTGTTCAACAGAGGGGGACAGGCTCTGCCCACACTTAACTGAAACCATACATCATTTTAGCTAAGGAAACAGCATAGGTCCACTATGAGTAGACACAACAATCTGTACCCATGAACAACTGTTCAATACATTATTTATAGGTGTGCTTCTAATAGAAAAAAATTCATACACATACATATAACAGTCCATACAAAATACAGACAACTATATGTAAATGAATATAAAAGGAATTATATTATGGACACTATTGTATCTTTTTCACTTGAAAACCTTTCTAGGTCTGGCCCTACAGATCTACCTCATCCATTTTAATGGCTGCATAGTACCCTACTGAATAGATGGAGGGGCTATAATTCACTTATTCAGTCTTTCCTTAGACATTCTGGTTGAAGAAAACATCCTTATACAGGTATTTTGGCAAATATTTGTGACACTCCCCTAGAGAAAATGTCTAGCAGTTAGATCACGAGTTAAAAAGCATATATGTTTAAAGTAGAAGTATGGTACCTAATTGCCCCCCAGGAACCATGCCAACTGGCATTCTCCATAAAAGATGTCAGAATGTCAGTCTACAACGTGTAGCAATAGAGCCTCTTCTTTGTACCCTCTGCCCTGGGTATCTTTATGGCATGCAGCGTATGCAGGGCTGCTGCACACAAAGAAAATGAAAACAATGTTTCATACTTTATGTAGAGGATTTACCCTGTGACATGAACTATTCTGATGGCTTGCCATGTAAACTATATAGTAGGCTTAAAAAAAAAAAAATCACCGGCCGGGTGATTTTTGATTACATGGTGGCTCATGCCTGTAATCCCAGCACTTTGGAAGGCTGAGGGCGGGCAGATCACGAGGTCAGGAGATCGGGACCATCCTGGCCAACATGGTGAAACCCCGTCTCTACTAAAAATACAGAAATTAGGTGGGTGTGGTGACAGGCACCTGTAATCCCAGCTACTCAGGAGGCTCAGGCAGGAGAATCGCTTGAACCTGGGAGGCAGAGACTGCAGTGAGCCGAGATCATGCCACTGCATTCCAGCCTGGTGACAGAGCAAGACTCCATCTCAAAAAAAAAAAAAAAAAAAAAAATCACCACTAATCTAACTTCACCACTTCCTCCAAAGAGAGAAACTGTCTATAGTTTAGCATTTCTGCTATTAAACACAAAACCAACATTTAGGTACAATAATAATTAGGTATTTAATGACCTCCCAATCAGACCAAATTCTTTGGACACTGACACTTAATGAAGGAAAGTACAAATTACCACTCCAAGTGTTGCTCCAAAGCATTTAATGCATATATATTGTTTCTAAGAGCATTTAGTAAAAAATTTAATAAACCCAATTAGAGCTTCTCTAAGCAACCACTTGCATCTTCAAAAAAAAGGGAGCCAAAACTGCAACATGTAAGCACAGAGAATGGAAATCAATAACATTTCCGTGGAAAACGTTTATCAAATACAATCCAAGTGAAATTCAAAGAGTCTTTATCACTTTGATGAATTTCAAACCACTCTCCTTAAGGGATTGGTCAATATAAATATATTCTTGGTCTGCTGAATGCCAGCATCTTAAACCATCTCCAATATTTACAAGGCAGCATTTGGGATAGAATAGCTTGGGGGTGAGGAGACCCTACCCCTCCTCCCTGGAGGTTATCATGCATATTCCTCTTTTTCTATGCAAGTGCGACTGTCACATATTTGACAATGATCAAAGTTCCCCCCGCCCTACAGCCTCATAAAATGCTGGCATCGGGGTCTTGGTGGCTGCACCAGGTTATACACAAGATGACCATTACTTTTTGAGCCACAAATCAGGACATGACTTGTTCTAAGTATGAGGGAATTTCTGGAGCCAATGGGGCAGAATATCCAGAACAAAGGAGCTGAAGCCCTACTCCATAAACGATTTCCTCTTGGACAGGTTCTCAGTGACTGGACAGTGCTATAGCCAATATCCAGGCCCCATGGAGTGTAAGAGAATTTGATGGTGGAAAATCACAAATGCAAATACTACATAAAACCTCTCACTCTGTACCAAAGGGCCTCAAGCCCCAGGAGACAGTAGAAAACAACCACTCCAAGAAGTCAGGGTGCATCCCTGCTGTTCATTTAGTAAAAGCTATGAAGCCCACCTACCTCAAAAGCCAGATCCTGTGCTGGGCACTTGCCAGGCAGCCCCTACTCAAAAACAAGCCCATCTCACTATGGGTCCACCAAAGCACCGCTATGCTTTAGGGCCAGGGGACACTGGCAAATGTGGCAGGGCCACGTCAGGGCCAAGATGTGGCTTCCCATCTAAATACTGCCCGTGACTGCTGCAGATGACACCTGCCTAGGCTGTGTGTCAGGAGCGATGGGGAAATATCTCTAGTCCCCCGAAATAAAAAGTGTGACACCTAGACCGGGCACGGTGGCTCATGCCTGTAATCCTAGCACTTTGGGAGGCTGAAGCGGGTGGATCACCTGAGGTCAGGAGTTTGAGACAAGCCTGGCCAACATGGTGAAACCTTGTCTCTCCTAAAAATACAAAAAATTAGCCAGGCATGGTGGCAAGCACCTGTAATCCCAGCTACTCGGGAGGCTGAGGCAGGAGAATTGCTTGAACTACTGAGAGGCAGAGGTTGCAGTGAGCCGAGATCCCACCATTGCACTCCAGCCTAGGCAACAAGAGCAAAGCTCCGTCTCAAAAAAAAAAAAAAAAAAAAAAAAAATTGCCAAAGCTACCATGGGTAAGGGATGTACGTAAGAACATAAAGGAGTCTGAATGCTGAAAATTAACTGGTCATCCCAGTAGAAACCTGCACAGGCATCTGCTTGTCTCCGCATATTACATAAATCAGAGGAGTTATGAAGAAAGGCCTTGCCCTATTAATGATTTAATTACGTAACATTCCTAAGCAGGGCTGTGACAGAACATCAGAAAAACACACCAGGTAGACTTCTAAAATTCAGATGCTCTGAAAACACCACCACCTTTGACTGAAAGAATTGTTCCATGATTTTATTTGCTAAATAGAAACTGTCTAAACTCCTTTCCATCAAATCAATCCCTCTTATACTCTCATACATTTGCATAAAAACTGAACACACTCACCAGACAACAGTGTATCTGTTAAAAGAATTTGATTTCTCTTTTCCATTCTTTTATGTCATATGCCCTAAAGATATTGCCTAGAATCCACTAAATGCTGCTGCAGAATCCCTTTTCTTCACTGATTTGACGAATGGTGCATGAGGGACATCTGATGCTGTTACATTTTATTTGGCTGTAAGGAGGACTGAAAATCCCTTGAGACCAAGCCTGAGACATACCCAACCTAATCTCAAAAAAGTAACTTTAAGAATGTAGTATTTATCCGGAGGGGGGCTTTGCATTTAGATTTCAGAATTTGTTGTTTGCTTAAAAGTGTGCTGTGAAGGTGGAATGTTTTTCTCTAAACCAATGAAAAAGAATAATTCAGTACTTCATTGGGAAAAACAACAGAAGGCCAAGATTTCCCAAAAAAGCCATTGCTGCATTTCTGGCACCTGCAAAGATGTGCTTGCAAATGAGATTTTTGTTTTAAAGTACCAACACCTGCAATTTGGCAGTCCTGCAGCAACATGGTTTACCCCCTACTTTTTGCAGTTTACAGATGGCTTGCTCCCCAGTTTCTCAAGTTAAGCCAAGGCTACCCATCCTAAGGAGAGAGTGTGAAGACAGGGAGGCATTGGTATGCAGAACACACAGTCACCCTTATATAGGTCACTGCTGGAGGACTGTGCTGTGCATGTACTTAAGCCCCGCTTCTGTTTCAAGCCCTACTGCCACGTTCTAGCCCGTGGTTCCCTGGGGTGACAGGTAGTTTCAGCCCTACAAAAACTTAGCCACTGATTCTGCCCACAGCCACTGGCCTCAGGAAGTCTGGCACTTTCAGAGAGCAAGCCATGCAGCCAAGGGCAACAGAGGTCCCGTTAAATGGAGAATGCATTTATAGTTACTCAACTCTAAGAAGATGGGATTGAAATTTATCTCTGTGTGATAAACACTGAATTGCATTTGACAGATATTTTCTATATGAATGCAATTTACTAAGTCATTACCAGTTTATGTTTATATAATGAAATCAACTGTTTTTGTGAGGTGAATTACCCAGATTTATTTTTTCAAGTTCATAATTAAATGGCACTTAAATATTTCCTCTCTGTTTTCTATCTGTGCATCATGCAGACAGAAAGTCTTTGGAAAAGTAGGCAGATAAACTATGACTATGATCATTTCTGAGAGACAGAAGAGAGGCTTTCCAAGAAGGGAAGAAATTATTTTAAAAAAGAAACTAAAGGTGATGGTGTTGAGAATCCCTTCTTCTCCTAAGTTTCATAGGCTGATAACAAATAACCACAGTCTCCACCAAGACACAGATCAATGTTTTTTCTAAACACAATGGCAGCAAGAGGGATGGATGGTCCTGGTGTTCTACCGGTCCCAGTTGAAAGACCTCACTCTATACAAGCAGGGATAAGCCTTTGCCAGCCAGGTTTCTAATTCATGCTCCTAGGATTCAGACCAGCCCTATCAAGGGAAACATCTCCAACCCCAGCTACTTCCTAGTAGCTGAGAAGCTGTCACTTGAAAACCCTGTAGCTGATAGCTTTTTTAACATTAAAATGAAAACCAGCACAATATTATTGTTAGAATAATTTACCTGCCAAGACATAGCAGTGTTTGCCCATTAATACAACTTAGACAAAAGTAATTATGAACATCTTCACATACTTCTCTGGGGAACCAGCTCATTACCTGAGACAGCCAAGAAGTCATCAATGGAAGTAATGTCATCGACAGCATCTGTGAGAACACGGACTTGTTTTTCCCATTGTTCTTTAAAAAGATCCATGTTCTCTTGGGCCAGTTTACTCTGTGGTTTTGCTGCTAAAGCCAGTGCAGCATTAATAACCTGCAAAAGATATTAAACTTCACTGTTTACTCTTTTTCAGAGTCATGGCTTTGTCTTACATGCATTTCACTAGGAGACATCACACCACATGCTCTATCCTAACTATCACAAAGATGAAGGGGAAGAGTGTAAAACAGTAAGTTTTATATGGTGAAGTTGAATTAATACATATTTTATTTGCAAACTATAGACAATGATAAAACAAATAAAAACTGTACTAGCTTCATTCATGGTGGCAAGCCTACCATTTTCAGTGACACTAAATTCTAGACTTTTTTCTCCTCATATAGACACATATATAGCCACATCAAAAAATACACAATTAGAATTATATGCCACTTAAAATGGACTATACTGATTCTTACTTTAAATGCTTCTCCATATCATTAAATATATGTTTAAAACACTAAGTATATATTCTATGTTATGGACACACTGTTATTCTCCTATTGTAGGATGTCTGGGTTGTTCTGGTTATCCATCACTACAAATATCTTGTGATAAAAATGTGGCATTTCAGGTTCTCGATACATTATCAAAATGTATTCATGAAAAATACATTGCATCTAAGCATAAGTATTTTTCATTTTCTTTTTAATGGAGTCATATTTGACAAACAAAAAACTGCTCAAAAAATGTATAATCTATTAAGGTTTAAAAATAATTTTAGGCCAGGTGTGGTGGCTCACGCCTGTAATCCCAACACTTGGGAGGCCAAGGCGGTCAAATCACCTGAGGTCTGGAGTTCGAGACCAGCCTGACCAACATGGTGAAACCCCGTCTCTACTAAAAATACAAAATTGGCCGGGTGTGGTGGCACACGCCTGTAATTCCAGCTACTCAGGAGGCTGAGGCAGGAGAATCACTTGAACCCAGGAGGTGGAGGCTGTGATGAGCTGAGATCATGCCACTGCACTCCAGCCTGGGCAACAAGAGTGAAACTTGTTGTCTCAAAAAAAAAATAAATAAAATAATAAATAAAAATAAATAAATATTAATTTTAAAGCCTGGATAACATAGTGAGACCCCATCTCTATAAACAATAAAGAAAATGAGCTGGGCATGGTGGCACACACCTGTAGTCCCAGCTACTTGAGAGGCCAAAGTGGGAACACTGCTTGAGCCCAGGAGGTCAAGGGTGCAGTGAGCTGTGATCACACCACTGCACTCCAGCTTGGGCAACACAGTGAGACTCCACCTCAAAAAGACAAACAAGCTGGGCGTGGTGGCTCGAGCTCGTAATCCCAGCACTTTGGGAGGCTGAGGCAGGAGGACTGCTTGAGCCCAGGAGTTCGAGACCAGCCTGGACAAACAGGACGACTCTTGTCTCCAAAAAAAAAAAAAAAGACAAAAAACAGCTTTATTGAGATAAAATTCACCTATCTACAATTCACCCATTTAAAGGACACAATGTCATTGGTTTTTTAAAGTATATTTGCAGTTGTTCAACATTCACCACATTCAGTTTTAGAACATTTTCATCACTCCAAAAAGAAACCCCATCCATATCCATTAGCAGCCATTTCCCATTAACTCTCCTTAGCCCCTTCTTTTTTTTTTTTTTGCAACCACTAATTTGCTTTCTATCTCTATGGATTTGTCTATTCTGGATATTTCAGATAAATGGAATCATGTAACATGTGGACTTTTGTAACTTGCTTTTTTCACTTAGTGTGTGTGTGTGTTTCTTTTTGAGACTGAGTCTTTCTCTGTCGCCCAGGCTGGAGAGCAGTGGCGCGATCTCAGCTCACTGCAACCTCCCTCTCCCAGGCTCAAGCGATTCTTGTGTCTTAGCCTCCCAAGTAGCTGGGATTACAGGTGTGTGCCACCACGCCAGGCTAATTTTTGTATTTTTAGTAGAGACGGGTTTTCACCATGCTGGCCACACTGGTCTTGAACTCCTGACCACCTCCCAAAGTGCTCGGATTACAGGCATGAGCCACTGCTCCTGGCCTAACATAATGTTTTCAAAGTTCACTCATGTGTAGCATGTACCAGTACTTTGTTCCCTTTTGTTGATGAATAAGATTCTGTTATATTACCATGCCACATTTTACTTAGCCATTCATCAGTTAATGAACATTTGAATTATTGCCACTCTTTGACTATTATGAATCATGTTGCTATGAACGCTCATACACGTTTCTGTGTTTTTACTTCTCTGGGAACGGAGTAGAACTGCTGGGAAATATAGTAAACTTTGTGCTTAAACTTTTGAGAAGCTGCTTTACCTTTTTCTAAAGTGGCTGTACCATTTTACATCCCACCAGTGTGTATGAGGGTTACAGTGCCCTACATCTTCCCTAACACTTGTTATTTTCCCCCTTTTTGGTTAATTCTAGCCATGCTAGTGGATCTGAAGTGACCACCATCCTGATAGCTGATGATGTCAGGTACCGTTCATATGTTTATTGTCCATTTGTTTATATTCTTTGAAGAGATGTCTATTCAGATCCTTCGGCTGTATTCATTGAATAAGTGAATAATGAGAGTAGTATGAAAATGCGCTGAGAGGATAATTAGTAGGATTCCTAGGTACAAGGTGCTTATGGGTTATTAGAAGTAAATGTATTTATTTTATTTTATTTTATTTTAGAGACAGAGTGTCCCTCTGTTGCCCAGGCTGGAGTGCAGTGGCGCAATGTCAGCTCACTGCAACCTCCACCTCCCAGGTTGAAGTGATTCTTCTGCCTCAGCCTCCCGAATAACTGGGACTACAGGCGCCCGCCACCACATCTGGCTAGTTTTTTGTATTTTTGGTAGAGATGGGGTTTTATCGTGTTAGCCAGGATGGTCTCGATCTCCTGACCTTGTGATCCACCCGCCTCGGCCTCCCAAAGTGCTGGGATTACAGGCAGGAGCCACTGCGCCCGGCCCAGTAAATGTGTTTATAATCATGCAACTTGGGAAGGAAGCAAAGACAAGAGGAAACTGCTGGACCTGGATGAGGCAGGAGTGTGGGGGCAGCCCTGAGTGGAGGAGTCTGGGGTGATTTTTCAGATGCTTTGGATCATGGGTGTAATTCCCAATTTATTGGAGGGGTATTCAAGAATGTTGTAACTTAGCCCTCCAAAGGCTGGAGGTGAAAACAGACTAAAGACGACTCAGGCCCACTAGATTGGTGCCGCTATTCCTCTTCCCTCCTTAATACTTAGAACTGGTAGATTATCAGACTGTCAATTATAGATTCACAGGCACAGGGAACTAAGCCATCCCAGTTTATGAACTATTAATAGCCCAACACTTCCATAAGTGCCTGGGTTTAGGCAATAATTTGGAAGAAGAGATCCTTGTTTTTCTCACGTTATGCTGTGGTCTCCCACACTTTCATCCAAAAGACTTATTCCTTCCTGTCATTCCTTATCCACTACATGTGTTCACCATTGTAAGACCACTTTCTTCATTAATTAACTCATTAATTCAATAATGTATCCATGTATCAGAGTGGAGCTATACACTGTAAGAATATTTGGCTAGTGAAAATGTTTCCGAAGAGAGCCAAGTAAACATGGGCAGGGAATTAATCACACGTTTTACTTATTTTTCACTACAAAGGGAAAAATGCTTTCTTTGTAATATATCGCATACAGTATAATGAGGGGAAGCACCTTGCCTAAGGTTAGTTTTCTCATTTTGATTACAAAATTGTGTACAAAAGACAGCTGATAATATTAAATACTCATTTCTGATTACTCTTACTAAATTTGGAATAGAAAGAGGTGTCCTGGCTGAGCACAGTGGCTCACGCCTGTAATCCCAGCACTCTGGGAGGCCGAGGTGGGGGGATTGCCTAAACCCAGGATGCCAAGGCTGCAGTAAGCCATGATCATGCCACTGCACTCCAGCCTGAGTAACCATGAGACCCTGTCTTTAAAAAAATATATAGATATGTCCTTAACATGCTACTTTAATCATCCAACATGACACTGAGCTGTGAAACTATAAAATCATTTACCTTAAAAAATCAAGATGTTATTAATTGGAATACTTACTGTCACCATTGGTTAAATAATAATATAATGGACTTTCTAGCCAAAGAAATAAGGTGAGAAATGAAAATAATAGGAAAAACTGTTAGAAAAATGAGAAAAATCACATACTCCAATGCAAATTACACAGAAAATTGAAGTACATCAACTGAATTTTTTTTTTTTTTTTGAGACAGGGTCTCCCTCTATCGCCCAGGCTGGAGTGCAGTGGCATAATCTCAGCTCACTGCAACCTCCGCCTCCCGGGTTCAAGTGATTCTCCCACTTCAGCCTCCTGAGTAGCTGGGATTACAGGTGTGTGCCACCACACCTGGCTAATTTTTGTATTTTTAGTAGAGATGAGGTTTCACCATATTGGTCAGGCTGGTCTGGAACTCCCAACCTCAGGTGGTCAAGGTGCTGGGATTAGTGAGTGATGTGAGCCACAGCACCTGGCCTGAAAAAACTCTTAGAATAAAAGTTCATTAATGTAACTAAAGACAATATAAAATAGTAAAAACCAACAGCCTTTCTATATGCCAGGAAAAAAAACAGAATACAAAATGAAGGGAGGGTCAGATCTCTCACAAAGCATTTCAAACGAAATATGTAAAGGTTAAATCTGTAAAGAAACGAACAGTTTCAACGAAACTGAATGAAAGTTAAAAAACAAAAACAAACAAAAAAAAACTGAACGAAAGTTAAAAAAAAAAAAGTCACTTCAGTTATATACTAAGTCGCCATATATACTAAGTCACCATTAGTCACAATATTTATGTCTTAGAAAACTCTATTTCAAAATAACAATGGGAGACGTCAACCTATAAATTCAATTATGTATGTCTGTATTTAAATATATATTACAGATTAAATATACAGTATTAGGTAAATCAATAAGGAAAACACCAAAACAGCAGTAGAAAAACAGGGACAGGAATGGACCACTTACTTAAGGTAAAGTGTAAATGATGAGAAAACAGCTATTGGTTGGGGGGAGTTTACTCTTACTTATATAATTTTAAAAATGGAAATTCATGTTACTATTAAATTTGCAAGGAGCCCCCAACTAGGCACGATCACTGTACTGATCGTAACTTTTAAAATGCTGTTGTTGGCTTGAGCCCCAGTACAGTGTGACATAAGGGTGGCAAGGGTGGACGTCCTTGTCCTATTTCTGATCATACAGGGAAAGCATTCAGTTTTTACCATTAAGTATAATGTTAGCTATCAACTGTTCATGGAGATTCTTTATCAGGCTAAGGAAGTTCCCTCCTTTTCCTAGTTTGTAAAGTGTTCTATCAGGAATGGATGTTGGATTTTCTCAAACACTATTTCCGTTTTGTTTCCATCATTCTGGCTATTTTGTCTTTGTCTCCTTTGCTCTCTCATCTTCTTCTAAGGTGTTGGGATTTCCTCAAAGCTCAGTCCTATGCTGCCTTCTCTCCTCTTTCTACTCTTCCCACCCCTGGGCAATCTCATCTAATCTTTTCCTAGAAACTCCCCCGCTTTTTTTTCTTTCACTTGGCTTCTAAGACACAGTCAGCTTCCGGGGCTCTGGTCCTGACAGTGCTTCCTCAGGCTCCTGTGCTGGCCACTGCTCACCTCCTGAAACTCTCAATGTTAGGGACCCCAGTTCCACTCCCAGATCTTTCCTTCACGTAGACTCACTCCCTTGGTGATGTCTCACATTTACACATCCTGTTCAGACCTCTGCCCTCAACATGACATGCATCTTGCATGTCTAATAGGCACCTCAAAAATAACATGTCCAAAACTTATCTCTTTCCCCAAACCATCTTTCCTTACCAAAATAAATGGGAACTCCGTCCTTCCAGCTGCTTAGGCTCCAAACTGTGTTATATTCCCTGACTCTTTTTCTCTCTCACCTCACATCTAATCCTTCAGTAAAGTTCACCTTCAAAATATATCCAGACTCTAACCAGTGCTCACCATATCCACTGTACTCTTGCCTGGATTAGTACAATACCATCTGTTTTAGTCTACTATTGCTTCTGTAATAAATTACCACAAATGTAGTGGCTTAAAACAACACAAATCTATTATCTTACAGTTTCTGGACATCAGAATTCTGAAATGGGTCTTACAGAGCTAAAATCAACAACATTATCATCAAATCTGTGTTCCTTCTGGAGGTTCTAGTGAAAAAGCCAGCCCTTAACTTCTCCAAATTCCTGAGGCTGCCCACATTACTTGACTTGTGGCCAGCCTCTGCTTCCATCACTGTATTTTCTTCTCTGCCTCTGATGCCCCTGCCTCCCTCATATAAGGACACTTATGATTATATTGGGGGGGGGTCCACTGGGATAATCTAGGATAATCTTTCCATCTAAAGATCCTTAATTTATTCATCCCTGCAGAGTCCCCTTTGCCATGTGAGGTGATACATTCCTGGGCTTAGGGAATTAGGAAATTGACATGTTTGGGAGGCCATTATTCTGTGTACTGCAATTTCCTAAAGAGCCTCTCTGCTTCTTTCCCTCTTCACAGAAGTCAGAGAGATCTTGGTTTTTTGTTTTTGAGACAGGGTCTCACTCTGTCACCCAGGCTGGAGTGCAGGGGCACAATCATGGCTCACTATACCCTCGACCTCTGGATTCAAGCAATCCTCCCACCTCGGCCTTCCATGTAGCCAGGACTGTAGCCTTGCACCACCATGCCTGGCAAATTTTTTATTTTTATAGATACAGGGTCTCACTATGTTGCTCAGGCTGTTCTAGAATTCCTGGGCTCAAGTAGTCACTGTGTCTTGGCCTCCCAAAGTGCTGGGATTATAGGTGTAAGGCACTGCGCATGGCCGAGATCTTGTTACAACCTAAGTAAGCTCATGTCACTCTTCTACTCAAAACCCTTCAATGGTTTCCCATCTCAAATTAAAAGCCAAAGGCCTACGACCAAGGCCTCCAAAGGCCCTGCAGTCCCTAAACTTGTTTTAGATATCTGATCTCCTTCCTCCAAGCTTTTGCACTTGCTGTTCTCTCTGCCTGGAGCTCTCTCCCCTGAGACATCCTCCGTGGTTTGCTCTGTCATTTCCTTCAGGTCTTTGTTTATACATCACTTTCTCAGTGAGTCCTTCCTGCCCATCCTAACCATATTTAACACATCATAATAAAAATCTGTGGGGCAGCTAAAACAGTGCTTCGAGGGAAATTTATAGTATTAAAATGTTTAAATGTTACCTTAGAAAAGGAGGAAGGAAGGTCTCAAGGCAATGAGTTAAAGCTTCCAATTTTAAAACTAGAAAAGGAGCAAATTAAACCCAAAGCAAGCAGAAGGAAGAAAACAAAGAGTAGAAAATTAATGAAAGACAAATTACCAAAGCTCACTCAAGAATTAAAAAAACCCTAAATATCCCTGTCTATTAAAGAAACTGCAGTCATCATTAAAAACCTTCCCACAAAGCAAATTCCAGGCCCAGCTAGAGTTTAACAGTTACCAGGCTTCACTGGTAAATTCTCCCAAACATACAAAGAACTAATACCAAATATACACAGATTTTTCCAAAAAAAAAAAAAAAAAAAAAAAAAAAGAAAAGTAGGAAACACTTTCCAATTTTAAGATACAGAAATCAGCAAAGCAACAGGCAAGCCTTATGAAAAGAGCACAGCACCTCTGTGGGGCTGTTACCTGTAGACCTCAGTCAAGGAGGGGTGGGAGGCACAGAAGGGTAGAGATGGGAGGATACAGAAAATGCTCAGAGAAACTTTTAGTAAGAAGCATCTCCCTTGAGTTCTCTGTGAAACTGCTTTGTAAAAAACCAGATTAGAGAATACCAAAGTGGAAAAGTGAAGCGATTCAAAGACAGATGGTCCCATGATTGTGAAATAATAGGTTAAGTGACAGCTGAAGCCACAGGTCTGCCCCGTCCTGTATGTATGGGGTGCTCCTTTAAGGGCCATGTATTTTCCCACCTAGAGCTAGGGGCCAGGCCAGCCTGAGTTTATGCTTATTTGATGTGTGTCAAGCATGTCAGCCACAAATATGATCAGGGTTCCCATAAGCACAATGACAGAAGAAGCAATATGGAAGATAAATCTAGGGAGGCAGAAGGAAGAATGAACAATTTCAGAAGTAACTTCTCAATTTAGTGAGTGAGAAATACCAAAAGAAAAAAGAGACCTGGGACAGTGGCTCACAGGCTGAAATCCCAGCACTTTGGGAGGCTCAGGTGGGAGGATCACCTGACCTCAGGAGTTTGAGACCAGCCTGGGCAAACAAAAAATTTTAAAAATTAGCCAAGTGTGGTGGAGTCCACCTGTGGTCCCAGCTACTCAGAGGCTGAGGTGCAAGGACTGCTTAAACCTAGGAGGTCAAGGCTGCAGTGATTCATGATGGCACCACTGCACTCTAGCCTGGGTAACAGAGTGAAAACCTGTCTCTTAAAAAAAAAAAGGGTGGGGGGGGAGGAAAGAAAAAAATGTAGATAAGTAGAGGCTTCATATACTTAATTCATCCTTTGTGTAAATTTCCAAGAAAAGCCATGCATTAAACCAGGCATTATAAATTATTTAAGTGCCAGATTTGTATTAACTTAATGTTAATACGAATGTGTAATGCTCATTCTTGCATAATGAACTAAGAAAAAATATTGAGTGAGATAATCTCCAAAATGCCCTCCTCTGATTTTAAAGACTCAAAATGTCAGAAACCTGCTGCTGTTTGCAAGGTTTGGGGTTTTTGTGTTTTTGTTTCTTCTTCCTGACCAGCACACCAAATGGTTTTGAATTTAAAAATTAAAATATTTAAAGCAGCTACTATAGACTAAAACGGGCACATTCACAAGCAAAACATAATGCCTGGGATACAAAGGGTACAGATTCTGGTCTCTTCCCAAACCAATTTGTAAACTGCTTCCTCGTAAAAGTTTGTGAGACCGGGGCGCTCTGCTCGGATGGAGGCAGGTCCCTTTCCAGAGAAAAGAGTGAGAGAAAGTAGCCATCAAGTAGAAGGCAATGCAGAGAGAGAGCCGACCTACCTCCTCTTTTCTTAATGATAACAAATCGCCAAAAAATGTGGGTTCCTTCTCCCAACAAAATATAGCCACTTTTAGATTACTTCTTCCTCAACTTGATGTTATATTTAGAGAAGGGGTCAAAGGGGTCATACTCTGTCGCCCAGGCTGGAGTGCAGTGGTATAATCACAGCTCACTGCAGCCTGGAACTCCTGCGCTCAAGCGATCCTCCTGCTTCAGCCTCCTGAGTAGCTGGGACTACAAGTGCACGCCATCATGCCCAGCCAATTCTTTTATTTTAGGAGATGGGGTCTCGCTCTGTTGCCCAGGCTGGTCTTGAAATACTGGCTTCAAATGATCCCCCGACCTTGACCTCTGAAAATGCTGGGATTACAGATGTGAGCACAGGGCCTGAACTCAACTTTACTATCTCAAATGTTTCCAGTTAAAGTTGTTTAACTGCTAAAAAGTGAGTACTGTAGAATGGATTTTCCTATGTCTCTCAAAAGTTAATTTGCTATAGGGCAAACTTTAAAATGGGGATGAAAGGCCGGGCACAGTGACTCATGCCTGTAATCCCAGCACTTTGGGAGGCCAAGGAGGGTGGGATCAGCCTGACCAACAAGGTGAAACCCCATCTCTACTAAAAAATACAAAAATTAGCCGGGCGTGGTGGCAGGCACCTGTAGTCCTGGCTACTTGGGAGGCTGGGACAGGAGAATTGCTTGAACCCTGGAGGCGGAGGTTGCAGTGAGCCGAGATTGCACCACTGCACTCCAGCCTGGGTGACAGAGCGAGACTCTGTCTCGAAGAAGAAGAAGAAGAAAAAAAAAAGGGCGGATGGGGGGCATGGGGATGAAAACTCCTCTAATGGTCCCACCTGTCATTTCTCCCCACCAGAAACTAAAAATAGCATATAGGAGCCAACTCCAAACTGTAGTGCTGCCTATGTACAGCAGCCTGGGCATGAGGCATAAAACACTAAAATACATCCTAGAAGCACTGAGCACCTCTTCCACACTGTGAAGAGAGGTCAACAGTAGCCTTACTATAAAGAAACACACACTTTAAAATAATAAATGTTTGGCTACATGCTGCAGCATATTAAAACACCAAATTAAGCTCCTAGTGAATTAACTAACTACCCTAGTTACCTAACATGTTGATTAACTTGCCTAGACCTTGGAAGGGAATACCTCAAAATCAGGATCCGTGGTGCTTGTGATCACTGCCCACAAGAGAGGAGGCAGAGGTCTCCACAATCAAGGCCCTCTTCCTCCGAGGGACAGCCCTTCGCTTCCTTGAAGGAGAGATCCTCTGAGCATGAAACACACGGGCCACAGCAGGCCAGAGGCAGCACACAGAAGAGTTTGAGTTATCCTCCTCAAAGATTTCAAAAACTTTAAATTAGTTACCAATTGTTTAAAATTGAGACATGACAGAAAAATCTGAATTGCAGAATTTTTGTTTAAAATAATGTAGGGGGCCGGGCGTGGTGGCTCAGGCCTGTAATCCCAGCACTTTTGGAGGCCAAAGCAGGCATCACTTGAGGCCAGGAGTTCAAGACCAGCATGGGCAACATGGTGAAACCCCGTCTCTACCAGAAATACAAAAATTAGCTGGGCATGGTGGCACATGCCTGTAATTCCAGCTATTTGGGAGGCTGCAGCAGGAGAATCACTTGAACCTGGGAGGCAGAGGCTGCAGTGAGCAGAGATCATGCTACTGCACTCCAGCCTGGGTGACAGAGTCAGACTCCATCTCAAAAAAAGAAAAAAGAAGAAGAAACAAGAAAGAAGGAGGAGGAGGAAGGGATCTGGCAATAACGGGGCTGGGGTGAAGTCAAAGCTGCCTTACTGAAAATCAAGCACATGATGCCCAGTTTGCTGTGACCATGTCTGTAAACACCTACTTTATTTGCCATTACTGAACCTGCCCAGTCCTGTGTGCATAGCAGTTTGTGAGCAAGAGTAGCAATGAGCCCAGGTGAGAATCTGAAGAATAATCACACTTGAAAAAACATGGTTTTTTTCAGGACACATACCCAGTACCAAGTGTGGTCTGGGCACTGTCTGCCTAAAGCCTATTCCTCTTGAAATCTGTTTTAGTAGGAAAAATGAAACTGCAAGGGAGAGGAAGACACATTGCTTTCTGATGGCTAACTCAAACCCATGTGACATGGCTTGGCCACACAGGTTATGCACACCATCATTTTCATTAGGATCTACTAGACTCTCCGTGTGATTTTTTTCCTGGGTTTTAAGATCATTTATATAAATACTCTTGGTAGGTGTGATCAGTGTATGCTACCATCTGTTTCCACAGATTTGTGAAAGCATTGTCGCTTTTCAAGCATTTCAAGACCAAATGGAAAACCAAAGACATTAAAAACAAAGTGCTGATAGGGTAAATGGCAAACAAACTTGAAGAAAGAATCCAAATTCAAATCTGTCTCATACAACTTGGCCATCCAAGATCCTTCTGGATGTGGTGATTGGATCCATTGCAAATATCTATGCAGCTGTCAATGACTGGCAGATTTCAGGACTGGACTAACACTGGGAAAATGTCTATCAGATGATGTGAATTCACAATGGGTCCATCACAGTAATATTAAGGCAGAGCAACTCTCATTGGCAAATTAATCCACATGGTTAGGTGTTAGAACAAATGCCCTACTAACCTATGTAGCAATGAGAATGACAGATTAATAACCACCGAGAGAGGCTTTACTTATTTTGGTTGCCTACCTTGAATGTCAGGGATTATTTACATGAAAAAAGCCAAATAATAGTCACAGAATATTTTAAAATTGGTTGCAGACATAACATAGCAACTTCATTCCTATGACCTCTATTTCATTTCTCCAGTCCCTCTGCTTACTCTCCTTTATTTGAGGCCACTGCCTTCTGGCAGGACATGTAAAGAGAGGTAAGTCCTCAGAGTATGCCATGAGCAATTTACACATGGGAAAGTGGAGAGGAAACCTCTTCTACTGAATCATCACTTATACTCCTTAGAAATCCCTGGAATGACAAGGAGTGTCAAGCCAGACAAACAAACTCAGCTCTTCTCACAGGAGGCAGGCAACACACTGGGCACTTAAAAAGCATTCGCTGTCATGTGTGCTTCAGAGTCTTTCTAGAGGGCCAGATGTGTAACACAGCTTCATCATCAGTCTTCCAATATACTATTATAAATGGAGACAAGTTCTTGAGCTTTCACTTCAGAAGCTGGCCAAATTAAGTTACTATCTGTATCATAAGGCTGCTTTATGACACTACAGAATAAAGAGACTAGCTTGTGAATTTGGTTTCCTCCAACACAGAGACCCAAATACTGACCATTAAAATGAATATAGGTGAATAGTGTGAGGTAACTCTCATGGTTCCAGGATGGCCAGATGTCACAAATGGCCCTCAAGGAGGGTGTAGACTCTCCCTCAAGGAGACTGTGGTCACTGCCACCCTGTATTTTCCAGCAATGGAAGGCACCATACCTTCCTCAACCCACCAAGACAAGGTCTCACTCTGTCACCAAGGCTGGAGTGCAGTGGTGTGATCTCGGCTCACTGCAACCTTTGCCTCCCAGGCTCAAGCCAGCCTCCCACCATAGCCTCCTGAGTGGCTGGGACTACAGGTGCACGCCATCATGTTGGGCTAATTTTTGTATTTATGTATGTATGTATGTATTTTTTTTTTTTTTTTTTTGAGACGGAGTCTTGCTCTGTCGCCCAGGCTGGAGTGTAGTGGTGCGATCTCAGCTCACTGCAAGCTCCGCCTCCCAGGTTCACGCCATTCTGCTGCCTCAGCCTCCCGAGTAGCTGGCACTACAGGCACCTGCCACCACACCCACCTAATTTTTTTTTTTTTTAGTAGAGACGGGGTTTCACCGTTTTAGCCAGGATGGTCTCGATCTCCTGACCTCGTGATCCGCCCGCCTCGGCCTCCCAAAGTGCTGGGATTACAGACGTGAGCCACTGTGCCCGGCCAAAATATGTATTTTTTTTTTAAGAGATGGTGTTTTGCTATGTTGCCCAGGCTGGTCTCAGATTCCTGGGCTCAACTGACCCATCCACTTTGGGATCCCAAAGTGCTGCGATTACAGGCGTGAGCCACCGTGCCCAGCCCACTGTGCATTTTCAATGAAGGGCCAGGAGTAACATGTAATCTCCCGTGCAAATGTCACTTAATGTTAAACAAAAAATATTCCAAACTATGTGGGTTCTGTGTCAGTGATCTGTCCCCAAGACTTCCATCTAAAATCCTAAAAACAAAACAAAACTTAACAAAATAAACCTCATCTCCACTTGAATCAAAATTTAATTTGGTTATGCTGTCACCAGTGTCAGTTGTACTTTACCTGAGGACAGAGGGCTTCTAACTGGCTTGCAGACATTCGAACAAGCTTTACACCTTCTTCATTATTTGAGATGGAACAGGCCAAGTTGGCAACCTATAAACATAAAAAATAATCTTTAAAGATTTTTCTCTTTTGACTGCTAAGGAAAAAACACACACCTGGCCCTACCTCTGACCATTCTGGAACAGATGACAAGGGCACCAAGGGTGCCTCCCTTCTCACAGCCTGATTATTTACTTAGATGAGGACACATTTTTAACTCTACACAAAGCAAACTATACAGACTCATAACATACATCACATTGCAGGTTGGTGGCAAAACCTTGAAAGATCCCAGGGCCTGTAACTCACATGCTTTGCATGGCCTCTAACCCGCCTGAACAGTAACTTCAGAAAAAGGTTCTTCTAGTATGGGCAATAAGGTGAGAAAAGCTGAAGAATCAAGGGCATCAGGAAAGAACTGTTGTTATCCTCAAAAATGTGTTTTGCAGTGTTCTTGAAGGAAGGAAATAAAAAACTCTAAGGTGCTATGCTCATTTGACAGGGAATAGATGCTTAATTTAAGGCAAGATGAATTTTATTTGAACACCAGACAATTTTTCAAACAAAAAAAAATAACATGAAGACAACATCAAGATGGACCAAAGGCAATCATGATCAAAAGTGGAAAAGGAAACTGGTTATGTTTCATAGTTAAAAGCAAAACTGCCCTTCAACTGGGTTCTCAAAAACACTGACAGCTTGAATCTCTCCTGGCTGATGCGGCTTAATTTGAACCGAAATCTTTACCTTCCCGTCCAGCCATCTCAATGATACAGCTCACGTGGCCAGGAACAATCTTTCCAGGTTGTGTCATACTTCCTTTGCTGAAGCTCTGGAATGTTACTGCGTAGTGACTGCTAAGGCTGTGATCACTTATCCATATTTCTAAATGAACAGGCTTGCCAATTCCATTAGCAATATCTGGGCCCAACTGAATACACGGTACTGAGACACATCTTTACCCCAGTTGCAAACTGAGTTATGAATGATAAAGGCGTAGGCAGTTGAATATCAGAGGCACTTTCTGGGAATTTAAATGCTAGAGTAAACAAGGGCAATGGCAATAACCTTTGATTTTCACTCCTCCGCCCAACTTAAGCACATAAACACATCAGAAAAATTATACACTATTACGGCAGTTGTTTGTAGTGCTACAGTTAAGGATTATCAGCTTTCTATAAGACTGCTAACTATCAGAATCCTGCAATGCCCAAACACAAGGAGAAACAAAAGAAGTTAACGTGCAATTTAAACATAAAAATGTAAAGGAACTGGAAAGTCAGATCTCTGATGTTTATGAGTCCTTCAAAGTCACATAAAGAAGCAACACTTATACTCCCTGACACTTACAGTTCCACCTTCTCTGTCATCTGGACCCAAGCAGAGAGACATTTCTTTTCAGGATGACAAATCTACAGAGATGACTGGGGATTTCTATTTGTTTGCTTAAAAAATCACTGCAAAATATGACCTAAGATAAATTTTGTAAAATGTAAGACTTAAAAAAAAAGGAAACAAATATTCATTGAAGGAGAAAGCTTGAATTAGATGTGTTCATGAAGAGTAATCTACAACTTCTATTGCTTCACTGCCTTAAGACGACATTTTGAACAACAAACATAAAATCTGATGATGATCATTGAAAAAATTAGCATTTTGTGACTAACAAAGATCGCTGGTGTACCGGGCACGGTGGCTCATGCCTGTAATCCCAGCACTTTGGGAGGCCGAGGCGGGCGGATCATGAGGTCAGGAGATCGAGACCATCCTGGCTAACACGGTGAAACCCCGTCTCTACTAAAATACAAAAAAATTAGCCGGGCGTGGTGGCAGGCGCCTGTAGTCCCAGCTACTCGGGAGGCTGAGGCAGGAGAATGGCGTGAACCTGAGAGGCGGAGCTTGCAGTGAGCCGAGATCACGCCACTGCACTCCAGCCTGGGCGACAGAGCGAGACTCCGTCTCAAAAACAAAAACAAAAAACAAAGATCCCTGGTGAGGTGCCCAGCACCCTGCCTATTCCAATCATTTAGGAGGCCACTTGAATGCTGGATCCAGGACAGTCACTACTAGCACAATCTTATTTCAATCTATATTCTCAATCTTATGAATCCTTAAAACTCAGAAAAATATTTAAATTAAGAAGCAAAAGATTTTTAAAAAAGAAGCAAAAGATTACGTAAGTACTCTCTACATCAGACACATGAGGGTAGTGTGTGGCTAAGGCTGAAATGGCTGTTAAACCATCTTTTCTGTTTCATGATTACAAACACTAACAAAACAAAGGTTATGGAAGACTTGTTCTTTATTTTAAAACATTACTTTAAAATATTTCTGGTGTACTGTTGAAGCAGTAATGTTCTACAAGAGCACACTGCCTATTTCAGGAGGCCTGGGAGGAGGAAGGAGTGCCTGTCACTAACAGTCTTCTCCAGATGAATGAGCTTCAATTCACCCCCCAGGGACAGGGCTACTCACTTCTAACAATGACAAATGTGCAAATGCAACATCATGACCATAGCTCTCTGAGAGGCTAACCTCACATACTAGTGTCAGGCCTGACTACAGTGAAAGGAGAGGGCGAGGAGAGGAGCTTCCTAAATGCCTCTTTCTGTGGAAAATCTGGGGCTCTAGAATGACGTAACTATTAACAATGAGACTAAAGAAGATCCTGAGGTTAGAATGAGAAACACTCTGAGCTGGGTGCAGTGGCTTCCAGTCCAAGGCAAGAGGATCACTTGAGGCTAGGAGTTTGTGACCAGCCTGGGCTACATAGCAAGACCCCATCTCTATACATTAAAAAATTTTTCATTGGCTGGGTGTGGTGGCACGCACCTATAGTCCCAGCTAATTGGAAGGCTGAGTTGGGAGAATAGCTTGAGCCCAGAAGGTCGAGGCTGCAGCAAGCCATGACTGCAAGACCATGTCCCAAAAAAAGAAAGAGGCTGGGTGTGGTGGCTCATGCTTGTAATACCAGCAGTTTGGGAGGCCGAGGTGGGCGGACTGCTTGAGGCCAGGAGTTGGGAGACCCACCCCTGGCCACATAGTGAAACCTCACCTCTACTAAAAATACAAAAATTGGCCCAGCGTGGTGGCACGCCCCTGTAATCCCAGCTGCTTGGGAGGCTGAGGCATGAGAATTGCTTGAACTCAGGAGGTGGAGGTTGAAGTGAGCTGAGATGGCGCCACTGCACTCCAGCCTGGACAACAGAGCGAGACTCTCTCAAAAAAGAGAAAAGAGAAAAGAGGGGAGGGGAGGGGAGCGGAAGAGAAGAGAAGAGAAAAGAAAAACACTTGGAGCAGTTAACTTCCACAGAGAACCCAGCAGAGCCAAGACTTCGTAGAACAGTGAGAAGTATCTCTGGATTTGTTAGGAGAATAAATTATTATCTTTCCTACCACAGTTACTTGTATTAACAACTAAAATGTCTCTGATTCCCACTATTCGAAGAGGTAGGCTAAGACTGACACCACAACCACTAGTTTGAGATCAGGCAGCCCTCTTTTGTACCATCTGTGCCTACTGTGTGGAAGTTTGGACCTTGCGGAAGAGCAGGTTTCAGAAAACATTTAAACAATCGGCCTTGGGTTTTGCTGGTTTCAGGAAAACCCAAGCTCAAATCTGAGCTGTTGAGGAAATGACTCACAGCCCCCCTGTGTCAGATCAACAGATTAGACATCTGTACATGACAGACAACTTTTTCAGTCTTTTAGGAAGGCTCTACCTTTACTCCACGATGGATGATCTTTACTTACATAAAATTTGTTAAATGAAGTTTCATTTAGGAAAAAATCCCATTATGACTTTATTTCAATCCTGCTCCTTCTGTAACCATAATGACTATTTTTCTCTATTATACATAGATTTATGATTTACTGAAGTCGAACACAAGTTGTTTCCCACTTCCTTAACTGCTCCTGGCTTCCTATTTGGCTGAGTTCCTCTTATCCTGGAATGTTTGTAGGAAGACAAGATAAGATTTCTTTTTGTTCTTGATAATAAATTAATGACTGACTCTCATAACAGTTTATACCTGTTGTAGGAGTAAGCAAGTGAGAAGAGATGTGGGACAGGGAGCTTTTAAGTCTAAATAATGACCCACCAACGCAGCAGCAGCCCAAAGGAACAGAGTTCAAAACATTCATCTCTTCCCCTGTGCCCCTGGGCCAAGCTAGCACCCGAGTTTTCTTCTTTAAAATGATCTGAATGTCTAAAAGTCAAAAATAACAATAAAATCAAAAACTCAACTTTTACAAACTTGTCGTACATAAAGTAAAAGTCCCAAATGCAGGTCATAACATTTCAGAGGCACTCAATAAGTTTTTAACAACTACTTCCAAACCCACAGGGGAAATGATGATAAGCCCCTACCTTTCCAATTTCCAGGGAAAGGTGTTGGTGATCTTATTAGGAGAAATAAGATATCTTACAATACTGAAAAATGAAGTATGCATGGATAATAGAAAAATTCTACAACTAGATTGTGGTGATGGGTGCACAGTTCTGTAAACTTACCAAAATCTGAATTGTACACTTAAAATGGTTAATTTTATGGTATACAGATTATGCTTTAATAATGCTTTTTCAATTTTTAATGCAGAGCTAGGCAGGTGAAAAATTAAGAGAAATTGTCAGAGGCTAGAAAAGAGAAAGGAGAACTTCAGAGAAGTAAGCAATCAGCCAAAACAGTGTTTCCTCTGGTGGGTGGTGGGGGGTTTTGCAGGGAGGCACCATTTCATGATGAGAACTTGGGTTTTAATGGGCCAAGGCCAGGGTCCTCTCAAGGTAGATGACTCAGATCAGAGACTGCGCAGAGCTGGAACAGGCAAAAGGCAACAACCCTAGTAAGTGACCAACCCTAAGAGTGATCAAGAAAGTCACCATGGAAAGAGGGTATTTCTCAGTCTAAGCATTCGCTCAGGGAGGAAAAGAAGAAAAAGCCCCTATACCCCACTCCAAATTCTAATCAAAAGCTGGCAGAGGTTTAGGTATAGAAATTATGTTATGTATATGGTTCAGAAAACTTTTACATTTAAGAGGTTATGTATTAGTAGTACCTCTAAGCAGGTGGCAGAAGCAAATATAAATGAAAATTTTACCTCATGGAAGGTAAGCTAAACACAGGCTTCAAAGAATTCCCACAATAAAACTCCAGGAATGTGAACTCACAAATTAAAAAAACAAAAACAAAAACAAAAGTATACAAGGAAATGAGCCGTCTTGGGCAAGAATAAGCAAAACCACCACCTGTGTAATCAGATCCATAATAACGCAATACTCAAATGATCGAAAATGCAATTTAAAAAATATATTTATGTTAACAGAAGAGTACAGATAAGGAAAAAGACACTCAAAAATAATTAGGCAGATTTGAAAAGGATCAAAATAGAAGTTCAAGAAAAAAGTAGTAATTTCTACCACTTCTAGAAATTTAAAGTGATATTGACTTAAACTCTACTGAAAAGAGAATTAGTAACCTAGAAAGTCAAAATGAGGAAATTCTTTAGAAAAACCAAGATATTTTCATCTTATGGAAAATGTGGAAACCACAAAAGAATTTAAGAGACATGCAAGATAAACTGAGAAAGTCTACTATTTAACTACCAAGAATTTCAAAGAAAGAACAGAGAGAATGATGGGAAAGACAATGCTGAAAGAGATAATGGCTGAATGTTTTTCAGAAGGGATGAAATATCATTTTCAGACTTGGGAAGACAAATTCCAAATGGGGCAAATAAAAAGAAATCCACACTTAGACATGTCGTAGTAAAGCTTTAGGATAACTTTTTTTTTTTTTTTTAAGACAGGGTCTCACTCTGTCACACAGGCTGGAGTGCAGTGGTGCAGATCACCACTCAGATGATCTTGTAATCATTTCCATTCACATGGTATTATATGAACCACTTTTAAAGTTCTCTACTTCTAGTCTACCTAAGTGTGTGAATAATTTATAAGTAAAGCTAGCAAAGGTACTCTCTAAACATTAATCCATCAGCTCTACTGATGAGGAAACAAGAAGGCTGTATTAGGCCATTCTTGCATTGCTATAAAGAAATATCTGGGATTGGGTAATTTATAAGAAAAGAGGTTTAATTGGCTCACAGTTCTGCAGGCTGTACAGAAAGCATAGTAGCACCTGCTTCTGAGGAGGCCTCAGGAAATTTCCAATCATGGTGCAAGGCAAAGGTGGGAGCAGACATATCACACGGTAAGACGAAGAGCAAGAGAAGGGGTGGGGGGGGGTGGGGGAGGAAGGTGCCACACACTTTTAAATGACCAGATCTCATAAGAACTCACTATCACAAAGACAGCACCAGCTATGACAGATCCAAACACCTTGATCCAACACCTCCCACCAGGTCCCTGGAGATTACAATTTAACATGAGATTTGGGCAGGGACAAATACCCAAACTGTATCAAAAGCTGTATCCAAACTGCATCTCTTTTCTGGAACAGAGCAAAGGTTGGGCAGAGTGCTTCTTTAGTCATGCCTACCAATGCTCCAAGAGAAAAGAAGAATCCTGATGCCCCTTGAGAACAAGGTTCATCCAACTGCCTTTGCTTGATCATCCCATAATGTGACGAGGTAGTTAAATTCTGCCTAAAAAGCTTATTTTTGGTCAAAGTGTTAAAAATAGAACACATGTAAGACAATTTTGTCTCAAACAAAAGTAAGGGTCTGAACTTACAAACCCTTGAATATGTGAGAAAAATCAAGCTAGTATGCTTAGAATTCTGGAATCCAAGGTCAGCATTCTCCCCAAGGACAGCTAACTTCTCTCGTGAAAACATTCCATAATCTGAGAAAACTGAAGCTTCATTTAAAATTTGCTTTTTGCCAGAATATCAGCCTACAGTACTGAGAAAATACCCAAGATGTCACAGGTAGTCACGTCAGGTCAGTGTTTAATTCAAATGCTCCTTACAGAGCCTTTTTCAAGGCCACTTTACCACATATTATCAGCATACTACGGAATAAAAGTTATAATGCAGATCATCCAATTTGCAGTTAAAATATACATTTCAAACCAATAAAGCCATAGCCTATGAAGTTCCAGATAATGGGAAATACTGTGTGTGCTGGGCGGGGGCGGGGGGGGGGGGGGTGCGGTGTGAGGTATAGGTAACAGCTCAAAAGCATGCCAGTTACATTCACTTTTTGGTTCTTAATTCACAAGGTAGTCCATGGAATAGAATCTTATTGTAGCAAATTCATTATAATAACAGCCACATTTTAATACAAGGTCTGGAGCTGAGGGGAAAGGATTTTGGACTGAAGTTACTGGTGGTAGCGGGGAAAGGATGAAACACAATCACTGTATATATCATATGAATAATATATCATTTTTATAGGCAGGATTTCATTAATGGCATTTTCCCTATGCCACTCTCTCAATTCACAAAATTGAAAATGTACTCAGAAGAGAGCAAAATAAAAGGTAAAACAATGCTCTTTGGCTGTTTAAGCTGCTCACAGCCAAAGGAGGTGGGCAAGGAATGAAGCAATTAAAAAGGACACATGGGTACTGCGTTATTGACAAAAAGGTTAATATTTCTGATAGCGAATAAATTCTTCACCTCAGTACACTTTAAATTGAAGAGCAACATAAAGAAATCATGAACTTGATAGGGGAGAAAGGGGTGAGTATAAAAGGTGTTATCCTTACCATGGCCTTGAAAGGCCATGTTATTTTATAAACAGATGAAAGAAATGCCCTCAGTGCTATGCTACACTCCAGAACAGAAGAAAATGGTAAAGGGAAGAGCCATCCAGCCCACCAATACCAGCCCTCTGGCTCCTGCTCCCCTTACTCACTGGCCTTGAGGATAAACAACATCTATGCACCCTTCACACAAGAGAAGTGGCTTCAATACCATGCAGGGAGTTACCAGATTCCACTGAGAAGTGCAGTATGAGGCGGTCACAGGTCCCAGCCAGACCCTCAGAAAATAACAGTTAAGAGAGATCTCATGGCGAATATTCTGCTATTTGCTTTTAAGTAAAATCACAAAAGATTCTTATTAAAATAAGGACCCAGAACTGGGCACAGTGATGTGCACCTGTAGTCCTAGCTACCTGGGAGGCTGAGGAGGGAGGATATCTTGAGGCCAGGAGTTTGAGACCAGTGTGGGCAAAAAAGCAAGAACCACATCTCAAAAAATAATAAAGATCCAATAGGCAGCCTGCACCACACAGACTCCCTGACACTGTGTACACACAGGGGGACTAGAGGAATTTACTTCTGTCGATAAAACCTCAATAGTCAATATGTGGTTTTTATTCTTGAAATGAATCTTATTTCCATAGTGTGATATACACACAAGGCATCATAAAACACTTCCACTTCTGAGTGGGTGTTAGCCCTAATACTACTCAGGAACTATTCACATATTTGAAGCAACTTTATGTGAAACTCCAGATTAAAGCATAACCTTTTTATACTGTTTTATTTGGTCTGGGAGAAAAGTATTTCTATCAAAGCAACAGATAAGATTTCCAAAAACCAAGTTAGCAAGAATCAACACATCTGCCCCAAATTTGTTTTGGTCATGTATTAAAATGCTACTGAAATAACAGCTTTTGTTCAACTTTCATTTCAAACTCTGATAAAATGGACAACTTGCACGTATCACCTCAGTACAATTTCTACTACATTGTAAAAAATATATACATTATATAAAATACGTATTTAGTACAAGATAATCTTTATGTGAGTAGAGATTATTGTTGTATTCACTACTATATTCCTAATGTCCAGAACTGTGACCAGGACATACTAAGAAATCTATAAATACTTATTTTAAGAATTTTGTTACAATTTTCTTCTCCCTCAAATACAGGAAGTTTGCTACAGGTTTTTGAAAGCTTCATTCTAGCCACTCCCATCCCCCCCCCCAAAAAACTGCTCAAATCAATGTCAGTTAACCTTTTCAAAAAAAATCTCCAAATTTTTCCCACCATCTCCACATCCCACAAGTTTTCCCAGTTCATTCCCCTTGTGCACACTGGGTATATATGCAAGATGCATTACAACGCTCTTTTGTGCAAATGTTACACATACTTCAGAATAAGACAAAGTCCACTAACAAGGACGATCAGTCATAATGTAGAGCTCTGCATTTCTAAAGTATAGTCTTCAGCCCACTAAATCAGAATCTTGGGGAGGGGGCTGGGTGGTAGCCCAGGAATCTGAATGTTGAGCACCTGGGCAACTCTAATGTTTATTAACTTTGAGAACCAATAGGTTCCCTCATCTAGTAGTTGCTGAGCACCTACTATATTCTAGGTACTATTCTTGGCCCATGTCCTCAGATAACTTATATTCTTTTGGAGTATGGGGTGGGGGCCAGACAAATAAGAAAATAAATTCAATAGTTTCAGATAGTAAGAAGCACTACAAAGGATGTAAAACTGGTGAATGAAAAAATGACTGCTAGAGGATGCAATGGAGGGGATAAGCGTTCCAGGAAAGTTTCTCTACAGAAGTGACATGTGGGTAGAGGGCACAGGTGGTGACATGTTTAGGTATGGTCAAAGATGAAAACTAGTCAACTATGGCAGAAGTCATTCAGCAAGGGAGACACAGGACGAAAGGCAGTTGTAGGCAGGGAAACTTAGGGGCCATGGTTGAGAATCTGGATTTTTGAATATTATTCCAGGCTTACCTAGAAGCCACAGGATGGGTGGGTCAGGGGAGGGACAGGGTTAGTGCTAGAAAATCATAATCATAATCATAATCATAATCATAATCATAATCAGGAGGCTGCTACAGAAGCCCAGTGAGAGATGGCAGTGCAGACTAGGGAGGTGGCCACAGAAACCAAGTAGACCAGGCGCAGTGGCTCACACTTGTAATCCCAGCACTTTGGGAGGCCAAGGTGGAAGGATCACTTGAGTTTGAGAACAGCCTGCACAACATGGCAAAACCCCATCTCTGCAAAAAATGAAAAAAATTAGTGAGGCATGGTGGTGCACCTGTGGCCCCAGCTACTCAGGAGGCTGAGATGGGAGGATCATCTGAGCCTGGGAGGTCAAGGCTTCAGTGAGCCATGATTGTGTCACTGCACACCAGCCTAGGTGACAAAGTGAGTCCTTGTCTCAAAAAAAAAAAAAAAAAAGAGAAAGAAAAGTAAAGGCTCTATATTATGCCTAATCTTAGGCAACATTTTTTAAACATCAGAGGCCAGGCATGGTGGCTCACACCTGTAATCCTAGCACTTTGGGAGGCTGAGGCGGGTGGATCACCTGAGGTCAGGAGTTCGAGACCAGCCTGGCCAACATGGCAAAACCCCATCTCTACTAAAAACTACAAAAATTAGCCAGGCAGGGTGGTGGGTGCCTGTAATCCCAGCTACTTGGGAGGCTGAGGCAGGGAGAATTGCTTGAACCGGGAGGCGAAGCCTGCAGTGAGCAGAGATCATGCCACTGCACTCCAGCCTAAGTGACAGAACAAGACTCTGTCTCAAAAAAAATAAATAGGCCAGGCGCGGTGGCTCACGCCTGTAATCTCAGCAGTTTGGGAGGCCGAGGTGGGAAGATCACAAGGTCAGGAGTTCGAGACCAGCCTGACCAACATGGTGAAACCCCATCTCTACTAAAAATACAAAAATTACGTGGGCGTGGTGGCACGTGTCTGTAATCCCAGCTAATCAGGAGGCTGAGGCAGGAGAATCACTTGAATCTGGGAGGTGGAGGTTGCAGTGAGCCGAGATTGCGCCACTGCACTCCAGCCTGGGTGACAGAGAGAGACTCCATCTCAAAAATAAACAAATAAATTTTAAAAAATAATTAAATAAGAAAAAATAATAAATAAATAAAATAAAAATAAAACATCAGGTTGGATAAAAGGAGAAAAGATATTTTATTTTAAAGAAAGGACACAAATGGAAGGGGGCAGCCAATAATATGTGGAAAAATGCAGCAGGAATCCTGATAGGACAGAACATGAGATGGAATATAAGGTTATACTAGATGAGTTTCAAAGCCATACATAAGAGCCAAACACCCACCCACATCCACGCTGATAGGAACGAACATGATGACACTGAGCAGCAGCACCTATGTATGGAAAGCCTAGGGATGCTGACCAACTGTGAGCTCAATGGGCATCACAAAGTGAGGCTGCTGCCCAAAAGGCTGAAGGCATCCTGGGATACACTGGGCAGTCTCCTTCCGGAATGATGACAGCCTCCACTGCTCTACCCTCATCCCCAGACCCCGGAACAGGTGTTCCGTGAGGGCTGGCCTTGAGTGAAGGGCATTCAGAGGAGAGCTGGGACAAAAATGACCCTCTAAAAGGCTCAGGGAAATCATCTAGATCAACAAAAGTACAAGAGCCACTGAAGAATTTTTAATTTATTTTTATTTATTTATTTATTTATTTTGAGACGGAGTCTATCTCTATTGCTCAGACTAGAGAGCAGCGGCGCGATCTCTGCTTACTGCAACCTCCGCCTCCCGGGTTCAAGTGATTCTCCTGCCTCAGCCTCCCGAGTAGCTGGGATTACAGGCACCTGCCACCTCACCTGGCTATTTTTGTATTCTTAGTAGAGACAGAGTTTCACCATGTTGGCCAGGCTGGTCTCGAACTCCTGACCTCAGGGGATCTGCCTGCCTCAGCCTCCCAAAGTGCTGGGATTACAGGCATGATCCACCGCACTCAGCCTGAATTTTTAAATTTTTTTAGTAGGCACATTAAAAAGGCAAAAAGGTACCAAAAATTATTTCAACATACAAGCAATATAAAAAATTATTACTGGGCCGGGCACAGTGGCTCACACCTGTAATCCCAGCACTCTGGGAGGCCGAGGCGGGCGAATCACTTGATCAAGATTGGGAGTTCGAGACTAGCCTGGCCAACATGCTGAAACTCCATCTCTTCTAAAAATACAAAAATGGCCAGGCGTGACAGCAGGCACCTGTAATCCTAGCAACTTGAGAGGCTGAGGCAGAGAATCGCTTGAAACTGGGAGGCAGAGGTTGCAGTGAGCCAAGATCATGTCACTGCACTCCAGCCTGGGCGACAGAGCAAGACTCTGTCTCAAAAAAAAAAAAAAAAAAAAAAAAAAAAACTAAGCTATTTTATATTCTTTTTCCATATTTTATATTCTTTTTCTATATCACATCCTGAAAATATGTAAGTATGTGTTAACCCAAAATATCTGAGATAGGTCTCAGTCAATTTAGAAAATTTACTTTGCCAAGGTTAAGGACACGCCTGTAACACAGCCTCAGGAAGTCCTGTGCCCAAGGTGCTTGGGGCACAGCTTGGTTTTATACATTTTAGGGAATCATGAGACATCAATCCATATATGTAAGATGTACACTGGTTCTGTCTAAAAGGCTGGACAACTCGAAGGAGGGAAGGGGCTTCCAGGTCATAGGTAGATAAGAGACAAACAGTTGCATTCTTTTGAGTTTCTGATTCCCTTTCCAAAGGAAGCAATCAATCACATATGCATTTATCCCCACAGCAGAGAAATGACTTTGCAAAGAATGGGAGGCAGGTTTGCCTTAAGCAGTTCCCAGATTGATTTTTCCCTTTAGCTTACTGATTTGGGGGTCCCAAGATTTATTTTCCTTTCACATATGTATCTTATGGTTTTTTGTTTTTGTGGTTGTTGTTATTTTATTTATTTTTTGAGACGGCGTCTCGCTCTGTCACCCAAGCTGGAGTGCAGTGGCACAACCTCGGTTGACTGCAACCTCCACCTCCTGGGTTCAAGCAATTCTCCTACCTTGCCTCGCAAGTAGCTGGGATTACAGGCACCCGCCACCATGCCCGGCTAATTTTTGTATTTTTGGTAGAGATGGGGTTTCACCATGTAGCCAGGCTGGTCTCGAACTCCTGACCTCAAGTGATCTGCCCACCTCCGCCTCCAAAAATGTTAGGATTACAGGCATGGGCCACAGTGCCCGGCCATTAATCTTATGTTTAAAGTACTTCTAATTCACATGTGTGTAATCAGCAAGCACATGGACAGGAGAGGTTCCAAAAAAAAAAGGAGGTTGTAACTCCCCTCCTCTAACAGCCAGAGAATCTACCATACCAGTTAAATATGCTGTCTCTGGAGGGAGAGTTTCCCACTGCTGAAGGATCCAATACAGACATGACAATAAAGATTACAAGTGAAAGGGATTTACACACCAGACTAAGAACCTATGATTCTATGAGAAAGGACCACTCACTCTGGTGTGAAGAGATGGGATCAGATTCCCTGCGGAGAAGAAAAAACTTGACTCAGAAAAGAGCATCTCCAGGGAAAAGGAAAGCTCAAAGCAAATAGCACCCAATAAGACAAGTGGTAAATCACTGGGTAACAACCATAAAAAGGATCGACAAAAAGCTGCAGAAACAAACTTGCCCTGCCTTACCTCTTCCAGGTGGTGTTTATGACTCTGCAGCATGCTAAGCTGGCCTGTGTAGTCAAGCTACCTAAAAATCATGCATTCCACATACCTTTAAGATGGGGAGGTATTATATAATTTGTCTGGTCTGGTCTTTGTCCTGGATTCCTGTGAGGAAACCTCTGAATCTTTGGAATTTCAGTAGTAATGGAAGAATGTTATTCATGCATGGCAAGCCCTGATAGTTTATGCTAAGGAGATTCCTCAGGATATGGGGCCAACCATGTGATTAGAGGACTGGGGCTTTCAGGGAAGGGGACTGGAGATTGAGTTCAACTATATCATTATTGGATCATCATGCCTCCATAATGAAACCCCAATAAAAACTCTGAACACTGAAACTCAGTGGAGCTTCTGGTTGGTGAAACATCAATGTGACAAGAGGATGATGAACCTTGATTTCATTGGAAGAGGCATAGAATCTCTGTATTTGAGACCTTCCCAGACTCCATCCTATGTGTCTCCTCATTTGGCTGGTCCTGATTAGTATCCTTTATAATAAAATATTCTATGAGTTGTTCTAGTGGATTACTGAAACCTGAGGTGGGTCATAGGAACCCCTCAGATTTGTACCTGGCTGGTCAGAAGTACAGGTGGCCTGGGGACCCCAGAACTTGCAGCTGACATGTGAAGTGAAGGCAAATCTTATTGGGGACCATGCCCTAAACCTGTGGGGTCTGCACTAACTTCTGGTGATTAGCATCAGAACTGTATTGCAGTATTTTAGGAGGAGCACTCAACCCAAACACATCTGGCAGACTTCTCAGTGGCTGCAATGTCTGAACCTCTCCTCTCTTGCCAGAGGCTTATCACCATCAACCCTGCCCAACTTTCATATAGCACTCTCACTTCCCTTACACCCCAGGGAAAATGGCAAATGGCCCTTAAAACCAAAGTTGGCCTGTAGACATTTAATCCAGTTAGAACAAGAAGAAATGAAGCAGTCAAGAAATTAACACTCACAATGAAATATTTTACCTTTGCTTAAAACAAGTCACTGACTAGTTCAAAGTGTTTCATTATAATACAAAAGTGGTAGGGGAGGAGAAGCCTTGTCACTGAAGAATAAAATTCTGCCATAAGTCAGGAATTTGAGGCTTCTACAACACTTTAAAAATTTATTTCCTTTTCATGGACATATGCAATTATACATCCTAGTGTCTCTATTACCGTAAATGTAATTTAACTGTTTGCAGAATGGGACTACAAAGCCTATGGTTATGCCTCAAGCAATGAAAAGCCATGTGTCATTTAATGCATAGTTAACGTGTGGGGGTGTGGAGAGAAGAGAGGTTAGAAAGGGGTCAGAACTGAGCTGTGATGGGGAACACCAAACTCTCAATTCTGGGGGGTGGGGGTGGGGGGGCCTTTGGTTAGTAGTGTTCAGAATTAAATGAAATACAATAAAATATATAAGCTTGGAAAAAGCTCCTGGAGCAAGGTCTCCAATACTTCCTCGCCCACTCAATGCTTCAGTGGGGTATTAGGCTGTCCACTAAGCCAGTGAGCTTGAGTGCACAGTGCTCATTATTGGAGGGATGTAAGCCAGGTGAACTTAGGCAACTTACTTAACCTCTGTAAACCTGTTTCCTTACCTGAGAAATGTTGTGGGAAGTACACTGTACTTGCACATAGCTGATACACAGTAGGTGCTCAGCAAATGTCAGCTCTCTTAGGCTGGAGAGGCAGAGGATAATGCAGCTGGCCCTAATAAAGGATGCTCCAATACAGACAAGGACTGCCCTCTCTTCAGCTGCCACACTCAGCCCTTCACCACACTGGTACCCAAGGCCTTGGGCTGGCAGCATCCTTGCTTCCTACCATGCGGAAGAACTTTCTAATATGTATGCTACTTACAAGAGACTGGCTTCCTGAGCGCAATCTGTGTGTATCTGGAAGTTATACCTCATGCTGTCATGTGACTATTGTGAACAAGATTATGCTTAATGGAGATACAAAATCAAAGTCTTCTAATTTTAGTTTCAAATGCCAGAATCATTAACTTAAATAGCAGACTGACCTATGTATTCTGTAAATAATGAATTCAGGTCAGAATAACACTTAATGTTCAAAGAAAATGATGTAAAATTAGTAATGCACGATGTGACTACTGGTGTCTTCCTCGGAAAATTTTTATGGTATTAACGTGGCCTAGCCAGGCGCAGTGGCTCACGCCTATAATCCTAGCACTTTGGGAGGCCAAGGCGGGTAGATCACTTGAGGTCAGGAGTTTTGAGACCAGCCCCGTCTCTACTAAAAAAAAAAAAATACAAAAAAATTAGCCAGGCATGGTGGCGGGTGCCTGTAATTCCAGCTACTCAGGAGGCTGAGGCAGGAGAATTGCTTGAACCCAGGAGGCAGAGATTGCAGTCAGCTGAGATTGTCCCACTGCACTTCAGCCTGGGCTACACAGCAAGACTCAGTTTCAAAACAAACAAATAAAAACAAAACAAAACGTGGCCTAATATCACTATAAATTCAAAAGTACGAGACACACATTTTACATAAGGTCCCGTTTTCTGTTTTTACACAATGACCAGCTTACCATATGGTATATGGAATATCTTTACCAAGTATTAGATGTTCTGCATTAAGATTACAAAATCAAATAACTTGAATATATGCTTATTTTGTGTCCCATTTCCAAAATACAGCAATAATGAATAAATTAAGTAACATAATTTCAGTTAGCAAAAGGAGAAGTAAGCCTAACTTACCTGCGAAATAAGTCACGATTCACTCTTTCTTCTTGCCACCCTACAAACCAACTACTAACATACAGATTTCTACCAAGCAAATGTAACTAATTAGCCCCATGTCAGGGCTCAGTTTCTCTGCTTTTAAAACAAGACTGGTCTGAGTCTATGTCTCAGGCATAAAGCTAAGCATTTGACATACATCATCTTTTTAGGTCCTCAAAATAATCCCAAGATAGATATTATCAGTGTCCTAATTTTACAGACAAGAAATGGCAATTGAGGAAGGTTAGGTTAGCTTGTCAGGATGCAAGCGCAGGCAGTGTGGTTCCTGAGCTCTGGTTCTTAGGCATTGTTGCTTTCTATCCTATCTTTTGAGTCTAGTCATGTCATGATTTATCTTTATTTGCATTAAGTGGAGATGTTAGGCTTCTAGGATAGGAACTGTTAGTATTTAATAACGTACATAGTTAATGTAAAGTGACCAAAATGGTAGTTTTCCTTAGATGTTAAGTGATAATGAAAGACTATCATCTCAGACATGTTGTATGTTAAGCGAGCCCTTACAAATTTTAACTGATTAAATAATGTGATTAAAACTCACCACACTTCACCAAGTTGCCTACAAGTCAATGAAACTGCTAATTCACTTACCTCAATCAATTTGTTGGCATGTTCACGGAAAACTTGGGCATACTCCTTAACTTCTTTCTCATTTCCATTCTTTGCAGCTTCAATCAATACCAAAAGTGGAACATTGGTTTCCAGGAAAGAATCTGAAACGTGGTCCATGACAGCTTTGCGGAGCTAATGATTAAATTGTAAAAATTTGATTTTATTTCTACCAAAAAGGTATTAAATAGATTGCTTTTTATTCTCTTGTACACTTAAATCTAATGAAGCTTACGGTAGACTTGCTGCACTTACATGAGGACCCCTCATGTAAGCCATGCAGTTACATAATCTACAACACAGGAAACATGATCATGGAGACAATGGTTTACATTACTACAGTTACAGCATTTCAGCAACAGAATCTCAGTTCTTAAGACAATATCCTTTTTTCTTGGGAATTACAAAACTAGGGCTTACAACTTAAATAATACAAAAGCTGAACTGAAAGCAGCTCTGGGTTGAACTGGCACATAGCCTTGGAATATATATATAATTAGCCTAATTGGCTAAATAAAAAGAGAAGAGAGAAAAAAGAGTTATCTGGCTTATCTGAAAGGATTCACACACTATGAACCTTAAAACTTAAGGTTCTCTTTATAACCATTTCTGATACTGCTTCACCAAAAGGAAATTGAATAAAGATATATTTTATCTTTAATTTTGTTTTATATCAGACATAAGCAATAAAATATCTGTCCATTACCTCTTAAAAATTGTCTGTATTACAACTTCTTAAGTCTTAATACATTGCTTTATAAAATCAACTCTAACTTCTTTAAAGACTAAAACTCAATTTGACTCCAAATGTTAATGGGGTCATTTATCATTAAAAGGTTCGATTTCTCTACTCTGTATTTACTAACTCAGAAAATTCAGCACCTCAAATATCTCTATACCTACCATATTTGGAACTGGAAACATTTCACCATGGATCTAAGGGAACTGCAAGTGTGTAATGAGTATAGGGCAAGTCAGATAAACAACTGAAATTTCTGTCTCTATTGTACATAGTCAATACAACAAGATCCTTCAGGATTATTTTCACAGGTCTCCAAGTCATTTTAAATTTATTTTCCTACCTGTACATGCCTTTCACACTAGAGCTAACTTATTCAGTCCAACACAGTGAGACTGTATTATCCCATGTCTTCATGAAATTTGATTAGCCATTAAGAAGCATATTAGCAACAAAACAAAGATAGGCACTTTCTTGTGAAAATCCATCCTTTCTCTCAATAAAAAAATATAAGGCCAGTGCTTATTAGGATTTTAATCAAAACTACAAAATTGAGAACTTAGAAAAACAATCAGCACTTTCATCCAGATTACCTGTCTACGCAAGTCCCTGGTCTTCTTGGTCATTTTATCTATTGCAGAATTGAGTGCATCACTTCTTTCTTTACGTCCAGCCTGGATAAAAGGAAAAGAGATGAGCATTTTATTCATTTACAAAGAAACCTAATGATAGCCTATAGCCATTTGTGCTCATGTCAACACTGAAAAAGCAGTACAACTTCTTAAACTCAAAGTTGGAAAATACTGGGGAGCAGAGGGGTGTTATGTGGCTTTATTCATAAAAACCCAACCTTACAATTCTTGGGCTCCACATTATCTGATGACTGGAATTGAGGGAGTTTTGCCAAAATAAGAGAAGCCAAGAGACAAAGAGCTTTGCTTAAAGTTTGGCTTTTAAAAATTAAATTTATATTTTAACTCAAGGTTCAGCATACACCAATTTTATTAATGAAGCAGCTCTCCTTGAACTGCAGCAAGAACAGGGTACACCTGATTTTGATGAACTCTGAGATCTGAAGAATGTCAAGATGTGAAAAATGGGACCTGGCACTGAAACAATGTGAAACAACAAATTTAAAAACTAAGATGTACCTGATAGGTCAGAGCTAATAATGTTTATTATGCAGCTCAAATCATAATGCTTTGTAGGATTACTTTGGTCACTTTAAAAAAATCCTAGACTAAGCTTTAATGCAGTTATATTGCACAGAAAAGAACCCGCTAGTCACTCTTGAAGTGGTATGTAAAACAGCATGTCTTCAGAGGTCAAGGTGCTGAGTCGAGATTTGCCAGGGTAACATTCTAAGCAGAATCAAATGGAATAAAATAGCAGTTGAAAGAAAAGGAACAAAAGTCTTTTTTTAAATCCCAGGTGGAGATTGTTGTGTCCCTGGAAATGCCTACATCATGTAGGTTAAACTATAAAGTATATATAAAGTATATTAAAAGCTTGTTTTCGCAAAACAAATACGGTTCTTTCTGAAAAACATGTCAGCAAATAATAGGAGAGATACAAATGAACAAAGGAATTTAGCCCATTGTTCTCCCTTTGGATGCCCTCAAGACATTTTGGTATGGGTATGCTCTTAGTACACAAGCCAGTAGAGCAGATGAATGGTTAGGAATGGGGAGATCTGTTTACTAAGTGCCTTTAATGTACATTTGTTATTCACTTTATCTCTTATCCCTTACCTGTCAATTGTGGAAAATGCCACCTATCTCTCTATGGACTGTTAGAAATATTGAGGGATATAGGTTATTTAGCAAAGGGCAGAAAGGAGACAACAGGGAATAGTAAGAGTTGAAATATAAGTAAAATTGATATGATCACTATCAAATCTGGTTATGGTCTCATTCCTTAAGCCTTTCCCCCTAGCACTCTTGTACTGCCAATCAAATTAAATATTCCATTAATACTGATGGGGAGGAGAGGTCTCAACAAAAACTCATTCAAATAGGAAGATTTCTACCTGCAGGAATAAACTGATTTATTCAGGGTCATGAATGTCAACCAACCAACTGAATGGACCCCCTTCTCAGCCAGGGCATTCCAAAGTAAACTTGAAAAACTAGTTTAGGCCATCATGGGAAGGAGGGAGTTGGATGTGCCTCATTATACTCTCCTCCCTTTGGAATTCAGGCACAACTGTCCAGCACTAACATTAAAACAGACTTAAGACTGACAAAGCAGATTATTTGTAGCAATAAGATACCAAATTCCAAATGGACTCTAGTATAACATCACATGACAGATAGCAGGCCCTGAAAGAAATCCAACTATTTTACCCCAAAATGTATTTATCTGAAATATTAATATTTTGAAATGGCCCTGCAAATTGGTCACTTTTGGGGAAAATCTACATTCTGTAGAGAATCTCCTTCCCTTTCTAGGTTTTTTCCTGATTTAGGAGAAATTTAACTAAGAATCTGGCACCTTTTAGGATCTGATTTGCCATCTAATATCTGAAGCCTACTACCTGGAGGCTTCATCTACATAACAAGAACCTTGGCTTCCCGCCTCCATTTATCTTAACTACAAACATTTCTTTCTGCCAACTTTAGCTCTTCAGGGAGAGCTTAATCCTTTCAACTAACTGCCATCAGGAAATCTTTGAATCCACCTATGACCTGGAAGCCCCCCACCAACCCTTTCAAACTGTCCAGGCTTTCAGGACCAAACCAATGTACACCTTACATGTGTTGATTGATGTCTACCTATAAATTCTGTCCCCCTAAAATGTATAAAATCAAGGTATGACCCAACCACCTTGGGAATATGTTCTTGAGACTGTGCCTTGGGCCTTGGCCACTCATATTGGGCCCTAGAATATTTATTTCTTCAAACATTCTACAGAGTTTGACTCTTTCTTGTTGACACTAGTCAGCTTGAGACGTGCAATTATTTACTGGCAATCTTAAAGCTCAAAATACCAGGATCTAAGACAAAGGTAGCTAAAACTGAATCACAATCAAACTGACTTCATAATTAATGCTTTAATCAGGAAAGTCTCAGCATATTCCTTAAGATACTCAAGCACTCACGTCAAGAAAATTTCTCTAAATAAACCCTGTAAAGTTTGCCATTGTTCCTAGCCACATTTTTCTGGTGTTTCTAATAGATCATTTGTTCTAGAAAACACTTAGAATCTGAAACCCAAAGGTTGAGCATGTAGACTTCATGAAAGCCCAATCCCCTACAACCTGAAATGCCCAGGAATTTTCTCAATTTGAGTAAAAAGATTTACTGTTCAAGTTATGTAAAACCAAATCCTTGAATTTGACTTTTGAAAGAATTACAGTCACACAGCAAAATTCACTTTAAGATGCAATGCAACCCACACCATGAATCTGTTAATTCTGTCTTTGTCAAACTACCCAAAAAATCAATTTGTCTTTCTTGTTATTGCAGGAAATAGAGGTTTATGCCTCATTAATCAGAAGGGGAGCAGTTTAGGAGCAGTTATTTACTAAGCCCTTTAAGTTATACTAGACAGACCATTTTAAAATCACAGTATCATTTTAGAAAAATACAGTCCAAATAGCAAGTTTAGGGTACCAATCATTTAAAATGTAATAGAGATGAGTACACATAGACACACTCACAACCTTAACACTGAGCTTGAGGAAAGTATAAAGCTTGCTCATTTTAAAACAAGATTCTGCCAGGCGCGGTGGCTCATGCCTGTAATCCTAGCACTTTGGGAGGCTGAGGCGGGTGGACAGCCTGAGATCAGGAGTTTGAGACCTTTAGCCTCAAAGCTGAAACCTTTGGTTTCAGCCTGACCAATATGGTGAAATCCTGTCTCTACTAAAATTACAAAATTACAAAAATTAGCCAGGCGTGGTGGCATGTGCCTGTAATCCCAGCTACTCGGGAGGCTGAGACAGGAGAATCCCTTGAACCCGGGAGGCAGAGGTTGCAGTGAACCGAGATTGTGCCATTGCACTCCAGCCTGGGTGACAAAGCGAGACTCCGTCTCAAAAAACAAACAAACAAACAAAAACAAGATTCTACTTCTTTTGAGATTAAAGTTATGATTTTTTATTTCTAGCATTAACTGAACAAAAATTACGTTACTCAAACATAACCTTAGGAAAAGCAACCCTGTAGCGTATAACTATTACTGGAAGTAGTGAGGAAACTTTTTACTCCAACCCTTGCCAGTTTGGAAGGGATGAAATATGTTCCTGGCATTGCTGGTGGCATCTCAAGGCACATTTTAGTCCCTAAATGAAAAGGCAAAGGTTTCCAGGTGAACCTACAAAAAAGCTACTCAACCTGACTGCACGAAACAAATATCATCCCACCATACTTCTTAGATAAAAAGTGCCCTACATTGAAAGATCCACATAACCTCTTCCGCTAAACAAAGGCTTTCTTTTCTCCTTCTTCTACACATTCTCCCTATGGAACCTGGTCATTCCTACTGCTTTAATGAACCTATGGTCACTCTGCCATCTTCCATGCTGACCCACCCACATACATTTTTGTTCTTCAGACATGCCGTGCTCTCTCTCACCTACATAAAATACTCTTCTCCCCTCCTTCCAACTCCTACCCATCGTTCAGATGAGAAACTACTTCCTTGTGGAAGCTTCTGCTAGCCAACCTCAGCCCTAAGTTCAAGTTCAGTGTCCCCACAGAATGCTACCACACCATCTCATGTTTCCTCTCAAAGACCTTCTCAAATCATACCTTAGGATAACTACCTGTTGACTTGTCTGTCTCCCATTGGACATGAATGAAATGAGAAACCAATAACCAATTAGAGACACATTTAAAAGATATAGGACTTCATGTGTAATCTGTGTGGCAAGTCATCAGTCTCTGCTTCCTTGTCACTAGTTAGAATATAAGACTTCAAATAAACCTCTGCTTTCTATCCTCATTTTAATCTAGAGTAAGCCTGAGGTGGGTAGAGGAGGGTGAAATACAGTGTTTTAACCCTTAACATTTAAGGACTGTTTAAAAAGGTAACAAACAGGAGGTCTGATTAGTTTAACAGGAAGATCTAGTTAGATAAAATACCTCCTCAGCCATTAGAAAATTCAACAACAACAACAAACAATGAATTATGGCATTTTACAAGACCAAATAAGAATCAGCATTGAAGCTTCTTCTACCCAAGACAATAAAAAAGAGAACTGGGGCTGTCATCCATACAGTAGGGACCTTCAATAAAGCAAGAGATGAAGATCTTGAGAAAGGAAGTGATAACCAAGCTGTTGCTCACAACCAAGAAGGTTTCTGAGAGGAAAGAGAACTTTAAAGAGAATTATCAAGAAAAATGTTTGAAAACTAAGGGAAACTAGCAGCTTTTAGGGAGTCAATACATGTCTTCATGAGTAGGGCTAAAAAGCTTGCTGTGGGCTGGGCAACACAGTGTCATACAACATATATTTAATGAATAACAGGAGAAGCAATTTGACCTTGGTTGTTCTACCTGGCCCACAAATGGCTGGTGGGCTCTGCCTAAGCTGAACATGTAACAAGAGTTGCTGGGAGTGCTTTAAGCAAAGCTCAACAGTAGATCAATCTTAGAATACAATGATTATATAGTCCTGTATTCCCAAATTCTTTTCAAAGAATGCCCTCTTCTTAAATTACAAAGAGCAGAACAGACACTGCAGACATACACAGACAAACGCAACAAGCATCAAGACGAGCTCTCAAGGAGGACAGTCTTACCTCACTGCTCTCTCCAGCCTCAGGAAGCCCCTTTCAGCAATGTGCAATACAAGGAGGAATCAACATCTCAACTGCAGACGGAATGCTGACATGCTGCTATAAACCGTACAGAGTAAGAAATGATCTTGTTCTCTTTGGGCCAAATTTTTATGAATTTTCTTTGCATTAACAACATCACATATTCAATGTGTTTTTTTTTTTCCTTGCCATATCACTTGTCACTGCCCCTCCAGCCCAGAACCTATTAAGAGGGTTCTCAGATGATGGTTTCCAAGCTTCATCAACCTTAAGTGCTAGCATATAGCCAACAAACATGCAAACTAACCCCTTAAATTTAGACAACTGGGTCAGAGAGTCCACTAAAATTGAACGATTCTTCAAGTAAGTATGAACGGGTATCTTACCTCTTAATTCTATCCTGTGCAAACAGCTTTCTTTGTATAGCCCCTTGGGCCATCTATGTAGGTAAGAGGAAATAACATCTACATCAAAAGCTACTCAGAAATGTAGAGAGGAGAAAGGAAGGACAACCCCAAACTTGGCTATGTATTTCAGAATAAAAGATGAAGCATGCTACACAGAGGGGAAAGGGAAAACATGAACACAATGAAGCCACTAGCAGAAGAAGAGTTTTAAAAGGGGCGGCGGGGAGGTTGCCATAAACATTTCAGCCTGTGCTTTAATCAATACTTCAAGATGGTCTGGGCATGGTGGCTTATGCCTGTAATCCCAACGATTAGGGAGGCTGAGGTGGGAGGACAGCTTGAGCCCAGGAGTTCAAGACCAGCCTAGCGCAACATGATGAAACCCCGTCTCCACAAAAAATTAGCCAGGCATGGTGGTACGCACCTGTAGTCCCAGCTATCTGGGAGGCTAAGGAGGGAGATCAATGGAGCCTGGGAGGTTACGCCACTGCACTCCAACCTGGGCAACACAGTGAGACCTTGTCTCAAAAACAAACGAACAAACACAAAAACTTCAAGATAGAGTCTGTTATTTTTGTTTTGATGTCTATAATAGGAGAAATAAAACATCTTAATAGTATAAACGTTCATCTGTCCAAACTTCTATGGAAGACCTTCCATAACCTAATGCCCAACTTAGACGCATTGCTCCAAGATTTCTTGCTGAACTATCTAGCCCTGGGCACAAAATACAAGGGAAGCAGGTTGTCACATGATTCTGACCCTGAAACTTCCCCAACAGCAACAACTGCCGGAGTGCACATGTATCCAAAACTAGAAGGATATGTCCCAAAATGTGTAAGGTGCATCCAAAGAAACACTGCTTACCATTGTTAGTGTAATCAGAATCCCCTTCTACTGCTTTCTCAGTTGTGTTTACTAACAAGATAACAAAAGGACTTTAAAAATCAAAATCAGCTGGCATGGTGGTTGACACCTGTAATCCCAGAAACTTTGGGAGGCCAAGGTGAGAGGATCTCTTGAAGCCAAGAGTTCGAGACCAGCCTAGGCAACATAGTGAGACCCTGTCTCCACGAAAAAAATTTTTTTAATTAGCTGGGTATGGTGGCATGTGCTTGTAGTCCTAGCTACTCTGGAGGATCACTTGAACCAGGAGTTCAAGGTTACAGTGAGCTATGATCGTGCCTCTGCACTCCAGCCTGGGTGAAAGAGTGAAGACACTGTCTTTTTAAAAAAAAACAAAAAAAACACAACAACAAAATAAAATCAACAGAAGGAAGGGATGGAGACAAGGATCCAGGCAGAAATGGAGATTCTGGTAGTCTAATGTAGACACTCTACTATTGAAAGATTCCCTTCTCTTTCAAAAAAAGACAAGCTAGTAAAACCCACTTACTCTAATACAAGTCTGGCTACGACATAAGCCTAAGTATGTGGTTGCCAGTTAACACCTTAAAAGGTTCTTGGCAGAGGACATAAGACACACAACATCTAGGACCTCCACCCTAAAAATGGCTTTTTTTTTTTTTTTTTTTTTTTTTAAAGACGGAGTCTCACTCTGTCACCCAGGCTGCCACCTGGTTCAAGCGATTCTCCTGCCTCCGCTTCCTGAGTAGCTAGGATTACAGGCTCCTGTCACCGTGCCCAGCTGATTTTTGTATGTTCGGTAGAGACGGGATTTCACCACCTTGGCCAGGCTGGTCTTGAACTCCTGACCTCGTGCTCCACCCACTTCAGCCTCCTAAAGTGCTGGGATTACAGGCTACCACTGTGCCTGGCCAGCTATCATTTTTTTAAAAGCAGGGATTGAGACTGCCAGCAACAAGGTTTATTTTAACATGCTCCTCCAAAACACCTCTGGGCAACACTTTGGTGCCAGGGCATACACAATTTTTGGAGCTGGGTATGATGAAAGAAACATTTGCCTTTTTAGCATAAAGCAAATATAAAGCTCCCTCTCTACCCTCCCTCCCACAGAAGAACAGGAAATTTCATGAATATATCTGTACATTTGCTTCTCCAAGTAGGGGAATAACTCTCCCTAATCAGCAATACATATGAAAAGCAAACTCTCATGTGGAGGAATGCAGACAACTACAGCCATCTAAGCCCTGCCACTTGACTCAGTTAATTTGCTTAAAACCATTTACAGAGAGGAGACAGGTTAGATTTTACTTCTCCTTTGCCTTATCATGAACATCTAAAGCAATGAAAATTGAAACAGATCATATGGACAGTACCTTCCAGAAGTAGTATTGCCACTTTAAGTCAAAGTCATATGTTTGCGGAAAAAAGCTGCTCTACAGCAAAACCAAGAGAAAGTTTAGAAAAATAGATATGTAGCCCTTTTAGCTAAAGAAAGATAAAGACCAAAAAATGATACACAATTCCATCAATGGGAACTCTGCACTCTACCAATTTTAAGGCAAACTCCATGTCTTCTTTGGTTCCACAGCCTGAACCTCTTGAACCCAAAGAGTGGGCAGGTGAGAAAGATGGCTGGTGACCTGGAAGGGGCTGTGCTCTCTGGGCACCATGATACTGCAAGCATTAGTGCCCACTTCCTCAGAGGCCTTCAAAAAATAATTACTCTTGATTGCACTGATGCTTCTCTGGGCAATTTTCCTTGCCCACAAATCTGTTATAATAGTACTGAGATAATATAATTTAAGTAGTCTCCATTTATTAGTATTTAAGAGGTAGGCCAAGCAGACTAAAAACCAAGAGTTTAAGGGCACGGAGATGCTTTTCCTTCTGCATGTTAACACACAACTCATTCCTAATCATGGTGGCTCTAATCCAACTGACTAAAATGCTTTTCTCCCCAAGGAACTAACGTAGTTACTTGAGAGAAGAGTTTAATCCAGCTTCTCCTGCGTGGCAAAGGGTTTTTTTCATCAGAGGGTAGCTGACTTCAATAAGGGCATTTACAACATCCCAAGGGCTTATTTTCATTTAAGAAATTTGGCCGGGCGCGGTGGCTCACGCCTGTAATCCCAGCACTTTGGGAGGCCGAGGCGGGTGGATCATGAGGTCAGGTGATCGAGACCATCCTGGCTAACAAGGTGAAACCCCGTCTCTACTAAAAATACAAAAAATTAGCCGGGCGTGGTGGCGGGCGCCTGTAGTCCCAGCTACTCAGGAGGCTGAGGCAGGAGAATGGCGTGAACCCGGGAAGCGGAGCTTGCAGTGAGCCGAGATTGCGCCACTGCAGTCCGCAGTCCGGCCTGGGCGACAGAGCGAGACTCCGTCTCAAAAAAAAAAAAAAAAAGAAATTTAAGAGACCACTCCTATGAGACTACTGTCCTTAGAACTTTTGGGGGCAAGTTCCTGTAGAACAGCAGCTCTGAAACCTAGGGTGAGAGACCCTGTAGGAATCGGACTCAACCTTATCCACAGAAAAATGAACAAGCAAAAAAATTTCACAAGACAGTTTATGGAACCAGGTTAAGAAGTTCTAGCCTATTGAGAGAGACTATAGGAAGGATTAAGGTCAGAGGGGGAGTAGCATTCCCCGGGTCTAAACCAGGACTTGTTTCCTTCCCTTCTTTAACCAGCAAGAAGGAACAAAGAGGACGTACTAGTGCAGGCTCATTACTAAGGACTCAAGAGTCTGTTCACTGGCAACTTTGGCTTGGGAATTTCCATTCAGCCTACAAAATGTGTCTAAGAACCACAATGCCAATCTCATCTTCTTTGCTTCCTCTGTCCCTTCACAGGTGTCAGACCTGCCCTGTGGTACGAAGACTCTCAGAGCATTCCTGCTGCCTTCTGTCTCCCTTTGTACTTCGTAGGCATTTTTGCCTCTTGTACTTCTAATTCTACCTTGGGATCACTTCTAGGAGGACTCAAACCACACACCTGCACTGCTGCAGTTTTCATAGCACCTTTACACAGAGCCCTAAGGAAGGGACCTTGGAGTCTCACAGCTCTCACTCCAGCACAACACTACAACAGAAAAATTTTACCCAAGACAATTACTTCTTAGATCTGCCCAGTGGGATGAATCCCTCAGAACCAAAAAGGCCAACGATGTTCTTGTTTCACAGACACCATCAGTAGTTTTAAAGATGTCTGTCCTTAGGTCTGAGACAAGACCCACAAAGGGTAAGTGCCAATGATATGGGAGAAATAGGTATGTTGGGTCAAATCAATAAGGCAAGATGTAGAAAAGGGCTTACCTTTGTCAGGCCTGAAAATATAACATCTAGAAACATCTTTTGCATTTATATAACACTAAACATGGAGCTATACATCCACAACTGAGGTCTGAAAAGTGAAGACACCATTCAACAGGGAGAAACTGGAGTTAGGGCAAGCAAAATCAAGTCAAAACAAAAATCCCAGTCCAAAGCATGAGTGACCTTTTGTATTCACAAGACAGGTTCTAACAACAGCAGTAGGCTCAGTTAAGTCAGCCACTTGGTGGCTGGGAACTAGGGTGCAAATGCTCTATTATTTCAGTGTCACAACCACCAACCTCAGTACCAGCGGAGGCTTTTAGTTATGGAGTAGGTGAGATTCTGAGGTAAAATACAAGGGGCCATGTCAGAATCCAGCTACACGGTATCACTTGTCCTAAATCATCTCTGCTTTGCTGTTAGGGCATGTGCATTAAAATGACTGTATCAACCTGCCTTGTCCTCCCAGGAGGACATTTAAAGATCAACTCAGCATTATTTTTTCAATCAGTATGGCGACAAAACATTGTTATAAAATAGGAGAAAGAGAAATCTTTTTAGAGTTCCCCTGAAATTCTCAAAGAAAAAAATAACCACATGCTTTGTTTTGCAAGCTTCCCCTCCCCCTTTATTCTTCGTTTATAATGTTAAGCTCTTGATGACAAACAAGCCAAGCCCACTTAGCTAGTTTATCAACACATCTAAAGCAAATCATAGTCATACTTTGATTTTAACCAAGCATGACAACAAGGCAACTGAATAGCTTTCCAAACTACCAGTGCAGCGACACTACCTTGCATAGGCTGGTGTTAAATCAGCACTTCATAAATTGTGCAGGCTTCTGCCCATTTAGATGATCTCTCTATGCAGAATCGGCAGTCTAACACTGGCTCTCACAAGCATTAAAAATCATCACTCTGCTAACCCAACTCACTGTTCAGATGGGTCTTCTTGAATGCAGCCTTTATTACAACCTCACTGCTGCTTCCTACACTGAAGGAATATCATGTTTTTAAGTCAGGAGTTCTTCTTTCTCGCTTTATTGTAATCAGGGGGTCCTGCAACGACCCCGATGCTGTTACAAAGCATGGTGCTTTATAACAGTAAAGCTTCTGGAAAACCCAAACAAAAGACACGTCATCCGGTGACGTCAGCCTATATACAGTTCTGTGTGGTCGCAGCACATAAGCAAATCCATTCTTGTGCCGTTTCTCGGAAAAGCTTTTCAGTAAATGCACTCATGCTGCTCCAGGAGCTCTTCTCTGCAACAAGCCACCCATCTGCCATCAACAAGTTAAGACCAAGAGAACTAACGGCTGCGGAAAGGAGACTGAAGCTTTGATTAACCAGCTGAGCAGTTAGAGGTGGAGAAATTTAATAACTTATATTCAAAACTGATTTAGGGATCAGAGCAATCACAGAAAATGAAACCAATGCTTTCCAGAGGGATATCCTAAGGAAAAAACAACTCGTCCTGGTGGATTCAATTTTACTTGGAAAGCCTGGGACACAGAAAACAGGAAACTGGTCAAAGGCTCCTACATGTTAGAGCCTTTTACAGACTCACTGCGTTGAGTCTAACAACCGCGACTGAATGCAGCCTCCAATGTGCTCAGAAGAATGGGTAAGTCTGTGCATTTATATGTCTTGTACATTCAACAAGGAATCACGCTTTTAAAATAAGCTACCGAATTCACATTTTATGAGGGAAATCACCATCATATTTTGGATTTTGAGGTTTAGGTAAAAGCATATATCGATGATGACAGAGACATGTTTTATCTTCTTTTTAAATGGCTTAAGTTTTGGTCCAGTCATACCAATAAGGTTAATTTTTCTGCAGTAAATGAAAAATAAGTTATATGCAGTGAAATCTTTTGCTATAATGTTGGTGGTGGTTGTTTTTTTTAAATAGCCCATATGTTCTGCTGAAAAATATCCTATCTTCTTGTTTTCCTTAAATTATATTCTGCAGGCTTACATTTCAAGTGGCCATTAGGGGCCCCTATGCTGGCAGCAATATATGCAATGAGTATGGTTTTAAAAATGCTGCCTGCCCTGGGTATGGCGTGTCCACCCAAATGCCGCTGCGAGAAGCTGCTCTTCTACTGCGACTCTCAGGGCTTCCACTCAGTGCCAAACGCCACAGACAAGGGCTCTCTGGGCCTGTCCCTGAGGCACAATCACATCACAGAGCTCGAAAGAGATCAATTTGCCAGCTTCAGTCAACTTACTTGGCTCCACTTAGATCACAATCAAATTTCAACAGTAAAAGAAGATGCTTTTCAAGGACTATATAAACTTAAGGAATTAATCTTAAGTTCCAACAAAATATTTTACTTGCCAAACACAACTTTTACCCAACTGATTAACCTGCAAAATTTGGACCTGTCTTTTAATCAGCTGTCATCTCTGCACCCAGAGCTCTTCTATGGCCTTCGGAAGCTGCAGACCTTGCATTTACGTTCCAACTCCCTGCGGACTATCCCAGTACGCCTGTTCTGGGACTGTCGTAGTCTGGAGTTTCTGGATTTGAGCACAAATCGTTTGCGAAGTTTGGCTCGCAATGGATTTGCAGGATTAATTAAACTGAGAGAGCTTCACCTAGAGCACAACCAGCTGACGAAGATTAATTTTGCTCATTTCCTACGGCTAAGCAGTCTGCACACGCTCTTCTTACAATGGAACAAAATCAGCAACTTGACATGTGGGATGGAGTGGACCTGGGGCACTTTAGAAAAGCTAGACCTGACTGGAAATGAAATCAAAGCCATCGACTTGACAGTGTTTGAAACGATGCCCAATCTTAAAATACTCCTCATGGATAACAACAAGTTAAACAGCCTTGATTCCAAGATCTTAAACTCCCTGAGATCCCTCACAACCGTTGGTCTCTCTGGCAATCTGTGGGAATGCAGCGCCCGAATATGTGCTCTGGCCTCCTGGCTGGGCAGTTTCCAAGGTCGGTGGGAACACTCCATCCTATGCCACAGTCCTGACCACACCCAAGGAGAGGATATTCTAGATGCAGTCCATGGATTTCAGCTCTGCTGGAATTTGTCAACCACTGTCACTGTCATGGCTACAACTTATAGAGATCCAACCACTGAATATACAAAAAGAATAAGCTCATCAAGTTACCATGTGGGAGACAAAGAAATCCCAACTACTGCAGGCATAGCAGTTACTACCGAGGAACACTTTCCTGAACCAGACAATGCCATCTTCACTCAGCGGGTAATTACGGGAACAATGGCTTTATTGTTTTCTTTCTTTTTTATTATTTTTATAGTGTTCATCTCCAGGAAGTGCTGCCCTCCCACTTTAAGAAGAATTAGGCAGTGCTCAATGGTTCAGAACCACAGGCAGCTCCGATCCCAAACACGACTCCATATGTCAAACATGTCAGACCAAGGACCGTATAATGAATATGAACCCACCCATGAAGGACCCTTCATCATCATTAATGGTTATGGACAGTGCAAGTGTCAGCAGCTGCCATACAAAGAATGTGAAGTATAATATCTACCCATCATCAAAAATCACATCAGATAAGTAACCTATTTTACATAGTAGAGGCTAAATACATATCTAATTTTTACCAATGGTGACATTAAGCCTAATTTTCCAAACTAAGTGGAGACTTAGTTTTTGAAGTGTTGAAGTATTTTTAATTTTTTAAATGAAACCATATTTTAAGTGTTAAATGAATCAATGCTCACATTAATTTGCACTCCTGTTGGAAAGTCTAAAATGCTTACTTCAAAATAAGAAATGTATGTAATTATATACAATCGTGTGTAAACCTTTACACTAAGGTCTCCATATACTATTTTTTTCTACTGAAAACAATTTAGAAAGAAGCTATTGGGCAGAAACAGATATAGATCAATACCTGTTTGATCACTGCTCTCCATCCCATGTACCACAACTATCTTGCTGCTTAAAAGGAGACTTAGTAAAGTTCTCTTGTATGATAATTTGGTATTTACTCAAATCTTCAATTTCTTGCCAGGGTGGGAAGTAGAATTTCATGTATGCTGAAGACTGGTAAATATTAAACATTCTCCTTCCAGAGTTTCTGCCTGGGTTAGTAGATATTATCAAAGTCCATATCATGAATTCAGAACCCTTTAATGTAATTCTAATAAGCTGAGTGACTCTTTAATATATTTACACAATGAATCCAAGTGACTGTGAAAAGGTCTCATTACAATGAAACCAATCCTAAATAATTACACCAACTTCTTATACATTTCTCGTTTGACTTATAATGGACATGATTTTTGTGGCATTTAGACAACTGTTTTAAACTAGCATTAAACTGTCATTGTACTAATTAATGTACTAAATCCTATGTTTACATTAATATGTGAAAAAAGATTTAGAAGATATTTTGGAGATAAACAAGACAAACTGAGTCAATTTAACAATCCTGACATGCTCCCTCCAATTTAAAAGCGCACACACACACACACACACACACACACACACACACACACACTCTCGCGCTCTCTCTCTCAACTATCATGATCAAAGATGCCTTGACAAAGGGGTTTAAACCTCTTTCTTCTGCTTTTTCCTGATCTTCAAACCTCAAAGAGCCAAGTTAAAAATAATTGGCTAGCAACAGGCTTAACACTGATTCTTATTGTATTACAAAGGAACCATGAAAAAAAACACTTTCCAACTATTATATAATACATTTCGATCTTTCAATAAAGATACGCATTCACGCTGTAAGTGTAGTTCAGTGTAGGTGAAGAAAACAGCACCACTGAGATGAATCTCATGGCAGAACAACTCGACATGCCTATGCAGCCACACAGTGGTAACTTGAAGGCAGCACAGAGGTGAGGGATTAAAAGGAAAGGCAGATTTTGAAATCTGACTCTCAGGTTAGCTGGAGTTACAAGGCAGCCAACAATGATTATACACAATCTGCACCAAACAGGGAAAGGACCTGCTGCTGAAAAGGGAAGAGGGGTAGATCCTCCAATGTAAATATAAACATGCCATAGTTAACAAATGATAAGGATGCCACATTTTTCATGCAGAAAAGAACCACAGGTATTCAGTTTCTTGTATTATGATTTCTAAAGAAAACCTATTAAATATTTGGAATTTAGATGCAAGCTACTCATTCACACAGAACTTTTCCATAAACATTGTTCCACATATTGAAAAAACTGTAAAATTATAGCACTAACTTGATTTTAGAAAATGAGCATTTTTTACAACTGCCATTTACTGTATGTAGAAAAAAGACATAAAACCTTAGAGAAAGCCACTACCATTTTTCAAGTTATCTTTTCCCCAACATCAACATCAACATGATATCCTTCATTCAGGGCATATTTTTTCTTCCCAGGATCAAACTGAAAACATGTTAAGGCTATAGTTTAGCCAGTAAGATTTAATCACAATTTTTCTTCTTTAATACTAAGAGATGGGTACCTTAGTACCCTTCACCTAACATCTCTCGGTAAAAAGCAGACAAGATCACAAATTACAGTAAAAATGTGCTCTTTTTTAAGGTGGGCAGATTAGTTTGTCAAAGTCTCAGCCCAGTTCAATTCAGTTGATCTCGAGTGGTGAGTATTTTGTCTCTTGTTAAACCAGACCCTGGGCTTGTCTGGGCAGAGACAGAAGCTGATTTAACAGCATAGAGCACAGCGCCCTACTTCCCCACAGACAGGCTGAATTAGAAGCCCCTATTACAAATAAGAGCACCACGAGCTAAAATTTACCAACCCATTTATCAGGATGACCATTGCCATTTGTCAGGTGACAGACAGCTTGGTCACAACACAACTGTGTCCTGAGCACACAAGATTCCATCAGCCCTGAAGGACAGCAGAGGAGTATTTTCCATCATTTCAAACCACAAACAAAATTAAGATTTAAACTGTGGGATGGGTAAGAAATCCCCTTCTTTGGCTGGGAATCTCCACCTTAATCCTTAAAGGACCATAACTGGCAAAATCCTTAGTGTACGGACAAAAGCAAATTGGAAAAGCCAGCCATTTACTAATTCAGAGGAACAGCATAGCCAAGGCTAGCGAGGCATACTTTCCAGTTGAAAAAAATCAAAATTTTTTGCCTTCCATTTTTCTGGGTAATGTCCTTTAAGAAAAGTGAATGACAGTAGTACCAAAAAGGTATTTTCCTTTCTCATTTAAAAGCAAAAACCTCCCTTTTTAATTGCCTGTAGAAGGCAAGATTTTCTTTCATTTTTGTCCATTTGTGTTTCAGAATCAGCACAGGTTTGAAGATTAGACTGTTAGTCATCTGTGCTTTCTTTACCAACTGGCTAGAACGGAACAGCATCACAGCAACGCTGCGGATCTTGGTTACACAGTGTCAGAGCTTTTGTTTTTTGATGGGGTTTTATCCTCTTCACCACCACTACCCACTCCATTTTTTTTCTATTTTTAAGATTAGAGGAAAATGACCATTAAGAACCAGAAAAATAATTAATCTCTCTGGAAAAAGGAAAGCTAAAGAAGACTATGATACCATACCCATCTAGAAACCAAGAACTAGTTTGAAATCGTTTATATTCATTTCTGTAGCATGACAGGGATTTCAATCACCTTTCTGAAAAGAGTGGGCTGATAAACTTGTAAATCCACACACAACTCTGAGAATACCCACTGCCAGCATCAAAAAGCAAAGATACTAATTTTTTAAGCCAAAAATCTGTACTAACACATGTAATTTCTTAATGTGCCTAAGTTAATTTCTGTATCAATTCAATAAATGGAATTGACTGAACTTCCCAACGCCACTAATTATTAAAATCCATCTGCTTATTCTAATGCTAGTCACCAAGAGCTAGACTCCATCTTTCCAATAAAAATGAGCCCTATGTAGCACTAGGTTTGAATTCTAAAATTCAAAACAGGCATTTCATTTTCTTAAGGCACACTTCCTACACACAGCTATCAGGGGAAAAAGCTATAAATGTCCTGTTCTTTTTCTGAAGTGTGGATATCAATATAAAATTTGTTAAAGAATATTTTTAACAGCTGACTTACATGATCGTTTTCCTAATACAGGAATACAGCGACAGACCTATCTGAAAAGTCTGTTTGGGGGCATACTTTTCATATCTTATTGACTAAAGCCCTTGAGCCAGGAAAAAAAAAAAAAAAGAGAGAGAGACAGTAAGGCCATCTATAGATAATTAAATATTTCTCTATCTAACCTGGGGCAAACTCATAGTACTTGAATAAGGCCAAAAACAAATAGAAAATTACTGTTTAAGCTTTCATTCTGCTATTGCAAACATTTGGAAACCTCTGCAACTCTTTCAACTAACATTTTTGTCCTTAGCGGTTTTTTTTTTTTTTTTTAAGTCTGATATATGGAATGTTTGGTGAACCTTCCTATCAACACTGAGACTGGAAACTCAAAGTACAGTCCAAATACATTGTGTTCAATCACCTTCAAGAGCCATTTTTCTTTTTGGGTGGGAGGTGGGCAGATGGGTTGAGGGTGGGAAGAAAATACTATTATGCAGGGTGTTTTGGGAGGGGGGAGGGTAACATAAAGAGCAGTGTACAGGCAAGTTTTGTTATTAAAATTGTGTATACTGTAAAAAGTGAATGCCTTCTTTTTACTTTTCCTTGATAACCTATCAATTTTGACATGTGAAACTTGAAAAGCCATTTGTGACAGACATAGAAATCTTAAATGAACAGTTGTTTTATTCCATGTTCCTCTACAATGTCAAATGTGTCCACTGAAAAAAGGGGCAGCTAATCATTACCTGTCTTCAGAGAGAGGTAAAACTAGGATAAGAAGAAAGTAAAGGTAAAGTGGTGAGAAGGGAGAGTGCCTAAAAAGCTGTCATGCAGTAAGAAGCTGCTCTGTCAAGAGCCTGAGCAAGTGGACAAACAACTGTCCCAGGCTCACAGGGCATGGAGTTGGCTGCCCCTCTCTGAATCCTCCATTACAGTGAACTAACACCACAGAGAGCTTCGGAAAGGTACCAATTGCCTGTATCTAGCCAACAGCGACTTGGCCTCTACCTTGGGGGTTGGTTGATGTCCATCCCAGCAGCACCTTCCATGCCACTCCTAGGAGGGAGGTCCCACAGGTGCTTACACACTAGGACCATGAAGATCCCTACATGACCTCCTCCACCCTGGATGACGACTCAGTGAGTACAGATGGGAAAAGGAAGGGAAGATTTTAAACTACAATTGACCCTTGAACAACACTGGGGTTAGGGGTGCCAACCCCCTGCTCCACACAGTCGAAAATCTGCATAACTTTTGACTTCCCAAAAATTTTTATTAATAGCTACTGCTGACTAGAAGCATTACTGATAACATAAACGGTCAGTCCATATTAGATAACACATATTTAATACCGTCAGTCAAAATAATACATATTTTATATGTTATATGTATGATATATGGTATTCTTACAAAAATAAGCTGGAGAAAAGAAAATGTTATTAAGAAAATCATGGTGGGGCATGGTGGCTCACGCCAGTAATCCCAGTACTTTGGGAGGCTGAGGTGGGTGGATCACCTGCGGTCAAGAGTTTGAGACCAGTCTGGCCAATAAGGCGAAACCCTGTCTCTACTAAAAACACAAAAATTAGCCAGGCAACCTGGTATGCGCCTGTAATCCCAGCTACTCGGGAGGCTGAGGCAGGAGGATTGCTTGAACCCGGAGGTGGAGGTTGCAGTGAGCTGAGATCATGCCACTGCACTCCAGTCTGGGTGACAGAGTGAGACTCCATCTTAAAAAAAAAGAAAAAAAAAAAAAGAAAGAAAGAAAATCATAAGAGAAAATACATTTATCATTAAGTGGAACTGGATCACCATAAAGGCCTTCATCCTTCTTGTTGTCTTCACATTGAGTAGGCCGAGAAGGAAGAGAAAGAAAAGGAGTCAGTCTTACTGTCTCAGGGTTATCACAGGTGGGAGGAAATCCACATATAAGTATCACAGGTGGGAGGAAATCCACATATAAGTAGACCTTAACAATTCATACCCATGTTGCTCAAGGGTCAACTATAATGTCCTTGGCTTGCTACAGATAAACATCCTCAGGACAGGATTCTACACCTGGGCAGTGCTAGGGCATAAACTGCCCTGGCTTCCAGGAGCTGACTGCCAGTAGTCTGCCGTGTTTGCCCAGATGCACTTATTGTTTCTCCAGCACCACAGCCCCATAGCAGGACCACATGGAGGAATAGGCAAAGCCACCCTTTTCCCAATGCCAGGGAAGCTGGGATCAGAGAGACTAAGAGAACTCTCACACCAGGAATATCAGCAGTAACCAGGGCAGAAGCAGGAAACAGAGAACACAATTCTATTGTCAAACTCATCCCATAAGCACTAGAGGGCATAGGTGATGGTGGTTTTAAATTGCACAAAGGAACACATTCCTATACTTGATAGAGTTAAAAGCAGAGCTTATTAACATAATTCTCCTACATTTTAATTTTGAAAATCCCATTTAAAGCTACATCTGATTTATCAGTTATTTTAATTAATTTTGTCTATATGCCACAGCATTCTCAGGTTCCCACTCAAATATACAATAGATTCTTCCTGGTCTGTTTAAAAATTTGGGGTAGTCATGTCTCCCTTAGAGAGACAAAATGTACTACAAATTGTCTTTTACAAAGAGGGAAGGGGAAAAAGAGGTGAAAGTCATAGCTACTGCAAAAACATTTCTCCTTAGCATGAATTTGACCTTTATCCTCAATACTTGTTTTGGGAATACTCTTAAAGGACACATCTTAAACCTCCCCTTCTACTATCTGAAGAGGACAGTAAAGAGCAAGAAATCTCCAAAGTCAAGTACAATCAAGCATCCTATCCTGCGAAGCCTACAAATGAAAATACTACCCTCTATATATGGAGGCTGAAGAGCAAAGGCTTGCCCAATGCCTCCAAGTCAGGAACTCCCAATAGAAATCCAGCATGAAGAAGCATCTGCTAACAGCAACCCTGATGGGCAGAGGCCAATGGTTCATGCCTCACTTAGGAAACAGATATGAAAACTGCAGCCCTAGAGACAATTGCCAAAGCCTTTTTATAGCTTTCATCAAGATTTTACCAAAAACCACACAGAAGAGGTGTAAAAACATCATAAACATTAAGTTTACTGAATATCTATTGACAATTGTGTTTAGAGCATAAGACTTCCATCTTTAGGCCCTAGTATTTGTACCAAAATAAATAAATAAATAAATAAATAAATAAATAAATAAATAAATAAATAAATAAATGAGTTACAACAGAATCTACAGGTTGCTTTTCCTGGAAAATCATTGTACCAAAACTCTACAGCCATTTTTAATTAATTAATTATTTCCAGACCGGGTTATGAGACTGGCTAATTTTTGCATTTTTGGTAGAGACAGAGTTTCACCATGTGTTGCCCAGGTTGGTCTTGAATTCCTGGGCTCAAGTGATCCACTCGCCTCAGCCCACAAAGAGTTGGGATTACAGGCGTTCGCCACCACACCCAGCCTCTGCAGCCATTTATAATTAGCCTACCAATTTCATCATCGTGAGGGCCAAAAAATTTCCTCTTGTGATGAACAAAAACATTTCCCATTGCCTCGCTGTCAAATACATGGAGGGCAACTGCTCAGTACCCAAAACCTCTAAAAACAATGTTATTTATCATTTACACATAACCTACTTCTATACAGTCAAGGAAACTTAGAATAAAACTATGTACAGAATAGTGAAATAAAGATATAAAAAGATCAAAAGCAGGACTCTTAACCCCAAGGGTCCAGAATACGTTTCAGGATGCAAGAACGTCTTAAAATTATAATACAATATTGTATGTGAGTCCACATATTTTACCAGATCTAATGGGTTTTGATAAATTACAAAAAGGGGTTAGAAAGGCCTAGTACAGCAATGAAATCATTATTTCTAGTATACACTATACACCAATTTGGCCCTGATCTTCCTGGTGGCCAAAACAAAGAATAAAACCAACAGCTTTCATCGGATAAAGCAGCACATTGGTTTCGCTGGAAAAAGAGACACTTAAGTGAAAAAACCTGTGAATTATTTATAAAATGGAGCCAGCTGTAGGAACAACGTTGGACTGTCCCTCTAAGGAGGTTCTAGAGAACAGGCAGAGTTGTTCTTCATCAGGACCCTTGATAAAGGCTAAGGGTAAGGAGCCTACACAAGCATGCTGCGCACTCTGTGATGACCTAAACTTTGCCGTGACCCAAGGGTGGGTGGAGCCTAGAAGTTCTGCAAGAATGAACCAAGCACTTTCAGCAGCTGGTGTTTCCTCTTTATCACATCCCTGGGACCAGACAACAGGGCTCCAACACACAAGGGACACCCAGTAAACACCTACTACATTATATTACACATCTTCTACACGAGGAGTACAATTTAAAATTAAAAACATCTTCCGGCCGGGAGCGGTGGCTCACGCCTGTAATCCCAGCACTTTGGGAGGCAGAGGCGGGTGGATCACGAGGTCAGGAGTTCAAGACCAGCCTGGCCAAGATGGTGAAACCCCGTCTCTACTAAAAATACAAAAATTAGCCGGGTGTGGTGGCGAGCACCTGTAATCCCAGCTTCTCGGGAGGCTGAGGCAGAGAACTGCTTGAACCTGGAAGGCGGAGGTTGTAGTGAGCCGAGATCGCGCCACTGCACTCCAGCCTGGGCAACAGAGCAAGACTCCCTCTCCAAAAACAAAAACAAAAACAAAAACAAAAACAAAAAACACATCTTCCACTACATCAGGAATGAACAGAAGCATATTTCATACAACATCTCTGGTTGTGCATGAAACCACCTTTGCAAAATTATACAAGTGAGAGCAATCGAACATAACTGATTCCATCTTGTTTCTAACCTCACAAGTTGTCTTTGTTCATTCCTGTGCATAGGCTAAGCTAACTATGGGAGGATTTAGTTTATAATTTAGCTGAGGAATTTAGTTTACAGCTTAACTTTAAAGCAAGGATGATCATAGTCCCCTCCCAAAAACTACCCTTCTTCTCGTTGGTGGTCTGAAACTGCCTTTCTAAAATTAATGAAAGGTGGTAAGGTTAAAATTATTCTGATAAGATCTAAGCATAGTTAAAACAGTAGGCTATTACTGTTTCCTAGCTTGCTTTTTATAATTGTTTACTGCTCAGGAGTCACTTAGCCAATGGTCATAATAAGATTTGTAACTTTCCCAATTGCTTCTATAAGCAACATCACTACTGTGAAACTTAAGACTGGTGGGCAACACAGTGAGACTCTGTCTAAAAAAAAGAAAAGGCCAGGTGCAGTGGCTCATGCCTGTAATCCCAGCACTCTGGAAGGCAGGAGGACCACTTGAGGTCAAGACTTTGAGACCAGCCTGGCCAATATGGCAAAACCCTGTCTCTACTAAAAATACAAAAAGTAGCTGGGTGTGGTGCACCTGTAGTCCCAGCTACTCTGGAGGCTGAGGTGGGAGGATCACTTGAGTCTCAGAAGTGGAGGCTGCAGCAAGCCAAGATCGTGCCACTGCACTCCAGCCTAGATAACAGAGCAAGATCCCATCTAATTAAAAAAAAAGACTGGTGTTTGAGATATTTTTCAGACTGCATTCTAGTGGACCAACTGACGCCACCTATACTGGTGATCCATACCAAGAAACAGTTTCGACACTCCTATGATTTCATGCCCAGCCCAATCAATCAGCAGTACCCATTCCCTAGCCCCTGCTTACCAAACCATCTTTAAAAACCTAGTCTCCAAATTCTTTGGGAGGTGGATTTGAAAGGTATCTTGTCCACCTCAATCAGCCTTGCGATTATTAAACTCTTTCTCTGCTGCAAATTCTGCTGTCTCAGGGTACTGGCTTTTTCTGTGCAGCAGGCAAGAAGAACCCAACTGGGCTGTAAAATGCTGATGATAATCATACGTGTTCTCCTTAGGTAAGAATCTATAACACAATAACTAATTTCCTAAGAAACAACACATTTAAAAAGATAAAGCAGCTAGGTGCAGTGGCTCACACCTGGAATCCCAGCACTTTGGGGGCCTGGGGCAGGAGGACTGCTTGAGCCCAGGAGTTCAAGACCAGCAGGGGCAACATGGCAAAACTCTGTCTCTACAAAAAATACATGTATACACAAAAATTAGCCAGGTGTAGTGACACTTGCCTGTAGTCCCAACTACCCGGGAGGCTGAAGTAGGAAGATCACCTGAGCCCAGGAAATCAAGGCTGCAGTGAGCCGTGATCACACCACTACCCTCCAGCCTGGGCAACAGAGCAAGACACTGTTTCAAAAAAAATAAATTATATATATATATAAAAAAAGATGAAGCAATCATTAGCCTGAACAAGTCAGAAATTTAACTGTCTCTTTCTAGAAGCCATTAAAAAAAAACCACCTAGATTTTCAACAGGGGCAAGTTAAGTTGCACAGCAGTTAGGAGCCCTGATCCACACTTGAGCCTCTGACCCTGGACAAGTCCTTCAACCTTTATGTACCTTGGGCCTTTGACCTGTAAAACAGAATTAATAGCAGTAACAACCACAGGGGGATTTATTCACATAAAGTCCTGAGGCTAGCACAGAATAAATGCTCAAAACTGTTTTATTATTTTTAATAGCAACGTGTAGAGAGTGAAATGCTACAGATCCATCAAATAGAGAATGTAATCACATTAAAGACATGTTAGACCCATGTGCTGCTTCCTAAAACCCTACTTTCTAGTCTTTCTTCTCTAAGTTAATGTGCAGTATTCAAAATGAGAACTGATAATTAGCTAGAACTTTCAGTAAGCCTCAACAGCCTTGTTACACTTTTTACATCTAATATTGATATAAAACTTACCACATTATCTCACCGTCAAGTAACCTGCTTTGCAAAATGTACTATAATATTAGATATGATATTACTCTCGTTTGGCTTTATGAATCAAGGCTAAATTTCTAAAGGTTTAAAATCCCTAACTCAAAAATTCCTTCTGAATAAGGTAGTCACTTAAAATCAAGTGATGTCTTTTCCTTGTTCAGTAAAATTATATAGGACAACAAGTACTATCCATTATCATAAAAGGATACTATTTTTTCAAAAGAAATAAGAATCTCATTGATGTCTCAGCTTTGGACAATTATATTTTAGGACAAAATACATGGCTGAGAATTAAGGATCACTATTACGTTCCTTTTTGTTTAGAAAAAAATGTACTTTAAGTCTATCACATCTAATTTAGGAAGCAGCCCTTCCAATTGTGGCAGGTTTGGTTCCAAGGCAGATTTGCCAGAATTATTGAGGGGTGTGGGCAGGAGAGGTATGAGAATTTAAAAACACAAACATAATCCATTAGTTCAATGCACGCAGGAGGGTATGTTTCGTGATAGCTGGAGAGTAATCCTCCATATTACTGAAATCTCTATTCCATATAAAGCTTGCTCAGAATTAACCTATCTCAATGAAAGACATACAATCTTATCAGAACTTATCAGATCTTATGACCCAGATTCTTCAAGTCAAGAAAACAACTTTCTTGGCATTGTCTTTCCAAGATAATAATCTAGTTTATCCAACAAGGAAAATCCTTTTATCTCCTCCTTCATCCACAACTTTTCTCTACTTTCCCACATCTCTTGACCGTGGGCTTACTACCTGCTTCTCCCAAATCCACAAAACTAAGTGCCTATCAGCTACAAAATAATCTACACGATTTGGAAATTACAATAAAAAATATAGTCACTCATCTGAGCTATCTTTTCAGTCCACGCTTCTCTTTGCTCTTTGTACAGATTCAAGTATAAAATAGCATTTATTCATTTTGCTTTCACTTTTAAAAGACCAAGAATACCTGCCATTTAAGACGTACCCTTTTTACTTTTAATAATTAGCACTCACTCCAGTTCTATGACCAAATAAAGTCCCCAACACCCTTCATACCTGTAATAAAAGTTGCTCTCTTGCTGTTTTTAATTGGGAGTGGGGAATGTGAATTGGGGCGTAGAAGATATGGCAAACATTTCAGAAATGTAGAATTCTTTAAGAATAGGCAGTAATCTTTCATTCCAGTTTTCTTGGGATTCCATAGAATTGGCCACAAGAAAGCTGGGACCTTTCATTTGAAAGTATGTTCTGCCAGTTTTTGATCCAAATAGAAAAAAAAGACACGAACATTAGGCACTAGTAACTATTTCATGTAAGGATCGCCCATGTGGCCCACACATTAAGAAGTGCGTTCAGAGCCAGGCGTGTTGGTGGACGTCTGTAATCCCAGCACTTCGGGAGGCTGAAGTGGGCAAATCACCTGAGGTCAGGAGTTCGAGACCAGCCTGGCCCACATGGTGAAACCCCGTCTCTACTAAAAGTACAAAAATTAGCCAGGCATGGTGGTGCGTGCCTGTAATCCCAGCCACTCAGGAGGCTGAGGCAGAAGAATCTCCTGAACCTGACAGCTGAAAGGTTACAGTGACCTGAGATCATGCCACTGCACTTCAGCCTGGGCGACACAGTGAGACTCCGTCTCCAAAAAAAAAGATTGTGTTCAGGAGTGCCTTGACAGCGCTACCTCTCTATTTTCCCTTGTAATTTACCAGGAGGAAAAAAATGGCAGTGGGAAAGAGAAGAAGAATATACCATCCTCGGCACACTCCTGCAGGCAAATGGGACAATACCACATCACCACATCTCCATCTTCTCTCCTGATAGACCCTGCAAGCCAGTGTGTGCAAAACTGTTCTCTGACACTTGCTGTCAACTTCCAAAAACTAGAGCCCATTTTATTACCGTATTAAAACTGCCAAGTCTTTGGGAGGCCTAGGAGGGTGGATCACCTGAGGTCAGGTGCCCAGACCAGCCGGGGCAACACGGTGAAACCCCGTCTCTACTAAAAATATAAAAACTAGCTGGGCATGGTGGCACGTGCCTGTAATCCCAGCTACTCAGGAGGTTGAGGCAGGAGAATCGCCTGAGCCCGGGCGGCAGAGGATGCAGCGAGCTGAGACTGCGTCATTGCACTCCAGAGATAGAGCAAGACTCCGTATCAAAACAAAACAAAACAAAACAAACAAAAAAAACCAAACCCTGCCAGTCTAAGATTTGTCTATTATTCCACATGAAAATCTAACAGCAGGTGGTCAGGAATTTTCTTAGTTTTGATGCAGCATTCCTAAAGTGTCAAAAAAAATTACAGTGCATAAGTGGTACCATTTAGACACTCAATTTGTGCTTGCTTTGAATTAGATGTGTGTTGAATCAGATAGATTATGAAGAACAGGACAAACTATAAACGGTTTATCTGAAGTTCAGCTGACACTCCCACCAAATCCATTACCCTAATTTATAACTAGAATTATTAAACAAATATATTTCCAGTAAAAACATAAATCACTGGCTTTCCAAAAACAATAATCAGTATTTTGATTTATTCATCAATTATTTCAGTATCAGAGGTACCACATTGGAAAATAATATTTTTAAGATCTCACCTTTCAAATATTTTATATCAATCTTTAAACACACACACACAATCTTTAAACACACACACACACGCATGCACACGCACACCACACCCCGCCCTCAGTTTAAATTGAGAAGGGAGTCTGGGGATTAGATATACTTATGAAAGGTTAGACTTCTGTTTTTTGTTTAGTTGTTGAGACTGGGTCTTGCTCTGTTGCCCAGACTGGAATGCAGAGTTGCAGTTTTGGCTTTCTGCAACCTCTGCCTCCTGGGCTCAAGCGATTCTCCCACCTCAGCCTCCCAAGTAGCTGCGACTACAGGTGCATGGCACCACACCTGCCTAATTTTTGTATTTATTGTAGAGATGGGGTTTTGCCATGTTGCCCAGGCTGGTCTCAAACTCCTGGGCTCAAGCGACCCTAAAGTGCTGGGATTACAGGCGTGAGCCACTGCTCTGAGCCCTGTTATTTGTAACTAGCATTTTAACTAACTGAATACCAAGAAAAGATTAAGAAGACTATTAAGTGGAACACATTAGGAAAGTGGGGGATGCAGAACAATTAAGATTCAATATATGACATGTTAAAGTTAGAATGTTTATTAGTCGTCCAAGTAGAGATGACAAGTCCAGGGGAATGGTCCAGGCTGGAAACATAAATTTAGAAGTCATCATCCGTGAATACAGGTATTTAAAGTCACTAGCCTAGATGAGATCACCAAGGGAATGGGTGTAGATGGGAGATGAGACTCACAGAACCATCCTTTCCTCCTAAACCAGTCTGAGAAATCTTTAAACAATACCTGTAAAATGGCAGTCACGGAAAAAAAAGGATAGGTTTCAAGGGAAGCATTCCCTCAACATCAAAGCCACTTGAACAAGTCATGTGCTATTGGAAAACAAATAGGAATATGGTCAGCTTAATTCATGAAAATGACTGGAAACGACATATCAAAGGAATTTTTAATCAATGAAGAATACACATGTATACCATTTAGGAATTCAGAATGATGACTACAATAACAAGCCCATCAATCATACTATGCTCCATGCCAAGTAAGCTGGCAAATAAGCTGGAGATGGCCCTGTTCTCAAGTCAATGTAATAAACTGAAGAACCAATGAAAGTTCACGAACAATCAGAAAAGCAGGGGTTAATTCTGAGGGGCATGTAGAACTCATGTACTTGAACTACAAGAGAGCCAAAGGCTGGGCCCAGTGGCTCACGCCTGTAATCCCAGCACCCTGGGAGGCCGAGGCAGGCGGATCACTTGAGGTCAGGAGTTCAGACCAACAATGGCCAAAGTGGTGAAACCCTGTCTCTACTAAAAATACAAACAAAATTAGCTGGGCGTGGTGGCAGGTGCCTGTAATCCCAGCTACTTGGGAGGCTGAGACAGGAGAATTGCTTGAATGCGGGAGGCGGAGGTTGCAGTGAGCCAAGATCATGCCACTGCACTCCAGCCTGGGTGACAGAATAAGACTCTGTCTCAAAAAAAAAAAAAAAAAAAGAAAAAGAAAAAGAAAAAAAAGCCAAATATTCAACTAAAAGGGTATTACATAATTTTATCTTGATAGAGGCTTGGGTTACAAGGTATGTGCCTTTATCGAAATTCACCAATAGCACACTTAAGATTTGTACATTTCAGTATGTATAAAACTTACCTTTAAAAATACTGGGACAGGCGCAGGAGCTCATACCTATAATCCTAGCACTTTGGGAAGCCAAGGTGGGAGGATCACTCGAGCCCAGGAGTTCAAGATCAGCCTGGGCAACATGGCAAGACCCTGTCTCTATAAAAAATAAAAAAATTAACCAGGTATGGTGGTGCATACCCGTGCTGCTAGCTACTCAGGAGGCTGAGGTGGGAGGACTGCTGGAGCCCACGAGTTCAAGGCTATAGTGAGCAGTGTTAACATCACTGCATTTCAGCCTGGGCAACAGAGCAAGAACCTGTCTCAAAAAAAAAAAAAAAATTTTTTTTAACTCTAATTAATGACACATATGGGACAGTGTTTAGAGGTGAATGTACAAGTGTCTGCAACTGAATTTGAAATGCATCAAAACAGTAAGATGGATACAGGGATGGCTAAATATGTCTCAAAGGAAATATTTAAACATTTAATAGAATCTAAGAAGTGGATTCATATGTGGGTGGTTCACTGTATAATTCTTTCAGCTTCCCTACATGCGTAATTTTCAAAATAAAATGTCTGAAAGGGAATTACAATTGTAAGTTATGGTACTGTCAATCTAATATACTATTAATTTCAACTAGTCCTTACAGTGTTGCACAGTGGTTAAGGGCTCAAATTCTGGAGCCAGGCTGGGTTCAAAGTATAGCACCTCTACTTACTAGCTATGGGACCTTGTATAAATCATTTAACCTTTATGCATTAACAGTACCATGCTTCATGCTTTGATGGTTAAATACAAATGGACAGTGCCACTAATATTACTGATATTTAGAAAATAGGAAGGCACTTAAGAATGCAGTGGTAGGCTCACATCTGTAATGCCAGTACTTTGGGAGGCCGAGGTGGGAGGACTGCTTGAGGCCAGGAGTTGGAGACCACCCTGGGCAGCATAGCAAGACCCCATCTCTATTTAAAAAAATTTTTTTTTTTAACGAATGCAGTGGATAAATGAGCTTTGAGCTTGGTACAAAAGGAACAGCAGGATTTCAATATGGCTGGGTACAGAGAAGGCCAGAGCCAGTAATCTGAGACATGATGCCCATTAATAGTGAAGTTACTCTGGGCTTGGCCAAAGTAGGACCAAATAACAAGAAGCCTCTGGGGCTAGGAAGGGAGCTTAGATTTAACATGGTTGACAAGAGCAGTCACTCCAGATTTCTGAAGACGGCTAGGATATGATGACCAAAGCAGTGACTTAGAGAGATGTATTCTGGCAATTTTTCTTGTTTTGCAGAGAAAAATCTGTAACTTCCACTATTAGAAAAAGGCTGTTAAGGGAGATAAAGAAAAAAGGAAAGAAATTTATTTAAAGGGCAGGCAAAGGGTAAGAACCAATGGTCAGGTGAAAAAGAACATGACTCCCTCCAAGAGAAATGGGCAGCAGACTGGGGCATGAGGGAAAAACATGAGAGAAATCATTCATTCACCAGAATGTACTAAAGACAGCCTTGGAGTTCCCATGACAACTTTCAAGTGTTCATTATTAATCTCTAGTCTAAAACTATTTTCTGAAAAGATACACAATTTCTCTCTAAAATACTTCCATATTTACAACTTTCTTTTCAAATCTCAATAAGGATTTCATCTCATGAATTAGGCACAGAAAGGTCCAGTTTCTACCTTGTAGTAGAGGGAAACACTCTTGCTTGAGTCCAATTTACCCTAGTAAAATCCACCCTTCTGCCAATCTTAGTCATGTACTCTTAAAAGCTTTAAACAATAATTTCTAGCTCCCTAACATGGTGCAAATATTAAACAGAAATGCAGGCCAGGCACAGTGGCTCCTGTCTGTAATACCAGCCCTTTGGGAGTCCAACACAGGAGGATCATTTGAGGCCAGGAGTTTGAGACCAGCCTGGGCAACACGACGAGACCCCATTATTACAAAGAATTTAAAAATTAGCCGAGTGTGGTAACACACACCTGTAGTCCCAGCTACTTGGGTGGTGAGGTGGGAGATCACTTGAGCCTGGGAGTTTAAAACTTTGGTAAGCTATGATCACGGCCACTACACTCCAGCCTAGGTAACAGAGTGAGACCCTGTCTGTTTTATTCTTTAAAAAAAAGGAAAAGAAAGAAATGCACCATCACAGTGTAGTGACAATGTTAATTTTACTCCCTCACACACTACAAAAGAGTATCTTATTATAAGGTTTAATTTGTTACGTTCATATACAAGAGGTTCATTAATGGCTTCACTGTTGGAAATCTCAGCAGAACTGCTGGTTTTGTTAAGAAGTATGTGGCATGGCTATCAATATAATTTTAATAAAAGCCCCAAGCCATTATCTACTTCCCATCTTAACAGAAATTAAAGCTAAGAAATGACATCTTGAGGGTTATACTTCAAAAAATATGTATCAACAAGTTTCAGGATTTTGGAATCCCTTCATTCTCTACCCAAAATTAACTCTATAATGTCCCTAGTTTCCTCTCCAGGGTCACATACTTTCTCCTTCTTTAGAAAGATTCTTTCAAAAATTGTAATAATAAGAGCTCTTCAAAGTCTCAAGTAATAACATACATTTCTTTTCACATTTTCATTACAATCAAGACTAGCTAACAACTCAAATTTCTCTACCTAGGCAAACTACAAAAACTGTCAAATCCCAGACAGTAAAATTCTACTGCCATTTTTACTTAGCCAACCCAAATGGAAAGTACCTACCAAAAATCAACTCTTACTGCTTTTCCAGCTCTTTTTATAAGAAGGAAAGACACACGCTTACAGTGACAAAGTAAAGACCTTGTCTCACCCACCAAACACCGTACAAAATTGTAGACTCCCCAAACACCTCCTGGCAAGTGCCAGCAACTAAAAACCACTGGTAAAACAGCATTCTAAGCTTTTTAAAAGGAAGATGAAAACTCACCTAGATGCAAATTTTTAGGAAACAGGAAAAAACAAAAACCAGTTTAACCCAGTATGAACTGAATTTTCTCTCACTGAAAGTAAAGGGCATCTGCTGGTAACTTTGCAGTTTCCTGCATCCACAATTATATTAATATCTATACATAGAAAAAACAAGTGCTGGCTGGTTAGCTTGTTTGGTTTAAAACATGACAGTTGAGGCTGGGCGCGGTGGCTCACGCCTATAATCACAGCACTTTGGGAGGCTGAGGTGGGCAGATCACAAGATCAGGAGTTCGAGACCAGCCTGGCCAATATGGTGAATCCCTGTCTCTACTAAAAATACAAAAATTAGCTGGGCGTGCTGGCAGGCACCTGCAGTCCCAGCTACTCGGGAGGCTGAGGCAGAAGAATAGCTTGAACCCGGGAGGCGGAGGTTGCAGTGAGCCGAGATCGCGCTACTGCACGCCAGCCTGGGTGACAGAGTGAGACTCCGTCTCAAAACAAAAACAAACAAACAAAATGACAGTTAAAAAGCCAATCATGGGTTTGGTGTTTGAGTGGACCAATTTTGCTCTTCACACTCTAAATCCCAATATTTTTTTCTCTCTGAAATGGAAAGTATCTGTCAATGGTTATAATGGGTACTCAAAAGATGTGAGTTCAGTGAAAATACATTACCAATGCTGGGAGGAGAATCACTCAAAGTGTATGTCCCGTGGAGTATGAAGTACACTGGATGTGCATCCACAGGATGACATTATTACATAAGCCATCATTACCCTTTTTAATGAACAGTGTCTACAGAGAATAAGGGGAAACAATGTAACATGAGAAAAAATTATCCAAAGAAGGAACTGAAAAATGTCTACAGAGAGGCTTACTGGGAAATGTTTTTCTAATAGAGAGGCTTAGTGGGTCAAATCAATTCTGCATTTTAAATCCTTTATTCTATTTTCACTGTACCACATAATTTCTATATTTTACGCTATTGCAGTCTGAGGAGTCTGTTGAACTGTTCTGTCCTCCTTTCCTTCTCCCACTTAAGTTCCTCTAGCATTTACACTTTTCACTTAAGCCTATGTAAGAGAGTGTGTGTACAGACACAAGTACATGTGTTCAGTTGGGGGGAAATGGAGGCAAATGGCCCCAGATCAAGACAAAATAGCCCCTATTTATTTCAAAGAGAAAGCCATTATTTAGCTCATTTCTTGTCAAAGATTTTTTTTAAGTTTGGCTCCCCCTGTGATTTTGAGTCTTGTACTGACTGCTCTTACTTGATTAGAAAAAGAACCACTCAGTTGAATGTGTGTAGAGTCACATTCAGTGCTTGCATTCAGAAACTTGTATATCCATAAATAATTCGCAGATATCCACACACATTTTTGCAGATGTGGGTAAAAAAATAAAAACAAATATTCTTAAAACTACTTACAAGTACGAAAGTCTTGCAGATGTAATATCAATGATAATTGTGAAAGGAAGGTTTATCATAGAATGCTATAGCAGGAAAGGCTCCAAAAACCTTCACTAACCCAGCTCTATGATTGGGCTTCTTCTTCCATTCACCCAGGTCAAATGAATTTTGATCTTAAACAATTAAAATGGTCTATGTGAAAAGAATTTTCTTTAAACCCAAAAGCTCAAAGTCAGGCAATTTATTATCACCCATGACATTTTTGCAAAGGAATCTGTATTTGAAATATGTCAATTTATTTCAAACCCTCATTTGAAATGTGAAGGTTCTTCCCTAGAAACACCAAATTGAAAAGTCCTCTCCCTTTTTAGAAAAGAAATATAAAAGCAACAGCCTCACATAAACTCTTTAATCTGTGCCCATGATTGTAAAATGTCAAATCCCTATAATAAATTCCTTACACATCTTTCCTAGTTCTTCTGCTTCTGTGATTTAACCCTGATAGTCCCAAACTTATGTGCATGTAAGTAATCTAAGTGAGAAAGACATTTTTACCCAAAACAGGAAATCCTCTAGCCATAAAACAAAAGATAAACACATCTACCTGAGAACAAAAACAAAACTTCAATACTTTTTTTTTTTTTAAGTATATACTTCCGCTGGCTAGGAAGGATTAAAAAAGGCGGGGGAAAACACACGCAATGTCAAAAGACAAATAGCTATAATATACCAAGAGCTCCGGCAAAGAAAAACATACAAATGACAGTAGAAAATGGGCAAAGAATACAAACAGACACTTCATAAAAAAGCAAATCCAATGACTTACAAGTACATTAAAAAGATTATTTGAATTCAACAGTGGTCAAGGGAAATGCAACTTTAATAATGAGCAGGCCGGGTGCAGTGGCTCACGCCTATAATCCCAAGCACTTTGGGAGGCCGAGGCGGGAGGATAACTTCAGGTCAGGAGTTCGAGACAAAAAAAAAAAAGTAATAATGAACAACTGCTTCACACTCATCAGATCAGCAAAATTAAAACAAATAATGCCTACTGTTAGCACACTGAAATAAAAACACACAACACATGGGAGGGGAGTGGTCAAATACATAGTGTAGTCAGCAATAAAATGAACAAATTAGAGGTAAACCAGAAGGCTTGCAAGGATTTCCATGAGTTACTGATGAATAAGATGATGCAGGTTTGTGAACATTTGTGAACAATGATCCCACTTTGATCAGGCAAACACCTATGCAAAAATGTGTGTGTGCGCGCGCGCGCGAAAAGAGGGAAGGGAAGCAGGAATCTATAGGCAAAGGAAAGTATACAGTTATTGATTCCAGATTGGTAACACTGGTTCTTAGGAGGAGAGGATGTGGAATGTGGAGAGAGGCGGGTAGAAGGAGGGAGGAGAAGGGAAGGAGGGAAATCAGGGGAATCAGCATGTATATAAATTTCATTTATGGAAAAGGCATGTGTGTATGTAAATTTTAAAAGATTACCTTTGCCTTTACACATTTTTGTATAATTGTACATGTTAAAGTTAAGTCTAATTTCTTACAAGTATATTGAACACGAAATATGACCTATATAGGAAGAAACTGTAACTGAACTATAGTAGTCATGAGATTCCCTGGGTCTTGGAAAGGAAAGCAAGTGACAAATGTGTACCCCCCCCACCCCCCAAAGAAGCAGAAATGTAAAGTATGAAGGCAGTGGAGAAAATAATGTATAACAGAGAAAAAGCTGGAATCACTATCCTAGAACACTGCCCGAGAAAGAGGTGAAAGGAAGTACCTCGAGGTGAGCCTGGAAGCAAAAAAAATGTCAATATGGAAGGAAGGTATTTGGCTATTAGCCCACAGCCTCACAGGCAAGGCTCATCTTCATGGGTTACACTGAGGCAATGTTAAAAGTATTGAAATATTCCATACCCCTATTACTCAAGTACTTAAAGGGTTAACGCCAGGCCCATTAGAGACCTCCAAAATCCTGCTCCAGAACTATAGCACTACTAATTGGGTAGCACCCATGTTATATATTTATTTATTTATTTATTTTTTATTTTTTTGAGATGGAGCTTCGCTCTTGTTGCCCAGGCTGGAGTGTAATGTTGCGATCTCGGCTCACTGCAACCTCCACCTCCCAGGTTCAAGCAATTCTCCTGCCTCAGCCTTCCGAGTAGCTGGGATTACAGGCACGCGCCATCATGCCTGGCTAATTTTTTGTTTTGTTTTGTTTGTATTTTTGTAGAGATGGGGTTTCACCATGTTGGCCAGATTGGTCTTGAACTCCTGACCACAGGTGATCCGCCTGCCTCGGCCTCCCATAGTACTGGGATTACAGGCATGAGCCACCATGCCTGGCCTTTATTTATTTATTTTGAGACGAAGTCATACTCTGTGCCCAGGCTGGAGTGCAGTGGCGCAATCTCGGCTCACTGCAACTTCCGCCTCCCAGGTTCAAGCGATTCTCCAGCCTTAGCCTCCCAAGTAGCTGGGACTACAGGTGTATGCCACCGCGCCCAGCTAATTTTTGCATTTTTTTTAAGAGACAGGGTTTCACCATGTTGGCCAGGCTGGTCTCAAACTCCTGGCCTCAAGTGATCTGCCCCCCTCGGCCTCCCAAAGTGCTGGGATTACAAGTGTGAGCCACCGCGCCCAGCCAGGTAGCACCCATGTTAACCACGTGTACACCTCTCCTGCTTAGAGACTAAAATCACCTATTCTTCAAAGATGCTGTCAGAGTCCACCTTCACCCACAGGCAAAGTAGCATCACCTTCTATGATGACTAGCTGCCATGATCAACTGAACAACCTCTGGAGGATGTGAAGTCAAGGGCCCCAGAAGCCCTGCAGACAGAGATCAGGCACAAGAATGCCCATCAGGATAGGAAATGAGGCTCAGTTGAGATAAGAGCCCAACAATGAAAACGACAAAGGCAGTGTGCATTCTCTGCCCCCTGTCATCCATGATATGTTCTACACAGAAACCATTTTGTGGAATTATCCTGAACCTCAACTTCCCAGGAATATATCATGGGTGACATTACACTGCATGTTTTCTATACTGATGCCAGCTGGCACAAGGCAATAAATGCCTTTTGTTTGTTTACTGAATCATCTTCTTTCTTCACATAACACAGCATGCCAGTTTTTACCACTGCTTAAGGTAATGCTCAATATTCCCCTAACAGAACGTTTGTGCATGGCTAAAGTTAAAGATCTAATATTAGAAAGCAGAAACTAATATCAATCACCAAAAGACTTATTAGACAGGGTTTCTGTTTGTTTTGTAGTGATAATAGGTAAAACTTAAATCTGTAGAAGCATCCATCTTTGGGCTCTAAAACCAGAGAGCCTCAGTAAAAATTAAGAAAGAACAAAATGAAGATTTTCTGGATAAGACCCTGGATCCAGAGCTAAAGACCACAGGAGTCGTTGGATACACAAACTGAAAGAGACTACAGTGAAATAGTAAAACCTTCAAAGTTGTTATAGTAAATGAAGACTTTAAACCATCTGTGATGTGAAAAATAAATTAATGAAGTATAAAGAGATCTAACACCGTAAGATAAACATTTGAAAGAAGATGGTAAATGCCTAATGGCTACATAGATAATACAGTAAGATGTACTATTATTAGTATTAATTATTTGTTAAATAGAAGTATCCTCAACATTATACAGAACAGTCAATAACAGAGCACCTAGACTAAGGCCACTCGATCTGACTTGGTTGAAAAACAATTCAAACATGAAAGAAGCCAAAGTGATTATATTCTAGACATGTGAGCTTCATAGAGTTCATTGCAATTAAGGGACTATAAGCTGATGCCATAGTACAGTGAATAGAAATAGAGGCATCCAGGATTAAATATCTAAGAAAGAAGAAGGAAGGCAAAGATAGAAGACAGGGAGAGCACAAATTGCGGATGGTTTGGCCAAAAGAGGGCATGTGGAATCAGACTGGGTAGCCATAAGAGCAAAGTAAATAAACATTAGGAAAACATTGTTTTAGAGGAAAAAAACAAAATAAGTGTAGGTCAGCAAATTATCATAGTAAAACCTATTTCACAATCAAGTATAATAACTTTCCATATAAGTCAAAAGACACAAAAATCTTAAGAGAGAGAGTGTGTGTGTGTGTGTGTTTTATTGTATCTACAAAAAATATTTCTGGAAGATACACAAGAAACTGTAAGAAGAGAAACTGAATGGCTAGGTAACAGGGATGAGAGGCAATGCTCATTAGATACTCTTTTAGACCCCTTTAAGCCATGTAAATGCACTGCCTATTTTAAGAATTAAAAAAAAAAACTTTTTATCAGGTATAAGGAAATGCAACTGTAAGGATCTCAGTTCAACAACAGACCTTTTTCAAAACAAGAACCCTATGAAAGCCAGCAAATGAATTGCTCTCCTATTACTCTTTAGTTTTCTGAAGCAAATAACCATTAATCCAATGAGTAAGTTCATAGATAACATCTGATGGCAACTGTTCACATCTCCTGAAGTGGAGTGATGATACCAGCCAGCGCACGTGCCTCACTTCAAAGTCAGCCCTGCTTAACTATAAAGATTTTCCTAATAAGATTTTTCTCTTCAGAGGTTTAAGAGCTCTAAAGACAGAGAATGTTATAACATGAAAGGGAAAGAGAACTTCTAGACCTCACACTGCCTGTCCTACCGTCTTTGTTTTTGTTTTTGTTTTTTAAATACATAGGCTATGCCTAGGTTTACTGTTTTTGGTTAATTATTCAACCAGTTCTAGGGTGTGTAAATTCTCTTAAACAATGAGATAGTGGGTTTGTTAAAACAAAAACAACAAAACCCTATTCATAATAGCTTTTTCCTCTAGTGCTAATTTTAAAAAAAAATAGAGAGGAAATACAACTTATAAAAAATGAACATGAAACTACATGAATAGTTACAGTATTCAAATAAACAGTCTACTTCAAATGCAATCACCAAATAAAGCCAAAACCAGTAGGAAAGAATAATCAAGAAATTTTATACAGAGATGCCTATACAAAACTCAATTCAGAGAATGAACACTGACGATCAGAGCCATGCTTCCCCATGCCAGATAACTCAGAATTAACAATAAAGAAGTATGCCAGGCAGGGCAAGGTGGCTCACGCCTGTAATCCCAGCAATTTGGGAGGCCGAGGCAGGCATATCATGAGGTCAGGAGTTCGAGACCAGTCTGACCAACATGGTGAAACCTTGTCTCTACTAAAAATACAAAAATTAGCTGGGTATGATGGTGCATACCTGTAATCCCAGCTACTCAGGAGGCTGAGGCAGGAAATCACTTGAACCCAGGAAGTGGAGGTTGCAGTGAACCAAGCTCACGCCACTGCACTCCAGCCTGGGCGACAGAGAGAGACTCTATCTCAAAAAAAAGTATGCCAGGCCCAATCAAAATGCACATTTTAATAGTAAAGAGAGCATATTATGAATCTAGGAATAAAGCTACCAACTTCAGGCAAGACAGTTAAGACAAATGGAGAGCAATAAAATAAGCTATGCAGCACAGTCAACAGGGACACAGTCTTTAGACATTATTATCAGAATACACATGTAAAAGGGAAAATTCTCCAAATGTATTTGACCATGACTGTAAAAGAAGAGAGAAGAAAAGGGGGAGCAGAGAGAGAACTAAGCTCTTGGAGGAGAATGATAAATGCAATGGCTCTATGAAACTACTGGAAATCAGAAGAGCTAAAAAAACAAACAAACAAAAAAAAGAGGACTTAAAGTGTGAACAATTCAAATATAAATTATTAGTTATAGCAATGTTAATAGTAACACTAGTATTAACAGCAGTGGTTGTGCCTTACATGACTCTTTTCTATACACTTGCAACCATGATGGGTGCATAGGCACCATTATCATCCCCAGTTCCCAGTTGAGGAAACATAGACTTGGGAAAGCTTAGGTAACTTTTCATGCTCAGTGCAGCTGTCAAGACTAGAACAGTCTCTCCATAGAAAATCCCTTCAATAACAAATTTATCTTTATGCCAACAGCATATATGCATTAGTAAATGTAGTTCAAACATCTCTGGAAGGAAAGCAAAGCTTCAAATTAGGTAGAATTTATTACCCAAGAAGCAAGACCCCTGAATCTCAGCTAGGTAAAGAAGAACTTAAAGAAACAGAGGTGCCACTTGATTTATCTCTAGAAACACAGGTAATTATAAGTGCTCCCAACAAGTTCAAAACTAACAAAAGATATACTGGCCTATACAATCTCTGCTACTTTCAGCTTTTACTCAGTACCACATAAAGAAACACAAACTTAATGACTATTAAGCTCCAAAGCAACAGAAATGGGAGTTGCCCAAATGTTTCCTTTTTGTAATGCATCAAAAGTTTACTTGGGGCAGCAAAAATATGCTCTATCTCCTAGTACATCAATTTAGAGAGAAATGCCCCTCCCCCAAAATATGCCCCACAAGCAACTGCCCACACTGATCTAAGGGTGACCACCTCTACCGTAACACATCTTTCTTACTTCCTGCCACAGTGCCTGAAATCCCACCATCAGGTTTCTCTTCAAGAATTTTCTTTTCAAAAGGAAAGTAAATATCCCCCGAATAAAGCAACAATAAAAAGTGGACAGGGGACATTATATTTGAATTCTTCAACTAATACTTTGACTAAGAAATTATGACATCGGCCTGCCACTCATGCCTCTAATCTCAGCACTCTGGGAGGCTGAGGCAGGAGGATCACTTGAGCCCAGTAGTTCGAGACCAGCTTGGACAATGTAACCAGACCCCTATCTCTAAAAAAACAGAGGGAGGGAGACAGGGAAGGAGACAGGGAGGGAGGGACTACGCCGGCTTTAAAAAGGAATGTTGTCAGTCTCCTCTTCCCTCCAAAAGGTGAAAATCCATGCTGTTGAACTACAAGTACTACCCAATAGAAGCAAAAAAGTAAAAACCTATTTTTAAGTAAATAAGTTAATGTTGCTAAAACAAACCACTTCACTTAAAACTTCTGCTACATCTTTTTTTGCAATTCCTTCAAGTGGGCCTAGAACAAAGCTTTCAGATACTACCATGTATTTAAGAGTGCCAATATTTCAACCAAAATACCCAACCCCAAAGCTCTGACTGCAAATAATAATCCAAACATGTAATTAATAGAAAAATTAGTTCCTTTTCATAGTTCTCAGAGCTGTATAATCAAATTCTAGGTGATTATATGCAGAATCTTCTAATAATCCAAACCATTCAAAAATCTTTAAGGGCTAACAATGTACATAATGTAGAGATCTAACACTTTTTCAGAGAGAAGACACCCTGCCCCCAAATGAAAAACACTCAGCTTGAAATGACACCTGTTCAGTATAATTTGAGGGGTTTTTTTTTAACTATTTTTAATTCAGCAATCCTTCATTCAACATTTGTATAATTTAAATGAAATAGTCACAGAAAATTGTAGGCCATTAGTTTGTCCCATACAAAGTCAGAAGATTAAAGAGGTCAACAGTGTACACAATATAGGATTTAATGTAGACCATGTAATTCTGGTGGCAATAACAGACACAGGCCGTGTTTCAAAATGGGAAAAATACTCTTTACTTCATGTAAGATGAACAAATTGCCTGAACTCCTACAGGAAATATAATTTAAAATACATATCACATCATTAGCAAACTGACATGTGAAACGCATGTAAATATCTTTAAATAATTTTACAAATATATAAGATAATTATCTACTGATACAGATTATATACTGATATAGGTCACCTAAAATTCACCCATTGATAGTGTACAATTTAATGTTTTTTTGGTTTATTCACAGATATGTACAACCATTACTACAGTCAATTTTAGAGCATTTTATCATCTCCTAAAGAAACCCAGTACCCTTGGGCCAGGCGCAGTGGCTCGCGCCTGTAATCCCAGCACTTTGAGAGGCCGAGGAGGGTGGATCACCTGAGGCCAGGAGTTCAAGACCAGCCTGGCCAAGATGGTGAAACCCTGTCTCTAAAAGTATGAAAATTAGACCCTGTCTCTAAAAGTATGAAAATTAGCCGGGCGTGGTGGTGGGCGCTTGTAATCCCAGCTACTTGGGAGGCTGAGGCAGGAGAATCGCTTGAACCTAGGGGGCGGAGGTTGCAGTGAGCCGTGATCGCGCCACTTCACTCCAGCCTGGGCCAGACAGCGAGAATCTGTCTCAAAAAAACAAAAAACAAAAAAACAAAAAAAACCTGTACCCTTTAGCTATCATTCCCTGACCCTATATCTATATGTGAATATTTAAGTGCTAAACTGTTAAGTACCCAGGACATGGCAATCAAGTACCCAGGACATGGCAATCATACTCGGTTATAAGCTTAAAAGCTCTAAATTTGTTGTCCTTTTCTTAACAGTAATTTAGTAGAAATTCAGTCTAAATTTGCTCCTTATGCCTCAAGGATCACAGTTTTATCCATTCTCTTCCACAAGACTCTTCAGATAATTCCTGTTTATGAAAAGGGGGACCAAGGCAATCAAAACTCTGAAGTATGTCCCTCTCACACACAAATGCATGCTGCTTCGCACCTACCAACAATTAAATGAAAATAAAGACAAAGCCTGTAAACACATTTTAAAATGTCTTAGTCGATACTATCTACGTGACAAACAGTAACCACCCTCATTCTATAGCATGTGACTTTCTTGTGTTTAGAAAGGTAGAATCAGGCTCCAATTCCAACTTTGCTGAACAGGGCCTTAAAGAATGTTAGACACTTTCTTCCTCCACCCACATTAAATATACACCCCCTAAAACTGTTGATTCACCGGATTCTCAGCTGCCAAAGAAAGTAGACTAGCTTAGTGTTTGACATTTCCTTTTGGCAGTCATTAGTCCTTAATGTGTCACTGTCTAGAGGCTAAACCGAATAGTTTTATTCATTTCTACTTTAGCAGCTCATTTTCGTGGGCCTAAGAAAATGTATCAAAGGCTAAATCCACCCTAGAAGAAAGTTGCCAATCTAAGATTTTATGACACAAAAATAACAATATGATCAAAACATCTCTTTCCACAAGCCCCGTATTGCTCAAGTCTGATTCAGTCCTGGCTCCTTCGGCAGTAACTTTATACACAGGAGCAAATTAAAGGGAGAAAAACAAACATTTCAAACACCTAGGACAATGTCAGTGAGCCACCTACTAATGGGGAAAGAAGACTGCTTCTAGCCAGTTATGCTTATTAAATAGTTTTTCATTCCCACCAAGCCAAGAGGTTTGCTGTCTCCTGCACACTAATTAATTTTTGACTCTAAATCTTTGTTTTAACCTTAGCCCACTCCCCAGAGCCAATGAATGCCAATCTTTTCTTTCTTTGTATATCCTACTTACTATACATAATTCTATACTTGCTCTAGTGCTTTATAATAATAAAATAATAGGTAATTTTTTAAAATCTCCATTACTAGCATTATCTAAGCCAGATCTTCTCAATTCTTACTTTCGTCCCCTAAAAAAGAACACCAAAGAAAAGGAAAGAGACAGACAATGGTAGATTTAGAGTCAAACAAAGCTCCCTATGTCTTTTAACAACCAACAACCAAAGTGAGGAATCTAAAATTATACTGGCCAACAAAATAGTGTTACAGCCACCTAAAATTGTGTTGAGGCAAATTCTCAAGCATAGGAAACCTGAAGACAGCAAGCTAACCCCTCCACCAAAAAACACCTGATTACTGCCATTTATTAAATTCAATTCAATCAAAGTCTAGTGAACAATGTAAACATCACTACTAAATTATATAAAAGTCAAGCAGCTAAGAGACAAAAGGTTTCGTACTATACAAGACAGAACTTTAAAAATATGACTCTGGGGCCAGGTGCGGTGGCTTGTGTCTATAATCCCAGCACTTGGGCATGCCGAGGCAGGTGGATCGCTTGAGTCCAGGAATGTGAGACCAGCCTGAGCAACACAGCAAAACCCCATCTCTACTTTTATTTTTAAAATTTTAAAAATTTTTAAATTTTTAAAATGCTCTGCCTATGGAGTGGCCATTCTTTATTCCTTTGCTTTCCACAAACTTGCTTCCACTTTGGTTTAAAAAGAAAAATTAAATTACTTGGGGAAGGGCCAAGTCTCCAAAAAAAGCCTTAAGAATTGCACAATGGAATGCCTAGATGAATAGGCAATGATCACTTTTGACCTTCTAAAAAAAGTGCTTACTTTTAATTTAGCCAAGAAAATTCTGCACTGTTCAGTAACTACAGTAGACTCCTTTTGGGGGAATCCAGAAACCCAAATTGAATACAGTGACAAAGGGTTTTACTTCAAGGACACATATACAGAAGAACCCAAGTACAGCTGGGCCACTGCCCCTAGAAGCGGCCATACAGGAAGCCCAGGACACTCCTCTTAGCTGGCTATCCCATTCTCCAATCTCAAATGCCTGACCCATTCTCACCCTCTTTGCTGCCTATCTAATTCATAGCTGCTACTCAGCCATAAGTTCACTTTGTCAAGACCCCTATGACCCTGGCTCTACATAATGGCATCATTTCCTTTTTCAGTTTCCATTACTAATTGCATCATTTTCCCATTATTTACCCATACAAATCCCCAAGAGAATCTAATTGGCTTAAGAATCAGCATAGGCACCAGCCAGCCTATAAAATGGAGAGTGAGAAGAGGACTGAGTGGGATAAAACAAGGCCTTCCAGGGGTTGCAAAGCATGCAAATGCCCTCCGAAGGGTGTACATATGGCAAGGACTGTGCTCTCAGACATCTAACATGCTAACACCTACTCAACTAACCATCATGGTGATGACATGTCCTTTAAAAAAAAAAATTATTATGAGTTTTTTCTAACATAACCACCAAAAGGATTGAGAATACTAAATGAACTCCCTCACTTAACCATTACCAAACTTTAAAAATCATCAACTTTCTGCTTTCTTGTTTCATTTATCACCTTTCCATTGGTTTTTCTGCTGGAATGTTTTTAAACAAATCATACATCTCACTCTGTAAGGAATTATCTTGTATGTAACCATTCCTCCTAAACCAACTTTCATATCTGTTCAAATCTTGAGGGTTAAGGATAATTCACACTTGATCAATACCTTAAATCCAAAATATACAATTATTGCTGTTTATTAACATAACCCCCAAATTAGTGTAATTCCAGGTTCAGAGTGGTTTTAAGAAAATGGTTAATGGAGCATTGGATAGAAAAACCTAGTTGAAAAGAGTAGTTTGATTTTTAACCTCTACAGTTGGCCAATATGAAAGCCCTGTAGAAAGCAAGTAAGAGGTGGCCAATGGTGTCAGGTGTTTTTTAACTGCCATGATTAGAAATTTTAATTTTAAAATTGGATTTTTATCTGAACGCTACAACATTTAATATTGCTTTGAAAAAGAAAACTCAAACAAATTTCTTAACCCATTTAGGCCTGGTGTTCCATTACTGCAACGCTAAGCTTCTGGGAGCTATTTATATCCTACTGCTCAAGGTCATCATCAAGGTCTGATTTTCCACAACAAAAAATTTGCAACCTCTGGCATAAATGGGTTAGAGCCTTGAGTCTGTTTCCTTAACTGAAAAACTTTAACGGCATAAGAAAAACCAGTTTTGAAAAGGTGAGGGAGGTGAGAGGATCCTTTATCACAACAGAAATCACTAAATAGTATATATTAATGGCCAATTTTAGAAAACAAACAATTTTCCTATATACAGTGGCTTCGGCTATTTTTCAGCAAAAATACAGAATCTTCAAAGTAACATAAACAATATGCTCTGCTCCTGGCAACAAGTGTGTTTATTAGTATGAGCTTAAAAGATTACAGTTCAGTATTACTGGTCTTTGTGTGAAAAATGAAGTCTCATTCTGTTTCCCAGGCTGGAGTGCAGTGGTGCCATCATGGCTCACTGCAGCCTCAACTTCCCGGGCTCAGGCTCTCCTCTTACCTCAGCCTCCCGAGTAGCTGGAACTACAGGTGTGTGCCACCATGCTCGGCTAATTCTTAATATTTTTATAGAGATAGAGTTTTGCCATGTTGCCCCGGCCGGTATAATTTTTCTAATAAAATATCTCAGGTCATTTTATACCAGGAAATAGTAAGCAATATTCTTACAGACACAAGAGCAAGGGCAAGCCAAAACATTAATCTTTTCACTCCTAGAAGATGACTTTCATGTTTGAATCTATAAAACCAGTAATTCTCTCTCAAAGCAAGGAGAAGTAATTCAGGCTAATATGTTCCAGTGTTAAATTTAAAGGACGGTTAGCCCTTAAGGAAGCCTTGAAATACGATGTCACACTGTATTCAACTTGGTAGATTATTATAAACTGCAAACATTAAAGTGTCTTCAACTGGGGTTAAAACCAGAGCAGGAGGCCAATCATTTCAAAACATCTGAAAGTAATACTTGTAGGATATTTACTGACCAGATGTTATTTCAGCATAAAGTAACTCAAAGGAAATATCTTCCTTATGTTTCCAAATTATGACATTACAAAAAGCCCTAATGGCAGTTTTGAGAGAATGACCAAATGGAATTGGTGCCCAACAGTCTTTGGTTCTATATATCCAATATTCCTCTTCAAAACAGGCCTGGTGCAGTGGCTCATGTCTGTAATACCAGCATTTTGGGAGGCCAAGGCAGGTTGATCACCTGAGGTCAGGAGTTCAAGACCAGCCTGGTCAACATGGTGAAACCCCATCTCTACTAAAAATACAAAAATTAGCCGGGCGTGGTAGCGGGCGCCTGTAATCCCAGCTACTCAGGAGGCTGAGGCAGGAGAATCACTTGAATCCAGGAGGCAGAAGTTGCAGTCAGCCGAGATCACACCATTGCACTCCAGCCCAGGTGACAGAGGGAAACTCCATCTCAAAAAATAAATAAATACATACATACATATATACATACAACATAATAAAATAAAATAAGCAAGCCATTGAGTTGCTGGCAAGGACTTCATTAGCAGTCATCAGATATGAACAAAGATTCAACTGAAAATGAATAAAATAATCCCATCTAAGAATAAAAACATATTCCACAGACTTGTGCCCTTCTAAGTTGGCATTATGACTGAGAAATATATCAACCAAAGAGGCAACTTTCAACACAGCAGGTCTGAAGTCAGAAAGGAGGAAATCTCCTGTCTCCGACAAGGACAGTTTGGAAACTCAATGCTCATGACAGAACCTGAACTACCCATCATGAAAAGCAGAATGGCATCCTTTTATGTAACTATATTTAATGAGGGGAGGAGAGGGTTAAAGACAAAAAATAAATAAATAAACATTATGGCTAGTTTGAGGGCAGACAAACCGAACACACAAACCCAATTTGTTTAATCCTTAACTGCCCTAGTCACAATGAGTTTTTATTTACTACCTTAAATCCTCTAAGACACCTAATTTTAAAAAAATGTAAAATGAATGGATAAAAACTATTAGGGTAGAAAGTTATGATTGATAAGCTTTTAGTTTTACATGTTTGTCACATATGGGCATTCTAAACTAAATAGGTGGCCTCCCACAACTATTAATTGGCTACATTTAAACAATCACAATATTTTTAATAAATCGATTTTTTATTATCAACACATGACAACTTTGCCAAAAAGTAAAGCCTACTCCTTGGGCCAAAAAGAATAACTGAAGGAGAAACTATATTATATTTTTCCCTAAAAACACCAATTTGCACATTTGCACATACATTTTATAGTTTTACGTTCACACCAAACATGGCATTGCACACACAAACACACGAGAGGAGAGGGAGAGACCTGTCAGCTATGATTAGATGCCTGAACTACAAAATCATGCAGACTGGAAATGGAGACTGCCACTTTGGCTCTTTGCTAGAGGCAGAGAGCAAGCAATGGAGCAGACACAGAAAGCTATAAAGCACCTGTCACAGAAGGCATGTCCCTTGGTCCCCACCTATCCAGATCCCTGTTCACCCTATTCTTTGCTACACTTTATTTTCTGTTCTTTTGTTCCAAGGCATCTTGATATTTTTTAATAACACCACCCATTATATCCCCATCTTCACGGTTTTACTTGGTCTTACTTGAGAGATTCTCTGTGCATTTTAACAAGGTCAGTTAGAGGGGCAGCTATTAATGACCCCAATTCCAGCCAAGAAAGCTGCCCTGGGGAGATTACATTACTTGATCAAGCTTTAACAAGTTCTATTCTATGGAAGTATCAGCTTACTGCTCATCATCCATGGCATCACATGTGAAGAGCACCACCAGGAGTATCTCTGGACTAAAAAATCAGAAGCCTTAGTTCTAGTCCTAACTGTTCAAACATGGGTGTAACCATGGCCTAACACTTCACTAGTTTCAGACTCAGTTTTGAAAACACTGGTTGAGTTTTGGTTCTGGCTAAATGTAATAAATATACTCCACCCTGTCTGTCCCACTGAATGTAACTAAAGATCCTGAGCAGAACACATGGAGTGGCAATCCAAGAATTGAAATAAAGAATGGTCGAATCTACAATTAAAGTTGGAGACTGCAACACTCTTATCTCAGTAATTCTTAGAATAATTAGATCTTTCCCCCAACTAAAAAAACAGCAAGCTATAGAACAATGCCATCAACCAACTAGATCTAAGTGACACTTTCACTCCACCCAACAATAACAGAATACAGGCCAGGCACGGTGGCTCATGCCTGTAATCCCAGCACTTTGGGAGGCCAAGGCGGGTGGATCACCTGAGGTCAGGAGTTAGAGACCAGCCTGGCCAACATGGGAAAACCCCACCTCTACTAAAAATACAGAAATTAGCCAGGCGTGATGGCGGGTGCCTGTAATCCCAGCTACTCGGGAGGCTGAGGCAGGAGAAATCACTTGAGCCGAGATCATGCCTCTATACTTCCAGCCTGAGCAACAGAGCAAGACTTCGTCTCAAAAAAGAAAAAAAAAATAAAAAGCAGAATACATATTATTTGTCAAGTGCAAACAGAACATTACAAAGGTAGCACTGGGTCATAAAACAAGGCTCAATTAACAAATTTAAAAAAAATTGAAATCATGCAAAGTTTATGTTCTCTGACCATATGGAATTAGAATTAAACTAGAAATCAGTAACAGAAACATAGCAAGAAAATCTCCAAATACTTGGAAATTACACAACATACTTCTAAATAAGCCAGTGATCAAAGAAGAAGACTCGAGGAAAATTTTAAAATATCTTGAACTGAACAAAAATGAAAATATAGGCCGGGCACGGTAGCTCACGCCTGTAATCCCAGCACTTTGGGAGGCCGAGGTGGGAGGATCATTTGAACTCAAGAGTTCAAGACCAGCCTGGGTAACACGATGAGACCCGATCTCTTAAAAACAAACAAACAAACAACAACAAAAAAATAAAAATAATTTTAAAATGAAAATACAACGTATCAGAATTTATCGGATGCAGACAAAGCAGGGCTTAGATTAGGGAAATCTATACCACTATATCTTTACACAAAGAAGAAAGGTCTCAAGTCAATAACCTAAGTTCTCACCTCAGGAAACTAGTAAAGATAGAATAAAATAAACCCAAAATAAGCAGACAGAAAAATAAATAAATAAAAAGCAGAAACAGATGAAATTGGAAGTATTAGAGGAAAAAAAAATTAATGAAACCCAAAGCTGGATTTTTCAAAAGATCACTAGAATTGATAAACTTCTGGCCAGATTGACAAAGAAAGAAAAAATAAAACAAATTATCAAGAATAGTTATGAAACAGAGAATACTGCTACAGATGCTAAACAGTAGAAGGATAGTAAGAGATTACAACAAACATCTCCATGCGTACAAAATCAACTAAGTGGATAAAATGAACTAATTCATTGAAAGCCACAATCTTCCAAAATTTACCCAAGAAACAATACATAACTTAGTTTTATATCTACTGAAGAAACTGAATTTATAATTTAAAACCTTCAGAAAAATTAATTGGTTGGGCTGGGTGCCATGGCTCACGCCTGTAATCCCAGAACTTTGGGAGGCTGAGGTGGGTATAGCATTTGACATCAGGACTTTGAGACCAGCCTGGCCAACATGGTGAAACCCTATCTCTACTAAAAATACAAAACTTAGCCAGACATGGCAGTGCACACCTGCAGTCCCAGCTACTGGGGAGCTGATTGAAACAGATTAAAAATTGGCAAGTTTCTATAAAGGACCAAATAGCAAATACTTTAGGCTCTGGGGCCATGCGGTCTCTTTAGAAACTACTTGGCCAGGCATGGTGGCTCACACCTGTAATCCCAGCACTTTGGGAGGCTGGGGCAGGCAGACTGCTTTCAGTCCAGGAGTTTGAGACCACCCTTGGCAAAATGGCAAGACCCCATATCTACAAAAAATACAAAAAATTAGTCAGGCATGCTGGTGCACACCTCTAGTCCCAGCTACTGGGGAAGCTGAGATGGCAGAATCACCTGAGCCTGGGAAGTCAAGGCTGCAGTGAGCTGTGATTGCACCACTGCAGTCCCAGCCTGGGTGGCAGAATAAGACCCTGTCTCAAAACAAACAAACAAAACCAAAAAGAGGAGAGAGGAGAGAGGAGAGAGAGAAGAGAGAGGAGAGAGGAGAAGAGAAGAGAAGACGGAGGAGTGGGGAAAGGGGGGGGAGGAGAGGGAGGGGAGGGAGGAGGGGGAGGGGGAAGGAGCAGGAGGGGGAGGATCAAGAGGAGGGGGAGGAGGAGGAACAGGAGGAAAGAAGAAGAAAAGAAGGAGGAGGAGGAGAAGGAAGAAACAACTAAATGAGTATGGCTGTGTTCCAATAAAACTTTATTTATAAAAATAAGTGGCAGGCTAGACTTGACCTGAGAACTATAATTTGTCAACCCCTAGACCACATGATAACGAACGTCACTTCCAAATTCTACCTTCACAATTTTATACTTCCAAGGTCAAAAATCGCTTTGATATACACTGCAAGAAAAGAATGAAGCAAATGCTATCACAGAGAGATAATTGAGTCTCACTTCAAGACTTGATAGAAATGTATACTATAATTTTTTATAAAACCAAACTAACCACTTTAGCCAAACTAGTCCTGAATGAATCATTACCTCGAAAGGACGAATCAACATATTAATGTGTGAAAAACCATCAAATTTCCATATTAATAGTGCTTTGGAAATGAACACGGTGTATGATTATAAACAAAACCTAAAAATCTAAGACACGCAAATCTAACGGTCTAAGTTTTTTAAACTTTGTGACATTAACAACATAAAAAACTTTTTTTAAATGTGGGAAAAAATATCAAAGAAAATTTATAGTGCCCATCGCCCCACCAGCTAGAGATAATTACTAATAATCTGATATATTTAGAGGTTATTACCTGTTAATTCAGAAATACTACTTTAGATATGAAGTCTTTTCAACCCTGCTTGATGGCTAAACAGCACAAAGTGATATAAAGGACAGTCTAACAGCAATCCTGAGGAGGCTAAACTCCTATCCACCTGCTGCCTAACACTGGGCAGGCTTACATGCCTGCTCCATCATTCTGATTTCAAAACCACTACTGCTCCATCAGGCCAGCATCACTTCAACAAATACATAAACATGCATCTTTCTGGTATTAGAGATTAAGAACTTGCCTGCTAAATACTGCAATGCGCAATGCCAGGATAGCTCATAAATGGGAAGTACTTCAAACCTCTTTGAAAGCAACACAAATATAACTGGGGTAAGATGTCTTTCTCAGAGTTATGAAGATCTTTTAAACTCCTTATCTTGAACCGTAAGAAAATCACAAATTAATTTTTGACAAAGTGTTTTCAAATTAAATAAATGCTGCTCTACAACATGGATGAACTTGGAGGGCATTATACTAAGTGAAATAGACACAGAGAAAACTATTGCATGATTTTTACATGTTCTCTAATAAATAAAAACAAGAGAGTAGAAAGGTGGGTTACCATATGGTGGGAGTAGGGGACACTTATGTCAAGGAATACAAAGTTGCAGTTATGCAGGATGAATAAATCTAGAACTCTTGGCCAGCCATGGTGGCTCACACCTGTAATCCCAACACTTTGGGAAGCCAAGGCAGGTGGATCACTTGAGGCCAGGTGTTCGAGACCAGCCTGGCCAATAGCACGGAACCCCATCTCTACTAAAAATACAAAAATTAGCTAGGCTTAGTAACACAAGCCTCTAAACCCAGCTATTATGTTTGGGAGGCTGGAGCATGAAAATCACTTGAATCAGGGACGCAGAGGTTGCAGTGAGCTGTGATCGTACCAGTGCACTCCAGCCTGGGTGACAGAGCAAAAAATAAGTAAATAAAAAATCTAGAGCTCTAATCTACAGCATGAAGCCTATAGTCAATAGCACTGTATTGTATTTGGAAAACTTGCTAAGAGAGTAGATTTTAGGCCCTCTTACCACCCACACAAGGTAACTCTAAGATAACAGATATGTTAAATGGCTTCACTGTAGTAATCATTTAACTATGTATATCTAAATATCACCTTGTATACCTTAAACATATACAGTAAAAATAAAATTTATTAAATAAAAAATAAAAATAAATGCCGCTGTCAAAAAAGCAAGTCCTACACAGGCTCAAATTTTGCATTCAATGCATCATCTACTTATATAAACTCTCCCAAATCCTGTTTATTAGGCAGCTCACAGAAAAGCTTACACTAACAATTCAATAAAATAATCTTCAAATGCCTCTACAGAACTATGGACTACTAATTTAGGTAAGCATCTCTTGCAGAAAACTCAAGAGTTCAAAGAAAGATGGAAATCATACCATAACTGTATAACAAAACTCAGCCTCTGTACCTGCAAACCACAGAGCCCATTTAAACAGCTACAGCACTCAAGTACCACCAGTCTAGCATGGAAAATACTCTAAAAGCTCTTTTGCTCCATGTCAGGCCTCTGAGCCCAAGCTAAGCCATCATATCCCCTGTCACCTGCATGTATACATCCAGATGGCCTGAAGCAACTGAAGATCCACAAAAGAAGCGAAAATAGCCAGTTCCTGCCTTAACTGATGACATTCCACCACTGCGATTTGTTCCTGCCCCACCCTAACTGATAAATTGACTTTGTGACAATACACCCTCCCCACCCTTGAGAAAGTACTTTGTAATATCCTCCCCTGCCCTTAAGAAGGTACTCTGCAATATTCTCCCCACCCTTGACAATGTACTTCATAAGATCCACCCCCTGCCCACAAAAAATTGCTCCTAACTCCACTGCCTATCCCAAACCTATAAGAACTAATGATAATCCCGCCACCCTTCGCTGACTCTCTTTTTGGACTCAGCCCGCCCGCACCCAGGTGATTAAAAAGCTTTACTGCTCTCAAAAAGCCTGTTTGGCAGTCTCTTCACACAGAGGCAAGTGACATTCCACTCACTTCAAGCAGCTATCCCAGACCTGGATCTATTTTACTTAGTCTAGGATATCCAATTTTAGAAATTTAATACTGAAATTTAGATTCCAGTATTTATTTTAGTTCTGGGGGTATTTAATTTTAATGGAAAACTCTGCCACCATTAAGATGTTATAAAATCATATTTGTTAACTTGGGACGATGTACAATGGTAAAAGTATTAAGAGTTCAGACTTTCAGGTCAGACAGATCTGAGCTCAAACTGCACCTGTGTGTATATGTATTTTTGAGCAATTATCAACTCAATAGGGTTATTATGGGGATAAAATGTCTCTCAGCACAATGGCTGGCATATGGTAAGCAGTGTAAAAGTATGGACAATCATTACTAACAACATTTTTAAAAAGAAAAGGTAAGAAAAGAACAGATATAAGTGTACATATACACAGATCCGAATTAAGTCTGGAATGTTATACACAAAAATGAGTGGTGGGATTATGGACAATATATAATGAACACAGAACTTTTATAATCAGGAAAAAATTAAGCTACTCTAATTCTGAAGAAAAGAAAAGTGTAGCCACAACATAATGCAGTAACAAGCTCTTCAGAGTCCTTCAAAAGCTCTGGCTATGCTAAAGAGATTCCAGGAAGGCATTTGCAAAACTGAGAAAGGATTAACATCTAAATTGAGTGCTTCACTTCACTATAATAACAATATATCTTTTCAAAAGATCTTTGAAAATGAACATTAGCTGCATACCATTCATACAATCCACATCAAATTTACCCAAATCGAATTAAAATTTTATACTTGATGTATTAACATAGTCATATTCCTCAAATATACATCCAGTCCAACCAAAGTATGTCCAGTTACTGCATTCTTCTTTTGGGATCCTACAACTACTATGTCCAACGTTTTCAGGCAAGAACAAAGATAAAATGTATCCTTAAGAAACATTATCCTTACAAGGTCCTAAATTGAACCAATTTTCTTCTATCTAAAACTACAGTTTTAAGTATTAAAAGAATACAAGTTATAATAGCTACTATGCATGGACTACCATGCCATTCTGGACATTGAACAAAGTTGATCCTAACCTCTCATCTACTCACCTTAGCTGGTTGGTTACTTATTGGTTAGAACTATCCAACAGAGATACAATGCAAGCCAGAAATAAACCACCCATATAATTTTTATAACATATATACAAGTTATAGATACATATATAACCAATGTAAATATGATTTTTCTCGTAGCCATAAGTGAAAAGAAACAGGTAAAAATAAAGTTTAATAGATTTTATTTAACCCAATATATCTAAAATAATATCAGTGAGATAATTCACATTCTTTTTTCTATACTAACTCTGAAATCTGATGTACTTACAGCAAACTTCAATTTAGACTTGTCACATTTCAAGTGCTCAATAGCCACATATGGTGAGTGGCTACCACACTGAATAGCAGAGAGCTAGAACTACTTAAGCCCATGGCATGTGTTTGTTCTTACCAATTATAAGCCCTAACGCCAGTCAGTCAAACACGACCATGACCTGCTGGGCAAGACTGCTCTGGTCAAAACCAAATGGAGTTCATTTCAAAGACTGAGGGTCCTTTATGTTTCAGACATTGTATTAAGTATATTCAGATTTGGAGGTTTTGGGGAAAGGGTAGGTTTTGCTTATTTGTTCATTGAGGAGTCAGGGTTGAAGGGGGGTATGGTAACAGAGACAAGTTTAGTTCCAATAAATTCTACTATTGGAAAAACACATGCCTTAAAAAACGGAGAAAGGAACATATTAACAGTCAGCATATCCCTCAGCAGAATGAAAGGCATGAAATAAAGAAGTCAGCTGTATAAAGCATAGAGCCCTTCAGAAGTCTTTCTCAGTAGCACTGAAATAACTCAGAGAACATTAAAACACACAACTGGGCAACCAAGTCAGCTATGTATTTGAAAAACAGAAATTTTAACCCATTAACCAGACAGCAGACTGTTTTAACCCATTAACTTAATAGTCTGAAACCTAGTTCTACGGATATTTCATGTTTATAGGCAGAAAACACTGAGAGAATTAAAACTGTTATTTTATGCTCTGCATAGAAGAAGAAAAGAAAAAAACCTGAAAATATATATCCCTAAATGCTAATAGTAGTGGTATTTTAGTAATTTAATGCACATGTCTGAATTTCAATCATGAAAAAAAATGGTAATAACTTTTTCAAATTTAATTACATTTCATTTTAATTTCAATCCATTCACTTTTAAACCTTTTAAGATTATAACATCCATCCAAAGCTGTTTTTCTCTCTCACAGGCAAAGCAACTTTAGGCTGACAGAGCCAAAACAAATTAAACTTAACCACAATAACCACATTTCATTTCAAGGAAACCTGGAAGTCATCTCTGAAACTACAAGGATACACTGAAGGGTCGCAAAACCTCCACTGTCATGGGTCTGTGATATTTCCCTAATGTTAAGTAAGTAGAGGTCAAATGCATTACTTTTATGTCAATATTTCCTTAGAGTCCGTATAGTAAGTTAGTTGTAGAGCCAAGACTACCTACCAACTCTTCATCAAACCACTATGCAAGCAATAACATTAAGGCTGCTAGCCTCCTGACCCTTGGAAACTTTAAAAGGGGATTTGGCCCTCAGCTGATGAATTAAATTTAACTCTGCTCTAAGATATCACTTTCACTTAATTGCTTATTCCAGAGTATTTGGTTTAATTTTTTCAACAAATGTCATCTGTATAGTGAAAGATCTAATAGGAAGTAGAAATAAACCACACAGCCTCCTCCTTCATCCACTGTAGAATGTAAGGCCCATAAGGGTAAAGGTCTTTGGTTTTTTCCACCACACTATTACCTCCTTAGCACCATGAAAATCCAAAATTATTCATTTTATTCATTCCTACAAACCAGCATGAGTTCATTAAGCAAGCATTTACTGAGCACCTCTTGCAGCATTATACTAGACCATGAATGAATATTTTTAAGGAGTTGTCATGTTCCAAAGGCTTAAAAACCTAGTTGCAGAATAAAATGGATAAAAGAAATGCAATTAAACAACAATTCAAGGGAGTATACAATAAGGCACAAAACTTCAAGCACCAAAGAAATAATGTAAGATGATGTAGTTTGAAATGGCCTTCAGCAAAGAGATGAAAAACAAATGTGGGGCCTGAAGAAAGAGTAGATTAGGTTTACATAGGTAGGAAGGGAATTTCCAGAACATAATGAACAATGCCCTAGTACTAAAGACAGGAGCTCAGCCTGGCCTGGGCAGGCAGAACAAAGTGGAAAATGGAGAAAGTGAGGAGACACTGAAGTAAGGTAATGGCAGTGGGGACAGAAAGGGACAAACAGAATAAACTACCAGAGCAGTTTTTCCACCTTAGTTGCACACTGGAATCAACTGGGAAGTGTTTTAAAATAACTGACGCTTGGATCTTGACGCAGAGATTCTGACTTAATTGGTCTGGGGTACACCTGAAACATCAAAGTTGCCCAAGGACTGTAATGTGCATCCAAAGTTAAGAATCACTGCCTCAGAGAAAAAGCCAGTGGAACCTGGTAATAAGCAACACAAAACGAAGAAAGAAGACACTTTACGAATGTGTGTCCATAAAAATATTAATAACAACATGAGAGAATCCAAGAAACAGAAAAAGTGAATATTATGTGAGCCTTTCTGGACTTTACAACAATGTTTATACAAAGTTCCACGTAGTAAACAAGTATTAATTAATGTAGGTGATTTCAATTCTCCACATAACATAATTTGTCTAATATTTTTCAACAGAAATAAAATGAACCATTTTTTTAAAATCAAGATAGAAGTTAACCAAAAGATTACAAAATAAATCTTCTAGAAGAGAAAGCCTCCTGGATTTCCCAGATAGAAATAACCTCAACCTCCTTGCAATTTCCACAGCATTTTGGCTGTACCTATGATGACACTCCCATTAAACCCCCTATAGAAACTTTGTCTGTTCCAGAAGGGAGGGATCAGAGCCTCATTCCTCCTCTTACATTGTGCCCAACACACTGCTTTGCATGTGTCACATACTCAGAATGAACTGACTGACAGGCAGACATTGCTGGTTATATTCTGACACTCACTAGAGGTTCTAAATGTTTTTGAATGCTTCATAAATAAGCAAAAATCTATCCCCAGTTGCTTCTGCTTCTTCCAGACCCTTTTATCATTCTAAGCTTTCTTCAAGTGTGCTCCACTGCCCTCACCGTTTATCCTCACTCCAGTGCTTTTTGACAGGACCAAGCCTGTTCACTGTTACGTGAATCAATAAAAGGAAACTAAAGATTTTTACCTTTAGGAGAAACATACCCAGAGACCATCTCCTAAAATACATTTCTAAATCTCAAGAAGATTTCTTTCTTTTGTGCTTTTTTGTTTTTGAGACAGAATCTCGCTCTGTCGCCCAGGCTGGAGTGCAGTGGTGCGATCTTGGCTCACTGCAAGCTCCGCCTGCTGGATTCACACCATTCTCCTGCCTCAGCCTCCCGAGTAGCTGGGACTACAGGGGCCCCCACACCACGCCTGGCTAATTTTTCTGTTTTTTGTTTGTTTATTTTTTGGGTTTTTTTTTTTTTGAGATGGAGTCTCCCTCTGTTCCCCAGGCTGGAGTGCAGTGGCGTGATCTTGGCTCACTGAAAGCTCCGCCTCCTGGGTTCACACCATTCTCCTGCATCAGCCTCCAGAGCAGCTGGGACTACAGGCGCCCGCCTCCATGTCCGGCTAATTTTTTTGTATTTTTAGTAGAGACAGGGTTTCGCCACGTTAGCCAGGATGGTCTCTATCTCCTGACCTTGTGATCTGCCCGCCTCAGCCTCCCAAAGTGCTGGGATTACAGGTAATTTTTCTGTATTTTTAGTAGAGACTGGGTTTCACCATGTTAGCCAGGATGGTCTCAATCTCCTGACCTTGTGATCCGTCTGCCTTGGCCTCCCAAAGTGCTGGGATTACAGGCGTGAGCCACCGTGCCCGGCCAAGATTTCTTTCAAGATCCCTACCATAATACTCAAATTTCAGCCTCACATCACACATTGTTCCAGTTTTCATTTAAGAATGCTACTGCAGTCTCCATGTCTTCAGTATAAATGAGTGCTTCCCACCTTTTCTTACACTGATGGCATGAATAGACAGTACTGTTTGTATGGCACTCTAGGTTTCGAAACCTCAAGGTTACTCATGACCAGGGGTGATTGGCCCAAGAATGTGACCAACCTCAAGACTCAAGGGATATCTTATAGACTGATTAGGAGGCTCTAAAACGGAGCAATCGGAACAGATTTATCACATCCTCCTTCCCACCAAAGTCTGTTTTTGAAGTGATTTCCTCATCATAACTACATAAGACACTTTTACACCATTTCCAGCACTACCCATGATAGCAGATGACTGATCCACTTACCATGAGTTTTTGTTCCCCTGTTTAAGACTGCAACATTGTGAGCCATTCTGCAACATATCCATCTTTTAAAATATTTTCTAATGTTCAATCTTAGCTATGGATTTTTAAATGTGTCCCACATTTTCACTGTGACTTAAAAACCACTTTTTCCATTTGATTTAACAAAACCTCTAATCTCATTTTTCTTAAGTAGACTGCCTATAATCAAAACATGGCTTTTTTTTTTGAGACACTCTCGCTCTGTCGCCCAGGCTGGAGCACAGTGGCGCGACCATGGTTCACTGTAGCCACAACCTCCCAGGCTTAAGCGATTCTTCCGCCTCAGCCTCCCGAGTAGCTGAGACCAGGCGTGCGCCACCATGCCCAGTTAACTTTTGTATTTTTTGTAGAGATGGGATTTCACCATGTTGCCCAAGATGGTCTCAAACTCTTGGGCTCACGCAATCCACCCACCTCAGCCTCCCAAAACGCTGGGACTACAGGCTTGAACCATCATGCCCAGGGGGCAATGGCTTTAAAAAAATTCAATATGCATCACTAATTTCACAGTATGGTAGAGACAAGATAAACAGAGGAAGGCATTCATCTTCACCCTAGGAATTCCACCATGATTTACCATCACCCATTAACTTTTACAGGCCTGTAAGTGAACAGACAAGATGTATGGCAAACGAACAAATGAGAAAGAACCAAGATCTTTTTTTTAGGTGTTAAACAGGTAAAAAACGCTAGTGATGACAACTAATTTGTGTTGTTGTCCTTCTTCCCCTTAAAATGATTTCATATAATTTTTACTTAATTTATTGCTAATTAGCTACAGTAAAATATTGGGTCCAAGGTCTAAATGACAGGAACCCTAAGCTAGCATTAAATAACCAGAATAGAAGAAGTATAAGCGAAGGAAAAAAAGAAAGACATATGGCAACAGAGAAAAATCAACAAATATAGAATTTTCTATGGCCTTTTAAAAAAAAAGTGGGTATCAAATTTCATAGCCTGGGTTTTTATGCACAAACCTTCAAAATTCAAAAACACTATCCAGAGTTTGCTTTATGTAACTCTACTTGGCAATTATCTACTCTTGTGACATTCAATATGGTTCACGAAAAAACTTTCACAACTATAAATATTGAGGAGGCAGGTTTTCAACATTCCCTTTTGCCCAAAATTAGCCACCTACTTGGGATAATGAAACTTTAGTGGTATAGAAGGTCATTATTCTTTGGAGAGGCATGCTAAAATATTAGAGGTGAAGCATCACAATGTCTACAACTTTCTTCCAAAGGCTTCGGGGGAAAAAAGGATGTTTGTGTATATACCATACATACATATACATTTATATATACACACACCTACACATGTATCTACATGTTAATTGATGAATACAGATAAATTTCCTAGGTATTCACTGTATGATTTTTATAAGTTGAAAATTTCTCAATAAGCTGGAGAGAGGAAAGAGCCACTTAGCCATTTATCCATTTCTTTAAAAATCTGACCTACTCCCAAAAATCAAGGAGTCAAGGACATATTTGGTATTTATAGTGAAAACATCTCAGATCCAACATGTTATAGAAAACTCCTCATCCATAAATATCTTACTTCAAAGAAAAGCTGTCAAACTCACATTGCCCATGTACTCCGAAAGCAGGTCCTGCAGGGCCTGGCGGACAGCATTACACTCTGCCACAATTCGCTCACGACGGTCATCACGCGTGCAGGACGAGTCGGCCATCAAGGCAGCCCCACTAATGATGCTTTCCAGACGCTCCTCCAGGGAAGGCCTAAAGCGCTCCTCGCTGAAGCTCAAGGGGTCCACAATGATTTGTTTCTGCAGAGAAAGTATTACCGAATGTTAGTACTCATCTCTGTTCCCTTCTTTATTCAAGGTGAGAAAAGTGTTATTAGTAATATCAAGATTTAACACAAAAATTCCAACATCTGAAAGAAAGTTATACTTCTTAGCAGGTAAGGGGCTGTCCCACAGAAGATGGCCTACTGTTGATCACTCCTCAAAGAAAGCAGTGGAAGTAATGCTATGTAGCCAAACAAGGCATGATAAGGTATGATACCACAAATACAAACATATCATGCTCACACAACTTATTCTGAACATCTAAAGGTAAACCCGTATAAGACTAGCAATTCAAATCATCAGATGAGAATTACAAGGAAAATAAAAGTTACCTCTTACTTGCAGAATATAAAACTGCCATGTGATATTTAGAACTGTTGCACCACAAAAAAATTAAAAAATAAAAGCCAAACAAGCCAGGTGTGGTGGCTTATGCCTGTAATCTCAACACTTTGAGAGATTGAAGGAGGATTGTTTGAGGCCAGTTGAACACCAGCCTAGGCAACGAGGCAAGACCCTGTCTCTACAAAAAAATAAAATAAGTTGGGCATGGTGGCACACGCCTATAGTCCCAGCTACTCGGGAGGATCACTTGAACCCAGAAGTTCAAGGCTGCAGTGAGCTATGATTGTGCCACTGCACTCCAGCCTGGGTAACAGAGCAAGACTTTGTCTCTTAAAATATATACACGTGTGCGCACACATACAAACTGATCTCTAACCTTAAAGTTTCAGAAAGAAATGCATTTACAATGAATTTCCATCTATTTGCCTCATCTTACACATCTAATCAAGTTTTCTAAATAATTCAGTCTCAAATTTATCCTGTTATGTCTAAATTAGAGACTTCCTTTCCTCAAAGACCTCTAGTATTCTGTAAGAGATGATAGCAATCCTCCCAAAAACCTAAGCTGTGAGGAAGAACTGCTCCAATAAGAATAAATCCTTTTTCTGTCTCCCCTTCCCTCCTGACTCCACTTACATCCAGCTTTTCTAGCATTTAGTGAGGTCTGGTCACAAGTAAGCTATAGGTACAAGGTGAAACATCGGCATCCTCAAGACAGCAGCTACTGGCCTCCCTCCAATTCCTCCACTTGATATAATTTATCCTCACCCTGATAAATGTCTGTGCAAATATTATGGCTTTAATTTTTCTTTACAGAGACTATGTCCTTATTGATTTCAACTTAAATGCCAAATTTTTTCTACCAAAACCTTGCCCTTTTCCAATAAGTATACATTTCTTCCTTCCCTTCCAAAGAACCCTCAGTTTTCAAACTGAACATGCAATACCTTCAGTTCATTATTAACCTACACATTTTAGCTGATCATTTTTTGTAAGGTTAGGTTATTACAGGATTTCTCTGGTCAAAACTGAATACAAAATGCTTTCTGGCCAACAAAAATGAGAAATGAATGGTCATAGAATTTTAATAGAGTAACAGAGCCTCAATGAGCCTGAGATCATTTAGCACAAACCCTCATTTTACAAATACCTGTGTCCCTGAGAAGTTAAGTAGCTTCTGGTAGATATTACTCAACTTAGGGCAAAATGTGCTACTACCCTGAAAGATACCTAATACTGCCAAATTTTGAAGGGGGGAAAAACAACATTGCTAGTAAATTTTAACATGCACCATAAGAGTTTGTTATAAAATAATTTAATGTTTAAAGCTCCATGGTAAAAACTGAGTTCTAACACCATGGTCTTTAGACTTAACACTGCCTTCTTGCTTTATGAAAAAGTCTTAAATCGGCCATGCATATCAACAAGGATCAGCTACCTAAGCGAAAGTAAAGTGGCAAAAGAAAGAAAAGGTAAAGGCAAGGAAAAACTTAAAAACAAAATGCACTCCATTGTAATTTTTTTTTATTCTATATTTCATAGCATCCCTACTTTATGAAAGGATGCTGGTCACCTGGAACACAATTTCTGTTTTTTGGTTTGTTTTTTTTTTTTTTAATTAGCCCCAACAGTTACTTTTAAAGCCCTAAAAAAAAAAAAAAAACTTATACTGCTGCCATCTACTGGAAGCCAAGAGGCACTGTGGGTAGGAATTAAGAACACATAACCCACCAAAAAGTTAACCTTAAGAGTTGTGTACACAGGACAGACCTAGCGCATCATTTATGAAAAGTAATTATGGCATTATGCTAAGAAAGTATTTTAATCCCAAATTTGCTTCCACTTGATTAAATTTCTGTTCATTATTCCAATTTAGTCACTGAAAAGAAGTATATCTAGGCAGACAAGAAAGATTAGAATGATGGTACTTTTGCTGCAGTCACTTATGATGTTTCTCTATCTCCCAATAGACCACGAGCCTCTAGGGGGCTGACCCTACGTGTACTTAGTTTCTGTATCTACCATAGCTTCACATCTGCCAGAAGGTCAAAATCTTGGTTGAAATGAACCAAACCCATATCCTCAGTAAAGAATGACCTCATAGGAAACACAAGCTACATAAAAGAATCCAGAAGTTTAATTCAAACTAAAAACAAAAATAAAAATAAATGTTTTAGGCCAAGTTAAAATCAAGTAGACTGATGATTCATAATTTCTTTTGACTTAGATTAAAGATCTAAGTGGAAATTGAGCTATCATCAGAAGCCTTGATCACTTTTCCCCAGAAATCTGTTATCTTTTGGGGGATGGTCAAGAGCTGGAAATTTCCACCCAAGCATAACTTACGTCAAAGTTATTGAGTGCATATGCCAGTTCTCCTCCTCCTCCACCCTGGTGCTGTGAGGCATCGTCTGAGGCAGTGGCCTGGGCTGCATTGGAAATGCCTGTGACCGCCTGCTGCAGCTGCTTGTATATCAGGTCCCTGTTGGCCTTATAGGCTGCGACATCAGGGTGCTGTAGGCATGCCTGGGATGCAGTATAGAGGATCGGAACGTTCTTCTGCAGGATTCCTCTAGCTGCAGCCATCTGATCACGATGGCCAACATCTTTCAATTCCTACAAGAGTAAATAAAACAAGAAATTGGAGCACTCTTTATATGGGCTTTACTCATATAAAAATTTGCTGGTAAATGCTGAAAAGTTAGAATTTCTATTAATTAGACACATTATTTTCATTAACAATCTAGTTGAGAGTCAATCACAAAGAAGGCAGTATGGTTTGGTAGGTAAGATTCTGAGCTTTGGAATCACACAGACCTAGATCTGAATCCACCCCACACCCACTTCTACTTTCTCCTGGCTATTTTATGACCTTATTTTAAACCCTCAGGGCTAAGGTTCCCCTTCTGTCAAAGAAGAGCAGTAACAGTACCTTTCTTATCATTGTTTTGAGGATTAAATCGGATAATGTATGTAAAGTACTTAGCACAGCACTAAATAAGGCATTAAATAAAAGACAAAACAAACTGCCTAGCATCTTGATTACAACTCTATATAGATATATGTACCTATACCAACCAACGATAGAAAGATCATGAAGAGATACAGTCAAACAGAGTAAGACTTATTATGAGTATTATTTTTTATCAAGTTACATAATTTTTTTTTTTTTTTTTTTTTTTTTTTTTTGAGACGGAGTCTCGCTCTGTCGCCCAGGCTGGAGTGCAGTGGCGGGATCTCGGCTCACTGCAAGCTCCGCCTCCCGGGTTCACGCCATTCTCCTGCCTCAGCCTCCCAAGTAGCTGGGACTACAGGCGCCCGCCACTACGCCCGGCTAATTTTTTGTATTTTTAGTAGAGACGGGGTTTCACCGTTTTAGCCGGGATGGCCTCGATCTCCTGACCTCGTGATCCGCCCGCCTCGGCCTCCCAAAGTGCTGGGATTACAGGCGTGAGCCACCGCGCCCAGCCAAGTTACATAATTTTATTGTAAGAGTTTTGTGAAATTTGGGACAGGATGCCACAGGTATGTATGAACTACATAAATAGGTGAGGATATCACAAGGCTGTTCTGACAAGCACGTATCTCCTCCTCTCCCGCTCCCCACCCCAAAAACCACTTTAGGACACAGAACCACACTTTTCTTACACAGTACATTAAACAGTTCGCAGGTCAGTAAGCCATAAAGTTGAGGCGTATGTGCTTCATAGCCCCAATCTATGATTATAAGACTCTGTATAGATACGGTCTTAAACTACTTTTTTTCATTTCTTCTACCCCATAATTATAATCCACAGTAAGAAGGATTTGAGGTCCTTGGCATCATTTCCACTAATGATGGCATCTACTTGGTAGGCTGAGTAGATATGCTAAGCGACAAATAAGTGATGCCAAAAATACACAAGATGGGAATGGGAAGCGGGTATTTCTGGTATCCCTCTTTCACTCACAATACTCAGAAGGGAAAAAAAGGCTTTAGTAAAAATGGATCACCACCACAGAAGAAGAATACAGGTGATAACTCTAAATAATCACCAAATGGTAGCCCAACTCTTATTTTACATGTTAAAATGTCAATGTTAATGTCATTAACTAAATCCTAGAGTATAAATTTAAACATTTTGAGTATTACATGTGTAAACAGTAACAGAAAATTGACCAAGTTAGAAAGGACAAAGTCAATTACTCAATTAGCCATCTGACTTAGCTATTTAGTGGTTCATCTTTCTAGATGAGTTCCTAATTAGGCATTAGAGACACCAAACTGGCTTCCTTTTTCTGAAACTTCATCTCAGTATATATTTAGGTTTGCATCTTTATTCAAACCTTGTATAACATGACAGCTTACTTTTCCTCCTAGAATTCTTTTCTCATTTGGAATCTAAATTTGCAAGTAATAGCTCACAGCACTCCAAATGCCCTGTAACACAGTACATTAGGCTAAATATTCAAAAACAGGACCCTGTAGATTTAAAGAATCAGTTATCATTTAAAGACTCAAGCAACAAGGGGCTATGACTAAACATTACACTTAAACAGCTGGTGCACATGTTTTGTGTGGCATTTTCTAAATGTCTTGCCTTCACCACAATCTGAGGGGCTCTAAAAGTTTTCCGGGAAGGCATTTGCCTTTAAGTACTTAAATTGTCTACCGTTTTATAAAAATGCTTTGCAATCAGCTTTGGCATTCCTCCTAAGTATCTATGACCTAGATCAGCATAGCTTCTTATAAAGGTTAGTTACCAAAGACACTTACGGTCATCTCAAGTTAGCAGGTGCCATAATTACTATTCAACACATGACTTTCCTAAGCCACTGCCTGGTATGGTATTACCAACTTCTACTTTTCCAAAGACTACATTAGGCTAAATATTCAGAAACAAGATCCTGTGGATTTAGAGAATTGGTGATCATTTCAAGACTCGAGTTATGACAAGGAGCTAGGGTTAACCATTATGCTTAAACAGCTGGTGCATATGTTCTGTGTGCCATTTTCTAATTGTCTTGCCCTTATCACAGTGTATCTCTGATAGACTCCTATTTACAAAGTATGAGGGATATATTTTAATCTATGATGAAAATAATAACGAAATACCATCATTTGTCCTGACTGCTAAAGTGTTCTTTTTTCTCTCTTTAGAACTGCTCTTGCCTTAGCACAAAGAAATTAGATTTTGTTACATAAAGAAAACGGACACTATCACAGTACAGCACTATTTACTGTAATAAGAATAATGATTAAAAGTACTCTTTTCAAGATATATAATGCCAATAAGTAATCCAGATTACTGAGGAAAGTGACCTATTAAGCAACATAATAGATTATTTACAAAACTAGAGTCTCTTGGTCTACTTTAGCTTTCATAATCCCCAACTTCACCAACCCAGTGATGGTTCAAGCAGACTCAGGAACAAAGAACTGCTTTCAATGTAATCTGAATGATATCCCATGGACTGACCAAAAAATAGAAACTAACTTCTAAGCAATCTATAACACTGCCTCTAACCAAGAGCTGAAAATTCAAGTGGAAGTTTCCTCTCATTTCTCTCTTAACAATATAAAATTATAGCCATAGATTTCTCTTGGATACAAATGGCTACACTTAAAAAAAGGGTCCATGGTCAAACAATCCAACCAGTCCAAAGTATTTACAAATAAAACACCGACAGTAACATTACTATTCAGTGTCCAAGTTTTCAGAAAAAAATAATCACAAAAGGCAAGAATTCATAGACTAGGTAATAAATAAGAAGCATTACATTATCATCAAATACCTCAATAAGCTCTCTGCACACAGATGGAGGGAATGTAAGCATCAAAGCATTATTACATCACTAGCATGTTGGGAAGCCAGAGTCGACAATATGAGGCAGAAGTGGTCCTTCTCACAGGATCTAAGGTTGATGCCAACCCATCCTTACTTCTGCCATCAATTTTACACTTACAGTCAAAGAACAACATGCAGCTAATGGAGATTCAACACTTCTAGTCAGCAAATAATATTCCAGCCACACTTAATTAGAAAGTAACTGATTGGCGTCACACTTAGAATCCAATTCCAGTACAGCAAAGTGGTTCAGTCACTCAGTTGTTAAACAAATATTTATTGAACACCACTATGTCCAGGCAATATTCTAGACAGCAGTGATTATAGGAACAATTAAAACACAGTATCTCTGTCCTCTGGTGCCAAACAACCTAGGTTCAAATCCTGGCTCCACCATTTGTTAGATGAGTGACCTTGCAAGATTACGTAACCTCTATTACAATTAATATGCGACCAGTTATAGTATCTACCTCACATTATTTTGTGAAGATTAAATGAGTTTATGTTTACAAAGGGTTTAAAACAGTGACATCAGATGGCCAACTAGCAGCTCCTAGCATTCACCCCCCTCAAAACAACACCCAAAACAACGACTAAACAACTACATTTTAATAAAAATAATTGAGATAGAGTGCCAAAGCGCATCAGAGGAGTTACAGAAACCCTGGTGACAAATCTCAGGCTGGCCACATGGAAAACAGAAGGAAACACCAGGCCTCCACCACCCTATACCCCAACCAGGATCACCCGGGAACCAGGACAAACCTCCCTACTTCGAGGAGGTAAGCAAGAGGATTTCAGCAACCCCCATCAACACCTTGGACACATACAGACCTCACCACTGTCCCTGCAGTTCTCATAGGCACTAGGCCCAGCTGAGGGACCTGCCTAGAATCCACATTGCTGTGCTCCCTCCAAGAAGGGGACGAGACTGTGACCTGCCCTCTACAGCCCATGCAACTACTGTGCTATACCATCTTGGAAATGGAACCATGGCTGGAGTGTGTCTTGCTCCTAGTGTGAGCGGCCACAGCTTCCCTTCATCCCCAAGGCTAAGTCACCACCAAACTATCACAACCAATTGGCCAGACATCCCCAAGCTGCAAGCAACTGTTATACCCTTACTCATGGGGCCAAGGAGAGAGGAAGCCACTCCATCTACCCCTCTTCTCTCCCTGTATTAGCCCATACTTGCACTGCTATAAAGGACTACCTTTACAGGTTTAATTGGCTCATGGTTCTGCAGGCTGTACAGGAAGCATGGCTGGCGGTGGGGGGCAGGGCGGGGGGTGGGTGGTTCAGGAATCTTACAATCATGGCACAGAGCAAAGAGAAAGGAATCATATCTTACATGGCGAGAGCAGGAGGAAGAGAGCAAAGGGGGAGATTTTAAACAACCAGATCTGTGAGAACTCACTCCCAAGAACAGCAAGGGGGAAATCCCCCCACTCACCCCCCCGCCCCCCGCCAATCCAATCACCTCCTACCATGCCCCTCCTCCAACACTGGGGACTACAATTAGACACGAGATTTGGGGGGGGACACAAATCCAAACAATATCACTCCCCTTCCAGGGAAAACAGTACCTTCGCTGCTTAGAGGAGTCACCCCACACTAGTGCCCAACTTGAAGCGGTGCCCTGAATCCAAGGAAATGGCACCCAGAGCAGTCACGCATCCAAGTGCTTTAGCAGAAGTGGTGCCCTGCATCCCAAGGAATCAGTGCCTGGACTGTCCAGAAAAGTCATGCCCCTCAGGCCTGCGCTGAAGCAGCACATTGCCCCTGGGGAACTGGTGCCCTAAACCAGCTGAGCATCCCAGGGCTGAGCCGACATAGTACCCTGCATCCAAGGGAAACAGAACAGTGGCTGAGCAGAGACATTCGCCGTACAGGCCAAACAACTCTAGTATTCTGTTTCCCTAAAGCTGGATTCTCTAGAGTCTGAACTGCTGAGACACTCCTCTCCTTGCAGAGTAGAGTAATCGCTGTGCTGTTCCCTCCCCTCCCCAGGGCCCACACAACAGCTGTGCTCTGCCATTCTGGGATATGTGCTGCTGTTGCACCTGGCTTCACAGAGCCTAGGATACTGCCAAGCTCCACCATCCGGGGGCCTAGAGTCATTACTGCATGGTGCCTCATCCTCTAGGCTCCAACTTGCCACTGAGCCCTATTGGCTCAGGTTCCCAAATTGTAGCTACATACACCCTGCTCCCTGGGCCCAAACCTCCAGAGCACCCCTTCTTCCCAATCACGCCAATGCTGTGCCCTGCCCCCTAAGGAAAGAATCATAACCTCAACCTAGGCCCCTGGGCCAAAGCTACTGGGGTGCCTCAGAGTCACAGATCCTGGCTTTATGGGCAACTGACATCCAACTCTGCCATAGAGAACAAAGCCAGGCACTCAATACATCCCAAGATCCAGGTGCCACAGTAAGTTCACAAAACCCTGAGCCTGGGACCCCAGCCCCACAGCCACCGCGAGCACCTGTACCTGGAACCCAGTGCCACAGTAGCTGCTCGTACACTGTGTCATACCTGACACAACCAGGGACCCAGTCAGCTAAGTCTCCCTACTGTGAGAAAAACAAGAAGAGGAGGACCCCAAAAACCCTTGACACCAAGGACCTACATGACTGCCACAACTACCACAAACTTCTACAGCCTAGGCAACTGAGGCACCCAAAGTTACTGCTGATGTTGAACACAGGTGAAGAAGCTGCACGAAGACTGTACTATTGCTCCTACTGGACACAGAGCCAACACACACTCCCTAACCAGCACACTAAAATCCAACTGCAAGGGAAAGTCTCTATAAAAGCCATTCAAAAGACTGTAGAAGAGGTGATTGTCCCACCACATGCACAGACATCAAAACAGGGACATAAGAAACATGAGAAAGCAAGTAAATATGACACCAAGAAAGGAATATAACTCTTTAACACTAGAACCCAATAAAAAGGAAGTCAGTGTGAGCCCAGGAGTTCGGGACCAGCCTGGACAACGTAACAAGACCCTATCTCTACCCACCCCCGCTCCCAAAAAAAAAAAAAAGCTGGATATGGCATGCCTGTAGCCCCAGCAATTTGGGAGGCTGAGATGGGAGGATCACTTGAGACTGCCGAGAAAATGCCACTGCACTCTGGCCTGGGCGACAGAGCAAGACCCTGTCTGAAAAAAAAAAAAAGAAAAAGGAAAAAAAAGGGGGAAATCAACAAACTGCCAGAAAAAGAATTTAAAATCTAGGCCCAGATGCAGTGGCTCACACCAGTAATCCCAGCTACTTGGTTGTGGGGGCGGGGGCGCAGGGACGGGGCTAAGGCTCAAGAATCATTTGAACCTGGGAGGTGGAGGTTGCAATGAGCCAAGATCATGCCACTGCACTCCAGCCTGGGCAACAGATGACAGCGAAAGTCTGTCTCAAAAAGATAAAATAAAATAATTATCTTAAGGAACCTCAAAGAGATACAATAAAATACAAATAGAAAATTCACCAAAATCAGGATGTAAATGAGAAATTCAACAAAAAGAATGCATGAAGAAGAACCAACAGAAATCATGCAGCTAAAGAATTTAATGGTGAAAACAACGAAGAATTCAATAAAAAATACAATAGAAAGTTTCAAAAGATTTCACCAAGAAAAAGAAAATCTCAGAACTTGAAGATAGGTAGCTTGAAATTACCCAGAGGAAAAACAAACAAACAAAAAACAATGAAAAAGAGTGAAGAAAGCCTGCAAAACTTATAGGATAGCATTAAATCAACCAATATTCCCATCATGGGAATTCCAGAAGGAGAAAAGAAAAGGCATAGAAAACCTATTTAATTAAATAATAGCTGGAAACTTCCCAAGTCTGGGGAGAGATATGGACATACAGATCCAAAAAGCCCAAAAAGTCCCCAAAGAGATTGAATCAAAAAAGTAGTTATAATTAGTGGGTAGTTATACACCCAAGGCACATTATAGTCAAATTGTCAAAAGTCAAAAGACAAAGATAAAATTCTAAAGACAGCAAGTGAAAAGCATCAAGTCACATAAAAGGGAATTCCCATTAGAATAACGCAGATTTCTATGCAGAAACGCTACAGGCCAGGAAAAAATGGAATGTTATATTCAAACAGACAAACGGAATTATATAAACTAAAAATCTTCTGCACAACAAAGGAAATAATCAACAGAGTGAAGAGCCAACCTGAAGAACAGGAGAAAATATGTGCAAACTATTCATCTGATAAGGGATTAATATCTAGAATATACAAACAACTCAAACAACTCAACAGCAAAAACTCAAATAATCTGATTTTAAAATGGGCAAATGTAGCCGGGCACGGTGGGTCACACCTGTAATCCAGGCACTCTGGGAGGCCAAGGCAGGTGGATCACTTTTGAGGCCAGGAGTTCGAGACCAGCCTGGCCAACATGGTGAAAACCTGACTCTACTAAAAATACAAAAATCAGCTGGGCATGGTGGCGCATGCCTGTAGTCTCAGCTACTCAGGAAGCTGAGACAGGAATTGCTTGAACTTGGGAAGTGGAGGTTGCAGTGAGTCGAGATTGCACCACTGCACTCCAGCCTGAGTGACACACTAAAACTCTGTCTTAAAAAAAAAAAAGACAAATGAGCTAAACATACATTTCTCAAAAGAAGACATACAAATGACCAACAGGTATATGGAAAGATCCTCAACATCACTAATCATCAGAGAAAAGCAAATCAAAACCTCCAAGAGGTTATCATCTCATTCTAATTAGAATGGCTATTAGCAAAACGAAAGGAAAAAAAATGCTGGTGGGAATGCAGGGAAAGGGGAACACTCTTATACACTGATGGTGGGAATGTAAATCAGTACAGCCATTATGGAAAATTGTATGGAATTTCCTCAAAAAACTAAAAATAGACCAATCATATGATCCAGCAATCCCACTACTGGGTATCCAAAGGAAAGGAAATCAGTAAGTCAAAGAGAGACATGCATTCCTGTGTTTACTGCAGCTCTATTCACAATAGCCAAGATATGGAATCAACCTAAGTGTCCATCAACAGACAAAATGTGGCATATATTCACAATGGAATACTATTTAGCCATTTAAAAAAGACAAAATTCTGTCATTCATGGAAACATGGATGACCTCAGAAAACACTATGGTAAGTCAAATAAGCCAGGCACAGGAAGATAAATACCACATGTTCTCACTTACATGGAAGCTTAAGAAGTTGACTCATAGAAGTGAGGAAGGGTAGTGCGGAGAGGTGGGTAGCCAAAGGTTAGTTATCAGATACAAATATACAGTTAAATAGGAGGAATAAATTCTACTGAAGGAGGCCAATGGACAGTGCCCAAAAGAAATAATGAAGTTTCCATCAGGCTGGGCCCTTAGGACAAAATTAGTATTTGTTTAATTTCCAAGAAAAGCATTCGTCTACTGGAATATACACCAAGGCCCAAGCCTATAAAAGACCATTTTGTGAACGGGGGTACACAGGAGCCCACAACCAGTCTACTCAGTGAATTCTCTTTCAGGAGGCTAAGGCTAAAAACTTAGGCCCAAGGAAAACTACAAATGACTCATGACTTACTATAAACCCAAGAAAATGCGAATACGTATCATTCAAAATTCTGGCAGAAAAAAATAGAATAAAATCAAATCGGGTGACTCAAAGGCAGTTTAGAGACTATACTATCATACATAGGTATGGACAAAATACAGAAAAACTACAAAGCTGGTAGGACACTTAGGAATGAAGGGACAAGAGGAGGCAGCAGTTACCAAAACCAGGGAGCAAGATGTGTAGAGAATGCCATCACTTTTAGCAACCCAGGGCACCCAGCAGGAAAGAGGCCTAAGAGTAACACCCTAGCATCACTCTATCTCCTTTGACCTCCTGCTGGTGCTCCCACTCACCAAGCCCAAGCAGGAGCCCACAAATGAAATCCAGGCAGGTTAGGTTCCTGGGGCAGAGAATAGGGTAAACAAGGGTGGGAAACAATATGGAAGGGCAAACAGAAGATTATCCAGCATGTATATAATAATTCCAATATTTCTGTGACATCTTATTTCAGAAAACTTTGGCATTTGCTACTACTTTCAAAAAAAAACACATGAAAAAAATACATAAGGGATTATGTTCAAGGAACTCTTCACAGATCCATGGAACATGGTATTAAAACTTAGGCATTGAGAAGTATTTGGCTTTGGAAAAAAGAAAAAAAACAACTCAGGTAGCATTACTTTCTAGTAAGTTTCTTGAATAGCATACAAAATTCCAGACAGAGTGTGGTGGCTCATGCCTGTAATCCCAGCACTTTGGGAGACCGAGGCAGGTGGATCACAAGGTCAGGAGTTCAAGAGTAGCCTGGCCAAGATGGTGAAACCCCGTCTCTACTAAAAATACAAAAATTGGCTGGGTGTGGTGACAGGCGCTTATAGTCCCAGCTACTCGGGAGCCTGAGGCAAGAGAATAGCTTGAACCCAGGAGGTGGAGGTTGCAGTGAGCCGAGATCGCACCACTGCACTCCAGCGTGGGCGACAGAATGTGAGTCCACCACAAAAAAAAACAAAAAAAAACCCATCTATTTACTTATTCCGCCATTTTGCAATGATGCACAATAGTGGCAATCTTAATGTTTATTTTGTCTAAATAACAGTCAGTCTTCATAAACCAAGCTCAGACTACGTTTTAAACCAGTAGGACTATTTGCCAAATTGTATCTTTTAAATATAACTTAATATTTACTTCACATATTCAAAAGAGAATTTGTATCAAACCCATTAATTAAAATAAATTGTGAATGTAATTTGGCCGGCTTGCCACATTTATAGGATTACCATTCTATTAAACAAGTTCTTCTCAGGATCAATTAGCTCCAGCAAAAAGAAAAGATACTTATAATTTATATGATGGAGACTAAGCCAATACAAAAATAAATTATAAAAGCACACTGACGGGAGGCTGAGGCAGGATAATCACTTGAACCCGGGAGGCGGAGGTTGTGGTGAGCCGAGATTGCACCATTGCGCTCCAGCCTGGGCAACAAGAGCGAAACTCCATCTCAAAAAAAAAAAAAAAGCACACTGAGCCTACACTAACTTGGGTATACCAACCTAGCTATATTACCATGTATAATCTTAAGTACTAGAAATGCAAAACCAGGATCTCATATATAAGTTAGTCTGATCACATCTTATGACTTGAAATATAAGCAATAAACTATTATTCACCAACTGCCTACTGAGAAGGGCCTTCTTAGTGCCTGGCACTATATTAAACACTGTACATATATTATTTATTTGAATCCTCTCAACCCTATGGCATAGATTTTTAATACTAATGTAAATATAACCAAATGACTAAGAAGCCCCCAGAAAAGAAGCTGTCATATATTAGACTTTAATAGCATTTAGCTAGCCACAGTGGCTCATGCCTGTAATCCCAGTACCTTGGGAGGCAGAGGTAGGAGGATCTCTTGAGCCCAGGAGTTCAAGACCAGCCTGGCAACATGACAAAATCCTGTATCTACAAAAAGTACAAAAATTAGCCGGGTGTGGTGTCCTGTGCCTATAGTCTCAGCTATTCAGGAGGCTGAGGTGGGAGGATCACCTGAGCCTGGGGAAATCGAGGTTACATGATGCCACCACTGTACTCCAACCTGGGCAACAGAGTGAGATCTCCTGCCTCAAAAAAAATTTTTTTATGTGTTTACTGACAACCATCTTGCTGTAATGAAAAAAGTCTATAGCAGTCATAGCACGTTGCCTACCCAAATCCATTCCCTACTCCCACTACTCCCAACCCAACTTTCTACTACCTGTCAGACCTTTTGTCGGGTGTTTCTGTCCTCAGGAAAGCTACCCCTTAACCCAGAGCAGAAGGTGGATCTGGATTATTCTGAGTCAGGCAGACTCCTTTCCTCTTGCCAGGGATAACTGAGGAATAGGCATGTTGCACAATTCAGATTTAGGACAAGTCTACTAGGAGCTTCTAGATTGTTTGCTTATAAAGAGAGACATATGGAAGGAACAGTCCTTTTTGTTCTCACTGGACATATTATGTGCAGATGTCATGCAAAGAGCCTCTGCAGCCACCCAGTGCCAGGCACACTGAAGACGATAGTGATGAAAAATATCAAGAACCTGGATCCTTGATGATACTGCAAAGCCCTTATATTTAACAACCCTGAAGTCACTTAGCCTAACTCAGGACTTATACTTAATGAGAAAATAAATCCCCCATTTTTCAAGCAGTTTGGGAGCTGGGTTTTCTGCAAACTCCAGTGCAAAGTATCCTAACTGATAAAGGTACTAGCTAACAACAACTATTCTTCTTGGGGCTTGTTTTAAAGTAAGAATGTAAAGCGTAAGCTTGATCAGGACTATGAAAGATATAAGAAGATGGATAGCAATATATGGATCTTCCTTGAAGAATATACACCTGAAATACACAGCGTCCAACAGCAAGGGCACAGGAAGGGTTTCAAAGCACACCAACAGTGAAAATGCCGAAGGGTCAAAGGGCTACTGGAGCTTGGAAAAGTTAACACTGATCCTCATGCCACACAATGGAAAATACTAATAACAATAAGAAACAGTTAAAAAGTAACAAGACACGGGGCTGGTGGGGCAAGGTATGGAGATACTTTCTGATACAGAGATAATTCCAGTATATTTAAATGGATTAAGATTTTATTAAAAATCTGAACAAAACTGCACCACTAATTCAGGTTAATCCTTAAATACACAAAGACCTATTACCTCTCCAGACACTACCTTCATCACAAGTTGTCAAGCTACTTAAGATAAAATGTTCACAAGAATTAAAATAGGAGCATAACATGAATGCAATGTAATTACAACTTTATTAACAGCACAATACTGAAAAGACACCTTAGTTTAAATGTTTTAATGGAACTATATTGGCGAAGGTAAGTAATGGTACTTTCAGAAAACACACAGAATGAGTTTTTCCCTCTAGATAGTAAAATGAACAACTTTAATATATCCCCAAATCATGACTGTACCTGTTGTCTTTTGGCTGCCATAATGTTCAGCTTATCCACTTCAGGTTTTAGGGCTTTATACTGGATTCCTAAGTCTTGTTCATTGCCAGCATTCCTCAACTTCAAGATACCATCTTCCACCTATAAAATAAGAAAGACCCCAAAACCCAAAAATTCTGAATGTAGGTCTGTAAAGAAGATGGCATCCTAGGAATTTTCATTCCTGTTAACAACTACTCAAAAAGCAACCCAAACTTAGCTCTCGAGTTTGCGCATGGTCTTCTAACATTTAAACAGCAATTACACAGGAGCTTCATAGTGGGAAAAACACTAATATTGGCCTCTAAAAGTACAAAATTCCCTCCCCCTTCCCCTCCCTCTCCCTCTCCCCACGGTCTCCCTCTCCCTCTCTTTCCACGGTCTCCCTCTGATGCCGAGCTGAAGCTGGACTGTACTGCTGCCATCTCGGCTCACTGCAACCTCCCTGCCTGATTTTCCTGCCTCAGCCTGCCGAGTGCCTGCGATTTGCAGGCGTGCGCTGCCACGCCTGACTGGTTTTCGTATTTTTTTGGTGGAGACGGGGTTTCGCTGTGTTGGCCGGGCTGGTCTCCAGCTCCTAACCGCGAGTGATCCGCCAGCCTCGGCCTCCAGAGGTGCCGGGATTGCAGACGGAGTCTGGTTCACTCGGTGCTCAACAGTGCCCAGGCTGGAGTGCAGTGGCGTGATCTCGGCTTGCTACAACCTCCACCTCCCAGCCACCTGCCTTGGCCTCCCAAAGCGCCGAGAGTGCAGCCTCTGCCCGGCCGCCACCCTGTCTGGGAAGTGAGGAGCGTCTCTGCCCTGGCCACCCATCGTCTGGGACGTGAGGAGCCCCTCTGCCTGGCTGCCCAGTCTGGAAAGTGAGGAGCGTCTCTGCCCGGCCGCCATCCCATCTGGGAAGTGAGGAGCGCCTCTTCCCGGCCGCCATCCCACCTAGGAAGTGAGGAGCGTCTCTGCCCGGCCGCCCATCGTCTGAGATGTGGGGAGCGCCTCTGCCCCGCCGCCCCGTCTGGGATGTGAGGAGCGCCTCTGCCCGGCCGCGACCCCATCTGGGAGGTGAGGAGCGTCTCTGCCCGGCCGCCCCGTCTGAGAAGTGAGGAGACCCTCCGCCTGGCAACCGCCCCATCTGAGAAGTGAGGAGCCCCTCCGCCCGGCAGCCGCCCCATCTGAGAAATGAGGAGCCCCTCCGCCCGGCAACCACACCGTCTGGGAAGTGAGGAGCGTCTCCGCCCGGCAGCCACCCCGTCCGGGAGGGAGGTGGGGGTCAGCCCCCGCCAGGCCAGCCGCCCCGTCCGGGAGGGAGGTGGGGGGGTCAGCCCCCTGCCCGGCCAGCTGCCCCGTCCGGGAGGGAGGTGGGGGGGTCAGCCCCCTGCCCGGCCAGCCGCCCCGTGCGGGAGGTGAGGGGCGCCTCTGCCCGGCCGCCCCTACTGGGGAAGTGAGGAGCCCCTCTGCCCGGCCGAAACCCCGTCTGGGAGGTGTACCCAACAGCTCATTGAGAACGGGCCATGATGACAATGGCGGTTTTGTGGAATAGAAAGGGGGGAAAGGTGGGGAAAAGATTGAGAAATCGGATGGTTGCCGTGTCTGTGTAGAAAGAAGTAGACATGGGAAACTTCATTTTGTTCTGTACTAAGAAAAATTCTTCGGCCTTGGGATCCTGTTGATCTGTGACCTTACCCCCAACCCTGTGCTCTCTGAAACATGTGCTGTGTCCACTCAGGGTTAAATGGAAAAAATAAATAAATAAATAAAAGTACAAAATTTAATGTATCTTGGTTTCTCAACTCCAGAACTCTACAAGGAAAATATTTAATCATTACTGGAAAAAGGGAAGGAGTCAAAACAGTATCTTTGCTACAAGTTCTTCATTACAGCCAAGACAACACTGGCTCAGAACAGAGCCAGGATGATATATACTTGGAATAGAGGAGTAAGTGGAAATTAAACAAAAACATCTCTGGTCCATTGAGATAAACCAAATTCAAAACCAAACTAAATCCTAAGGAATACTGAACTAAGGAAGGCCAGTAGCAATCTTCCTGTGATAGAACAAATTACAGACATAGGCCTGTATACTTACAACTTTCAGCTGAACAAGTAATTTGTAGACATCTGCCATGTCAGCCAAAATCAGCAACCGGGTAACAGCAGAGAGCAAAGCTCGAGCTGCCCGAACCATGTTGCCTCGCTTCACAGAAGAGCAGGGATCATCTGCGAACTCTCCTGCAGCAGCCTTCATCAAATCACCTGTTTTACAGAATGAAAAACAAACTCAGCAAGAATGAACTCAAATAACTGATCTACATTTTTAAAAATATAAAAATAATCCAAACTTTGTATATTTCATGCACAAATTTAGTTTAAGAGTTTTCATTTTTGTTGTTGTTTGCTGTTCCTTTGTTTGTTTTATAGCTATCACTAAAAAAAGCACCTTCATATATTGCTGGTGAAAGCAAAATATCTGGAAAGTGACTTGGCACTATATATCAAGAGGCTTAAAAATATTTCCCTTTGATCTAATAATGTTCCTTTAAAAAAAAAAGGGCATTATATGTATCCAAAAAAAAGAAAAATTCAAGATTTGAACAGGAGAAAAAACATATCTAATAAAATCTACTCTCACATCCATAGAATACAGAAACAGGGCCACAATTATGCAGAACCACCACACTTCATTAATCATCCCAACTACATGATGTGTACAGCCATAACAGAGACTCACTGGTATGTGAAAATACAGAGCTCAGCCATTGATTCATTCATTTCCTTCACAGAACACTACCAAAAGCTCACATGCTCAATAAGCATCTAGTTAAGTAAATTATGGTATGGCCTACAATTGACTATTATGAAAATATTTATATATATGAAAAATGTTAAGCAGAAACAAATGAAATCATAAATGTATGCTTCTTTTTAAATACAGAGGAAAGACTGGAGTCAAAAGGCAAATAATAGTTATCATTGGGTTACACACGGCCTCTTTACATTTCGTACTTATAAAAAGTTTCTATAATGAAGAGGTATTGTATCTATAATTTTTTAAAAACTAGCTAAAAACATATAAAATAGATTTTACTATAGCTTATAGGAATATCCAACTTATACAATCCTGAGCTCAAGAATTTATTTATAGGCTGGGCATGGTGGCTTACACCAGCAATCTCGGCGCTTTGTGAGGCCAAGGCAGGAGAATCTCTTGAGCCCATGTGTTTGAGGTTGCAGTGAGCCATGATTGCACCACTGCACTCTAGCGTGGGTGATAGAACAAGACCCTGTCTCTTTAAAAAAATTTTTAAAAATAATTTATAACATTTCCTAGAAACTTGTGAAACTTATACTTTCTGTCATTTGTGTCTTAAAATTATTTACAGTGCCCATTGCCACTCTTTTCTTACAGCTAGAAGCAACTAAAGGGCCAGTGTTGTGTCTTGTCCACTGGTTATACAAATAGGGCCTCTATGGAGACTATCTTTGGAATCCTGGAAAAGCAATTACTCCCTCCTTTGGCTAAGCAAGCCCACTTCAGTTCACATTAAAGCCTAAAACCCATTCACACTCTCATGTCTTCCCTGAATTTTTTTTTTTTAAGGCACTTTCAAGAAGACTAGCTATTTCTCAACAGACCTATCAAATTTCTCCTAGCTATCATCTTTGGATGCACAACACAAGCAGAAGAGGGGGGAAAAATTGCCTCACATGCATATATTAATTAGGCTTAGAAGCACTGTATAATTCTAAGAGTAAAGATACGCTCCACATATTTGTCAGGCCAGAAAAAAACTTCCAATGAATTATATAGTTAAAAGGTTTTCCTGGATCTAACACAGTCTTCTCTCTTACATCTTCAGGAAGATACAGACATATGGCAATCATTATGTGGATTCGTAACATTAATGCTAGTATCTTCTGGTATTTTAAAAGATGGAGATCATTCATTCTTTTATTTGTTCAACAAATGTTTGAGCACCCATCGCACATCAAGGGCATACCCTACTGGAGCTCTATGGAGGGAAGGAGGGAGACAAAAAATTAACAACTGGTTAAGACACGGCATTTGGTCTCAAAGGGTTCACAAATTATAGAGTATTACAATGCACCCAAAAATTAAATAGCCTTGTGAACAAGGTGCTCTGGAAATACGCTGAAGAAAACTATTTACTCAGGGAAGAATTTATCTGAAAAGCCATGCAGAAAGAGATATTTGCCTTAAAAATATATTAATAATGTCTTAGGCTGGGCACGGTAGTTCACACCTGTAATCCCAGCACTTTGGGAGGCTGAGGTGGGTGGATCACCTGAGGTCAGAAGTTTGAGACCAGCCTGGCCAACATGGTGAAACTCCGTCTCTACTAAAAAAATACAAAAAAATAGCCAGGTGTGGTGGCAGGCACCTGTATTCCCAGCTACTCGGGAGGCTGAGGCACAAGAATCACTTGAACCTGGGAGGCGGAGGTTGCAGTGAACCGAGAACACGCCACTGCACTCCAGCCTGAGCAACAAGAGTGAAACTCCATCTCAAATATATATATATAAATACTGTCTTAAACAATATTACTACCAAACAAGAGAGAATAAGCAAGAGATGTTGACCCTATATAATAAGCAGAACTTCACCTAATTTAGCACTTACTACACACTAAAAACAAACAAATCCACTTCCAAAACACAAAGCTGAACATAACATCCCTGCCTTCAAATAATTTATCCAGAAAAGATGGATTTGACCATTAAGAAATTATGTGGCATTTTAACATACAAGCTGTAAGAAAGAAAACACAAGGTGTCATGGGAATTCAAAGGAGGAAGCACTAACAACTAGTTTAGGGAAGAAATGAATACCAGCAACAGCTTTATGGAAGGCTTGGTACTCTGAAATGAACCCATCCCTCAAAGGAGAGGAAGGATGTGGGCAGCAGAGTTAAGGGAGTTACCACCTCAAGCAGAAGGAACAGTAACATAATAATGTCCAACACTGGCTGGGTGCAGTGGCTCACACCTATAATCCCAGGACTTTGGGAGGCTGAGACCGGTGGATCACTTGAGGTCAGGAGTTCAAGACCCATCTGGCCAATATGGTGAAACCCCATCTCTACTAAAAATGCAAACAGCCAGACATGGTGGCAGGTGCCTGTAATCCCAGTTACTCGGGAGGCTGAGGCAGGAAAATCACTTGAACCCAGGAGGCGGAGGTTACAGTGAGCCGAGATTGCGCCACTGCACTCCAGCCTGGGCAACAAAGCGAGAGTCTGTCTCAAAAAAAAAAAAAAAAAAAAGTCCAACATCTACTCTATGGCACTACACATATTTTTAAAATTCTGTCACCCACCTAGAGAGTAAGTGGTATTAGCCTTTGCTTACAAATAATGCAACTAAAGCTTATACAGATTAACTAACTAAATCCCTGCCACCTAACTAGTAAATGGCAGAGTCAGGATTTGTAATGCCAGTATTTATGCTCTTTGTAGAACCACTTATCATGCTGAGGTATACAATAAGGCTTGTATATTATATATTAATATATAATTCATATATTAATTAGGCTTAGAGGCATAATATCTAGTCTGAATTATCTAGTCTAACTGAGGAGTAAGGGATATGCTTAGAAGAAGCAGAAGATGGGAGTAGAAAGGCCAGAGACAAACAGAATTCAATTCCCTCAACCAGAGTGAAGTCAAAGTAAAGAGGATTAACCTATCTAAAGTACATACAATAAACCTAACCAGAGAGATGGATCAGAAAGCTACAGTGAGAGCCCAGAAGAGAGTAGTAGTAAATTACAAAGGCAGGGGTCAAAAGATCTGATCACCTTTGATTAAGCACAGTACATTATTTAAAGGTTGCAAGCTAGGGCCTTTCTGAGCGGGAGAAGAAAGCCAGAGATGTATGAAAACACATGAGTTGGGAAAGATTTAGAAAAAAAAAAAAGTTAGGACCCTCGAGACTGTGGACAGCAGAGTAAGGAGAGGAAGATTCTGCAATAAAAGAAACAATGAAGAGAACCAAGACTGTCAAAAACAAGAAGGCCAGACTTGTAAGAGAAAACTGGTCAACCAAAACAAATGTAAACATAGAGATCAATCAACTTTGAGAATCCAGAAATATATTCTGATTTTAACAAGAGTGCCGAGAATATTCAATGAAGAATGGTCTTGTCCACAAATGGTGCTAGGACAAGTGCAATATGCAAAAGAATTAAGTTGGACCCCTATCTCACACCATATACTTACAAAATTTATCAAAACCTAAATGTTAGAGCTAAAATTATAAAACACTTAGAAGATAACACTGGTGTAAGTCTTCATGACCTCTGATTCACAATGGTTTCTTAGCTATGACACCAAAAGTACAAACAACAGAACAAAAAACAGGTAAGTTTGACATCATCAAAAAAATTTAAAATTTTGTGCTTCAAAGAACACTACCAAGAAAGTAAAAAGACAATCCACAAATGAAAGGAAATTTCTGCAAATTATAAGGATCTAGTATCCAGAATATATAAAGAACTCTTATACTAAATAATTTTTTTTTTTAAGTTGGCTGCAGTGGCATGTGTCTGCAGTCCTAGCTACTTGAGAGGCTGAGGCAGGAGGACTGCTTGAGCCCAGAAGTTAGCATCTAGCCTGGGCAACATAGCAAGACCTGGCTTCTTTAAAAACAAACAAACAAACAAAAATAGACCAATAATCCAACTTAAAATAGGCAAAGGATTTAAACAGGTGCCTGTCTGAAGATTTAGAAATGGCCAACAAGCACATGAAAAGATGCTCAACCTCACTAGCCATCAGGTAATACAAATCAAAACCACACAAAGATATCACTTTGTACTTAGTTAGGATGGCTATAATAAAAAAGGCAGATAATAGCAAATGGCAAGAATATGAGGAAATTAGAACTCTCATACCCCAATGCTGGGAATGTAAAAAGGTGCAGCTACTTTGGAAGACAGTCTGGCAGTTCCTCAAAGGGTTAAATGTTATCATATGACTCAGTAATTCCACTGCTAGGTGGATATGGTTTGGATCTGTGTCCTTGCCCACATCCCATGTCAAACTGTAATTCTCAATGTTGGAGGTGGGGCCTGGTGGGAGATGAGTGGATCATAAGAGTGGTTTCTCATGAATGGGTTAGTACCAACCTCTTGGTGCTGTTCTTGTGATGGTGAATGAGTTCTCATGAGATCTGGCTGTTTAAAGGTGTGTGACACCTCTCCCACCCCCTCTCTTGCTCCTCCCCACCATGTTAGATGCCTAGCTCCCCATTTCCCTTCCACCATGATTGGAAGCTTCCTGAGGCCACCCCAGAAGGAGAAGACACTATGCTTTCTGTACAGCCTCCAGAACCTTGAGCCAATTAAACCTCTTTTCTTTATAAATTACCCAGTTTCAGGTATTTCTTTATAGCTATGTGAGAACGGACTAATATAAGCTGGTGCAAAAGTAATTGCAGTTTTCATCACCTTTTTTTTAAATGGCCAAAACCATAACTACTTTTGCACCAACCTAATACATAGCTACACAACTAAAAACCTGTACATGAATACTTAGTGTCACTATTCATAACAGCTGAAAAAGCAGAAAGAACCCAAACATCTACCAACTGAAAAACAGACATACAAAATGTGGCATTATCCAGTATTTAGCCGTAAGAAAAAATGAAGTGCTGATACATGTGCAACATGGATGAACTTTCAAAACATATGTTAAGTGAAAGAATACTGTATTGTTCCCTTTATATGAAATCGCCATTTGCCACAACAGGCAAATCCATAGAGACAGAAGGTAATGCTTGCTGGGCAGTGGGAAGCAGGTAAGAATGAGGACTAACTTCCAACAGGTAAAACTAGGTTTCTTTCTAGGATGATGAAAACATCTGAAACTACACAGTGGTGATGGCTGCACAACCTAATAATATACTAAAAACCACTGAATTGTGCACTTTAAAATGATGAATTTTATGTATGTTGAGTTATAGCTCAAAAAACACAAAGGAAAAAAAACCAGTATTGAATGCAGTAACATGAAAGAGCACAGGCTCTGGAGCTGGATATAGGCCTAAGTTTTGGCTTTGCCACTTGCCAGCTATGCAACTAGACTTTATGATTCTGTTTCCTCCTCTGCACGATGTGTAGAATACCTGCTGTGAGTGTCAATTAAGATACCTTGTAAAATGCCTAGTTCAGTGCCTTGCAGCAAGCACTAGGAGACAAAATAGGGTTGGTAGAAATGATTAATTCTAGGTAAAACAAGATCAGAAGACAGAGAAAAGGTCTTCATTGTGTTTCATCAGTATTCACCTATTCAACAGCAATCTTCAAGAGCATTCATGCCTCTTTCAAAACATGCTTACTGATCACCTTCTATCAGCCAGGCACTATTCTAAATGCTCCAGGAAATTAACCAACCAGGCCAGGAAAAAATCCCGGGCTCCAGGGAACTTACATTCTAGTGGGAGAGAAAGACAATAAACAATAGTACTGGAGTAGGGTCGGGGGCAGTGACAGAAAGGAGGACAGAGAGAAAAGGGATGTAAGATACAATTTAAAATAGGGGGATCAAGGTAGGCCTCCTTGAAAAAATACCATTTGATTTGAAGACAGTCTTG